>NC_000004.12:104546381-105171381 GCF_000001405.40 Homo sapiens
GCTGATAGGTTTCATACTATCCACCTGGAATCTCACCACACTGGCATGATTATACAGGCCCTTAAAGAACTTATTTTTCTTCAGAAAGCCCATATAAAACACAGATTTTCAATAAAATTACAACTAATTTTTTTAAGGGAGCATTTGTTAGTAGGCGAAAAGAATAACAACTAGTGCAAGAAATGTATGTTGACCAAAAAAAAAACAAAACAAAAAAAAAGGAAGGAGGTAATTGTTGAAAGAGAATAGGCCCATATATATATTTTTTTCTATTTCATTAGATACCTCTTGTATTACTTCTACTTGAAGATTCTGTAATACTTTAAATATGTTATAATTCACATGCTTTGAATTGTCACCTGATATAAAGTAGTTTCTTCATAATTTAAATACAAAATATTTTAAATTTGATAGGCACTACACTATAAATCCCCCAAATATATATATTTTTAGGAGATTTTCATATTAAATACTTTATAGCATTGCTAAAAATTAGAACATTTTCTATATATATATGGTGTACACATTTTTAAGGTAATAAAAATTAGGACACATTATATTGTAACAAGTGTGTAAGTTTTGTACCACATGAAAGTTGATACACTTGCCATTTGATTACTACAATATACCCATTATGACTAAATAGTATTGCAGTAAAAGGGTTCTTTACTTTCAGGGTATTTTACTTGCACTTTTTGCATTTACTTGTGTTGGTTTTTTAAGCTCCATTTTCCACAGACTCATGCTAAAGGGGCCAGGTGACAACCTCACACTCAATGCATTACATTACAAAAGAAGAACTCTGAACTTATGAATCCTCTCTTATGGACAGATGTGATGCCTCCCCTTTGCTCTGGAGGAAAACACTATCTCTATCTTCCAAGGATATTTGCTATATAATAATCTTTAAAAGACAGCTGAGAACAAAGGAAAGTTAGTACTTCACTCTTAAGATGTGCAGAAACACAAGGTACCCATGAAAAATTGTCTCCCCCAAATCATTTGAAATACAGTTAGAACTTTGTGATAATTTCTGACTATATAAGATAAATACTGAACTACATATTCATATTAGCATTGTTGAGATATATGACCTTGCCTTTCTTTTACAGCTTTAATAGTTTATGTCTGGTAACAATGTCTGTGTGGTTCAAGATTAGGAATCTATTCTTCAGCTTCTCAAATATACAAAGTAAATAGCTATATGATGCCTGAATTAGTTTTGAACATTATTAAAGCTAACTTATATCTTTTTTTTATCTTGCCACTGACTGGCATTTATCTCAATCAGAATGCAAAAAAACACAAGACATAAGAAAACATTGCTTGGGAAAATTAGTATTATGTTCACTAAATGTATATTTAAACATTTTTTGAAATTATCTTATTCTCATCATTATATGAAAACTTACATAAAATTATGGTATGATAACTTATGAAAATCATGGAAAATATTGTTTGTTAAGCAAAATTCAAATTCACATGTATTAAAATATTTGTAACTGATATGCACATATATACATATATCGATATACTAGATATTATTGAGAATGTTTACATTTTCCAAAAAGAGAAATCACTCCAGTGTTCCACTATAAAACTAATGCAGCTCATCAATATATTTTATATAGAGTATATATTAAAAAGTAAATATATATCTACTTGTATAGTGTACATATATACTATGCATATACATGTATAGTATATATGTATAATATATACAGTATATATTATAAGTGTACATTGGACATGCATATATGTACATGTGTACACTTGTAATATATACTGTATGTAATATGAAGTTTCTAATACATACTGTATATATTACACATATATACTACATGTGCATATATAATATACACAGTATATGATCATATATATTAAGTAACATATACACTATAATACACAGATTATATATATTTTAATATGGACAACTTATTTTTAATATTATCTTAGATTCTCATATTTTGGTAATACATATGATTATCTAGCATATAATTAATTAAATTCCTGCTTTTCATTCTAGTTTTAGAAGTTCTTAAATATATTTTTGCTCCTTTAAAATGAAAACAATTGGGAGGGGTTGGGGAGAAACAGAGGTGAAAGAGGCTGGAAAATACTTCTTCAAAAATAAATAAATCTATCCACTATTCAAGAATGAGTCAAACATTCATTATCACTCAAACAACTGCCAAGCAATTGAAATCCTTCTAATTGCAAGTACCCTAAACGTAGCTTATTGCCTTCCTTTCCTGTTTCCTGACTTCTCTGGGTCGTTTCATTCGCACCTTTCTTTTAAGCCATCTGGGATCCTCTGTACAACCGAGCTTTAATGCTGGACACCTGGTCTGACAATGTTTGCTTCTCTCTTTCACCTGCCAGCCCTTTGTTCCTCCCCAAGATTGAATGAGCCCTACTAGTCCTGTCAAGCATGCACACATAGCAGCTTTTCTTTCATTCAATCTTAGACTAGTCCTTAAGTTTGGTAAATCCTTTCATTACTTTGCCTTACCCATTTAGCTGTTCCATCTATTTCGTGATCTCTAGAATCTTATAATCCACATGAGAATTATATCTAGATAAATGTGATACCTCTAGAACACCAGGGTGGAAGGAAGGAAAGGCATGACTGAAAATAAAAATCATATAAAACTCCCTGTTCTTGCTAGAAAATAGTTATAAATCATTGGGGTTTGTGCTCAAATTTAAAAATGCAAAATATACAGGATTTGATATGTGTAATCAGTACTTAGGAAAATATCATATAGCTCTTTCACAAAGCAGGTAAGCCCTACTTACCACTCAAGACATAATTTTTCACTCTTTGTCTAGTACCTCCCAGGATTTGTATCCCAGCTCTTTAGCTCCTCCTACACACAAAGCTCCTTTTACACTTCCAAAAATAATTTCTGATCTGACATCCCAGTGATATTGAGTCTATACCTCAACTTCCATCTGTTTCCCACTCTCAATTTCTATAGACTGTACAAGTAAGAATATGGTACTTGGCTTAGCATTCATTCCTTTTAATTATTCAGAAGTCTTTCCAAACTTTAGCCTTTTTCAAGTTCCTTCTTTCAGTCAATACAGACAACTTTCCTAGTTTAACTCAAACACAATTATACTTCTCAGAGGCTTCTGTTAAAATGATGTCACTCCAGTGCTCAATAAAACAAATCCAGAAAAATATTTGTCATTCTAATTGTATGAAAAAAGAAAATAAAAATAATTATAACAAAAATTCTGTAAGCACTACTGAGTTTTATAAAAAGAAGCAAATAAGTTGGAAGGTCAAGGAATCTTATGGCAAGTCTTTAGTCAAATTAGATATTTCAATAGAACACTATGAAGAAGCCAGCTTTGGGAATGAGGTAAGGGGAGTAATTGTAAACTTTATTGAAATAATGAGGATAAGGGTCCTGTTATTGACGGCCTCAGAACTGATAAGTTGCAACTAGGTTTTGATAACTTGCACTTGATAAGCCAGTTCCAGAAAAATATTTTCACAGTGAGTACAGGGCTCAAGAGAACACTGATTTAGTCAGGTAACCGTGGAGAAATTGTAAACACTGATTCTCTCCTACCTCCTCCTGCTCTGTAGAACTGCTCCCAGGTTCTTGCCTGCTGTTCCTCCTCCTGTTCCATGTCCCATTGCCTGTGAGAAATATCACCCATTTTCACAATTAAGTAAAGAATCAGAATTAATTAATCTCTTAATGATACAGTCTGAGAACTCAAGTGATTTTTTAAAAGTTACAAGAGAGAGAAGAGGAAAATTCTAATCCGAGAAAAAAAGAGAAAAATTTCCAAATGTAATATCTACATATACTGTCATTTATCTGCTGCAGCATAGAGGAAGGACTATCAGTGGTGAAGGTGAATTCTAATTCACAGGAAAATATACTGGGAATGGTGTGACAAGCAAAACTTGCAGCCTCATCTATAACTGTCTGGTATATCAAGTAAACTTAGTTAACTTGAGATTTTAAACTAAGAAACTAAATGAGCCCTCCCAACAGAACTGAACTTTTGTGAGGCCATATGTGAAAAGTGGAAGTAAAATGATTCTTGGTTTAAAAGATAAAGATAGGGGGGAAAAAAAAGCATAGTAGCACAGAATGCCATGGAGCTCCATAACTGTGGAGAAGCCCACGGGGAGGGGGAATTTAAATGAAGGACAAAGGAGACATAGATATAAATGTACTATAGGTCACCCAGTTAGACTGAGAAAATTTCAGAGAGCAAAAAAAAAGTGTTGAAATAAGACATGCAAAGATGTTTTAACTAGTGATAGGGAACCTCTGGGAAGAGAATTGCAGTGGTATGTTTCAAGGATCCTTTTATTGTCTCCATCTTGATGGACATGTTTACCAGTGACTTGGATGAGGCCATGGATGCAAGTTGATATATCTGCACTAAGAACAAGGTAGACAGAAATTCTAATAACTGGTTTAGATTTTCCAGTTCTTCAACTGGTCCCTCATTTTTCTTTCACTATTGCCCTTGATCTTTCCTACACTGACTCTTCCTTTCCCTTCCCATACAATCATTCCTAACAATGTTGCTATATCCATGACTATGTTTCCTAAATTATATTCACATCTTGGACCTCTGAAAATTGACTACCACCCCCACCATCCCACCAGAGCTATCCTTGCTAATGTCCTTATTTAGGAAGGTGTCTTAGTTGTCAAGTTCGATGGACTTCTTGTGTCATACCTCATCCTATTAGCCTCTCTGGTATTCACCTCCTTTGACAAATTCATCCTTATTACATTCTCTGTCATCTCCTTTGTGTCCTTCCTCTTTAATTCCTTTAAAACATTGGAATTCCTTATAGTTCCTTTTGTCTTCTTACTCTCTGCTGCCTTTTAGAGCAATCTCACATACTTTCATGACTAAAACAAACAATGGATGCAGTCCTTTAACCCCATGTTCCAGACCAAATATCTCCTCTATGTGACATTCAACAAAACGAATTCGACAAAACTACCATTGCTTTCTACGCCTAATCTACCCTTGTCCTCCAGAAGGCATGAGCTCAAAAAATAGAAGCAGAAAACATGAGTCATCTATACTAGATTATAAATTCCTTCCCAACCTCATGCTCTATGTTCAGTGAAGTGTTGGAAATCAGTTGAGTATAGTTAACCAGCTATAGTGTTTGTAGCAACAAGGAATGCAATTTGATTGCAGGTTACTTCAATTCTTATAAAATCTTCATTAAAATATCATCTTTACAAAAATCAAAAGGGCAATTTCAAATTCTGAGTGTTCATTTTCTCGGTGAATTACTGTCTTTATTTTGCATTATTCTTATGTTCATTATGTCAAAAAGTTTACACACTTAATTTTCTTTCTTGTATCATTCATATTTTAAGGTTAGAAAGTTTGTGGTCTGTAAAGGCCATCTTCCTACATTAGGAAACTACTGATTATTTCTATGTATAAAATTTCAGGTTTGGCCTTTCGAGGAAAACAACGCATCTTAATTTTAAAATAGATGTTCTTATAAAGGATATATTTTACTTTTTACTGATATTTGGATGATATAAACATTCACGTATTCTTATTTGATAATTATTTGAGGGGTGCCATAAAGGATTCATCTACAACTATACAAAACTTCCTTCTCCCTCTTATATGCAACCTTTCTAAAGTAGGAAGAGAAGAGCTGGGTTGCCAGATTCCAAACACACATGAAAACCATTGCACCTAAATTTAGAATTTTAAAAAATCTTTTCCATATTCCAATTTGGCTTTGATAAAATTTGAATTCTGAGCTACACTTTAAAAGTTATTCTTTTTTTTCTCTATCTAGGCTTAGGAGTAGGGTAATGCTGTTCATGAAGCTATGTCATTATGTGTGTTAAGTCTAATTCTACAGAGGAAGTGAGCTGTTATAAAATCAAAGTATGTTCATTGGATTTGATGTAAGAATTAGAATGGTAGAGAGAGAAGGAGAAGATTATTTTATTCCATTCATGAATAACAGAGAAAATGGTCTCTCCTGCATGTCCTCTTGACTTATATACCATGAGCGTGGAAGCATAGATATGAGAAAATTGAAAATAACTGGTTGACCACAAATAAACAGTGATTCTTATTTCCAACATTCCAACCATAGCTTTTTCCACTCAAAATATGCAAGAGTTCTGTTACCTGGGAGATCTTTCTCCCCTTGTATCATTTAGCTATTGTTATGTAATAATCCTCCTCATCCAGCCCCCTTCCCCCAAGAAAATCTCAGTGGCTTAAAACAATAAGCATTTATTATTTTGCATGAATCTGTAAGTCATCTGAGTGTTTTGGGTGTGTGGGGTCTTAGATGGGCTCACTCAGTCATACACCTGTGGTCAGCTGCAGATTAAGTAGGTACCTCTGATAATCCAGGCAGATCTCTTTCACATGACTAATTAGCGATAAGCATGTGTAGGTCAATAATTCTCCATCAGCCTAGCCCAAGCTCAAGGAGGAGGCAAGAGCAGAAGTGCACAAGGCCTCTTCAGGCCTAGGCTCAGAACAGGCACACCTTCACTTCTGTCTCATTCTTGGCCTAGATTTAAGGGGTGGACGATGGACTCCACTTATTGTTGGAAGGAGCTGCAAAATATATTACAAGGAGATTTGTTCCAGTTACTATTGTGAATAATAACATATTCCAAAACATAATGGCTAAAAACAATTTATGTTTCTCACAGATTCTGGGGGTCAGGAATTTAGACAAAAATGCAGTGGCTGTCCTTTACTGGTTTCAGGAAGACTTGAAGCTTAGGAGTAGCTTGGCAGCTGGAGGCTAGAATCATCTGAAGGCTCATTCATTCACAGGCCTGGGACCTGGGCTGTGGAGATTCAAAGATGAGTAGTGTTGATTGGGTAGCCTCCATGTGGCCTCTCCATGTAGTTTGGCTTCCACATAGTATAGTGGACACAAGGGACTCAGACTTCTTATGTGGTAGTTCAGGGCTCCAAGCCCAGGACTCCAAGACGGAAGCTGAATTGCCTTTTATAACATATCTTTAGAAGTCATACAGCAGCAATTCCATCATATTTAATTAATCAAGGCAATAGAAGCTAGATTGAAAAGGAGAAGAATCAGCCTCCATTTCAACAGAATGTCAAAACCATGTTGGAGAAAATTATGTGCGGCAGGAGATATTGTTGCAGTCATTTTAAAAAAATACAGTCTGCTGTAATCTGCATTTTAGCCTCACCAATTTACATTCCTTCTATATGCAAAATACATTCACCTCACCCCCCAAAACCTCTATTAGGATGTCAACTTAAAGACCAACAGTTCATTATTTAAATCAGGTCCAGGTGTGGATGAGGCTCCTTGAATATGATTCGTTGCGTTAGACTCTTAAAGTTTCTCTAGTTTTCTCTAATTCTGAGGATCTGTGAACTAAAGAGGACCCCTGTCAGGCTGCTATGGAACAACGCACTCAAGAGTCTAAGGAGACCTAATATTTAACAGAGAAGTTTTGGGAGGCATGGCCTTGTGTACTTAGAAAAACTTTCATCTGTGTGAAAGGGTTTATGAAGCATCATTGTTAATCTTTCTGAGGTGTGAACAAAGGGTTATATTGTGAGGTCATTGGTTTTATCTTGACCCTATTAGCTGAAACAGTTATGAGCCCACTCTGCCTCTTGATGGGGAAGTAAAAATGTTATATTATAATAAGACATGTGATTTAGGAGATATTGGTGCTATCATCTTTGGAAAACATAACCTGCCATAGAGTGAAACCAGGAGGTTAAGTGAGTGGGATATAAACCTGATTAATCTACCATACCCTCTTAAAAAGTTATTGACTTACTTTTTGGACAAATATTTATAGTGTTTTTTACGTTCCAGGTAGAGTTCTAGGTACTAGAAAAAATAGTGAATAAAAAATACATTCTACTCTCATAGTGCTTTACATTCTCATCTTGGGGTCAGAATAATAAGTAATAAACAAACTATGTAGTATATTAGATAGTAGTGTGTGAAAAGAAGGGAAAAAAGCATAAAGAAGATAGAAGGTGTATGTGGTAGATTACAAGTTTAGATAGCATTACTAGTAAGTTCTCACTGAGAAGATATTCTAGTAAAGACCCAAAAACGGTGAGAGAGTGAGACATATAGATTTTAGGGGATGAGAACTCCAGGTAGAAGATACTAGACAACTTTGTAGCAGGTACAAAGTTGTATTGAAAGTATAGCAATGGAGTGAGCAAGTGGTAAGAAATGAGGTTGCAGTGGTAATGAGGGGCAGGTCATGTAGAAATCTATTGGTCTTTGTAAGTAATTAGACATTCATTCCGAATGAAATAGGAAGCAATTAATGGGTTTTTAGTTTATGAGTGAAATGAACTAATTTCCCTTTAGACAAAATGACTTTGGCTGCTTTGTTGAGAACGGAAAAAAGAGGAAAGGACAGAGCAGGGTAAGTGGTTAAGAAATGATTGAATTAATACAGACTAAATGGGCTAAGGTGGTAGCAGTGGTGGTGACCAGTAGTCTGATCCTGCATACATTTTGAAGGTAGGGACAACAGGACCCATTGAGGTATTGGATGTGGACTATAAGAAAAGAAAAGTCAAGAATAATGCCAACATTTTTGGCTTGAACTATTTGATGGATTTTTCTGGAAAGATGAAGTTGAGAAGGTATGAAGGCAGGAAGAAAACCTGGTGCCTAAATACTCTGCTGTGTTTTAAGAGGAGCATCTGGTATACAAATTGATTCTTCTTTGCAAAACCAAGAACAACTGTGGATTATTTGTTTCTTTATTTGTTTGTGGCATTGATAAATGAATTATTCCCAGTGAGAAATGAGAGAACCTAGAAAAAGCATTTAAGAACTCCCAATTCTTTGTCTAATAAACTAGCTTTTGTTATGCTAGGATCCCTGAGTCTAATATCAGTCATTCAAACAACCTTTAAGACCTTGTGTCAAAAAATATCAAAATAATGTTATTGTTAGTTCTTAAAGCTAAAGGTAAAAACACATTCTCTTGCTTTTTACTTGTCTTTTTTGGGGGAGTTGGGGGGAATGGTTTCACAGTCCATCTAATGGATGCCTTATGGATTCTCTAAATGGCAGCCCCAGGTATACACGCATTGGCTTTTGCCGAACCTTCAGGGTGAGTGTCATTCCCTTCGCTCTTTACTTAGTTGAAATTCTCTCTATGCCTGAAGGCACATTTCAAGATCTTTCTCTTCCATAAAGAGTTATCTTACCACTCTAGATAACACTTATTTTTATAACAATCACTTATTATTCTTTCATTTTTTGTGTGTTAGATTTCCCTTTCTGTTTAAATTATAAACCAATTT
Organism: Homo sapiens; assembly: GCF_000001405.40. Lineage (NCBI taxonomy): Eukaryota > Metazoa > Chordata > Mammalia > Primates > Hominidae > Homo > Homo sapiens. The sequence goes on from NC_000004.12 coordinate 104,555,703, forward strand.
TTGGGAGGCAATGTATCCCATGCTGAGAAGGAATTCATCACATGCACTGATGCATTTGTGATTTCATAAAAATAGAACTGGACTTTTGGTCAAAAAACATGGTTTAAAAATAAGTCTTCACTTAAACGTTACTGGCTATTGATCAAGTAATGTTAAGCAGTTATACTCAACTTTTCCAAGGTTTAGTTTGTTTGTTAATACTGCTGAAATATTTCACTGAGTTTGAAATATGTTTGATTTCCCAGCATTATGGGGAGGATTAGATGAAGTGCTTTGTCAATGTTAGGAAATGTAGTTGTGTTATATTCTAGACCAGAGTCTCCATTATGGGCAGCACTGATCACCCAGCACCATATCAAGCCAGGCTCTTCAGGAGTTACTCAGGCTGGTTGACTTTTTCCAACACTTCAGCAGTTCTCTCCTTAATGGCTTCCACATAGCTAAAATTTCCATGTATCTTCTCATTTACTATACCTTGAATATTTTGAGTTTCCAAATAGCTAGAGTTTTTAACATGTCAAAAAGCTCTCTGGGTGAGTTTAGCATTGTCATAAATGGAGCACTTTGAGATATAAATGATGAGAGGGACAACTTCCCTTTAATTTCATTGATTACTATCAACTGCCAATCAGGCAGTACTTACCCCACCTGCTAACTAATCCAAAAGCAACACTTAGCTCAGAGAAAAGCAAAGGTAATATGCAAAAAGCCGACAGTTTCAGCTGTTAACAATATTATTAATTAACCATTTCCAGAAGAGTTTTAAATTATTCATTGACATTTTATTGTTATTAACAATACATTTATTGAGCACCTATCAAGTACTAAGATTCCCAAAATGGTATAAAACACAGCGACTGCTCTTGTGTCATTTAAAATCCATTAAAATATACACAATTTTTTCAGGTGTGTACATGTGCTCAAGGTTCTAGTGCATACTTAACTGTAATAACGGGAGAGTGAGAAATCCAAAAGCAGGAGAGGATAAACAGATTTAAAAAAAAAAGTCGGTTCCCTAAGTTTACATGAAGAATGTGTTTACCTAAAGGCTTCTAAGCGACATTTTGATAAAAACAGTTTATGAGATCCACTTCTACCAATGATAACTTTCTTTCCTCCAAATCTGGCTGCTGCTTACATCTCTCTAAAAGGACTACTTTTTATATGCAGAGGGACATTAATTCATTTTCTAATAACAGAAGCAAAAACTTAGAGTGACATAAAAAACAACAGAAGGAAGTAGAATTAAAGTACCATGAAGATAGAGACTATGACTATTTTGCAAATTCCCAGGACTCAGGAGGGAGACTGAAACACAGCAGGTACTCTACAATAAATATTTTTTGAAGGAGTGGATGGGTGGATGGACGGATGGGTGGATGGAGATGGGAATTAATTGAATGAAGCCCTTCAAATTGCAATTGTTAAGTCTAGGACAAAAATCTGCATTTGAGATATGGAAATGGGAACTTTAATTTATTATGACAAAATTCTGAATCTTGCTCTCTGGTTCACAATTTCCTCCCGTCTTAAAGAAAATGATTGGATATTTAAGATCATTTCTAGGTCTAAAATAAGATACTTTGATAATATGATGACTTAACATTTTGAGTCTTATGTTTAGCTATGATTCATCTCTGAACCAGTAATTTGGAATGCATTTTTAATAATAACAATATTAATTACTAACTGACTTCATGCATTAGTTAGCTAAATAATCAAAATAACATTTCTACAAAGTAAGAATCATTAGGTGCCTCTTTATCCAAATGAAGAAACTGAGGTTTATTCAGGTAAGTAACTTGTCCAAGAGCACAGAGGTGGGCATGATAGAGTTGAGGCTATGGATCAGGTCTGGCTCACTCTGATTCCCATGCCTGGAACTGTTGTCTATTATTTAACACACCTTCTTTTATAAGACATTTGTGTGTAAGAGGTCCATAACTTGAGAAGAGGTACAATGTTGTTTCTTTACAGCTAGGCCAGTCACCAGTGTTGCTGACCTGGACATAGGGTTAGGATTAGGAAATTCCATCAAGCATAAAACAAGACAAAGATGAATATCTTGTGTCAATGTGTTCAGGATTCAGCCACAAGGCAAGAGAGCAGATAACAGGGCAGAAGGAATTAAGAGTACGGGGCAGTTTGGGTGGACTGAAGGTAAAGGCAATTTGAAATTTTGGACAGTAGCCAGAAATCAGGGCATATAGAAGAACAAAAAAGATCAGAACAATAGCAAGCAAGAGAGCAGAGCTCATGATAGTGTCCATTGACCTTAATCACTGGAGCAGATCTCTTCTGGTGGGATTTTTTTTTAATCATTGCATATAGCAGAAACCAATTTTCGATTGCAGGTCTGGGAACAGCATGAAGAAGCAGAATTGGCGGCTCCAAGCTAACTGGGGCAGGGGATCAGTAGCAGCTGCGGGTGAGAAACTCCTGACACCTTAGCATACCTTCTTAGCGCTTGAGAGTTTCACTATCTGTTCAGTCCCTTTTGCAAGGGGAAATTGGTTCTGCAGCATATATCGTAGCTTCCCAGCTGGAAGAGTGCAATGATGGATTGCTGGAGTCCACACAACTGATGGGTTCTTTCTTTTTTCCCCTGTCAGGAAAAAGTGACTCACGGCAATCATATATTGGTGTCATATACATAACTCTTACCCTCCCTGCCCTTCTGCACCACCCCCAATATACTAACTCACCATTGGCATAAATCTACTTTTGTAATTCTACATTGCAAGTTCCTGGTATTTGCAAGATGCTGTTCTAGGTGGAGGAGATGAAAAGATGAATGAGATATGATTCCTGCCTTTGAGGAGTTCACAGTCTAGATGGGAGAAAGGCATGCATAAACCAATAATCATAGCTAACAGATATGGAGCACTTATAGCAAGGCAGATGCTATTATACTTGCTATATATATTAGCTATATATATTACCTCATTTAATCCTCAAAGCTACCCCATAAGGTACGAGTCTTATCCTCACTTTATAGATGAAGAAACTCATGCACAGAGGGGCTAAATAAATTACTCAGGATCACTCAACTAATAAGAGTTGGAACCCAGAATTCTAAACCACACAATGTGGCCACAGGGCCTGTCTTGTGAAGATGACATACTGCCTTCTCATAAATAAAAAATTACTGAGTACAATTATCAGAGCAAGAATTGAGACATACAGAAAAGGAAAATGACCACATGAAAAGAGTAAAGATTTGCAATGAGTAGAGTAAGTGGGATTATGTTGACTGTCATAGGACTTTTAATATACTTTTCAATTTTTCTGGACCTTAAGTTATTCATGGGGAGAACAATACATATGTTCAGGTGTTATTGTAAAGATAATAAAGACTGTATAGAAAATACCTACCACAGTGCCTGGCATATTAGATATTTAATAAATGATGCTTATAATTGAAATAGTGGTAGTTGTTGTTGCTTTTGTTATCACTGTGATGTTGTACATAAGTACTGTAGGGACGCAAAGGAATTGTGACTGATTCTGTCTGAAGAGGGAAGGTGGTTGAGGAAAGATATTGTGAGGCTTGGCATAAAAGGTGGCATTTGAACTGGACCTTGAAAGATAATCATTTTCTAGACAGATGAAGGGAAGAAATGCATTCTAAATAGAGACAACATGTGCATAACATATGTGGAAAATACCAAGTTTTTGTTGGTTTGGATAAATCATGGTATGTGTGTCTGCATGTGTGCGCGTGTGTGTTGAGAGTGGCTGGAGATGACACTATAAAGATTTGAAGGGCACACATCATGAAAACCTTGCAAGTCATTGAATTTAGCCCTAAACTCATAAAATATGAAAAGTTATATGGTAACTAACTCAGCAGTGTTTTGGATCCCTCTAAACTAGTTTTTTAATGGAATGTTTCCTTTTCTTCCTTCTAAATATTTTAAAACACAATAATACTGCTTTATAAGACAATTATATGGTGTTCAACAGCTGGCCAAACTTTCAGTTTCATTTTACTCTAGAGTTACTATGTGTACTTCTCTGTCTATCAACAATTCATGAGCAAATCAGCCAGTGTCAGAAATGGACGATGAAGAATAAATGTGGCAGAAATATTCCATATAATGACTTGTTGGAACTGTTGCCTTTACTGGTCACCCTACTTTTGACCCAGACATAAATTGGCAAAGACCCATTGCTCAACATTTAGATAAGAACCCTTTTTTTTTTTAAATTTCAACTATTAGTTTAGATACAGGGTATACATGTGCAGATTTGTTACATGGGAATATTGAGTGATGCTGAGGTTTGGAGCACAGATCCTGTTACCCTAGTAGTGAGCATGGTAACTGATAGGTAGTGTTTTAACCCACCCACTCCCACCCTCTAGTAAGCCACAGCATCTAGCATCTATTGTTCTCATATTTATGTCCATGTGTGCTCAGTGCTTAGTTCCCACTTATTAGTGATAACAGGTAGTATTTGGTTTTCTGTTCCTGTGTTAATTTGCTTAGGATTATGGCCTCCAGCTCTATACATGTTGCTGCAAGACATTATTTCATTCTTTTTATGGCTACATAGTATTTCATGGTGTATATATCCACAGTTGCTTTATCCAATGGGATGATTTCATGTCTTTGCTTGTGTAAATAGCACAGCTATGAACATACGAATGCATGTGTCTTTTTGGTAGAATGATTTTTTTTAATATATACCCATTAATAGGATTGCTGGGTTGAAGAACCCATTTTTTGACTGTTGTTAAATTTAATTATCCCTGTGAAGGGTAATAAGCAGTATGTGTGTGTCTATGTATGTGTCTTTGAGTGTGTGAGTGACAAAATTCTTGTTTATATAAATATTGTACACACTTGTTTGAAACCATCTGATGTCTCACTTTCCCAGCACTAAAACGAAATGAAACAAAAGCACACCAATAAATAAATAAATACTTGGCCAAAAAGATACTACTTTTTGGGACAATTAATAAGTAAAATAAGCATAAAAGTTTTTTGAAGAATGAAGAAATAGAAAAACAAAATGCTATTATTTCCTTTGGTCTTTAGGCAGAAGGACAAATCCAACTACAATGATTTTGTAGCCTTATCTAAAAGCCAATTAGGGGGAACCTCCATCTGCTCTCATTGCTAACATAGTATAGTCAAGACGCCTTTTGAACAACTGTTTGACTCTTCAGCAGTTATTGCTATTGTAGCTGATTCTCATCACTTTCTTTTCTCGCATGACCCCTGGAATATACAAATGATCACATAGTAGATAATTGTATACAATTGTTTATTTAGCCTTCCATCAGAAACATCATTGTTACTATTGTTTTAATGAAAATTACCAAATAATCTTAATCTGGATTATTCAAAGAATGCCTTTTACTTTGAATGAACTGAGTTTTGCTGTAGAATGCCTTAGTGAAGAAAGTTATTACATATGGTTCTTTGTGTTTCCTTTGCTTAGGTTTGCAGACAAGATGAATTATTTTAATTTTTTTCTTATAAGTTCATCAGGCTAACTCTTTAATCATTTTTATTGCCCATCTCATCTCAGTTATATTAAATCTAATTTTCCTATATTTGGGTACATTGGTAAATACCAAATTATTTTTAATATTCAAATAGTTGTCCCATCAGAATTATATAAACAGTATTTTACTGTCATTGTTAAGTGAATATTTAACATGTCCAGTTCTCAAATACCGTTTTCATTTTTGACTCCATTACATTGCTAGTAAAGTCAAATCTGCCGTAAATGGATGGTACATTCTTTCTGTCCATTATACATGACTTGCTTTTGCTTCCACTGAGTGAATTTTAAAAAATTATTTTTACCAATTGTACTAGCCTGATTTTTCAAGTATAAGGTCATTTTTACTTACATATAATCCTTCAAAATCATTTATCTACCTTGTCATAATGCATGCTAACAGCACCCTTCAATTCAGTATCATCTGCAAATTTCATTAACATATTGTTTACTCCCTTTCCAGGTGATTGATGTAGATATTAAATATGACTATAGTTAACATCAATCCCTTCCTAACTTGGTTACAAATTTCTTCAAAATAAAATAGCATTTTTAGTATTACTCCTAATTTGTAGTTCTTCAATCAATTTTGTATTCTAATGGTACGAGAATGTTTAATGCAAGTTAATTTTAACTTTGAAAGTCTGTCTCAGATTGCTAAAATAAAACATGTTCTGCTTTCTGTATTTCTCACATTAAGTAATTCTAATTCTCTAAAAATTGTGGACAACCTCGTTAACCTGTAAAAGTAATTTATAAATCCAAGTTATCTCTGAAACATGATGCAATCATCTTGGGGAGACTTGAATGTCTACAAAATTTCTCTAGGGCTTTATAATATCGCTGGTCTGAGAAATTCCATTAATGTTTCATTTGGAAATGTTAACTCCTATGAAACTAGGGTATTCTTGTGTTTTTTTTTTTTTAAATATACTTTAAGTTCTGGGATACATGTGCAGAACGTGCAGGTTTGTTACATAGGTATACATGTGCCGTGGTGGTTTGCTGCACCCATCAACCATTCATCTACAGTAGGTATTTCTCCTAATGCTATCCCTCCCCTAGCCCCACATCCCCTGACAGGCCCCAGTGTGTGATGTTCCCCTCCCTGTGTCCCTGTGTTCTCATTGTTCAACCCCACTTAGGAGTGAGAATATGCAGTGCTTGGTTTTCTGTTCCTGTGTTAGTTTGCTGAGAATGATGGTTTCCAGCTTCATCCATGTCCCTACAAAGGATATGAACTCCTCCCTTTTTATGGCTGCATAGTAGTCCATGGTGTATATGTTCCACATTTTCCTTATCCAGTCTATTATTGATGGGCATTTGGGTTAGTTCCAAGTCTTCGTTATTGTGAATAGTGCTACAATAAACATACGTGTGCATGTGTCTTTATAGAAGAATGATTTATAATCCTTTGTGTATATACCCAGTAATGGGATTGCTGGGTCAAACAGTATTTCTGGTTCTAGACCCTTGAGGAATCTCCACATTGTCTTCCACAAAGGTTGAACTAATTTGCACTCCCACCAACAGTGTGACAGCATTCTTATTTCTCCATATCCTCTCCAGCATCTATTGCTTTATAACTTTTTAATGATATAACGCCATTCTAATTGGTGTGAGATGGTATCTCACTGTGGTTTTGATTTGCATTTCTCTAATGACCAATGATGATGAGCTTTTTTTTGTATGTTTGTTGGCTGCATAAATGTCTTCTTTTGAGAAATGTCTGTTCATATCCTTTGCCTACTTTTTGATGGGATTGTTTTTTTCTTGTAAATTTGTTTAAGTTCCTTGAAGATTCAGGGTATTAGCCCTTTGTTTAAGTTTCTTGTAGTTTCAGGATATCAGCCCTTTGTCAGATGGATAGGTTGCAAAAATTTTCTCCCATACTGTAGGTTGCCTGTTCACTCTGATGATAGTTTCTTTTGCTATGCAGAAGCTCTTTAGTTTGATTAGATCCCATTTGTCACTTTTGGCTTTTGTTACCATTGCTTTTGGTGTTTTAGACATGAAGTCCTTGCCCATGCCTATGTCCTGAATGGTATTGCCTAGGTTTTCTTCCAGGGTTTTTATGGTTTTAGGTCTTATGTTTAAGTCTTTAATCCACCTTGAGTAAATTTTTGTATAAGGTGTAAGGAAGGTGTCCAGTTTCAGTTTTCTGCATATGGCTAGCCAGTTTTCCCAAAACCATTTATTAAATAGGGAGTCCTTTCCCCATTGCTTGTTTTTGTCAGGTTTGTCAAAGATCAGATGGTCGTAGATGTGTGGTGTTATTTCTGAGGCCTCTGATCTGTTCCATTGGTCTATATGTCTGTATTGATATCAGTACCATGCTGCTTTCATTACGGTAACTTTGTAGTATAGTTTGAAGTCAGGTAGTGTGATGCCTCCAGCTTTGTTCTTTTTGCTTAAGATTGTCTTGGCTATATGGGCACTTCTTTGGTTTCATATGAAATTTAAAGTAGTTTTTTCTAATTCTGTGAAGAAAGTCAATGGTAGCTTGATGAGGATAGCACTGAATCTATAAACTACTTTGGACAGTATGGCCATTTTCATGAAATTGACTCTTCCTATCCATGAGCATGGAATGTTCTGCCATTTGTTTCTGTCCTCTCTTATTTCCTTGAGCTGTGGTTTGTACTTCTCCTTGAAGAGGTTCTTCAAATCCCTTGTAACTTTTATTCCTAGGTATTTTATTCTCTTTGTAGCAATTGTGAATGGGAGTTCACTCATGATTTGGCTCTCTGTTTGTCTATTATTAGTGTATAGGAATGCTTGTGATTTTTGCACATTGATTTTTTATCCTGAGACTTTGCTGAAGTTGCTTATCAGCTTAAGGAGATTTTGGGCTGAGATGATGGGGTTTTCTAGGTATACAATCATGTCATCTGCAAACAGAGACAATTTGACTTCCTCTCTTCCTATTTGATCATGCTTTCTTTCTTTCTTTTGCCTGAATGCTCTGATCAGAACTTCCAATGCTATGTTGAATAGGAGTGGTGAGAGAGGACATCCTTGTCTTGTGCTGGTTTTCAAAGGGAATGCTTCCAGCTTTTGCACATTCAGTGTGATATTGGCTGTGGGTTTGTCATAAATAGCTCTTATTATTTTGCAATACCTTTCATCAATACCTAGTTTATTTATCATTTTTATTATGAAGGTGTGTTGAATTTTATCAAACGCCTTTTCTGTATCTATCTGTTGAGAAAATCATGTGTTTTTTTCCCACTGGTTCTGTCTATCTGATGGATTATGCTTATTGATTTGCATATGTTGAACCAATCTTGCATCCCAGGGATGAGTCTGACTTTATCATGGTGGAAACGCTTTTTGATGTGCTGCTGGATTTGGTTTGCCAGTGTTTTATTGAGGATTTTGCATCAAGGTTCATCAGGGATATTGGCCTGAAATTTACTCTTTTGTTGTTTCTCTGCCAGGTTTTGGTATCACAATGATGCTGGTCTCATTAAATGAGTGAGGGAGGACTCCCTCTTTTTCTATTGTTTGGAATAGCTTCAGAAGGAGTGGTATCAGCTCCTCCTTTTACCTCTGTTAGAATTTGGCTGTGAATCCTGGTTCTGAGATTATTTTGATTGGTAGGCTATTAATTACTGGCTCAGTTTCAGAACTTGTTATTGGTCTATTCAGGGATTTGTCTTCATCCTGGTTTCGTCTTGGAAGGGTGTATGTGTTCAGGAATTTATCCATTACTTCTAGATTTTCTAGTTTATTTGCATACAGATGTTTATAGCATTCTCTGATGGTAGTTTGTATTTCTGTGGGATCAGTGGTGATATCCCCTTTATCATTTTTTATTGTGTCTATTTGATTCCTCTCTCTTTTCTTCTTTATTATTCTGGCTAGTGGTCTATTTTGTTAATCTTTTCAAAAAACAAGCTCCTGGATTCACTGATTTTTTTGAAGGGTTTTCTCTGTCTCTATCTCCTTCATTTCTGTTCTGATCTCATTTCTTTTCTTCTGCTAGCTTTTGAATTTGTTTGCTCTTGCTTCTCTAGTTTTTTTAATTGTGATATTATAGTGTTAATTTTAGTTCTTTCCCACTTGCTCCTGTGGGCATTTAGTGCTATAAATTTCCCTTGAAACACTGCTTTGGCTGTGTCCCAGAGATTCTGGTAAGTTGTGTCTTTGTTCTCATTGGTTTCAAAGAACTTATTTATTTCTACCTTAAGTTCGTTATTTGCCCAGTAGTCATTCAGGAGTAGGTTGTTCAGTTTCCATGTAGTTGTGCGCTTTTGAGTGAGTTTCTTAATCCTGAGTTCTAATTTGATTGCACTGTGGTCTGAGAGACTGTTTGTTATGATTTCCTTTCTTTGCATTTGCTGAGGAGTGTTTTACTTCGAATTATGTGGTCAATTTTAGAATAAGTACAATGTGGTGCTGAGAAGAACATATATTATTTTAATTTTTGGTGGAGAGTTCTGTAGATGTCTGTTAGGTCTGCTTGGTCTAGAGCTGAGTTCAAGTCCTGAATATCCTTGTTAATTTTATTTCTCATTGATGTGTCAATTATTGACAGTGGGGTGTCAAAATCTCCCACTATTATTGTGTGGGAGTCTAAGTCTCTTTGTGGTCTATAAGCACTTGCTTTACATATCTGGGTGCTTCTGTATTGGTGCACCCACTAAATATATATTGGTGCATATATATTTAGGCTAGTTAGCTCTTTTTGTTGCATTGATCCCTTTACCATTATGTAATGCCCTTTTTGTCTTTTCTGATCTTTGTTGGTTTAAAGTCTGTTTTATCAGAGACTAAGATTGCAACCTCTGCTTTTTTTTGCCTTCCATTTGCTTGGTAAATATTCCTCTATCCCTCTATTTTAAGCCTATGTGTGTCTTTGCACGTAAGAGGGGTCTCCTGAATACAGCACCCTGATGGGTCTCGACCCTTTATCCAATTTGCCAGGCTGTGTCTTTTCATTGTGGCACTTAGCCTATTTACATTTAATGTTAATATTGTTATGTGTGGAGTTGATTGTGGCACTTATCCCATTTACATTTAATGTTAATATTGTTACGTGTGGAGTTGATTAACATTAAATGTTTAACATTTAATGTTAATATTGTTATGTATGGAGTTGATTGTTATGTGTGGAGTAAAGACAGTGCAGTCTTTATGATGCTAGCTGGTTATTTTGCCCATTAGTTGATGCAGTTTCTTCATAGTGTCAATAGTCTTTACAATTTGGTATGTCTTTGCAGTGGCTTGTACTGGTTTTTCCTTTCCATATTTAGTGCTTTCTTCAGGAGCAAGGCAGGCCTGGTGGTGACAAAAATCTCTCAGCATTTGCTTGTCTCTAAAGGATTTTATTTCTCCTTCCACACTTATGAAGCTTAGTTTGGCTGGATATGAAATTCTGGGTTGAAAATTCTTTTCTTTAAGAATGTTGAATATTGTCCCCCACTCTCTTCTCACTTGTTAGGGTTTCTGCAGACAGATCTGCTGTTAGTCTGATGGGCTTCCCTTTGTGGGTAAGTAACCTGACCTTTCTCTCTGGCTGCCCTTAACATTTTTTCCTTCAGCTCAACCTTGGTGAATCTGACAGTTATGTGTCTTGGGGTTGCTCTTCTCAAGGAGTATCTTTGTGGTGTTGTCTCTGTATTTCCTGAATTTGAATGTTGGCCTTTCTTGCTAGGTTGGGGAAGTTCTCCTGGATAATATCCTGAAGAGTGTTTTCCAACTTGGTTCCATTCTCCCCATCACTTTCAGGTACCCCAATCGAACGTAGGTTTCGTCTTTTCACATAGTCCTGTATTTCTTGGCGGTTTTGTTCATTCCTTTTCATGGTTTTTTCTCTAATCTTGTCTACATGCATGATTTCTTTAAGTTGATCTTTAATCTCTGATATCCTTTCTTCAGCTTGATCAATTCAGCTATTGATGCTTGTATATGCTTCACGAAGTTCTTGTACTGTGTTTTTCAGCTCCATCAGGTCATTTATATTCTTCTCTCAACTGATTATTCTAGTTAGCAATACATGTAACATTTTATCGAGGTTCTTACCTTCCTTGCATTGTGTTAGAACATGCTCCTTTAGCTCAGAGGAGTTTGTTATTACTCACCTTCTGAAGCCTACTTTTGTCAGTTTGCCAAACTCATTCTCCATCCAGTTTTGTTCCCTTGCTGGCAAGGAGTTGAGGTCCTCTGGAGAAGAGGCGTTCTGGTTTTTGGAATTTTCAGCCTTTTTTTCTCCTCATCTTTGTGGATTTATCTATTTTTGGCTTCTGATGCTGAGGACTTTGGAAAAGGTTTTTGTGTTGGCGTCCTTTTTGTTGATGTTGATGTTATTACTTTCTGTTAGTTTTTCTTCTAACAGTGAGGCCCCTCTTCTGCACGTCTGCTGGAGTTTGCGGGAGGTCCTCTCCAGACCCTCTGTGCCTGGGTATCACCAGCAGAGGATGAAGAACAGCAAAGATTGCTGCCTGCTCCTTCTTCTGGAAGCTTCATCCCAGAGGGTCACCCACCAGAATCCAGCTGGAGCTCTCCTGTATGAGGTGTCTGTTGACCCCTGCTGGGAGGGTCACCCCATCAGGAGGCATGGGGGTCAGGGACCCACTTGAGGAGGCAGTATGTCCCTTAGCAGAGCTCGAATGCTGTGCTGGGAGATCTGCTGCTCTCTTCAGAGCCTGCAGGCAGGAAAATTTAGGTCTACTGAAGCTGCGCCCACAGCCACATCTTCCCCTACGTGCTCTGTCCCAGGAAGTTGGGAAGTCTATCTATAAGCCTACTCAAGCCTCGGTAGTGGCAGATGCTCCTCCCCCGACCAAGCTCGAGCATCCCAGGTTGATTTCAGACTGCTGTGCTGGCAGCAAGAATTTTAAGCCAGTGGATCTTAGCTTGCTGGGCTCTGTGGGGATGGAATCCACTCAGCTATACCACTTGGTTCCCTGGCTTCAGCCCTGTTTCCAGGGGCATGAATGGTTCTGTCTCACTGGCGTTCCAGGTGTCACTGGGGTATGAAAAAAACTCCTGCAGCTAGCTCGCTGTCTGCCCAAATGGCCGTCCAGTTTTGTGCCTGAAACCTAGGGCCCTGGTGGTGTAGGCACCCGAGGGAATCTCCTGGTTTGTGGGTTGCGAAGACTGTGGGACAGCATAGTATGTGCACTGGAGTGCACTGTTCCTGAAGGCAGGCTCCCTCAGGGCTTCCTTTGGCTAGGGGTGGGAGTTTCCCGACCTCTTGGACTTCCCAGCTGAGGCAACACCCCACCCTGCTTCTGCTCGCCCTCTGTGGGCTGCACCCACTGTCTAACCAGTCCCAGTGAGATGAACCAGGTACCTCCAGGTACCTCAGTTGGAAATACAGAAATCACCCACCTTCTGTGTTGATCTCACTGGGAGCCGCAGACTGGAGCTGTTCCTATTTGGCCATCTTACCAGCCACCCACCCTCCTTTTTTTTTTTTTTTTTTTTTTTTTGAGACAGAGTCTTGCTCTTGTTGCCCAGGCTGGAGTGCAAAGGCACGATCTCAGCTCACTGCAACCTCTGCTTCCTGAGTTCAAGCGATCCTCCTGCCTCAGCCTCCTGAGTAGTTGGGATTACCTCAGTAGAATTCAGTTGGGTATTTACTTTATTCTAATTTTACTTGCCTTCTAATGTAAATGATTATATAAAGTATTTCTTCCAGTTGGTGTGTATGGAAAAGGTAAATTGCATATTAGTTACTTATACAATTTTTGTTTTAATCATTTTTATTGGTCACCTATAAATAGGCAATTGATAAATAATTTTTTCTATCTCCCCTACAATCCGGAAATTAAAATAATCTAATCACAGGTCACATCAAAATGATAATTTAAATGGGACTGTCTCCTACATAGCTGCCAAGAAGTTTTCAGCACATAACTTGAACCACATAATTATGAAGTAATCCCCATGACAACAAAATACATTTTATGTAACAAAGACTAGTTTCCTGCGAAGATTTTACCATTACAAATGAAGAAGTTTGGCACTGTATATTTTACTGTGTCTCATTCCTTCTCCCCAAACAGATTTGGCTGATTAATTATGTCACTGTCATCCCTTGCTAGGGACGAGGAACATTAAGACAATGTGGGCCAATGAGAGAGCAGGAGAGATTTGCTGGGTGTTCTGGAAAAGGAGTTCCTTCTCAACAATTCCATATCTTCTCTCTCTACTCCTTGATCTCTTCTGACCACCTTCTGACATTTCCTACCAAAGCCACATGCACAGCCACAAAGCCCAGACTGCCACTGGCAGCAAACCTGCCACCACGAGGGGAACCGTCTAAGAATGAAGCCTGAGTGTAGGCAGCAAAGTAGACGCAAAGAGCCTGTCTTCATGACCTCACTGAGCCAGCAGAAAAACCTGGGACCCACCCTGAAGCATACTGTATCTCTGTGTCTGCTCATTGATAAACACACAAATGCCCTTTCTCTATATGTCGGTCCAAAGAGGATTTGTTACATGGAGCCAAAAGCATCCTAATTAGTCCTTGAGTATACACTTTGTAAGCTAAAGTTAACCAAATATGAACATGTTTGTATTGGTTTAGTAATCATGCAGATTCTTGTTTAGATTGGATATCAAAATTAAACTTTTCAAACTTAATGTATATTCTGTATCATAATGTCTTTTAAAAGAAGATTTTGAAAACAGCCAAAGGTTACAGAGCTAGTCAGTTGAAGGGTCAGAATTTATCCCTAGGCAGTCTGGCCGCAGAGCCTGTGCTTTTAACCAGCAAATGAGAGAGGACACTGCAGGGATTTTGACAAGCATGCTCAAGATGGAGCAGAACCAAAAACTAGTAGTGTCTAAAAAAAAAGAGAGAGAGAGAGAAAGACAGACAGAGAGACGGTGAGGACAGAGTGTCATAAAGAAAACAGAGTGATCAGAAATGTGCAACGCAACAGAAAAATCAAAATATGAAAAGATCTTAAATTAAGCCTTCATATGAATTGAATTTTACTGCTGGACTTTGAAAAACCAGGTACTCTAGTACCTGCTAGGCTGTTAATCTGGGGGTAGTAATTTAAATAATAAATAAAAAGAGGAGAAAAGTAAATGTATCAGGTATTTAATTTTTGAGGTTACTAAAACTGGTATTACTATTATTATTATTATTTTATCTGTATCACAAACCCCCATGGAGTCTTTTCATCCCTAAATCTTCTCCATGTGTTCTCCAAAAATATGTGTTCTCTTGAAACCCTTTTGCATCTCTTAGTATCTATTAAGTTAGTGCAAAAGTAACTGTGGTTTTTGGAATTAAAAGCAATGACATTTTAATGCCAAAAACTGCAATTACTTTTGCACCAACCTAAATCTATTTAATCTGTCTATCTGTCCTCTATCTATCTATCTATCTATCTATCTATCTATCTATCTATCTATGTGGTTATCTAGCTGTTATCTATCTATATATCTATCTATCTATCTATGTATCTATCTAGTAAGAATACACATGTTGGAAGAAATCTATTGATTGGTCTTGTACTGGAATCCACATTTTTCCTAACAAAATATTCCAGCCAGACTTTTCTTACATACAAGTGTGTGTAGCCTCATTAGGGAAGGTTCCTAGCCCAAACCATTGATTTGTTATTCTATGTACAGTCAAGGAGTTGTGTTGTGCAATCATATCACTCTGACATCTAAACAATAAGACAGGTGGTTTTCAAGCAGTTAGGACAAGAGTACTTAGAATGCCACAGGGAAAAATAAAATAAAATTACATTGAGAGACAGAATGAATAATGGAAATAATTAAATAGTATCTGAAGTAGTCTAGCTAACCTGGATTGGAATTCTGTTCTGCCATTCGTCAACCATGCAAACTTGGAAACTTCCTTAACCTACCTTAGATTGTAGTTTATCTTAAGTAAACTGAGGAGTAATACTAACTTCACAAAATTGTTGTTATAATTAGCCACACAATGCAGGGCCTGACCTATAGTGGGTGTTCAGAGAACAACAGCCATTATCATATGTCTTATTGAGTTTGCCCTGATGTAACTCCTAAGGTTAGGGATGGCATGATACATAAAAAGACAGCTTAAAACAAGAAACCAAATAAAGTAGTTTCATCAATCTTAGTGCATTGAAGTAAGAAAGTAAAAGAAGTGAGATAGTTGCTACTCCTCTGAAAAGAAATGTTATAAGGCCTCTTGCCCTGTAACAAACATGACAAACTGAAACACTGACCAAGGGATCAAGCAGACAATACAAATGATAAAGCAGATAAGTATCCAGGTTCTAGGCTTGTTTGCCTTCAGATGTCTATGTCCTCCTTGCCTTGCTCTGTTCTGTGTCACAGAAGGACTCACCCATGCAAGATGCATTCCTCAGGTTTCTGAGTCAGCTGCCTCCAGCAGGGTGAAAACAATGGCAAGCACTGGCAGGAGACTTGAGGGTAGGGGACTAGTAGGAGACCACCAAGTTAGCTCCATTCTCCCCACCCCTTCTTGTTCGCTGTGTCTGACTGTTTCTCTAGCAATGGCTTCATCTCTGTGTGTTCCAGTGTACCCTTCACGTAACCATGACCCTGGGCTCCTACAACACTAGCTCCTCCTTTTTCTCTCCAGCCAAGTGTTAGTAGTATCTTCTTGCCATGTCAATCTCTGGTTTATGTCATTGTCGGTATCACCTGTATAACTAGTTGCCTATGCTACAGTATTGGCTTCTGTATTCCTGGTTAGACCCTGACTGATAGAATCTGTAAACATGGACACAAGTAAAATTGATAGGATTTCACAAAGTGGTGAGAACCTCCTGGTCATCTGGTACTCACCTGTGACTAACTGATGCATTTTAGGAATATGGGTACCATATGGTCAAATCCTCCAAATTTTCAAGAAATGCTGAACTATGACGTGACCTGCAACTGTCGTGATTTTCTAGGAAGATGTGAGGAGAGCTGTGACTGACTTAGTGGTTTAGTGCTATTGAACATTCTGATTTGTGCGCTGGAATTAGTCAACATTGAGAATGAAACACTACCAACTTTCTTAATGTATACAATTGTTATTTCGAGAAACATTTTCGAGTGTCTACATTGTATTACTCACCAAGGTAAATGCCTAGAATACAAGAAAGATTAGTTGATAGTTAACTACTATTAATTATCTAGTTTGATACAAGTACTTTTAGATACATAATAAAACATTATCTTTACTATGAAAGTTCATGGTCATTACCCACAAGTTTTGTTTTATTTTCACTTTTTGAAAGCTGAGACTCAGAGATACCAATGAACTCTCCAAGTTTACGTAGCTGGTTTGAAGGAGATCTCACTGAAATCCATAGTTGGACTCTAAAAATTATGCTCTTTCTGCAGTGACATGCATAGTCTTCCTGGATTACAGAAAACATAAAATGTGCATGATCAAGTAAGTTACATGTTAGCAGGGAGGAGAGATAAGTAAGTAGCTATAAAGCAGTGAAGGAAATGTTATGTTGGTGGGTATATTTTAATGCTCCATTGATTATATTGACACAGTAGGTGACTCGGTTGTTCACAACTTTACACACAGTTTTCTTTCTTGGTCATACCCCAAGCCACTTTCTATAATTTGTAGAAAGCATGTGTTCAGAAAAGCTGCTTAACAAAATAGTTGTGTACCATAGGTGAAGGAAGCATAATGAGATCATCTTTGATACTTGCAGCTAATATAAATTTAAAAGAGATGTAAGCATTTATAACTCTCTTTAAATGTGCGGCAATAGTTAGCATAGAAGTTATTTGTGAACAAAGAACCCACAATTAACTGAACACTAAACTCGACTTTGTAATACTTGAAAATAAAAATAATTGTATTTTAGTAAAGCATTTTATACTATCTTAACATTCAGTTTCTGTTCCCTTTTTAAATGTTCAGTCTTTCCACTGGGAGACATTACAAAATGAATTTAGTAACAGTAACTAACACTTACCGTAGTTCTTACTGTGTAGGATCTTATTTAATACAACAACCCTAGGAGGAGGCTAATATTATTATCCCCATTGTACGGAGCATTTTAGTCAGGGTTCTCTAGAGGAACAGAACTATTAAAAATAGGATATATGTATATATGAAAGGAAGTTTTTTAAGGAGAATTGACTCACAGGATCATGAGGTGAAGTCCCATGATAGGCCATCTGCAAGTTGAGGGGCAAGGAAACCAGTAATGGATCAATCTGAGTCCCAAAACCTCAAAAGTAGGGAAGCTGATAGTGCAGCCTTCATTCTGTGGCCAAAGGCCTGAGAGCCCCTATCAAACTACTGGTGTAAGTCCAAGAGTCCAAAAGCTGAAGAACTTGGAGTCTGATGTTGGAGGGCAGGAAGCATCCAGCATGGGAGAAAGATGAAGGTCAGAAGACTCAGCAAGTTCACTCCTTCCATCTTATTCTGCCCGCTTTATTCTAGCCATGCTGGCAGCTGATAAGATGGTGCCCACCCAGATTGAGGGTGGGTCTGCCTCTCCCAGTCCACTGACTCAAATGTTAATCTCCTTTGACAACACCCTCGCAGATACACCCAGGAACAATATTTTGCATCCTTCAATCCTTCAATATTGACACTCAATATGAACCTATTAACCATCACACAGAAGAAGTAACTGAGGAAGAAAGAAGCTAAATAATTTGTGTAAAGCCACATAGATTCTCAGTTGCAGAGCCGTGATTCAAACTGAGGTGTTGGGCACCATGCCTAAGCAATTAATCCTGGTACCTCACTGTTTCTTCATAAAGCAATAGAAGTGCTTACTATATGCAAAATATTGTAGGGAATATGCTACCACTCCTGAGTGGCTTGGAATCTAATTGGAGAGTCATAACATACCACCACATAAATTTGTATTGGTCTTAAATAAATTTTAAGGAAGTACCATACAAGAGGTACTGAATTATTATTATTGATTGAATAAGTAAGAAAGATCAGAGAATGGGAAGGTGAACCAGTTAATTTTTATTGCCAGTATATACCAAATATGGAATATATTTTGATCCTTATAAATTGCTTGACAGTCCAGTGAAATAGATACTGCAAGTCTTCCTATTTTAGAGATGGAGACTAAATAACATGCCCAAACCCATGTAGCTAGGAAGTTGCACTCAAAGTGTGCTTCGTGGACAGGCAGCATGAAAATCACCTGAGAGGTTGTCAGAAATGCAAATTTAAGGTCCAACCCAGACCTGTTGAATCAGATCTCTGGGACTGATGCACAGAAATGTGTGTTCCAATCAGTTTTCTATGTGATTCTCGTGCACATTGAAGTTTGAGAAGTACCTACTTAAGGTATGAATTTGTGGTAATTGTGAGATCTGTGTAATGTTAAGCCTCATATTCTTGCCACAGCACCATGCTGTGACGTGGGCTAGCTGGGGAAGTTTGGAAGGAATTCAATATAAGAGCTGTTCTTTGAAGGACTGGTTAAGTACAGGTCGGAAGAAAGAAGAATGGAAACATAATAGGAGAGAACACTTACTGAACATGTCGTGCATGATGGTTGCCATGTTTATCTTCCCATCCTAGCTATAATTATTTCACCCAAAACTCTTGGTTAGGTTTACTTATCAGACTAAGGGAGGGCACCTGATACAAAGGTAGGCCATCTGTAGTCTAGTGAGCAATTCAAAGAGAGGCTTTGCATGAAGTGTTCTGCCAATGATTAATAATGGTAATGAAGCCAATTATTTAGATTTGCACCATGGACTGTGGAGGAGGAATTATCAGTAGGTATCAGCAAGAGGATAATGGAGCAGACATATAGGAAAAGACAAATACAATATAAGGAAAACAAAAAGACAAGCTTTCCCCTATACCTCTTATTCATATATTTTGGCTATTTCTTATTTCTATTTATGAATATCCTCCTCTAGGAATCCAGAGTAACACTATAATCTAAGACTAACCATAATCCTTTATGTAACATAATAACAAAGACAAAGAGACTTAAAGCAGCGAGACATTTGGAGGGGTCAGCTATGGGCTCAATCTAGATGGTCAGAGGTCTTTTTTCTCAAGAAGTTACAGGAGACAGGGCCGGTGATAAGAAAGTTCAGAAGAGTAGAAACAATTTCTTAGGCTGGAAAGTTACTTTCATACTTCCTCTCCCTAACTCCCATTTCTCTTCTTGTAATTTGTATCTCCTACCACGTAACAGAGCCACAAACTATAAACATTAAAACCTTACAGGGCCAACTTCTTTCTGGTAGATTTAATTGCCCCTGGTAGCAAAGCCACTTGTCTCTGAAGGGGCCACTTGTCCTAAGAAATGCAAGCACTTGCTTCCCTTGATTTTCTAAGATGCCCAGAAGTTGGCTCCTTTGTCCACACAGATCAGCCCTGCCTTAGACCTCAGGCTATTTCACAAAGCTTGTCTCTGCCCTCTTCTTGTCTCTGTTACATTCCTTTTGCACTTCCTTTCCTCAAGCCAGCATTATTAAACATGGTAATAATTATATTAATAGTAAATATCACCTTTCTACAAGATTGTTTAGAGAATATAATGAGACTATGTATATAAACACAATTCATAAAACTGTTAAGTAGACCCAAATTTTAGTGATTGTAATGATAATATTTTCGTGCATGATTCCATTAGAGTTTAAAGTTGTACTGGATTTGAATGCTTAGTAAAAATGATTGGGTTTTACTTTTTGACATCCTGAAACATTTAGAGCACAGTAGTGACAGGTTGAAAGCTGGGATTTATTAATAATTAATCTAATAATCATGTAGGGAGTGGAGAGAGGAAATACTAGCATTATAGGATTAATTTAGGAGTTTATTTCCAACTACCCAGGTACTTAGCCAAAAGGCTGAATAGTGGTCATTTCATGGTCACTACCATGGAAACAGAAAGGAAGGGGCACTTTGACGATACATTTAGGCTGCTAAAAACGTTAGTTCTTGATGACCGATTGAATATAAATGGCAACAAAGAAAGAGTCAGAGGTGACTATATGGCTTGGAACCTGTGTCTTTGGGAAAATGGAATTATTCTGAATTACACCCTCATGTCTAAGCTAAACTGGTAGGTTTACTTAGTGACTGGGCAACTTCCGCATGATTTTTAAAACATTCCTTTGTCATCTTTAATGCATACTTTAGGACCTTGGGGCACTTTTTATTACAGCACAGGCCTTACTTTCAATGATCTGAATCCAAATCTCTTTTCCAGGATAAAGATGTGATCCCGAGATATAAGGGACTTATTTTGTCCAATATGAGGTCTAGTTGGAATAGTGTCCTCTCTAAGTCAGACTCTGTGAGGGACTACAGGAAAGGGAACAAAAACCAGCTCATCTTCACCCATCCTGTGCTTTCCAGTGTTTCACTGCTACCATTCCCTTCTGTCTTAGCTTAGTGAAATCAGTGTCTTACTTGCCCTGAAACATATAATGCCCAGTAATAGAGCTAGAACTCTTGTCCAGGCCTGTCAAATAAATTTAACCAAATATTTCAATGGGAAAAAAAGAATAACTTATGTCTTGTGATAATATAACCACCATGCTTTCATGTGTGTATGTGTGTATGGGTGTGTGTGTGAGACTATAATTTATTCAACAAAAAAAATTTTGGCTTCTTTTTTTCTCAAAAAAAAAAATCATAAAAACTTATCTAATGCTGAAGGGTAGCAATCATCAGTTGATCTTAAAAGGACACCATATTCTCTATAAATATTTCTTTCTAAAGTTGTCAGTTAGGTTTCATCCTGCTTTATCCTTTCTTTAGGAAAGGATAGTGTTAAAGTGCCATCAAGTAAAATATGGGATTTTCTGCTGAGGTCTTTACATCAGTGAATTTACATTTTGTAAGAATACCCTAAGGGGATTTCAGCTTCCTGACTTAAAAAGTTAGGTGGATCCATTTCAGTTGTGCACATCCAGCTTCATGCTTTAACATGGCCAGATTGCCATGGCTTCAATTTAAGTCACAGGTTTCTGGTGATAATATACATCTACATTTTTACAGTGGTGCCTGAAAATGGGAGTCTATAAAGAATCTGACTTGAATTATTAAGAATGGAAAACTTAAATGTCTGACCCCAAACAGGGGTATAAATTCTGCTATGTTTTAATGCATTCACTACTTCCTAAACTGATACATATTTCCAAGATAATATGACTAACTTTATATATAAAAAATACTTTAGTTCTTTGATAAAAAGAAAAAATGCTCTTGAAGGTCAAAAGTCAAAGTATGCTATCACAAATAAAAATATTAGTTCTCTAAAATATGTAACTTGATTTCTTTTGTATAGTTTAAAACATGTGTTGAAAATTAAATATGCCTGATTTTTATAAAACTGTCATTAATGTTAGAGTATATTTGAGTTTTATATATCATAAATTAGAAGTTGAGACAGTGAGTGTATCTAATTAATAGTTATGTCCTGTCAGTGTGTATGTAAATGCTGAGTAGTCACAATTTTCAAAAATGTGTTTTCTTTTTACTTTATCATTTTCTGGTTATTTCAGATTAAATAACCATAATTTATATTCTGTGGATCTGATTATTTGTGTCTACCTCAAGATTCCAACACAATAAATTGGGATGACCATAAAGGGAAAGATGTGGGAACATCACAATTGAAAGGGTGGTCCCCTGAGGCTAACAGTGGAGATTTTACCACCCAGGACCTGAGTAGAGTCTGTAAGGAATGTTATCTAGAGAGAAGCAGTGATTCATTTAGGGAAATAACTGCCCTATGGTGACCCTAAAGGGAAGAATCCAGGAGAATAAATACCTTGACATCAGTTTCTTACCCATCTCTGATCCATCTCTGATCTCTTGCCAGGACTCCTTATTGGCAGAGCACTATCAGCAGCCAGAGTTAGGAATCCCATGGACTAGTCCATACAGGTCTATATTTCAGCCTCCCGGGGACAGAGAGCAAGGTGGGAAAGCAGGGAGAGTAGAGCTGGATGGCCAAACAAAAGATATACTCACAGTGTGGCCAAAATAAATAAATTCTAGCCATTTAATGCTTCATTTTAAAATAATTTTCAAATAGCAATTTAAAACAATCTGTCATTGCCATTCATTGAGAATACTTTCTGGAAGATAAGCAGTGTCTTCTTATCTGGAAGATATTGTTGGTCTCCTTTATTCTAGATCTCTGTAGCACCTAACACTGCTAACTGCAGTCATCTGAATATGAAAAAACGTTTAGTAGGGTTAGAATGAACTAGGACAAGGGTCAGTAACTAAAATGGGCAGTCTAGTTGGCTAAGTGGGTGGCTGAACTAGCAGATCTATTCTTTCCTTCTGATGCTACCCTTTGTTCCTTCTCCTTTGTGAATATTGGTACATTATCTATCAGTTCTATATTGCCACAGTAACTCTGTTTAACAAACCAAACTGCTCCAAAACTGAGTGGCTTAAAACAACAGTAGTCTCTTCTCACAGATCTGAAGATCAGCTAGGGTAAATTAATCTAGACTGGACCTAAATAGGTGCCTCTGCTTCCAGCTGTGGGTCTGATTGGGCATGGTTCACTCAGTCCATTTTGGCTGAACGGTCAGCAGGGAAACTTTCCTTATGGAGATGGCGCAGATAAAAAGAGGGCAAGTAGAAAAATAATAATTCCACTTAAGGTCTAGGCTAAGAACTGGCACACTATCACTTCCATCCACATACAATCGGACAATGCAACACGCAAGGCTAAGGTCAAAATCAAGGCATAGGAATAAACTTTATGCTCTGGATGAGATCATGACAAGGATATGGATGCAGAAAGGATGAAAATTGGGGACAAGATTTCAATCTACTCTAATCTACACTCTTGGCCACAATTACTCATTTGCAAGACCACCCCATGCAAAACCAAACCAAAACTAAACTGAAACAAACACCCTCATCCTAGAATCTTTAAAAGTCTCATGTCACATGACATTAAGCTCAAGGTTCAGGATCATGTAATCATTGTTAGTCCAGATGAGGCTCTTTTTGATTTGGAAACCTATAAACTAAAATGGCAAGTTATTTCGCCCAAACACAATACACTTCCGGAACAGAGAAAGAATAATAGCAATAAGCTCTTCCATTTGGAAAGCCAAAGAGAGTAGAATGGGATACAGGCACATAGGAAGCCTTGGTAGACGGTAATTTTGAAGTCCCATTTGGAAAATATTACTAAGTCTCCCTTCTCTAGGATTAGAGAATGGTCCTTAGTAAAATTCCCAATTCTGCTTCCAGGAAGTGGTCCCCAGTTTTTTATTCTCCTGCATTGTCTACTAGTTTGGATGTCCCTTTTCCCCAATCATCCTTCTTGTCCATTTTTACAGAGGACTTTGTCTAAAATGCTCTTTATAGAAGCTGAGCAATCGCCTTCGGCTGCTTCCTTTCGTGAGACAGTTGGAAGGTCTTATATTTTCAGCAGGCCCAGTCCATCTTAGTCCTGGCTTTCATTGCTTTTTGCCAATCAAATCTCTCAAAATATTGTGGACCTTCTATATATTTTTTTAGAACACTTCATCAGCCAAAAACCAAACCTACAATTTTCTCTGATGCATGCTTCTCTCTCTACTCTTAATCTTGGACATATTAGGCTTCTATGGGATTATGCCAATAAACTTTTGTAATACGATTACATTCTTATATAGGAAACACTTTATTTTCATGATAAAAGTTGCTCCTGAGAGTCAAAAAACAAAATATTCTACCAAAATAAAATGTTAACTTTCTAAAATATATAATCTGGTTGTTTTATACAATTCAAGATGAATATGTTTAAAATTAAACTTGCCTGGTTTGAATAAAACTGTTACAATGTTAGAATTTTCTATATCATATATAGTTAAATCAAAGCAGGTTATTTTATTTAGAAAGCCCTTCTTTAGATCCCTTTTTATATTTGGAAGGAATCTACTGGAAATGACCTTAATTCTTTCAGAGATTTTAATAAATGGTGTGAGGGCTGAACCCTGGTTGGTTCTATGACTCAAGGCTGTATACCAATATTGATTTCATCTTTGTTCTCATCTTGTATCTTAATCTGAGAATCTTTTCCTGGCTATAGAAGCTAAAGATGAGGAATAGTTTAATTTCCCAAGCCAGCAATTTCTGGATTTATAACATTCTGCTCACAAACTTTAAAATTATTTTCTGATCTGATTTGTTTCTGTATATCTATCTCTTTATGTATATTTTTTGTAGAAATACATTATATACATATAAAAGAGATGAGCTCACACTTTTCCCATATTGCCTAGAAACCATCCTGTCCAAGTCCACAAGTTTGTGAGATACAATTTTTATTTTCCTAGTTAGAGCAGGCAAAAGTTTTAGTAAATATTTTACCTCTACACAATGTTGTTATTTTTCTAAATATATTAGCTTTCTTCCCATTTTCTCAACCTTCATCCATTGCTCAGTCCCAAATCTAATGGTATGTATTTTATGTGTATCCCACTTCCAGTACCAATTTCAGTATCAGTTAGTTATTGTCACAGTGAGTCTGATGAACAAACAACCCCCAGTTAATCATTTATTTTCAGAGATCTGAGGTTGATAGTGAAGGTGAGGCTTGGCTGGGTTGCTCTGTGTTAAGCTGTAGGTTCCGCTATCCCTGGTTCATCACTCAGGTTGACTGCACAGTTTTTCTTATAAGAGTGGCAGAGCTACAAAGAGAATTGGTAGAAATCCTTGAGGCTCTTAACACCTAGGCTTGGAACTGGCTCTTTGACACTTCCTCCCCTAAATGTTTTTGACCAGGCAAGTCCCATAGCTAAGCTCAAAGTCCCCAGTTGGAGAAAACTATACACCACCATCAATGGGGTCATAGCAAATATCTATGCAGGGAAGGGGAACCAGAAGTTTAATCTACCACCTTTTTAGAGTCCCAAATAACCTTGGCTGCCAACTTGTAGATAGTTTTAAGAATTTATAAATGAGGCCAGTGCTTTTTTTTTTTTTTTTTTGGTTAAATCCTGAATACTAGGATCATAATCAGCCAATGCATTCACTCATCATTATTCTATATTTTATAGTATGGCTCTGGTGAACAAGTATATGCTGCTGCCTATTTACTCTTAAAAAGACCTTCAATTTTCAGCCGGGCACGGTGGCTCACGCCTGTAATCCCAGACTTTGGGAGGCCAAGGAGGGTGTTTCACGAGGTCAGGAGATCAAGACCATCCCGGCCAATATGATGAAACCCCCATCTCTACTAAAATAAAAAAAAAAAAAAATTAGCCGGGCTTGGTGGCATGCGCCTGTAGTCCCAGCTACTCAGGAGGCTGAGGCAGGGGAATTGCTTAAACCCAGGAGATAGAGATTGCAGTGAGCCAAGATCGTGCCATTGCACTCCAGCCTGGCAACAGAGTGAGACTCCGTCTCAAAAAATAAAAAAATAAAACTTCAATTTTCATGTAGAAATTCTAATTTGAATAAATGGAAAATTAAGGCTCATGGGGAAAGTTACTGAGAGGTGACAGCGTGCTGGCAGTCCTCACAGCCCTCGCGCGCTCTCGGCGCCTCCTCTGACTGGGCTCCCACTTTGGCCCACCGCTGCACTGTGGGATCCCCTTTCTGGGCTGGCCAAGGCCAGAGCCCGCTCCCTCATTTGCAGGGAGGTGTGGAGGGAGAGGCGCGAGCGGGAACCGGGCTGCCCCCGCTGCACTGTGGGATCCCCTTTCTGGGCTGGCCAAGGCCAGAGCCCGCTCCCTCATTTGCAGGGAGGTGTGGAGGGAGAGGCGCGAGCGGGAACCGGGCTGCCCCCGCTGCACTGTGGGATCCCCTTTCTGGGCTGGCCAAGGCCAGAGCCCGCTCCCTCATTTGCAGGGAGGTGTGGAGGGAGAGGCGCGAGCGGGAACCGGGCTGCCCGCGGCACTTGCGGGCCAGCTGGAGTTCCGGGTGGGTGTGGACTTGGCGGGCCCTGCACTCGGAGCAGCCGGCCGGCCCTGCCGCCCCGGGCAATGAGGGGCTTAGCACCCGGCCCAGCGGCTGCAGAGGGTGTAGTGGGTCCCCCAGCAGTGCAGCCCACCGGCGCTGCGCTCGATTTCTCGCTGGGCCTTAGCTGCCTTCCCGTGGGGCAGGGCTCGGGACCTGCAGCCCGCCATGCCTGAACCTCCCACCCCCTCCTTGGGCTCCTGTGCAGCCACAGCCTCCTGGACGAGCGCCACCCCCTGCTCCACGGCGCCCAGTCCCATCAACAACCCAAGGGCTGAGGAGTGCGGGCGCACGGCGCGGGACTGGCAGGCAGCTCCATCTGCAGCCCCGGTGCGGGATTCACTGGGTGAAGCCAGCTGGGCTCCTGAGTCTGGTTGGGGACGTGAAGAACCTTTGTGTCTAGCTCAGGGATTGTAACTACACCAATCGGCACTCTGTATCTAGCTCAAGGTTTGTAAACACACCAATCAGCACCCTGTGTCTAGCTCAGGGTTTGTGAATGCACCAATGGACACTCTGTAACTAGCTACTCTGGTGGGGCCTTGGAGAACCTTTGTGTCTAGCTCAGGGATTGTAAATGCACCAATCAGCACCCTGTCAAAACAGACCACTCGACTCTACCAATCAGCAGGATGTGGGTGGGGACAGATAAGAGAATAAAAGCAGGCTGCCCCAGCCAGCAGTGGCAACCTGCTTGGATCCCCTTCCACAGTGTGGAAGCTTTGTTCTTTCGCTCTTTGCAATAAATCTTGCTACTGCTCACTCTTTGGGTCCACACTGCTTTTATGAGCTATAACACTCACCGCAAAGGTCTGCAGCTTCACTCCTGAGCCAGTGAGACTACGAACCCACCAGAAGGAAGAAACTCCAAACACATCCGAACATCAGAAGGAACAAACTCCAGATGCGCCACCTTAAGAGCTGTAACACTCACCGCGAGGGTCCCCAGCTTCGTTTTTGAAGTCAGTGAGACCAAGAACCCACCAATTCTGGACACATTACCATTTAACTTTCTTCTCATTGTCATAATATTGGAACTGCGCCTAGATTCTCAAAATGTTCATCTTGTCTGCAATCACTTCAACAGAAGCTTATATTAAATATCAGGTCATGCCTCATAAATACCCCCAAATTTTGAGAACAAAAAGCACTGTATCTTTCTATTGTCACAGAACTTCCTCCAGCCTTGATCTGAGAACCCCAATTAGGCTATTCAATAGGTTGGCTATATTGGGAAAGGTAATTGTAAGAATAAAATATTCTTAAAATAAGAAGAATAAAATATTCAAGAATAAATTTATCAAAAGTTGTTTCAAACTTCTACACTTAATACAAATTTGCTGAAAGAAAGTAAAGACAATTGAAACAAAAGGAGAAATATACTAGATTTATGGGCTGAAAGATAATATTTTTAAGATGTCAATTCTCCTCAAATGTATCAATATATTTAATGCAATTCCAACCAAAATTCCAGAAGGCATGACAAGCTGATTCAAATAGTATAGTGCTAAAATGTGATGTAGTGTAGAGTAGTGGTTAATATTCAGATTCTAGACTCAGATGCTTGGCTCTACCATTTTCTATCTGTATGTATGACCTTTATCCAAATAAAGTTTTACTAGTCACTGATCTTAACTTCTGATATTTGCTTCTTCTGTATTTTGATGTCACCATACTTTGTAAATAACACTTTTGACTCTCTGTAAACTGATGTGTTGGTAGTTTTTCAAATGGGCCACCAACTATGGTCCAGTAACATAGACCCAATATCAAAACTTGACCCTCTCTGAAATTTTCTTTACCCATTTCTAAAGAGCCTACTTCGTAGAATTATGTCAAGGTTAGATGAGATAATGAAAGCTACTTAGCCTAGTCCCTGGCACATACTGAGGGCTCAACAAATATGAACTATCTAAAGGCAAAAAGAGGGATAATAGATGTCAGTGTGATGCAAACAGTGCTTTCATAGCTAACACAACATTATATCGTCTGAAATAATTAAACATGATCAGTTACTGGATCTCAGATATAGAAAAGGTCATCTATGCAAATCCAAAAACATAACTATATTGGGAGAAAGTAAGCTACTTAACCTATGACATATCAGTTAGGATTCAATCGGGCTAAGGGAATCACTATAACAAATAAGAAACAACGGATTTCTCATAGAAGTTATGCAGTTGTGGGAACTGATAATGACATCTATGAAAAACTGTTTTCTCTGTGTCTGGTGGTGGATCTGAATTCATGAAATGTAAGTAGGGCATACATATAGAGATAAAAAAGGTGGGCATGAAATGGGTGAAAGCAAAGGCAAATTGTAATCCACAAGAATAAACAGAAACCCACAAACTGGAAACTGCCTGCAGTTATCTCTCAATGCAACTAAACCTGACAACATGGATGACCTGCATTTAAAGCTGGCATACTTGACCTAAAAGCTTTATTTGTGCCTGGTCCATGACTCAGAGAAGCTGAAGGAGAACATCCAGCAAGAGTTCTGGAGCTTCAGACACAGCTGCTGCCTACTGTCAACAAAGTGAGTCTGTAAACTAGCAACAATGCATAAAAATCAATAGAGTTTTTTTCAATATTTTTCAGTAAGACCAATCTGAACTCCTGTGTTAATTTATGATCCTATTTATACTTTGAACATTAAATCTTGTGGTAAATATATAAGAATAAATGCTTCGTATGAGTTTGAGACATCAAGAACTATCATATTGATAAAAAATGCATAAAAGAGAAATTCACATTATTAAATGCTTATTAGGTATCAGGTATATTTCCTTACACATTTCACCTTATTATAATAATCCTCGCAATTGCATTGTAATTTTTTCTCTAATTTTGTAGTATTTTTATTTAAAAATTAGGTTCAGAGGTTAAATAATTTCCAAAGGACCCAGAATATATTGCAAAACTTAGATCTAAGCATGGGGGTTCCTGATGTTAAAGAGTACTTACTTTCTACTGTAGTATGCGAGAAACAATAAACATCACTATTCAAAATTTTAAAAATATATATATATTGAGAACTTTCTACAAGCTTGAACATGTTTGTGGCAAATATGCAGAAGCATTGATGATTAGATGGCTTGAAAATAACTCATTTTAAAAAGGCACTCCATCCAGAGAAGGGAAAGTTGAAAGGTAGGATGGTTTCCACATATCTGAACGTTTCTTACTTGTAGGATTGCATGGTTGTCAAAAAGATGATGATTATGTGATTGACAGAAAGACACCCATATGTACAGACAAATGATACACATTCCCTTAATGCAGTAAAAGATGCTTAATTTACTATTCACAGACAGCTATACAAGCCAGGCAACACTCCAGCACACCCAGTCAGAGATGTGAGCCATGTCCCCTAACCCTTCAAGTCTTCATGAAATCCCCTTGAGCTAATCTGAGTGAGGATTGTGTCACATCCTTCAACCTTGGTTTGTTATTCTCAAATATTTTATAACCTCCTGCTAATTCTAGCTCTTCTTGAAACTTTGGCTAGGTGTTTGACTTCTCAGTAGGTCCAAGATATTTGTAAAAACCACAGCACATGGCTGACTTGAATTTTTCCAGGCTCATCACATCCGTAGCTTACCTAGACTCTATGCTTGACCGTGATCCATTCTACAAGGAGAGCTTCCATTTTGAAAAATGGATGGATGAAACAGAGAAAATATTCTTAAACTCTGAAACTGAAGGTTTAATTTAGAGATAACAAGACATATGATAGTGAGACTTTTAAGAGATAGAATGAGAGCTATAGAATCTATATGACATGAGTCTTTTTAAATAGAATAGGTCCTTTCAGGTTTACTTTGTGATTTTAGACTTCTCATATTACCTCCAAAATTTTATTCATTTACTTATTTAATTATTCATTTAGAAGATGTTTATTGAATACCCACCATAACCCAAGTACTGGGCTAGATGTCAAAAAAAAAAAACAAAAAACAAAAAACGGGAGATTTGATCACGGAGATTTCAGGAAGAAAGTGTAACAACCTTTCCTGATTTACATTAGTAAAATCATACTTCTACAACTCATACTTCTACAACTGACATTATCATACTTCTACAACTGACTTTTTTTTCTATCAGAACAATTCTGTAAAATCTGTAATTTGATACGTTCTCTTTCTTTGCGACACTGGTTTCTCTACATAATTTTCATAAATTCATGTGTAAGTTCTTTGTATATTGGCTACAAATATTGATTCCATTTGGATCAAGTTTTGCCCACCATAATAGCAAATTATTCATAGAAAACACATTTTGAAAATTATAGAAAAGTTCCCATAATTTTTCTCAAAATATCTCAAACATTTTGATTTGCCATCAGCTACTAATGATATTTGAATTTTTTATTTTCTGGTTGAACAAAATGTAGCAGTGAGGTTTTATGAAATAATTATGATGCTTGTGCAGTAACAGAGGCATTTGTGACTATTTTATATCTTTTTTTTTACCTCTTTAATCATTTTCTTTCACCTTCCGGCATAGGTATAAGTATTAAACCAAATGCCTGCCATATGCTGCCTACTTTACAGATGCTGATTAACATTGCCCTCCTTGTTTCAATAGCTTTCTAGGAACTTTCCTAGGTCTACATTAAGGGTTAACTAGACCTATATGTATCCACCATTCATATGATTTCCTCTCACTATTCTAGTAGTATGTAAATTTCCTGCTTCAAATTTTCCCTATCAAACTTATAAAGACAAAAAGACAAATAGTTGCACAAGGTTTATGACAACAAAAACAACAAAAAAAAGCAGTCTCCCAATTCCCTAAAGGCAATTGATTTCAATTATTTTCACCCTTTTTTTGATATTTTCTTCCATATGCCTAAATATACATTCAGAAACCTCTTGAGTTTACAGTTTTAGCTATTATCTGTTGACTTGTTACTTTGGATGAAGAAAATGTATGTCGTTTATATTTACTCCAACTCCTTTCTATGTGCGACTGACACACACACACACATGCACTCACACCCATTTTCCTAACAATGGCCATATAATAATTTTTGGTAAGATTAACATTCACTTTCAGCATTATGAAAACTGTAAATAGCATCATAGTTTAGTTGTATAATATTCCATAATCATATTCACTGTCTCTTTGGTTTTAGTTGTTGTTGTTATTTAAATTTCTTTCTCTACTTACCGCTCTCCTGTTAAGGATTTCTGGTTTCCTGGACCCCATATAAGCCTTCTCCTCTGTTTACACACTTCTTTTGGTAAACACAGATTCTAGTGATTTCTTCAAAAAGAGTAAATGGGAGGCAAGTTTCTTAAGATCTTGCATGTCCAATGTTGTACACTTATATTTGATTAAAACTTTAACTGGGCTATAAAAATTCTATATGTCTTCTCAGAATGATTTTCCTCATAATTTTCAACGCATTTCTATTTTTTTCTAGTTACCAGAGTTAGTTTTGAGAAGTCTGATGCTGGTTTGATTCCCAATCCTTTTAATGAAATTTATTTTTTTTCCTCATAAAGTTTTAGAATCTTATTTTGGGGGCAAAGGATACCCTTTAGACTGAAAGGCACTATGAACAGAATAGTGCCTTTAAATCTGAAAACTCCTTAAATTCTGAAAAATGTTGGTAAATAATTTATTTGATCATTTTCTGCACTTCATTTTTTTCTGTGATCTCTTTAAAAATCTCTGATTTTTAAAAATATTAACCTCCTACAGTGACCTAATTTTATTAACTTTTTTGCTATTTTCTGTATCTTTGCTTATTGTGGGGTAGGTTTGCTCAAGCTTGTAATTTAATCCTTCAGATGAATTCTTCATCCCTCCTATATTTCCAAAAGCACTTGAAAGTACTTCTTTCTTTTTTATGTTCTTCTCTTCTTATTTCTAGGTTGCAGCAGCTTCACCATTTATATAAAGATATGAATTATAAAAGCTTTTTTTTAAAAAAAATTCTGCTCTCTGAATTTTTAAAATGTTTCTGCAAAGGTCTTTTATGCTTTGTTTATTTGTGCTCTACCTTCCATGTCCTGGCTTTTTTTTTTCTTCTTCATATATCTGGGGTCCTTGGTGGTCCATTCATGCTTAAACTGGGTGCTAAGATGCTGCTTGGATGCTCTGTGACCATGGGCTGTTTCTTTGCAGTGTGAGGTTTTCAGGCTGAACAATTTTGAGAGGACCCTAAAAGCTCAATACTCCTGGGACATTATCTACCAAACTTATGCTCTACTCTCCTACCTGGGAGATGCAGGCCTGACTGATGCTGTTCTTAAATTTGAATAGGGAAGGGGGCCAAGAGTCTTATCATTCAGAATTTAGATTTTTCACTTAATCTCAATTTTTGGCATAGCACTCTCCACCATCAGCTGTGTGTTTCTTTCGTATACATTCATGAGAGATTAAACCTTTGGTTTTATACCATTCTACGGAATATTATGTGATTTGGCTTCTAGAGATGGGAATGTAAAGTGTGTTATAACCCTTGTAACAGAAATACTGTCCACATAGGAGCAAGTATTTTCAAGCAAAATTACAACAGACTCAATCCACCAACTGTGAAGATAATTTTCATGAACAGTTCAGCATTGTTTACTTTCAAGTACTTACACCACAACATGCTAGAAAAGTTGCTAAATTAACATAAAATAATATCAGGAAATTTTGGGACTATAAAATGCAGGGGAGATCAAGTCACAAAAATGTCAGATTCTTGAAAAATTATCCTAAAAATTAGGATTATTCCCTTGTAATTCTGTTTTTATGATCTCTGTGTGTCTGCCTCATCTAGGTACTCAATTCCTATAACTTCAATGGTTTGAAAGATTCACACTTGGTTCCTTACTGCTAAATCCTTTTATATCTCCCTCCTAGATATTGTTTTTTTTTTAATCTCCAAGGCAATATCAACTCTTCCTCTCTCTCATTACGTCCGTCTTAATGAGGAAATGTTTCTGTGCTCTCTTTTGGTATTAGATTTACTAATATGCTTAAAGCAGAAAAAATCCACCAGTACTCACAACCAGAGGACAAAAATCTCTCTCCTCTTCGAGACAGGAGAATACTCAACCCAGGCCCACTGCAGCATCCTTTCCCAGCAAGGTTAGGTATATTTTATAATCACCTGAATTCTATTTCTTGGAATGTGTTCAATCAGAGGGGTGTGCAAATCTTAACCTATCTTTCTTCCTGAAGTCTCTCCTCTAGGATTAGGTTCCTGATGCAGTTAAATAATATATATCATGGCTTCTGGTATTCTTTCAGGCCATTTAAAGTGTTCTTTAAGAAAGGAATTCAAATGCTGCATGGAGATAAACAACTCATGAATGTATTACAGGGAACTGATTGGGAAATAGGAAGAGTGCTCTCTCTCCCTCTCTCTCTCTCTCTGTCTCTCTCACACACACACACAGCTGCCTTTAGCAGTTAAATTATGACAAAATGCACTTTAGTAGCTCCCAGTTGCCATGAGAGTGTAAAAGAAGACAAATGATCTCTAAGGTAAAAGGGTCCAAGTCAAATAAAATCTTACAGATTAAAGTCAACACATTTACATTCAAATGAAATGGTATCCAGGACTAGCTCTGAAAGTACAGGTGTTCCATACTCTCTATGACCAGCCTTAACCAAACAAACTGTATTCAGAGCATCACAGTTCAATACTTCCAGCCAAACTCTTATTTGGTTCTGCCAGTTACAGCTTTCGCTTACAATTGGGTAAGTAAATGTTTGAAATATCAAAGAAATTCACATAGAAAAGGCAAAGGGTATTTGAGAGAGGCACTTCTGTTTGTACCTAGGCTGGTGGGTGAGGGCTAGGAATCAGAGTTTATGCCTTTTCATGGAGTGACTTGAAAGAGAACTGAGGCCCTGACGCTAGATGCTTCATAGACGTTAGGGTCTGTGGTGGTTTTCTGTCAGCAGCACAAATATGAATAACTTATTATTCTGCACACTTATTTTTTTCTTTCTTCTTCTCTCACCTCTCATTCTTTCTCCCCGTCTTTTCCATCTATCTCTACTCAATGCCTCGTCTTCTGTGATAGAACCACAAGCACATAGTGAGAAAAGAACATGATTTAAAAAAGGAAAATCAGAAGAATCATTTAACCCCAGTGAGTCTAATTTCCACTATGTAAAATGAGGATAACCATGACATTATTTTAAGGTCTAGGTTGAGGATCAAATGTGATTATATTCGCCAACTCATCTTATACTAAACAGATGTTAGTTATTAATATTCTTTTGAGAGTCTGAAGGAAACAAGGATCCACAGACATAAGAATTGCAGTTACCAACCTGATCTCATTAAGGAACATAGATGTCTACATTTAAACACATTTTTTTAAGAATAATTTTTAAGTTGGATTCACTTCTAATTTATAGATAGAGTTTGGAAAATGTTTGGCCCAATAATATTAAATACTAACCAAATTTTGTTAGTATTTCCTATATTACTAATATAGGAATATAGTATAGTAATATAGTAATATTGGAAATATAGTAATATAGGTGATAGTAATATAGGAAATAACATGAAGATGAATTTTAATTACCAATTCTTTCCTTTAATTCATCAAAAAGATGTTAATTATAATAGCTACCACTTCTCAAGTGCTTACTGTGTTCCAAGCTCTGTTCTGATTTATGAGTATTATCTCATTAAATCATATAATAACTCTATGAGGTATCATCTCCACTTTACTGATAAAGAAACTGAAGAAAAGCAATAGAGCCAGGGTTAGAACAAAAGCATCAGATCCTGGAGTCTGGATTCATGATAAATAGACTAGAAGACCTCTCCATTTGACTGTGCATGATACACTGAGGTCATCGTTAATCAGAGAAAGTTGGATTAAAAGCACTCTTAAGAGAGGATCTAGTCTATCCTCCCCTCAAGTGGAGAAATTAAGGCCTTCTACAACATCCCTAAAGACTGTCACTCAGACTTTGCCGGGCTGACATGTTCAAAATTCAGCTGCCATTCTACTTGGTCAGCCTCAGCCATCTCTGGGTAGTATCAAAACAAGATATATAGGTTTCCTGGCAACTGAAACAGTAACCTTGGCCTAACAGCCCCAGTCCCCAAATTTTATTTCTCTCAATACGCAAATACATATCTTTCCTTCCTTTTGCAAATACCTTCCTCTTGCCTTTCACAAGATAAAAAAAAAAAAATTAAAGCTTGTTTCCTAAGGCCAAAAATAAGTTAGCTTCAGAATTGGATATTCTTCTATCATTTTCATTTTCTTAAATTTCTACCCCCTCCATTTCTTAAACAAGTGAAGGTTGCATGTGTTTTTAGAAAGTAAATTAAAATCATGTTCCTTTCTCTTTATCTTTTTGGAAAATGTG
This sequence comes from Homo sapiens, assembly GCF_000001405.40. Taxonomy (NCBI): domain Eukaryota; kingdom Metazoa; phylum Chordata; class Mammalia; order Primates; family Hominidae; genus Homo; species Homo sapiens. The sequence goes on from NC_000004.12 coordinate 104,591,425, forward strand.
AGCATCCTCTTTAAGAAAGACTATTTGTGAAGCCAGGGTCAAAGGTCTTTATTCTAAGTTCAACTCTCAGCTGGAGAACCGAGATCCCACTTCTCTGGGCTACGCCAAGGCAGCAGAAGGTGAGTGACAATGAAGTCAAGCATCAAGGACAAGAGAGGCACCTTATTCCACATGCTGTTTTTCTCACAGGTAAAGTGAGAAATCAAATCCTCTGCTCTCCCTGCAGCACTGTCCTCTCTGAACATGACATTAACTTCCACAAAAGAACCTTGTGGTAAAGGGGGTGATTAGCTAGATAGGCCTTAACAGCTGGGCTCCAGGAGATTGAAGCGAGGTGGAGGAGGGGCACTCTGAGGCACTGGGTCTTGTAGTTCTATCAACAGCAGCAGCAGCAGCAGATGAAAAGCTCCTAGAGGTGGGGGCAGGGGAGAGCCCAGATTGTAAACATCTCTTGCCTGTTGCCTAGAAGCAGTGGCAGCAAACAATCCAAAGACTGCTCCTAGATTTTCAAAATTTCCTTTATATGCAGGGCTCTGCTTCTTTTTAAAATATGCGGCCATTTTATAAGGTCATGAGCACACATGCGACGGGTGCATATATCATAATAATTTCCTAGCCACCATGTGTAATTGCGTACATAAAGTGGTCAATTATTGCTTAACAAAACCTTGTTAATGTCAGTACATTAATTCCGAGGCTTTTATAAACCTTTTAATGACTACCTTGTATTAGGTACTCATATTTGTGAGAATCAACAAAAACAAAAAAAAGATGCTTCTTTGTTTGTGGGGAAAACTTGATAATTCCTGAATGATAGGTTTCTGAAATAAGCTATGATGAAGGACAGGAGTAATGTATTATAAATTGGTTGAAAATGTGATAACAGTAATGTTATAGGCTGTCTTGGCAGAAATGAACTGCAAATATCACACACACACACACACACACACACACGCATGGACAGAGCAAGAAAAGGGCAGGGTAGTAACAGTGGAAGATTTTAATTATCTTGCCATAGCACAGGATTACATCAAGTGGAGGAAGTGAGGCTGGATCTGGTGCAAAGCTGATTTCTAATTTAATGTGTACATCACCCGAAAAGGGAGGAAAGAATGCTAGGTTTAGAATTAAATAATATTTAGGGTTCAAAGGAGAGTATAGGAAGCCGTGATTAAATCTCATTAAGCATATGATTTAATCCCAAATAGAAGCTAGAGGTGTTTAGAGACAAGAAGGAAGTGTAGGAAGACAAAATAAAATACAGCATATAATCATTAATTCAGAAAAAGACAAGCCACTGAATTAAGTTCAGGGTAAATAGCAGGGAAGTGGTTTTTATAAACACGGTATCACCCAAAACACCATTCCCACTAATAAGTGATAAATTTGTTTAGCATTTTACAAGACCAAAGTAGAAAAGTAAAGCTTCTAGAAAGATGTAGCACAGAAAAGCCTCCCCCTTCCTTTATCAGGATCCACAATTTTTAAAGGAATAGAAAATCAAATCCTCAATACTTGAAAGGGAACTCTAAAAAGGACCCAGGGGAGAAAAAGAGGTACCGAAATTACCAAATTGGAGGGCAAACTTCTTTTATACTGTAAAAGCATACAACCTAGCCAGGCATCCATAGGGCCATTAAGCGGATGAGTGGGAAGGCAGGGACGGATGAGGCTGCAGTAGTCGAAAGCCTGAATGAATTCTCTGCCTGCGTATTTTCCAATGAAGCTGAAGGTCACGTCCCGGAAACTGGATACATTTTCTTGAGGGGAAAAGTGGAATGTTAAAAGGATTTTATGATCACACAAGAGTAGATAGTTGAGCAATTAGAACTATTAAAAGTTGACAGGGCACAAGACCCAGATTAAGTACGTCATAGAAATCTTAAAGAAGTGGAAAGGAAACAGGAAATGCCTTCAGCAGCATTTCTTGATAGCTTGTTCAGAAGGAGACTGAAGAATCAGGGCTGGTAGCTGTTCTAGGACTAGTTGTTTAAAAGAAATCTTTGGGATCTTTAGAAATCTAGCCAGCAATAATCTGAGTCATGGTTGAAAAGCAGATAGTGCTGACCATCAGACCATCATTTTGCTTTTATAGAAATACAGAATTTGGTGAACAGTTAACATAAGCTTGATAATTCAAAAATAATTGACATTTTCACAGAAATAGAGCATTTTTGAGCTATTCTGCACAGGTGAAAATGGAGTTCACTTACTGCTTCTAAATTTCTTACGTTATTTATTAGAGACAGTGCCTCTAGAATTTGTCTGCATTAAGTGAAATAGTGGAAGAGTAAACAAAAATAAAACGAAACTGCCCCTAAATGCAAGGGAATGTGTACTGTGAAATGGAAAGGAAAGATTTTTGGAAATTATTGTCCTGATGATTACTTTTATTATCACTGCCATCATCAAGCTGCAATTATGAAACACATACTGCATCCAACATGCTAGCAAGACAGAAGGCTGTTAGAGGAGTCACTCTCTCCTGTCTCAAGGTCTGGATTTCACACTGATTCAGCTCAGGCCTTTTCATCACTGTCTTACCAACTATCATGTCAGAACATCATTTTTAAAAACAAAAATTAAAAACACTCCACTTTCTGAGGATGCGCTTAGAATAAGCAACTGCTCCTTCCACCAACCTCTAGCTACATTTCTATGAACAAATAAAAACAATGTAAATAGTCACAAGATTGTGGAGTTAAAATCTAAGGGACAAACATTATTACTTAATGTTTTTTAACCACTTAGAAACTACAGTTTCTTTTCCTTTTGCCATTCCTCCCTCTCTATCTCCCTTCCTTCTTTGCTTCTTACAAATGTCTATTGAATTTCCTAGACCAAACTGTAAGATTTAACAATAAAAATATGCAAACACGTTATTACTGCCCTGAAGTAATCCCCAATCTAATGGCAATGACAACAATGTGATTGAGGCTAAAATAGTGTAAAGCCCAGGGTGTCCAGAACTACTGAAGGAAGTATATAACACAGCCATGGTCAAGTCAAGGAGTGAATGGGGCATAGAAGAAAACAGATGTTAACCAAGTGAAGAAGTGAGGACAGGTATTTCAAATAAAAGGAGTATACTTACCAGAGTTTAGAGGTGGAACAATGAAGTAAACTTCAAAATGACTTGACCAGATTATTTCTCTAATTTTTAATTTTTATACTCTTTTCTGCCAAACCCTACCACACTAACTGAACTGCATTTTCTTATATTTTCTTAAAAACAAAAGAGCAAAAGCAGGAAATGAAACACAGTGAATAAAAGCTGGGTGATTTAGAAAAAGGATATACTAAGAGTGTTCGTAAATTTCAGAAATATATGCATTTTTGTTTATGTTTTCAATTAATGACCCGGGGTGGGGGGAGTCATATAATGCAAAAGTGAAATTTCTGTTGCTTACAAAAAAAATAAGATAAAATAAATAAGGGTAGTGAAGAAAGGTGGCAACACTACATGACTGAATATATTAGGTTCTGTGGACCTGGAAAGAACATGTGTAGCTCATGCAGGAAAGTGGGAAATCATATTGCTAGGGCTAGCCATAATCATATTTCATAAAGATCACAGTATATAATATGAACCAGAGTACAAGCATAGAGATAATTATATGAAGCTCATCATGAAAATAATACTGTCTAATCTTTTTCTTATCAAGCCATGTCATTAGAAACCAGTGAAATTATTCTTGCAGATGTTCTAAAAATCACTCGAATCACCTCTATTTCTAAAGCTGTATTGCAACTCAAGACTTGAATGTGCATCCAATGTTCCTCTTCCTATGCCTACTGCAGAGTCCTAGCTGGGAAGCTGGTTCTGCTGGCTTTCACTTTCTTCTTTACTTACCTTCTTCACCTGAATCCACGAGTCACTGTACTAACTCATGTTCCTCAGTCTCAGTGAACATCACCAAGCAGTACTCCCAGAAAATGGAAAACGCATCTTTAGTATCCCCAGCTATTTTTTTTTAACCTCCTCCACATTTTTGCTTAATATTTCTCTATTTTCCCTGCTACAGTGCATCAAACTCTGATATTTGGGGGAAATACCTCTAATAATAATTTATGCATAGTATGTGGTGTGGCAAATTTACCTGAGTTATTTGCTATTATGCTGTCACTAATTATAGGAGAAAAATCTTTAGTCCTCAGAGAGAGGAATTTTAGAAACACTGGGGCAGAGGAGACAGATCTGCCTAAAGAAAAGGTGCGAACAAGGAAGGGGATGCTATGAAGTCTATAGGGACTCTGTAATATATTAGAAATACTGAACATCTGGTACCTGATTGGCCACAATGCTGGAGTACAGACTGCGGCACGCTGGCCACTGTTTACATTTTAGTTGCTGGATCACAGGATGTCCACAGTTGTAAATAATAATACATAAAAGTGACATTTCATCTACCTGATTCTGCAAGTAGGCTCTCTACTGAAAGGAAAAGTTCTTTTTGTATCCCACCTATAATTATTTCTATACTTAACCTATGTAATTGCACAGCCAGAAGTTGGTTATACCAAAATACTAAATTTTATTAAATGATATTTATTGAATGATTCATTGATTGACCATTTGCAAGTAAAATAAGATCTAAGTGTTGCTTACATTCTCAGAGGCAATAGAAGAATATAGTTATCAATTGAGCAATACATATATGTAATTAGTAACAGAGCTGATTTCAGCAAATTAGAGTTCTGGGCCAAGAACTGCCTTTGACTTGCTATCTGACCTTTGGCAAATCAATTAAGATTCATGTCTATCGGCTTTCCACACCTCTAAAAATAGAAATAAGAATTTCTTCTTCTCCAACAATTGCTCAAATGTAAGAGATAAACATTAAAAATAACTTCGAGATAAGTACTATATAAATAGTATTACTTTAAATCAGTGATACATATACCAGAGCCCTATAAACTCTTGTGAGACACATGAAAATTTCTGGAAACAATACGGTAGTCTCTCCTTATCCACAGTTTCACTTTCTATAGTTTCAGTTACTTGTGGTCAACCTTGGTCTGAAAACATTACGAGATATTTTGAGAGAGACGCTATTCACATAACTTTGATTGCACTATGTTGTTATAATTGTTCTAGTTTATTATTAATTATTGTTAATCTCTTAATGTGCCTAATTTATAAATTAGTTTATCATAGGTATGTATGTATAGGAAAAACATACGGTTAGATATTATCCTCAGTTTCAGGGATCACCTGGGGGGTCTTGAAACATGTCCCCTGCAGATGGGGTAGCGCACTACTGTACTCTAATAAATTAATTAAAAAGAGTCTTTCTTGGAATGAATGAAGTCTAAATCCAAACTACTAAAGTGAAAATATTTGAGATATTGATACAAATTTTGGCATGGTTTCTAAAATAAAAGATCCTAGTATGAGAGAAAAGTTGTCACTTATTGTCAACATCTCTGTTATCTCTCCCTTGTTTGCAACCCTGGCTGTCACTGCTGCTGCTAAGGCCAAATCCAGAGTGATGCCTCACTATATGTATACTGGTTTCTTCAAAATATAGTTTTCAAAATATAGTTTTTCATCAAGCATATAATCGTTCCGCGATCTCTTTCCAATTTCATGTACACTTTCTTTCTACATAGAGATACTGGATATTTAACTATAGTTTTGTCAAGCAACAATAATTTATTTTTAGAAATTGAACAATATTTATATATCACATAAAGGAAGTGATTTGTTCAAAGGTTAAATCTAGGTAAATAAAAAATTATTTATATATATTTCAAAACTATTTTTTCAAATTTTCAAAATTGTTTTCAAAACAGTATTTTAAAAAATATATAAATTGTTCATAATTTTTAGCATCTGGCTATAGATAGATAGTCTATCTTCAACTTATAGTTCCAAATGTCAATTGTTATGAAAACTCTGAGACTGAGGAAAAATAAGCTCCAATTTCTAGTAGAAAAATAAATCAGCAATTTTTTTTTTTAAATTGCTAGGAATAGTCTAGAAGAGATGAAAAAAATGGTCTGGAGTTGATTTTAAGCCTTTTAATGTGAGTGAAAATTGATTTTAGGTCCATTCACACACACACACACATAAAGATTTGTGTTGTGTGTTATACTATGTTAAACCTGATTTTAATTTGTATGTGATATTGTTGTTAGAACAGCTTTGGAATTAAATATACACCGCTGATGTAGTATAGTTAAATCTGTATAGAATATATAGTGAACTGTATTTAGATTTAACATCTATGAGTACTTTGAGCAAGACTCCATAGGACTCACTTTGTAAACTCTAAATCTAAAGTTACATCACATTTTTCAGACTACGTAACATTTTTGTCTTTTTAGATGTCTGAAGTATTTAAAAATATACCTTCACATGAGAAGTTTAATTTTCACATATGTCCAGTCTCAGAAAGACCCCAGATTAATAAAGGAAGGTTAAGGAGGGGTCTAAGAGGTAATGTTTTAGTCCCTTCAGCTGCTATAACAAAATACCATATGGGAGGCCCAGGCAGGAGTATTGCTTGAAACTAAGAGTTTGAGATCAGCCTGGGCAACATAAGGAGATCCTGTCTCTACAAAAATAAAAAATTAAAACAATTAGCCAGGTGTGTTGGTGCATGCCTGTAGTCCTAGTTATTCAGGAGGCTGAGGTAGGAGGATTGCTTGAGCCCTGGAGTTTAAGGTTACGGTGAGCTTAACCCATTAATTTTGCAGATAAAAATGCTGAAGTTCAAAGAGACTTAATTAAATTAATAAATTACCCTTGGTCACTCATTTAGTCCCTAACAGTCAGTATTATGACAAAGTTTTCTGATGTTGTGACCATTTAAGGTCATAGTTTATACAAAACAGCCACATAGTGTTTACTTCTTTTTCTGAAATTCTTTGCTTTGCATCATTTGAAATTGTAAAGGTAACTTTAATTTTAAAGGACGTGTTTTATCCCTTTAAAACTTAAAAATATCTTTTTTAATAAATGTGGCTTCCTTTAAAGCAATTTAAGGCACTCATGGTTGTAAAAATATATATTATATATAAAGCTATGTCTGTAAAAAGGTTTTGATCTTGTGTTCTCATTCCATTTTGTTGATTTGTTGAATTTTCAGGGGCACTTTAAAGATTTTATGCCTTAGCATGCCTGTGCGTAAATTCATGTCTGACAATTGTACATATAAATGGTTCCAAAATATCTTAGTGTTACACATAGCCATACATATACCATTATAACGGTATATTTAGCTTGTTAAGAAATGATATTGATTATGATAATGTATTTTAGTTTATGTTTTATATGAGCAGTAATTTAAAAAGTTTATCACATTTAGGAAGCAATGGGGCATAGTGGGAGGGAAGAGCTTTGGAGTCTTAAACACGTGGGGAATCAATCCCCCATCAGCATCTGACTGACAATCAAATTGTTCAGCCTTTCTGAGACTCAGTTTCCTTATCCGAAAGTTGAATTTAAACCTACCTAGAGGTATTAGAAATCTTATGTAAAGCACCCATATTATTGAAGGTCACAAAAGACATTTGTAATAAAGCTTATTTTTTAATACAAAGCTAATTTTTAAATTTTAAAATATTTAACTGACAAATGAAAATTGTATATATTCAAGGGGTATAACATTATGATTTTATATAGATATATATTGTGTCATGATTACCACAGTCAAATTAACACATCCATCACCGCCCATCATTACTTGGTGATATGGTTTGGCTCTGTGTCCCCACTCAAATCCCATCTCGCATGGTAATCCTCACATGTTGAGAGAGGGACGTGTAATCCCCATGTGTCGAGGGAGGTAGGTGCAGTTTCCCCCATGCTGTTCTCATGACAGTGAGTGAGTCTCATGAGATCTGACGGGTTTATAAGTGTTTGACAGTTCCTGCTTCACACACTCACACTCTCTTCTGCCACCTTGTGAAGACAGTGCCTGCTTCCCCTTCTGCCATGATTGCAAGTTTCCTGAGGCCTCCCCAGCCATGCAGAACTGTGAATCAATTAAACCTCCTTTGTTTCTACATTACCCACTCTTGGGTACTATCTTTATAGCAGTGTGAAAACAGACTAATACATTTGGTGTGTGTGTGTGTGTTTGTGTGTGTGTGTGTGTGTGTGTGTGTGTAGTAAGGATACTTAAAATCTGCTCTTTTCTAAAATTTGAAGTAAACATATTACAATATTATTAACTCTAGTTACCATATGGTACATTAGATCCCCAGAACTTACACGTCTTATAACTGAAAGGTTGTAGTATTTGACTAACATCTCCCCATTACCCACTTCCACACACCCAGATGCTGGAAACCAACACTTTACTGTTTCTATGAGTTTGACTTTTTTAGATTCTACGTATGAATGACATCATACAGTGTTTTTCTTTCTGTGTGTAGATTATTTAACTTAGGATAGTGTCCTACAGGTTCATCAGTGCTATTGCAAATGGCAAGATTTCCTTATTTTTATGATTGAATAATATTTCAAGGTATGTATATACCACATTTTCTTTACACATTCAACCACTGATAGACACTTAGGTTGTTTCTATATCTTGGCTACTGTGAATAGTGCTGCAATAAATATGGGGGTGAAGATAATTTTCCAGATACCAATTTCATTTCCTATGGTTGTACAGTGTACACAGAAGTGGGATTGATGAATCATACTATAGTTCTATGTTGATTTTTTTTGAGGAAACTCCATACTGTTTTACATAATGTCTATACCAATTCACATTCCCATCAACAGTACACTAGAATTTTCTCTACATCCTCACCAACACTGATCTCTTATCTTTTTTATAATAGTCATCCTAACAGATATGAGATATCTCGTTGTTTCAATGTGCATGTCCTGATGATTAGTGATCTTGAGTACCTTTCCATTTAGCCACAGCCATTTTTATGTCTTTGAAGAAATGTCTATTCAGATCCTTTGCCCATTTTTTGTTTTGTTTTGTTTTTGTTTTTTGTTTTTTGAGACTGAGTCTTGCTCTGTCACCCAGGCCTGAGGGCAGAGATGTGATCCCAGCTCACTGCAACCTCTGCCTCCCAGGGTTATGTGATTCTCCTGCCTCAGCCTCCTGAGTAGCTGGGATTACAGGTATGTGCCACCATGCCCGTCTAATTTTCATATTTTTAGTAGAGGCAGGGTTTCACCATTTTGGCCAGGCTGGTCTTGAACTCCTGACCTCAAGTGATGCACCTGCCTCGGCCTCCCAAAGTGCTTGGATTACAGGTGTGAACCACTGTGTCTGGCCCCTTTGCCAATTTTTAAGTTGGATTATTATTATTTTTTGCTACTGAGTTGTGTAGTTCTTTAAATATTTTGGATATTAACCTTTACCCCATATACAGCTTGTAAATATTTTCTTCCATTCCATAAGCTGTCTCTTTGTTGATTGATTCCTTTGCTGTGCAGTAGCTTTTTAGTTTGATGTAATCGCATTTGTCTCTTTTTGCTTTTCTTGCCATGGTTTGGGGATTATAGCAAAAAAAAAATTGTCAAAACTAATGTCAAAATGCTTTTACTCTATGTCTTCTTTTAGAATTTTTATGATTTCAGATTTTACACTTAATCATTTAATTCATTTTGAGTGAATTTTTCTATATGGTATAAGACAAACATTTTATTCTTTTTCATATTCAGTTGCAATGAATATTCAGTTTTCCCAGCACCATTTATTGAAGAGACAATCACTTCCCCATTGTGTATTCTTGGCACTCTTGTCAAAGATTAGTTGACTATATATACATAGGCTTATTTATGGGATCTCTTTTCTGTTCCATTGGTCTATGTGTCAGTTTTTATGCCATTACTATACTGTTTTGATTACTATTGTTGTAACATATAATTTAATATCAAGGAGTGTGATACCTTAAGTGTTGTTATTTTTTTTCAAGATTGCTTTGGCTATTTGGGATCTTTTGTGATGTTATATACATTTTAGAATTTTTTTTGTATTTATATCAAAATTTTGATAGGAATTGAACTTCATCAGTAGATCGCTTTTGGCAGCATGGACTTTTTAACAATAGTAATTATTTTAGTGCATGAACACAGATTTCTTTCCATTTGTTTATATCTTCTTCTTCAATTGTTTCATCAATACTCTATAAATTTTAGTGTACAGATCTTTAACATCCTTGGTTAGCTTACTTCCTAAGCAATTTATTCTTTCGATGCTATTATAAACATGATGGTTTTCTTAACTTCTTTTTTGGATAGTTCATTGTTATTATGTAGAAACACTGCAGATTTTTGTATCTTGATTTCAGATCCTGTAACGTTACTGGATTTGTTCATTAGTTCTAATCATTTCATTCCTTAGGGCTTTCTGCATACAAGATTATGTCATCTGCAAACAGAAATAATTTAACCTCTTCCTTTCCTATTTGATACCTTTTATTTTTTCTCTTATCTAATTGTCCTGGCTAGGACTTCCAGTACTATGTTGAGCAGAAATGTCAATAGTTGGTACTCTTTTCCTTCCTTCCTTCCTTCCCTTTGTTTCTCTTTCTCTCTTTCTTTCTTTTCCTTCCTTCCTCCCTCCCTCCCTCCTTTTCTTTCTCTTTCTTTCTTTTCTTTTTTCTCTTCTTTTTCTTTATTTCTTCCTTTCTTTCTTTTCTTTCTTTCTTTTCTTTCTTCTTTTGTCTTTTTCTTTTCTTTTCTTTCTTCTCTCCTCTCCTCTCCTCTCCTTTCCTTTCCTTTCCTTCCTCCTCTCCTCTCCTCTCCTCTCCTCCTTTCCTTTTCTTTTCTATTCTTTTCTCTTCTTATAGGCAGGGTCTCACTCTGTCACCCAGGCTGGAGTGCAGTGGCAAAATCATAGCTCACTGCAACCTTAACTCCTGGGCTCATGTGATATTCCTACCTCAGCCTTCCAAGTATATGAGACTATGGGCATTTGCCACCACACCCAGATAATTTTTAATATTTTTTTTTGTAGAGATATTGTCTCACTATGTTGCCCAGCCTGGGCTCAAACTCCTGGCCTCAAGCAATCCTTCTGCCTTGAGTTCCCAAATTGCTGGGATTACAGCCATGAGCCAATGTGCACAGCCAAAAAATTATACTCTCATCTTTTTCCTGATCTTAGAGGAAAAGCTTTCAACTATTCACTCTTGAGTATTTTAGATGTGGGCTTGTGTTATAGGGCCTTTACTGTGTTGAGATACATTCCCTCTATACCTAATTTGTTGAGAAGCTTCTTTTTAATCTTGAAAGGATATTGAACTTTGTTGAACATTTTATCTTTTACTGAGATAATCATATGGTTTTGGCCTTTCGTTCTGTTAATGTGGAGAATGACATTTTTGGATTTCCATATGTTGAACCATGCTTACATCCCAGGAATAAATCCCACTTGATTATGGGGTATATACTCCTTTTAATGTGGCACTGGATTAGATTTGCTAGTATTTTGTTGAGGATTGTTGCATCAATGTTCATCAGGGATATTGGTCTCTAATTTTTTTTCTTGCGGTGTCCTTATCTGTCTTTGGTGTAAGGATAATGCTGGTCCCATGAAAGGAGTTTGAAGGTGTTACCTCCACTTCAAATTTTTGGAAGAGTTTGAAAAGGATTGACATTAATTCTTCTTTAAATTTTTAGTATAATTCACTCATGAATTATACTTCTGGTCCTGAGCTTTTCATTGATGAAAGACTTTTTATTATTGATTTGACTTCCTGACTTGTTACTGGTCTTTTCTTATTTTCTATGTCATTGTGATTCAGCCTACGTAAATTGTATGTTTCTAGGAATTTGTATCTTTTTTCTAGGTTATCCACTTTTTCAGCATAGAATTCTTCATAGTAATCTCATGATCATTTGTATTTCTTTGGTATCAATTGTAATGTCTTCTTTAGTTTACAATTTTATTTATTTGAGTTCCCTCTCTATTTTTGTTAGTCTAGCTAAAGGTTTGTCCATTTTGATAACTTTTTCAAAAAAATGAACTCTTCAATTTATTGATCTTTCTACTGCCTTTCTATTCTCTGTAAAATTTATTACTACTGAGATTTTTTATTTTCTTCCTTCTGCTGACTTTGGGCTTAGTTTGTTCTTCTTTTTCTAATTCCTTCAAGTGTGAAGTTAGATTATTTGAGATCTTTCACTTTTTTGTTGTTTTTTTTGTGTGTGTCCAGTTTGATCATTTAAGTTGTAATTTTTTTACATTTCAATATTTTGGGGGGAACAGGTGGTGTTTGGTAAGATCTACCTTTTTCTTAATGGAAGCATTTATCACTATAAACTTACTCTTCAGAACTATTTTTTTGCTGCATCCCATAAGTTTTGGTATGTTGCATTTTCATTTTCATTTGCCTCAATATACTTTTAAATTTTCCTTTTGATATCTTCTTTTACTCATTCATTTTTCACGAGTGTGTTTTTACCTTTCCACCTATTTGCAAATTTTCCAAAATTCCTCCTGGTATTGATTGCTAGTTTTATACCACTGTTTTCAGAAAAGATACTCGATATGATTTTTGTCTTATTAAATATGTTAAGACTTGTGGCATGATATATGATCTATCCTGGAGAATGTTCTGTGTGCACTTGAGAAGAATGTGTATTCTGCTGCTGTTGGATGGAATGTTCTTTGTGTGTCTGTTAGGTCAATTTGGTTTGTAGTATTAGTTAAGATTACTGCTTCTTTGGCCAGGTGCGGTGGTTCACACCTGTAATCCCAGCACTTTGGGAGGCCAAGGTGTGCGGATCACGAGGTCAGGAGATCGAGACCATCCTGGCTAACACGGTGAAACCCCGACTCTACTAAAAATACAAAAAAATTAGCCAGGCGTGGTGGCAGGCACCTGTAGTCCCAGCTACTCGGGAGGCTGAGGCAGGAGAATGGCATGAACCTGGGAGACGGAGGCTGCAGTGAGCCAAGATCATGCCACTGCATTCCAGCCTGAATGATGGAGCGAGACTCTGTCTCAAAAAAAAAAAAAAAAGAATACTGCTTCTTTATTGATTTTCTTTTTGGATGATCTATCCATTGTTGAAGGTAAGATATTGAAGTCCCTTACTATTATTGTATTATGGCCTATTTCTCTCTTCAGATCTATTAATATTAATATTTGCTTTACATATTTAAGGTACTCCAATGTTAGGTGAATATATATATACATATATATGTGTGTGTGTATATATACATATATATATATGTGTGTGTATATATATACACACATATATGTGTATATATATATATATACATATATATATATATATATACACCCCTTGTAGCATTTCTTATAAGTTAGGTCTCATCAAAATGAACTCCTCAGCTTTTATTTGTCTGAGAATGTGTTTATTTCTCCTTCATTTCTGAAGGACATTTTTGCCAAGTATAGCATTCTTGGTTGGTAGGATTTCTTCTATTAGCCCTTTGAATATATCATCCCACTGTACTCTCAGCTTGCTGTTTCTTCTGGGAAGTCTGTTAGTGCCTTATGGGAGTTTCATTATATGTGATTAATCTATTTTTCCTTGCTTCTTTCAAGATTCTCTCTTTGTCTTTGACTTTTGGCAATTTGATTATAATGTGTCTCTGATTGTTTTTCTTTGGGTTGATCTTGTTTGGGGAGATTAATGAATCTGGATTTCTATATATCTTTACAAGGTTTTAAATTTTTTCATTAAGTATTTAGTTTCTTGCCACTTTCTCTCTTTTCTTCCTGGAACTTCCATAATCTATATATTCATGTGCTTTATATTGTCCCATAGGCTTCTTATGTTCTTTTCACTCTTTTAATTCTATTTTTCATTCCTTTAACCTGTCTTCAACTTCGTTAATTTTTTCTTCTGCATGATCAAGTCTGCTACTGGAGGTCTCTATTGAATTTTTCAGTCTTATCATTGTATTCTTCTGTTATAAGATTTCTGGTTGGTTCTTTTTTATGGGTTTTTTTAAATTAAACTTTTCTTTTTGCTCATGCATTATTTTCCCAATTTTGTTTAGCTGTTTATGTTTTTGTTGTGCCTCATTAAGCTTCTTTAAGATAATACTTTTGAGTTATTTTATAGGCAATTGGTAGATAATCATTTCTTTGGGGTCACTGATTTGAGCTTTATTAGTTTCGTTTAGTAGTGTCATGTTTGCCTAATTCTTCATTATCCACATAGCCCTGCTTGGTGTCTGTGCATTGGAAGGAGCAAACACCTCTTACTGACTTTACAGACTAGTTTCAGTATGTAACACCTTCTTCTGTTGGGTCCCCGGGCTTAGGATTGCCTCTAGGATAGTGGTCACATGGAGTTGGAGCTAGGTCATCTAGCTGCTGCTCTGTCTGTCATGAAGACCACAGTTTGAAAGCCTGTTGACAAGGACTCAAGTAGACATTGATCCTATCTGGTCCACAGGTGGACTAGACTGACTCCAGAACCTTGGTCAGTAGAGCTACCACTAGGAGAAATGTTCATTTCATGGTCCTGTTACTAGGTTCACATAGATAGATATGGCTTCCTCCAGGTCCCTGGGAAGGCTCCCACTGGGTCAATGGTGGGTCCTAGATCAGGCAGTACCTACCCTGGACCATGGTTGAGACAGGCTAGAACTGAGTCACAGGGCTGCTTCAAGGTTCACAGCCAATATCAATGTTGCCTTGCCTTCTTGTGGGGACATGGATGGGGATATCTCCTGGTGGGTCCCTGGATAGGCAAAACTGCTCTCAGACAACAGATACAAAGGGTTGGAGCTGAGTTACAGGGATATTTTAGGGTTGATAGTAGAGACTAAGGTTACTGGGTCTGTCATCTGAGGCACACGTGGGCATGTCTCCTCATACGTAAATTGGCAGCAAGACAAAGGCCAAATGGGGTGGTAACTGAACCCAAAGGAGATGGTTTCATTTACCTGTATGGAACTGAGGCCCAGGTCAGCACACCTGCCACCTGGGCATAAGCCTGTTCTCTCAAAATGACCCTCTTAGGACTTGGGCCCTACCAGGGTTTTATAACCTCCTATGTGAATCTCAGCACTCCTACAGAGATGCTTTTGTCTATAAATGACTATGATAATATTGTTACTGTGAAGGGAAAGGAGTGAGGGAGTCTCTTATTCTGCCATCTTGCTCTGAGATAATTTATTTTAGCTTATTTTTAAATTAAAGTTTACATAAAGAATTTATAAGCAATGCTTTAATTTCAGAGAACTCCAATTAACCTATAATTTTCTCCGATTTTTGCTTGCCTAATTGCTAACTGTTAGGATAATAGTTTTCAGTATCATCTTATTTCATAGCTCTATACCCCAGGAAAGAATAATTCTCAGTGAAATTCTGTTCTCCTTTGAGAAGAGTAGGAACTTTCAGAAAGAGGATATACTATGTATTAGTCTATTTTGTGTTGATATAACAATATATCACAAACTGTGTAATTTAGAAGAACAGAAGTTTATTTCTCACAGTTCCGGGGGCTGGAAAGTCCAAGATCAAGGCATTGACAGGTTTGGTGTCTGGTAAGGGATTGGTCTTTGTTTCCAAGATGGTGCCTTGAACACTGCATCCTTCAGAGGAGAAGAACACTGTTCCTCACATGGCAGAAGTATAGAAGAGGCTGAACTCACTCTCTCAAGTTTTTTCTATAGTAGCATTAATTCATTCATTAGGATACAGCACTCATGAATTAAACACCTCATAGCAGGTCTCAATTCTCAACACTGTGGCATTGGGGATTAACTTTCAGCATGTGTTTTGGAGGGGACAAAAGCATTAAAATCATAGCATAGTATATATTTCATATTTAAGGTTAACCAACTCCTTTCACGTGCACACACAACCAGATTGGAAATAATTCCAAAACTCTTAAATTTATAAAGTTTCTTAAAAATATAGTTAGTCATCCAAACTTTAATATCAATGCAAACAATACATGTTGCTGAGAATACAGGTATTAGCTATTTATATTTCCGGAGAAGACTGAACAACTGACAAAGGAAGATACAGTAGCTATCTCCAACTATTTGAATGGCTGTCATGCTGCATCAGCCAGGGTTGCTAGTTGCAAGCAACAGAAATGGACTTTGAATAATTGAAACAGAAAAGCAAATTATGAAGGTTTTGGATAGCTCACAAAAGCCACAAAATCTGGCAAGGATGCAGAACCAAGCTTGGAAAGGCTTAGTAGTAGCCAGGATTTTATCCCAAATCATCCCACAAAACCAGTCCAATGAGCACACACTACTACCACCCCAGTGGACATCTGATCTCTCAGCTCGTGCTGCCCTCATCCTGGGGCTGAACTCTGAATACTATCACTGCTCTATTGTACTGCTATCCCTAGAAACACAACCCTACAACCTCTCTCTCCACTGTTTCCTGCTACAGTGCATAGTCTGTGGTGTGTCTTTTCTTGGGTGACCAGCACCAGATTTAAAGTTCAGAGCCACCACATCTGTTTGGTTGAGCTATGAAAGACTGAGAATAAATATTTCTGTCTGTGCCTCTCCCCAACCCCCTAAAAACCTCACAATTCAGTGAATTCTCTAAACACAGGAAGAGTTCAAATGTTGAACAGCCAAGAAAATATACAAAATATCCACTACATAAGTGGAAGAGAAAGCAGAGTTTATCTGAGTTGTTACAACAGAAAGGTGAACTAGAAAGTTAAATGTAAGAGGGTTGCAGATTTGAAAATAAGAAATTTTCTGCAGAATACACTTATTAAATAATAAAATAATTGCTCTAGAAAGTTGCAAACTCCTTGCTTCTACTGGACTTTAAGTGAATGCTGTATGACCATAAGAAAAGAGTACTGTAGAAAAAAAACTGCAGCTTAACTCAAAATGTCTATTATTCTATCTTTCTGTTGAGGTAGGGATTTTTGCCTCAGATTATGTTTTCTATGGGTTTCCACCACATTCTAAATTATGGTCAGATTGCAAATATATCTGGGTGCCCAGAATAGCCAGAGCGCCCCACCTTCTTGTGCATACTCAGTCAGCTTAGCAAACACCCAGCTGATCCCAGGCAGCTGAAGAAATCACAGTTTTTAAAGTCTGCTATGATATAGGAATGATTAGGAAGCTGATTCTATGGATGTGAAGGTCATTGTTTTTACAAACCTCATATATATTTATGTGGCATATATACACATATATAGATCTCCATCTCTCTATAATGCACATACATAATATATGACATGATATGTATGACATGTGAGATATATATGTACATATAATATTTCCTATTTAAAAGCAAAAGTGATAGTAAGGTAGATCTGCAAGCAGGTAGTATATATTAAAAATAATAACAATACAACAAATGGATCACCTATTGACATATATACAAAAAAGTGCAATCAGACCCCTGATTTATAGATGTTACTGACATCTGCTAGCATTTGTAATTACTTATGCTTCTGAAATTTATTAACAATAATAATGGCGCTGTTGATGTTAATAACATAGTTGTACTATTATCTGGTACTCTTTCAAGCGTCAAGTACACACATACCTTGAAGATATTGCAATTTAGTTTCACATTTTCACAATAAAGTTAATATTGCAAGAAAATGAATTGCATGAATATTTTGGTTACCTAATGCATATAAAATTTTTGTTTATATTAGTCTGAAACATATGCAATAGCATTATATGTTAAATAATGATATAGATATATCTTAATTTAAAAACACTATTTCTTAAAAAAATCTAACAATCATCCGAGCCTTCAGGGTGTCATAATATTTTTGCTGTTGGGTGGTCTTGCCACCACGTTTATGGTTGCAGACTGATCAGGGTGGTGGTTGCTTAAGGTTGGGGTGGCTGTGGCAATTTTATAAAATAAGACCAGACTGAAGTTTGTTACATTGATTACTTCTTCCTTTCATGAAAGATTTCAGTGTAGCTTGCAAAGAGCTGTTTGATACTATTTTACCCACAGTAGATCTGCTTTCCAAATTAGAGTCAACTCTCTCAAACACTGACTTGCCTTCTGAGCTAACTTTATGTAATATTCTAAATCCTTTGCTATAATTTCAACAATGTTCACAGCATCCTAACCATGAGAATATTCCTTCCCAAGAAACCATTTCTTTTTTGTTCATAACAAGCAACCCTTCCTACATTGAAGTTTTATTATGAGATTGTAGTGAACCAGTCACATATTTAGGCTCTGCTTCTAATTTTAGTTATCTTGCTAGTTTCATGCCATCTGCCGTTACTTCCCCCACTAAAGTCTTGAACCCCTCAAGGTAATCCATGAGTATAAAAATCGCTTCTTCCAAAATCTTGTTAATGTTGATATTTTGAATTCCTATAATGAATCAGAAATGTTCATTGTTTACATTTTAAAAATTTTGGAAGGTACATACTAGGTATATATATTTATGGGGCACATGAGACGTTTTAATACAGGCATACAATGTGTAATAATGACATCAGGGTAAATGGGGTATCAATACCTCAAACATTTATCCTTTGTGTTACAAACAAATTATACACTTTTAGTTATTTTTGAAATGTACAATTAAATTGTTATTGACTATAGCTGCCCTATTGGGCAATAAAATACTAGGTCTTATTCATAGTTTACAACTATTTTTTTGTACTCATTAGTAATCCCCACTTTCTCACTAAAAACCCCCATCACTATCAGCCTCTGGTAACCATCCTTCTACTCTCTATCTCCGTGATTTCAGTTCTTTTCAATTTTAATTCCCACAAATAAATAAGAACATGCAAAATTTGTCTTTCTGTGCCTGGCTTAGTTTACTTAGCATAATGACTGCCAGTTCCATCCATGTTGTTGCAAATGACACACTCTCATTCGTGTTTTTGGCTGATTAGTACACCATTGCATATATGTACCACATTGTTTAATCCATTCATCTGTTAACATACACTTAGGTTGCTTCCAAATCTTGGCTATAAGGAATAGTTCTGCAGTACACATGAGAGTGCAGATATCTCTTTGATATATTGATTTCTGTTCCTTTGCATGTATACCTAGTAGTTGGATTGCTGGATTTATGGTAGCTCTATTTTTAGTTATTTGAGGAATATCCAGACTGTTCTCCATAGTGGTTGTAATAATTTACATTTCCACCAATAGTGTGCAAGTGTTATCTTTTCTCCCCATCCATGCCAGCATTTGTTATTGCCTGTCTTTTGGGTAAAAACCATTTAAACAAATATCATTGTAGTTTTGATTTGCATTTTTCTGATATTAAATGATGCTGAGCATCTTTTCATATATCTGTTTGTCATTTGTATGCCTTTATTTAAGAAATGTCTATTAAGATCTTTTGTCCATTTTAAAATCAGGTTATTATATTTTTTCCTATAGAGTTGTTTGAGCTCCTTATATATTATGGTTATTAGTCCCTTATCATATGGGTAGTTTGCAAATATTTTCTCCCATTATGTGGATTCACTCTTCACTTTGTTGATTCCTTTGCTGTGCAAAAACTTTTTAACTCGATATGATCCCATTTGTCCACTTTTCTTTAGTTGTCTGTGCTTGTCGGGTATTACTCAAGAAATCTTTGCCTAGTTCAATATCCTGGAGAGTTTCACCAATGTATTTTTGTAATAGTTTCATAGTTTAAGGTCTTAAATTTAAGTCTTTCATTCATTTTAGTTTGATTTTTGTGTATGGCAAGAGATAGGGTTCTAGTTTCATTCTTCTGCATATGAATATCCAGTTTTCCCAGCACCATTTATTGAAGATACTGTCCTTTCTCCAATGTATGGTTTGGCACCTTTGTCAAAATGAGTTCATTGTAGACATTTGGATTTTTTTTTTCTGGAATCTCTATTCTATTCTGTTGACCTGTGTGTCTGTTTTTAGGTCAGTACTATGCCGTTTTGGTTACTATAGCTCTATAGTATAATTTGAAGTCAGGTAATGTGATTATTTCAACTTTGTTCTTTTTGCTTAGCATAGCTTTAGCTATTCTGGGTGCTTTGTGGTTCCTTATACATTTTGAGATTGATTTTTTTTTCTATTTCTGTGAACAATAGCATCTGTATTTTTATAGGGATTGTACTGAATTTGTAGATTGCTTTGGATAGTATGGACATTTTAACAATATTGATTCTTCCAATCCATGAACATGGAATATCTTTTTCATTTTTTGGTGTCCCCTTCAATTTCATACTTCAATGTTTTATAGTTTTCATTGCTGGAATCTTTAACTTTTTTAGTTAAGTTTATTCCTAGGTATATTATTTTATTTGTAGCTATTGTAAATGGGATTAGTCTCTTAAATTCTTTTTCAGATTGTTCAGTGTTGACATATAGAAGTGTTAGTGATTTTTATATGTTGATTTTTGTATCCAGCAACTTTACTAAATTTGTTTATCATTTTTAATAGTTTTATTGTGGAGTCTAGGTTTTTCCAAATATGAAATCATATCATCTGTAAACAAGGATAATTTGACAGCTTTCTTTCTAGTTTGGATGATTTTATTTTATTTTCTTGTCTGATTACTGTAGCTAGGACTTCAAGTACTATGTTGAATAACAGTGGTAAGAGCAGCATCCTTGTCATGTTCCTGATCTTAGAGGAAAGTCTTTCTGCTGCTCCCCGCACCCTGCCCCCAATTCAGTATGATTCTACCTGTGGGCCTGTAATATATGGCTTTTATTTATTTTATTTTATTTTATTTTTTTGAGATGGAGTCTTGCTCTGTCACCCAGGCTGGAGTGCAGTGGCACAATCTCGGCTCACTGCAAGCTCCGCCTCCCAGGTTCACGCCATTACCCTGCCTCAGCCTCCTGAGCAGCCAGGAACACAGCTGCGTGCCACCAAACCCAGCTAATTTTTTGTATTTTTTAGTAGAGATGGGGTTTCACCATGTTAGCCAGGATGGTCTCGATCTCCTGACCTCGTGATCCACCCGCCTTGGCCTCCCAAAGTGCTGGGATTACAGGTGTGAGCCACTGTGCCCGGCCCATATGGCTTTTATTATGTTGAAGTAGATTCTTTCTATACCAAGTTTTTTCAGGGGTTCATCATGAAGGGATGTTGAATTTTATCAAATGCTTTTAAGCTTCAAGAAAAATGATTATATAGTTTGTGTCTTTCATTCTGTTGCTATGGTGTATCACATTGATGGGTTTGTTTATGTTGAACCTTCTTGCACTCCTGGGATAAATCCCACTTGGTCATGGTGAATAAAATTTTTAATGTGTTGTTGAACTTGGTTTGCTAGTATTTTGTTGAGGATTTCTATATTAATATTCATTAGGGATATTGGCCTGTAGCTTTCTTTATTTGATGTGTCTTTTTCTGGTTTTGGTATCTGGCTAATATTGGCCTTATAGAAAAAGTTTGGAAGTACTCCCTCCTCCTCTATTCTCTGGAATAGTTTGAGTAGGACTGGTACTAGTTCTTCCTATATGTTTGGTAGAAATTGGCAATGAAGCCATCGGGTCCTGGGCTTTTCCTTGCTGGGAGACTTTTTATTATGACTTTGATCTGGTTACTTGTTATTAGTGTGTCTGGGTTATGAATTTCTTCACAATTCAATCTTGGTAGGTTGCTTGTGTCTAGGAATTTATCCATTTTCTCTAGATTTTCAAATTTATTGGCATATAGTTGTTCATAGTAGCCAGTAATGATCCTTTGAATTTCTGTGGTATCAGTTTTAATGTCTCCTTTTTTACCTCTGATTTTATTTATTTGGGTCCTCTCTCTTTTTTCATTAGTCTGGCTAAAGGTTTGTCACTTTGTTTATGTTTTCCAAAAAACCAACTTTTTGTTTCATTGATCTTTTGCATTGTTTTCTTCATTTCAATTTCATTTATTTCTGCTCTGATCTTTTTTTTTCTTCTACTAATTTTGGATTTGGTTTGCTCCTATTTTTCTAGTTTTTTAAGATGTATTATTAGGTTATTTATTTGAAGCTTTTCTTCATTTTTGATGTAGGCACTTATAGCTATAAAGTTCCCTGTTAGTACTGTTTTGCTGTGACTCATAAGTTTTGGCATATTGTTTCTTCATTATCATTTGTTTCAGTAAATATTTCAATTTCCTTCTTAATTTCTTCATTGACCACTGGTCATTCAGGAGCATATTGCTTAATTTTCATGTGTTTGTATGGTTTCCAAAATTCCTCTTGTTCTTGATTTCTAGTTTTATTCTATTGTAGTCAGAGAAGATGCTTGATATTATTTCAGGGTTTTTAAAAAAATGTTTTAAGCTTGTTTTGTGACCTAAAATATGGTCTGTCCTTGAGAATAATACATGTGCTGAGAAAAAGAATTTGTATTCTGCAGCTGTTAGATGAAATCTTTGGTAAATATCTATTAGGTCAATTAGGTCTATCTACAGTGCAGATAAAGTACAATTTTTTAATTGATTTTCTGTCTAGAAGACCTCTCCAGTGCTGAAAATGGGGTGTTGAAATCTCCAGTTATCATTGTAATGTTATCTATTTCTCTCTTTGGCACTAATAATATTTGATTTATGTATCTGGGTGCTCCAGGGTTGGGTGCATATATATTTACAAGTGTTTCATCTCCTTGCTCAATTCACCCTTTATCGTTATATAATGACCTTTTTGTCTCTTCTTATAGTTTTTGTCTTGAAATCTATTTTTTCTCTTCTTTTTTGGTTTCCATTGGCATGGAATATCCTTTTCCATCCCTTTATTTTAAGTCCATGTGTGTCTTCATTGGTGAAGCATGTATCTTGTAGCCAACAGATCACTGAGTCTTGCTTTTTATTCAATCAGCCGCTCTATGTCTTTTTACTGAGAATTTTAGTTCATTTACATTCAATGTTATTATTGATTAATATGAACTTACTTCTGCCATTTTGCTATTTGTTTTCTGGCTTTGTGGCCTTCTCTTCCTTCTTCCCATCCTTCTCTTTGTCCTTTTTGTGAAGATGATTTTCTCTGGTGGTATGATTTAATTTCTTGGTTTTTCTTTTTTGTTTATTGGTCGTATGTTTTTGATTTGAGATTACAATGAGGCTTGCAAATATAACTCATTATTTTAAGCTCATAACAAATTTAAACTGCTTGCATAAACAAACTAACAAGCAAAAAGAAAACTAATAAAAATTCTACACTTCAACTTTGCCCCCTACTTTTTAACTTTTTGTTTGTATTTATCTTATCGTATTGTCTATGTCTTGAAAAGTTGGCATAGTTCTTATTTTTGAGTGGTTCATCTTTTAGTCTTTCTACTTAAGATATGAGTAGTTTATCTACCGCAGAGTATTATAATAGTCTGTGTTTTTCTGTGTACTTGCTATTTATTACCAGTGAGTTTTGTACCTTCAAATGATTTCTTTTTTTCTGATTGAAGTACTCCCTTTAGCATTTCTTGCAGGACACATCTAGTGTGAGTGAAATTCCTCAGCTTTTGTTTGTCTGGGAAATTCTTCATTTCTCCTTAATGTTTGAAGGATATTTTCACCAGATATATTATTCTAGGATAAAAGATTTTTTCTTTCAGCACTTTAAGTATGTCACACCCCTCTTTCCTGGCCTGTAAGGTTTCCATTGAATAGTCTGCTACCAGACACATTGGAGCTCCATTGTGTTATTTGTTTCTTTTTTCTTGCTGCTTTTATAATCCTTTAATGGTTTATCTTTGGGAGTTTGATTATTAAATGCCTTGTGGTGATCTTCTTTATGTTAAATCTGTTTGGTGTTCTGTAACATTCTTATATTTGAATTTTGAAATTTTCTCTAGGTTTGGGAAGTTCCGTGATATTATCTTTTCGAATAAACTTTATACCCCTATCCATTTCTCTACTTTCTTCTTTAAGGCCAATAACTCTTAGATTTGCCCTTTTGAGGCTATATTCCAGATCTTGTAAGTGTGCTTCATTGTTTTTTATTATTTTTCATTTTATCTCCTCTGAGTGTGTATTTTCAAATAGCCTGTCTTCAAACTCAGAAATTCTTTCTTCTGCTTGATCAGTTCTGCCACTAAGAGACTCCAATGCATTCTTTAGTATGTCACTTGCATATTTCAGCTCCAGAATTTTTGCTTGATTCTTTTTAATTATTTCAATCATCTCTTTATTAAATTTCTTTGATAGAATTCTGATTTCCTTGTCTGTATTATGTTGAATTTCTTTAAGTTTCCTCAAAACAGCTATTTTGGATTGTCTGTCTGAAAGATCACATATTTCTCTTTCTCCAGAATTGGTCCCTTGTGCCTTATTTAATTTGTTTGGTAGGTGACAGTTTCCTGAATGGTGTTGATGCTTATGATTGTTCATCAATGTCTGGGAATTGAAGAGTTAGGTATTTATTTTAGTCTGTGCCGTCTGGGCATGTTTCTACCTGTCCTCCTTGGGAAGGCCTTCCAGGTATTTTAAAGGACTTGGGTGTTGTGATGTAAGCTGTTTCTGCATTAGGGACACCCCAAGCCCAGTAACACTGTGATTCTTGCATACTTGTAGAAGTACTACATTGGCAGCCTTGGATAAAATCTGGAGGAATCTTGTGGATTACCAGAGAGAGAGACTCATTCTCACTTTTTCTCCCAAACCAATGAAGTCTCTCTCTGTGTGCTGAGCCATGCAGAGCTGGGGGAGGGGTGACATGAGCATCCTGTGGCCACCGCCACTGGGGCTGTGCTGGATCAGAACTGAAGCCAGCACAGCACTGGGTCTCACCAAAAGCCCACTGTAACCACTACCTGGCTATTGTTTATGGTCACGTAAGGCCCTAGGGCTTCACAATCAGCAGGTGGCAAAGCCAGCCAAGTTTTTGTCCTGCCCTTCAGGGTGGCAAGTTCCTCCAGACCCTGGGCAGGTCCAGAGATACTGTCCAGGAGCCATGGAGTGGAATCAAAATACTTAGAAATCTACCTGATATTCTATTCTACTGCAGCTGAGCTGGTGCTCAAGCCACATGACACAGATCTGGCCACTCTTCTCTTCCTTTTCCAGAGGCAGAGGAGCTTCTCCCCATGGCTACCATCACTACTGGCCCATAGGGAGTACTGCCACTCTTGTGGCAAACTTCTCTTTATTTTTCCCTCCTCTCTCCTTAAGCAGAGTAAAGTCAGTTTTGTTGCTGTGAACTGTGCTGCCTGAGGTTGGGGGAGGGGTGGTGCAAGCACTCCCTCAATCTCTATGGCTGGTGTCTCACTGTCACATTCCCCCCAAGTACATTGGCTCTGAGCCCAGCACAGCCTTTGGACTTGCCTAGGAATTGTAGTCGTGTGGCCTACACTGCATTTCAAGTTTGTGTGTACTCCAGCACACGTTAGCCCATGGTGGTGAGGCTTGCTGAAACTGAGGTTCCGACTGCTAGGATTTGCTAGGATTGGCAATTCCTCTCTGGCGAGGGCTGGTTTAAATGCTCCGTCTGTGGGCAGGGATTGGCTGAGTTCGGCCAGTTTTGCTTTCTACTCTGACAGGGCAGCACTGAGTTGAATGCAAGGTCTCACAATCACTGCACTCTCTCTCCCCATAAGCACACAGATCCTCTCTCTGTGCCATGCAGTTGCTGCCAGGGGATGGGTGTTAGGAGGTGTTAGATGTTTAAGACTATTTTTTCTACCATCTTCAGTGCAGCAACATGAAGTTAAAGCCAGATACTGTGAGTGCTCACCTGATTTTTGGTTCTAATGAAAGTGCTTTTCCTGTGTAGATAGTTGTTAAATTTGTTGTTCCTGTGCTGGGTGGTGTGGGGGGTGATAGGTGGAAGCTTCTATTTGGCCATCCTGCTTTGTCTCACTCCCACAAATGGCATTTAGTATGGTGACTCTTTTCCATAAGGTTTTCAATTTACTTTGCCCACATTCATCACAAGAATCATTATGGCAACTATAGCCTTATAAAATGTATTTCTTAAATAACAGAACATGAAAGTCTAAATTATTCCTTGATCCATGGGCTACAAAATGGATATTGTCAATCACTAGTAAATATTGTGAATCTTTCTTTTTTTTTTTTTTTCTGAGCAGTAGGCCTCAATCGTGAGCTTAAATATTTAGCAAACTCTGCTGTAATCAGATGTGCCATCATTCAGGCTTTGTTGTTCTATTTATAGAGCACAAGAAGAGTAGAATTAGCATAATGTTTAAGGGCCCTAAAATTTTCAGAATGATAAACAAACACTGGCTTCAACTTGAAGTCACCAGCTGCATGAACTCCTAACTAGAGAGTCAGCCTGTCCTTAAAGCTCTGAAGCCAGGCACTGACTTTCCTCTCTAGCTATGAACGTCCTAGATTGGTCTTTTCCTCCAATAAAACACTGTTTTGTCTACATAAAAAAAAAAATCTATTGTTTAGCATATCCACCTTCATCAATTATCTTAGCTAGATCTTCTGGATAATTTGCTGCAGCTTCTACGTCAGCACTTGCTGCTCCACTTTGTACTTTCACGTTATGAGGATGGCTTCTTTCCTTAACCTTCATGAACCAACATTTTTTAGCCTCAAACTTTTCTTCTTCAGCTTCCTCACCTCTCTCTGCCTTCACAGAATTGAAGAGAGTTAGGGCCTTGCTCTGGATTAGGCTTTTGTTTAAGGGAATGTTTTGGATGGTTTGATTGTCCATCCAGATCACTCACACTTTCTTCATATCAGCAATAAGGTCGTTTCACTTTCTTACCATTTGTGTGTTTCCTGGAGTAGCACTTTTAATTTCTTTCAAGAACTTTTACTTTGAATTCACAATTTGGCTGTTTGGTACAAGAGGCCTAGCTTTCAGCCTATCTTGACTTTTCACAAGCCTTCTTCACTAAGCTTAATCATTTATAACTTTTAATTTAAGAAGGAATAGATGTGTGACTCTTCCTTTCACTCGACCACTTAGAAACCACTGTAGGTTTATTAATAGGCCTAACTTCAATATTGTTGTTTCTTAGTAAATGGGAAGGCCCAAGTAGGGGAGAGATGTGGAGGAAAGGCTACTTGGTGAAGAGGCAGAACACAGAAAACATCTGTCAACTAAATTTGCCATCTTATGTGAACACAGTCCATGCTGCTCCAAAATAATTATAATAGTCACATCAAATATCAGTGATCACAGATCACCATATCAGATATAACAATAATGAAAAGTTTGAAATGTTACAACAATTACCAAAATGTGACAGAGATATGAGGTGAGTACATGCCATTGAAAACAAAAAAGATACCAATAGACTTGCTTAATGCAGAGTTGCCACAAACCTTCAATTTGTAGTAAATGCAGTATCTGTGAAGTATAATAAGGTGAAGCACAATAAGATGAGGCATGCCTCTATATCATCTAATTTAGTCATCTCCAGAACAAAATGAGTTTGTTGTCTTCACTAACAGATGAAGATACTGAGCTTTGAAGCTGTTCCATATGTTGACCAACCCTGCAGTGCTGGCTGTGCTAGAACCAGGGATGGAACCAAGGCCCATCTGACTCTAATATCCCTGCTGTTAGTGACTTTCTCCCTGCTCACTGACATTCTGGCGTCTTCCCTGAAAACTATGTCCTAGCCTTTCTGCTCTTGTTTCTGGGCCACCATTAGCTGCTCTATTTCTTCGTGTATAATTTTAATGTGTTCAAAGCATTTACACTGTCCACATGCTTATACCCACAGAGTAAGTAAACATCTAGTCTTAGAGCTATTATTTAGGTTTTTGCACAAATTTCTCCCAATGGAAAACAGTGCAGCACACCTCCCTATAATGCTGGAAAGGCAGCTAGGCTCTAGATTCTCATAGTCAGATATCCGTTATATGCAGCATAATCCACACATGATGCAGATGCAACATTTAGGAGGCTTCTGGTGTCAAAGTGGAACCTCAGGAATCCCTCAGGGAAGGCTTCAGGGAACTCTAAAATGTTTAGTGAAAGAAGACAGAACGTTTAGCAGTAGCACACAACTTTGTAAATACTAGTTACAATTATGGTTGTTTAATCCTGTCAAACGGCAAAGGCTCCAGAGTGTACAGCAAAGGCTACTCATAAGGCATCATCTCCTTCCACCCAGTGTTCAAGTCTCCACTATCATACCCATGAAATATGGGTTTTCACCTTATTTGAACGTTTGCAGGAGTAAAGAACTCAGTTTGGTCTCATGTTGATATAATAGTTTTTTGTTGCTGTTGCCCTAGGTTTTTCAGGACTAGATATCTCAATTTATCCTCTCACTAGGGAGCTTCAAAAAAGAAAACCACATACTTGTATTATGGGGACTATTTTTTCATATCCAGGTTTCTGAAAGCTGAATAAATAATCAGAAGGATGACTTCTAAACTTAGAATAATAGAAAATAAAATTACATATTATTATAAAATTTTTCCCTTGAGTCATGGAAAAAGCCTCATGAATTATCCCTGTCCAATTATAGAGAGAACATTTCTAATAATTGGAATGTACGGAGTCTTTCTCTTCTTCTCTGTAAAAATGCTGAATAAATTCAATCCAATTTCTCAAATAACCAGTATTTATCAGCCACCAAAACCATTACCTCATGCCAGACAAAATTTTACCAAGGTGACAAAGAATGTGCTAGTGAGGAGGGGTATTAACACATTGGAAACTCAGTAGTGGTTGTCTTTTGCAGGCTGGGACTAATAGAAGGAGATACTGTTATAAAACTGGGCTATCTACTAGTACTAGGAATGATAGGACCTAAATTATCAGAGACTAGGCAGCAGTGCTTAGCTTCAGAAGTAAAGCAAATGGAATTACTTTAAATAGCTGCAAGTTCAAAAGCGTAGAACTGGGGGTGGGAGCAGGGTGGTGGTGTATGGAGTTGATCCTTAAGAATCTACTGAGGTGGGTCTAAAACATGATTTTTCTAGAACAAGATGGACCGACCATCAACAAGAGTACTGTTTAATATATATTCAAAAGAGATCGAGAATGAATGAGCAGAAGACTCCCATCAGCTGTTCCAATGGAAAATCACGACCTCTCAGTTTCCAGACTTATACTAGCTCTAAGACCTTGAACATATCAACTAAAGGAGAAACAAGATCTTCATGAGGAAGGATCCTGAAACACCACATGTATTAGTCTGTTTTCACACTGCTGATAAAGACATACCAGGGCTGGGAAGAAAAAGAGGTTTTAATGGATTCAGAGTTCCACATGGCTGGGGAGGCCTCACAATCATGGCAGAAGGTGAAAGGCATGTCTCACATGGTTGCAGACAAGAGAAGAGGGCTTGTGCAGGGAAACTCCCATTTTTAAAACCATCAGATCTCGTGAGACTTATTCACCATCATGAGAGCAGCATAGGAAAGACCTGCCCCCATGATTCAATTACCTCCCACTAGGTCCCTCCGACAACACATGGGAAATCAAAATGAGAGTTGAGTGGGGACACAGCCAAACCATATCATTCCACAACTGGCTCCTCCCAAATCTCATGTCCTCACATTTCAAAACCAATCATGCCTTCCCAACAGTCCCCCAAAGTCTTGGCTCATTTCAGCATTAACTCAGAAGTCCACAGTCCGAAGTCTCATCTGAGACAAGGCAAGTCCCTTTCACTTATGAGCCTGTAAAATCACAAGCAAGTTAGTTACTTCCTAGATACAATGGGAGTACAGGCATTGGGTAAATAAAGCCATTCCAAACGGGAGAAATTGGCCAAAACAAAGGGGCTACAATCCCCAAGCAAGTCCAAAATCCAACAGGGTCGTCACATGTTAAAGCTCCAAAATGATCTCCTTTGACTCCATGTCTCACATCGAGGTCACACTGATGCAAGAGGTGGGCTCCCATGGTCTTCGGCAGCTCCACCCTTGTGACTTTGCAGGGCATTGCCCCCCATCTGGCTGCTTTCACAGGGTGGTATTGCCTGTGGCTTTTCCAGGTGCATGGTGCAAGTTGTCGGTGGATCTACCATGCTGGGGTCTGGAGGATGGGAGCCCTCTTCTCACAGCTCCACTAGGTGGTGCCCCAGTAGGGACTGTATGTGGGACCTTTGACCCCACATTTCCCTTCTTCACTGCCCTAGTAGAGGTTCTCCATTAGAGCTCTGACCCTGCAGCAAACTTTGGCTTGGGGATGCAAGCATTTCCATAAAGCCTCTGAAATCTAGGTGGAGGTTTCCAAACCTTGATTCTTGACTTCCATGCACCCTCAGCTCAACACCACATGGAAGCTACCAAGGCTTGGGGCTTGTGCCCTCTCAAACCATGGCCTGAGCTGTACCTTGGCCCCTTTTAGTCACAACTGGAGTGGCTGGGATGCAGGGCACCAAGTCCCAAGGCTGGCTGCACACAGCAGATTGGCCCTGGGCCCAGCCTATGAAACCATTTTGTCTTAGGCCTCTGGGTCTGTGATGGGAGGGGCTGCCTTGAAGACCTCTGACATGTCCTGGAGGTATTTTCCTCTTCATTGTCTTGGTGATTAACATTTGGCTCCTTGTTACTTGTGCAAATTTCTGCCGCCAGCTTGAATTTATCCTTAGAAAATGGGATTTTCTTTTCCATCACATTGTCAGGCAGCAATTTTCCAAACTTTTATGCTCTGTTTCTCTTTTAAAATGGAATGCCTTTAACAGCACCCAAGTTACCTCTTGACTGCTTTGCTTCTTAGAAATTTCTTTTTCTATATATCCTAAATTGTATCTCTCAAGTTCAGAGTTGCACAAATCTCTAGGGCAGGGGCAAAATGCCACCAGTCTCTTTGCTAAAACATAACAAGAGTCACCTTTGCTCCAGTTCCCAACATTTCCTCATGTCTAGCTGAGACCACTTCAGCGTGGATTTCATTGTCCATATCATTATCAGCATTTTGGTCAAAGCCATTCAGCAAGTCTCTAGTGTGTTCCAAATTTTCCCACATTTTTCTGTCTTCTGAGCCCTCCAAACTGTTCCAACCTCTGCCTGTTACACAGTTCCAAAGTCGCTTCCACATTTTCAGGTATCTTTTCAGCAGTGCCCCACTCTGCTGGTACCAATTTACTGTATTAGTCCATTTTCATGCTGCTGGTAAAGATATACCTGAGACTGGGAAAAAAAGAGGTTTTAATGGACTTACAGTTCCACGTGACTGGGGAGGCCTCACAATCATGGCGGAAGGTGAAAGGCACATCTCACATGGTGATAGACAAGAGCAGAAGGCTTGTGCAGAGAATCTTCCCTTTTATAAACCATCAGATCTCATGAGACTAATTCACTGTCATAAGAACAGCATGGGAAAGACCTGCCCCCATGATTCAATTACCTCCCACTGGGTCCCTCCCACAACATGTGAGAATTCAAGATGAGATTTGGGAGGGAACACAGCCAAACCATATCACCATAGGATACTGAATACTGAAGTATTTGGAAGTGTTTTCTTCTTTCTTTCTTAAAAGGACTTACAGTCGTTTACTCAAGTAACCATACACAGGGAAAAGAGCCCGAGCATGGTTCATGAATGGGATGGTATGTAGGTATAAACCAAAAATGGATTGCTCTTGCACTATAGCTTCTACTCAAGAGTAAACTTGAAATGGCCACGAGAGACTATCCTCCCAAAGGACGGATTTTTTGGGCTATACATCTATTCATCTACTTCAAACAGAGTAGTGGTAAGAAAAGTTGCTTTGAATGGTAAGGAAAGTTCCAGTCTCATGGGCAGTAGTGAATGACTTAGCTTGCTGGTCAGGGACATGAAATGAGCAAGATTCCAAGACCACAGAAAGGCATTCATGGAAAGAAGCAAGTGACGGGACATGGATAAAAGCACAATGTGTTAGGATCTCTGTGTCACATATTAATATTTATAAGAGATATCCACTGAAGAAGAAACAAGAAATAACAGAGCTACACGAAGATTTAGTCAGCAGATGTCACCCAGTCTCTCTCATTGGGCACTCCAGTAAATAAAGGAAGCATGGTGGAAGAGATGGAGGCCATGCATGGGTATAAAAGCACAGGCTTCTTCTCACAAAGGCTGACCTAGCTACTGATGCTTATAAATACCCAACCTGCCAGTAACAAAATGCAATGCTGAATTAGCCATATAATATACTTTCTTAAGGAGACTGATCAGAAACCTGGTGGCAAGTTGATCACATTAGGGCCTTTACATGCTAGAAAGGGCAATGTTTCATCATGACCTTTACTGACATGTATTTGGACATGAGTTTGTCTTTCTGGCCTAGTGTGTCATGCTATCACCCTCCAAAGACTCACAGAGTATCTCAGAAATTGACAGGGGATCCCTTATAATACAGTGAAACAGAGAACTCATTCTATGGCAAAAGAAGCATGGCAATAGGCAAATGACTATAAGTTCATGGGTTCTGTCATATATACCACATCATTGAGAACAGGGATGTCCAATCTTTTGGCTTCCCTAGGCCACATTGGAAGAGGAAGGATTGTCTTGGGCCACAGATAAAATACACTAACACTAATGATAGCTGATGGCCTAAAAAAAAATTGCAAAAAAATTCTCTAATGTTTTAAGAGAGCTTATGAATTTGTGTTGGGCCACATTCAAAGCCATCCTAGGCCACATGCAGCCCATGGGCTGCGGGTCAGACAAGCTTGATCAAGAAGCTGCCATCCTGATAGAGTGCTAGAATGGTCTCCTGAAGGCCTAGCAGAGGCACAAGGATGGGGTAGTATTCTTTGAGCTGTGATATATACCTTAAACCAAGCCCTTATATTGTGTCATTTACCCAATACATAGAATGTATGGGTAGAGGAAACAAGGAGTGGAAGTAGAAGTGGTCCTGCTTACTATCCATTCCACTTACCCACTTGGGGAATTTGTGCTTCCTGTCTCTTCAACTTTTGGCTCTGTAGATCTAGAATTCTTGGTTCTAAGAGGGGAAATGCTTCCATCAAAGGGCCCTTACTGAGCTCCACTGAACTTTAGGTGTAGTTACCATCTTAATATTTTGGGCTGTTCATGCCAGTAAACTGGTAAGAAAATAAAAATTAATACCTCTGCCAGAAAGAATTGATCCTGATCATCTTGAGGAAGTAGGACTGACATTACATAATAATAACAGGAAGGAATATATTTGATGCTCAGGTCATCCACTGAAGCATCTTTTGATGATCCCATGCCCAGTTATGATCTGAAAAGGTAACCAGAGCTCAGAACCCTCAGTGCTGAAGGTCAAACGACCAGGCACACCACATAGACCAACATGATGAGGAAGATGATGAGTATCAATCTTGGATTCAGGACAAACTTTGCAGTGAGAATGATAGTTTTCCTTCTTTTTATTCTATAAGTTTTCCCAGAAATTGTGACTAACCAGAAAATCTGAAGAAGCTGTGCCTGGATTTAGTAAACTTAATTAGGAAGCAAGTGGATCTGAGTGTTTGGTGGATTACAGTAAATGTTCTTGGTGACACACTTCAATAGCCACTGCTCCCATCCCACAGCTGCTGTGAGTGTTGGCTAATAACAACTCGCAGCTCTCAGGGAATACTCTATTCAGGGAATAGTGTTTGGTAAAACAGGAGCTAAGATATCCTCTATCTATGTTCCACATGAGTGAGGGCAGATCTTGGCCAATGATTGACTGATATTGATTTAATAAATTAGCTTTGTCAATTTGCACAAGTCAGGCTGAGGTCTTGCATTGAAATGTCATTCATCAGGACTATGGCCCCCAAACCTGCAGGAGCCTGCTAGTTTTCTTCCTTTAGTACTATTCTCCTCAAGTTCATCTTGTATATTATGTGACATGGATCTCTCTAAGCTGCATTTTTACCATGTCACTTTTCTCTTTAGGAACCTATAATTTTTTTTGTGGTGATCTGAATTATGTACACCGAAACTTTATACGTTGAAGTCCTAATCACACAGTACCTTAGAATGTGACTGTATTGGGAGGTATGCCCACTAAAGAGATAATTAAGATTAAACAAGGTCATATGAGTGGGCCCTGATCCAATATAACTAGGATCCTTCTAAGAAGAGGAAGAGATACCAGAGATGAGCCTGTACAGAAGGAAGCCATCTGAAAGCCAAGGAAAGGAAAAACCAAACCTGCCAACACCTTAATCTTAGACTTTTAGCTTTCATAAGTGTGAGAATAAATTACTATTGTTTAAGCCCCCTCAGTCTGTGGTATCTTGTTATGGCAGCCCTAGCAAAATAATGTAGTTATTTAATGCCCACCACATTAAGACTGCTTATTATTACAGGTCAGTTTAATAAATATTAATTGAGTATAGTCACTGTGTCAAAGACTAAAGACACAAAAATCAATAAGAAATGGTACTTACCTTCAAATTCTCATAGTTTGCCAGGTGAACAAATGAACTAATTACATCTTAGAAGAGAACCATACTTTGTCAATATTTGTATTACCTCAGCTCATAGAAAACAATTATCTCTGAAGAAATTAGGAAAGGCCTCAAAAGGGGGATGACAATTGAACCTGGTCTGAAAAAATGTAAGAATAAAAGTTTATCTTAAGTAGTAGACAGTGTTGAGAGGTCTTTACATAAAAAGATTAGCATGAACCTGGGTACAAATGAAAGGGGATGCATAGAGTTTCCTGAATTACTGGAGCAATAGCGTGCTCTTTCTTATAGAGGCAACCTGATTGTGCTGCATGAAAGTTATTTGTGAGGTGTGAGATGAGTAACTTCTTACTAATAATATTAGCATGCTAAGGTTTGTGAATGATTCACTCATTGAAATAAAAAGGATTCAAAGCTCTCTCTCAAATAATGTCAGTACCTAATGGAGTTCTGATATCTTTTGTATAGTAGACTTTGGCCTTGCCCAAAGTGAAGCCAAGCCTTTGTCCCTGGTTCTTAAAAGATAACCTCCAAACCATTGGAATTTCCTGAGTGATAGGAGTATCTTTATTTTTCTTGATGGGCCCCTTAGACCACACTTGGTAGATTATGCTAATGAGGTAACTCATGGTAGTCTCCTTGGATCACATGATATCAGCCCAACCTCTAGAGAAGGGGGAGTAAAGACTGAGCTCAATCATGTGGCAGCTTATTCAATCACTCATTGCTAAATTATGAAGCTCGAATAAAATTTCTGGACTCACAGGTGAGCTTTCCAAGTTGGTAATACTCTCTGTATATTATCACAGGTCAGTGCTGGGAGGGTAGTGCATTCTGTTCAATAAAAACTTTGCATTTGAAATCCTCCCAGACTCTTCCCTATTAGTCTCCTCCACTGGCTGGCTCTAGTGTGTATCCTATCCTTGTAATAAGCCATAACTGTGAATGTAATAAGATCAAATGAGTTCTGTGAGTCTTTAAAGCAAATTTTCAAATCTGAGGGTATTTTAAGAAAACCCCTGAACATCAGTTGGTGTCAGAATTAAGGCTGTTCTTGTGTGGAATCTTGCTTCTAGTTTTGTAGTTGAACTCTAATTCCTTGCAGTTGGTGTCAGAAGTTGTGGGCAGACTTGGCCATCTGGAGGCTTATACCTTTAACTTCACAGTATGGCTAACTGTGTGTACTTTCTTGTTGAGAATAGAAAAGAGTAAATCAGGGTGTACCAACTGATAATTCTGCATAACTCTGGGTCATGCATGAAAATGCCATCCATCCTGATTGTCCTGCTGAAGAAGGATGTGTATGGGTAAATGTGGTAGAAGATGGGGTTACCAAAGTAGGCATTGTCTAAATCAGTAATTTTTTTATATTATAGTATTCAAAAGGGACAGTCACATACTCTAGTTACAATCTATAATCTAGAAAAAACTCTATTGGTTTACTGCAAATACAGTATTTGAGAGAGTCCTATTGTTCTTTCTAGCTATTAGGTTTTAGCTTCTTGTTTAGTAAATGACTCTCAGTTTTTTTTAATGTGTGGAATCAGAATAAAGTAAGGCATAATTCGGACAATTATGAAGTTTAAATGGAAAATGCACAACATAGAAAAGTGATTTGTAAATCTTAAAATGTCACTGATGTTAGTAAATAAGAGAGGTTTTATTCCTTTTTTCCCATCAAACAGTCAGAGTTCTCCAGAGAAACAGAATCAATAGGATATATACAGATATATGGAAAGACATTTATTATGAGGGATTGGCTTACACAATTATGGAGGCTGAGAACTCCCACGATGTTCCATCTGCAAGATGAAGGCCCAAGAAAGCCAATGGTATATTTCCAAGTCCAAGCCTGAAGGCTTGAAAGCCAGGAGGGCCAATGGTGTAAGTCTTAGTCTGAGTCCGAAGGCCCACGAATGCCTATGACTAAAGGTTGGAGAAAATGTCTGTTCCAGCTCAAGCAAGAGAGCAGATTCAACTTGCCTCCACTCTTTTGCTCAATTCAGGTCCTCAGTGGATTGAATGATGCCCACCTGCACTGGTGAATGCAGAACTTCCTTACTCAGTCAACTGATTCAAATGCTAAAATATCTTCTGGAAACCATCACAGACATAGCCAGAAATAATGAATTATTAGCTATGTGGCCATCCCTTACCCCAGTCATGCTGACAGAAAATTAACAATCACAAGTTATCTGACTCAAACACTTATTTAGCCTCTTCATACTTAGTTTTCTTGTCTGTAAAACTATGAGACCACTTCCACCCCTCTGAGTTCATCCTAAAAGAGATACTTTTATTATAATCTTTCACTTAGATTTCAAAATTCTGATTTTTTTAAAATAACTTTTTTCAAAGACTAATATTCCTAATAGAAAGGAACAATGATGACACAAAATTGATCATGAGGTTTATAGCTGTCTTGTTTGCCAAAACAAATATAATTCTGACCAAAAATATGCTCAATGGTGGGAGATATATGTTGCCTAAGGAGGGAAAAGTAATATTAAACATTTGACAAGCAAGAACTTTCCAATTAACTATTAGTGAAAATGTTAATTAACAAATTATATTTATATAATAATTATATAATTTCACACATCATTGGTTGTATTTTAAACAAATGGAAGTAATGACACTGATAGAACTTCAGTTCTGTTTCCTTAATTTCTTCATGGGAGCCAAATTGTTGCATTTTCAGGGGAATACAGGTTGTGTTTAGAGTCTGCAACTGATGATCAGTTATTCTGAGAACAATATAAATTCATATTTTCACTTAGCAATTCTTGCATTTATTGTAACTAGTTACTCTTTTGTGAGTCTTTTGCTAGTCTCTACCAAGATACCTATTCTCTATGCATGGTACAGAAGCAGCTGAAGTTGGAACTGAATGGACTATATCAGCATGATAAACTGTAAGAAGAGATACTACACTGGAAGGCTGCCTCTCTAAACGTCCAATACCTTGTCACTGTGTATGATTCTGGAAGTTTGATAATCATAGAGAAGCCTCGGTTTTACTCTACTAAGGATTAAGTACCCCACCAGAGCAGCAGGATTGGGATTTTTGGAAATACCTGAAAAAGCAGGAAATGCAGTATTTCTAGTTCATCTGGGTCTATACACCGTATACAAAATAAAAGTGCCCAACTTCAACAATTTCAGAATTAAATGACTGAAACAGATTGTTTAAATTATAGCTAACTATTACCAGAGAGATTATGAAACTGCGAACATGATAATTAATCAGTGAATTTAAAACTCTCAACATTTGTCTAGACCAAATTCCTTTTTAAGAAAACCTCATCGACTAATTTCAACATTTTCTGTTTTTTTTTTTTCTTTCTAGTATTATCTTCTGATATATACTGAATTGTAAAACTATCAAAATGTGGGCAGCAGAAGGAGAAAGGTGAAAAAGTCAAAGACCCAGAGAATGAATGATCTAGATTGCTCCTGTGCAAATGAAGATTATATTATTTTTGTGCTTTCATTTTCCATATGTAGACGAACATTGATATATTTCTTATAGATTTATATTTTTATCATTCACTTAATTTAAAAATTGTGTTTTATGCATTTTCTTAATGTTTTTACAAATACATACTTGCCAACTATTTTTCAGAAAACATCAGGCAGTTATAGCCAGTCTGCCAATCCTATGACCTAGAAAATTTCTGCTTTTTTAGCTTGAAGTTTCAAAGAAAAAAAGATTAAAATAGAAAGTGAATTTTCAAACTGGTATGAATACTAATCTGAGATGACCTGTCTCTCCTTTTTTCTTTCTAGACTATTAATGCCTCACCAAAAAAAAAAAAAAAAAAAAAAAAAAAAAATTTCGGTCCTTTATTGTTTATTGAATCTCAGCTAATTACCAGACACTATACTATGCTCTGAGAATAAAAAGTTGGAATAAACAGCATGTCAGATCTCAAAGAACTCAAGTCTAGGGAGTAGGCAAAACCATATAAACACCTAATTGTATAGACCTAGAACAGTCTGGTAAGTGGTAAAATGCAAACATGTTCAATGTGCTGGGGGATCCCAGAAGGGGGCAAATTTAGATGGCAAAGAGGCATCAGGAATTGATTCACAAAGAGGTTGTTGTCAGGGTTGGTCCTTGGAAAACATATTGTGAATATTCAGTTGTGGGTGGGAGGGGAAAACATTCCAGGTATAAGAACTTGCATAAGCAAAAGGGCAAAGACATGGATCTAAAGATGTGCATGTCTGGGGATGTTGAAGAAACAGGACATTTATGTGGGACAGAGAAAGCAGGCGAGCAAGGCAGATGGAATGAGGCAAGACAAGCCTGGAAAAGCAAGAGATTTGGTCCACAATTATGATTCATTTTTATTTCTTACTGTATGTTTCCACATTTTGGAGCAGTTGAAAAATTCTAGGTAAAGAGGAAAACCTAGTTTAAAATTCTTTAAACTAACCCTCACTTGTTCAATGGTGTTTTAAGAAGTCTAGAAAGACAGATACTAAATTTTCCATAGGTCTTCTTTAGTAATGATGTGGAAAAGCATGATATACTTGCAGCCTGGCTGCTGCTAAAAATGACTAAGTCATTTATAAAATCTTATCAATGTTTGTTTTGATATGGCTTCTCCATTTCCGATGTTACCTAACACACATTTCCATCTTCATAATCCAAGCCATTCTTGTTTCAAATACTATAACTAAGACAACTTTGTAAAGAATTTCCTGATATGTAAATCTCTTTCCTTTCTATCTACAGCTACTAAAACTGTAAAAAAAAAAAAAAATCTTCCTCATGTGTGTCTTATATCAGAAACTTGCTTCACACACACACACACACACACACAAAATACCACACCATATTTTTTAAGTTTTAAAATCTCTTTATAGTTTTATTACTCATGTATTTATCTGTCTCACCACTAAGCTGTAAGCTCTGTGAAGACCTGGGTCTTTTCTTATACTGAAGTCTGCTCCAAGGTTCCTAGAACACTACTGAACAGACACGGCACTCAGAATGTGTGCTGACTGACTCTTGCATCCTTGCCCATTTTTCCTGGCTTTTTTTTTTTTGCTTATTTTAACAGGTGAATACAGACAAAGATAAGTAGATTTAATATAAAAGTTTGTTCATGTACCTTTGCTTTTTGCTTTGTTGTTGTTTTGTTGTTTCATCTATGAGTAAACATACTTAAAAATAGAGGCTGAAAGAGATGTGCAGTTAAGAGTATAAAAACTGTAAAATTCTGAGTTTCTATTCCTCTGTCTGGATAAAGTCAAATAACATTACTTTACTTATTTATGTACATACTAACTTGAAGTTCACATAAAGGAACAAAGTATCAGTCTTCACAGTCTCACAGAGACTTGAAAACTTAAAGGAATTCCCAACAACATTCAGCAAATTTGCCGTGCTTGGCCTGGTTTGGAATGTTACTAAGTGCTTTACCCTTTCCAAGTGCTTTGCAATAATTTATAAATCACTTTTCAAAAAATCCTGAGGGGGAGGGAAAAAGTATTATGGCTATTTTTTTTAAAAAAAAATAGCAAAATATAAAAGAAAAAAGGAAGAAAGAGAAGGAAACTTCCATTCTGAGTGCTCACTACCTTCTTTCATTTTCATTTCTCTGGCTTTAGATTCCCACATGGTTCATGACTTTCCAGAATACCAGGGCATATTGACATACAAACCATGAACAAGGAAGGAAAAATCACAAACTTGTCTCCCATTGCTCAGAGTGGCACAGGTTTTAAAGTGGCACACCCATCATAGGTTTCTCTATTCTGTTTCTTCTCCCTAAATCGCAGGAGCTTAGAGGCTTGGGTTCCCAGGACTATGGAGTCTACTAATCTGGCCTCTTTCTACTCTCCAAATTGAGACCTCTCACCTCTTTTTATTTTCTGGAAAAATAGTACTGTTCTATTTTGTTTGTCCTGCTATAACAAAATACCTGAGACTGAGAATTTACTAGGAGCAAAAATTTATTTCTTACCATTCTAGAGGCTTAGTTCAAGACCAAGGAGTTGGCAGTTGGTATCTGATGGGGGCCTTCCTGCTTACTCCTCTCATGGTGGAAGGCAGAAGAGAGTGAACCCACGCCCTCAAGCTCATTTATAAAGGCCTTCATCCCATCCATGAGGGCTTTGCCCTCAGGAATTAATCACTTTCTAAAGGCCCCATCTCTTAATACTACCACATTGGCAATTGTTTCAACATATGAATTTTGGGGGACACATTCAGTTCATAGCAGTGTTCTTTCCTAGGTGAACCTCCTTTGGCTTCTGGCTGAAGCTGTGGGTGCTGTCACCTGCTCCCCCACACTAACTTGGCAGAATGGTGGGTGCAGTTTCTGCAGGTTTGTATTCTCCCCTAGCTTCACTCTTCTGCCTTCTATTTAGATTCCTCTGGTAGCTGATTTCCTAGC
The DNA here is from genome assembly GCF_000001405.40 of Homo sapiens. Lineage (NCBI taxonomy): Eukaryota > Metazoa > Chordata > Mammalia > Primates > Hominidae > Homo > Homo sapiens. The sequence continues at coordinate 104,631,952 of NC_000004.12, forward strand.
CTGCTCTCTCCTGATTAAATCTTCCAGGATTCTCACATCTATTTGCTCCTCTGCTCTTGTTCTCATGGAACACTGGCTTTCTGAAAAGCTCACATAGGACTTCACTCCAGGCCTCACATATCCATGAAACAAATTTTTGTGTGGGAGGTTCCTGTGGTCTTTTACAAACATGTAAAATATGAAAACCCTATATGGTGATTTCTTTTCCTGTTTAACTTGCTCTTCTTTATCTGAGGTTATCCCTCCATCTCAACTCATGGTTTACTTACTGACCCAATGTCTTTCCTCCCATTTTAGAACAAAAATAATTATAGGTTTGAGATAGGTATCAGGTTTTTCTGTAATAAAGAGAAGGAATCATTTGTTGCTAACTAATCCCAGTGAGAATTTGGGGGGACGGGGAAGGAAAGCTTCTCAGGAAACTAAAGAGCCTGGTGAAATTAGAAAGGAATCACTTCCTACCCTTAGTGTCAGGGATTTAACAGGAATTATCTCTTCTTTCCTTTTCTCCCTTATAGACAATTGCTGTGAGGATAAGAAAAAGGCTGCTTTTATGCATGAGCTTAAGTCTGGATTAAGGAATGAATCACAACTGCTATTTTCTAGAGCCTCTTGTCACTGGGAAAGGCCAGGTCATACCATTTGGCTTCTATTTTATTAATCAATGAACAGCTTAAGAAAGTAGCACAACTTGCAGCTCAGATTGGCACTTTGTCTTCATTTTTCCCCCTTATTAAACAATATCCTTGTTGAGCCACCTGTAATTTCAGAATTTACTCATGTATATGTATTCATTCAACAACATTCAACAGCAAACACATTGTTGAGTACTATGGTGACTGAGTTCGTGAATTAGTGGTCTTAATTCTTCACTCCCCTGTAGTATAATGTACATTCTCATTCTTTTCATGGCTTCATGGTCAGAGGAGTGTACTTTTATGCCCCTTGTCTTTAGACTTGTCCATGGGTCTTTTTTTAATGATGGGATATAGCATACATGCTTTAAGTAAGGCCTTGAATTGTCCTTGTTCTTTTCTCATTGCCATGACAAGAATAGCTGCTATCCCCTTATCCAATGGGCCTCAGTATATGATACATGGTACAGAGATGCCCCAGCCAACTCACACATTTGCAGACTGAAGCAGTACCCTCCCAGCTGATCCACAGATGTGTGAATGAAAAATAAATACTTATTATTAAAACCATTGAGTTTGGGCTTGTTTATTATGCACTGTAGACATCATTTTCACAAAGCTGAGTAATATAGGCATTTAGATAAGGATATGAGACCTAAAACCAAATACAGAGTTTTTAACTTTTAAAATAGACTTACTATTTAGACTCACAGTTTATTAATAAAAATATATGTATAAACAAATACATTATTGCAATAAAATAAAGTTTGCAAAGAAGTATGAAGAAGCATATGGGAGTATATAGTTGAAAATACCTCATTCTGTCTTGAGAGGTCAAGAGAAAGTTGTCCATGGAAGAAACAAGGTTGAAACATTTGGATCTGGGGGAGAGGGACAGTGAGAACATTTCAGGCGGGAGAGTACAAACAGGAAACAGCACAGCTGGTTAAATCAGACATTAACCATGTTAATACCATATAATGTTAAATCAGACATTAACATTATATCATGAAAATGATGGACAATCAAAGGGGCCATATCACATATAGAGTAAGAAGAAATCTTGAGCACTTACCTGTAAAGGGTGCTGAAACAGCACAGGAGTTTAGAAGAAATAGAGAGCCAGTTAACACAAAGAAGAGAGTCCTTGTATAGCTGCCAAAATATAAATTGATCTTATTGCTGCCAATGTGGTCAGGAATCTCAAGTTGGGGGAAAAATCCTTGAAGCATTGACCTTATTGACCTTGGCTGTATTAAATACATGGTGAACAACTGTTTGAGGATTATCAGTTTGAAGGACTGCCAAATCATTTGACAACTAGGAACTCCAAGTCTTGATCCACAACATTTTCATCTTGTGGATGAGAAAACTAAGATTCAGAAGACCAAAATGTACTCAAATTCAAAAACCTAAAACCAGAAACCAGGTCTGATTTATCACTCCTGACTTCTTTCTACTATACTTTTTCCTGCCTTAAATTTACCAAAGCCTACGGAGAATGGGGAGATCTGCACAGGTAGAAGAGTCAGAATTGAGGTTTAAGAATATATATCACTATAATAATAAAGAATTAAGAGTTAGGAGAACAGAGAAGTTCCACATGCATAGAAACATCCATGATACCATGTCGTTTTCGACAAGAATGTGAATGTTTAGGGTTTTACAGAATGCCACCATACAAGGTAAGCTTTAGTTTTGGAAAAGTCACTTATGGTAAATTGACTAAACAGATGGGGTAGAAATTAATAAGAGCAGCTCCTCAGAAACACATCTAGAAGAAGCTACAACTGGCCTAACATCTTGCTTATTACCAACAGAGCTGTTGGGAGTAAAATACCTTCTAAAGCCAAGCACACAATGAAGAAAACTGAACAAAATAAACTGACACAATTCAGCAATATTATCTTCTGGGAAAATCTGGAAGATGTAAAGGCACTACTCTGTGCTTTTCTTCTCTTAATAACATCTAATATCTTCTATAAGATTAAATATTTTGGCGAAAAAACCAGAATCCTCTTTTACAGCTTGATAGAATTGTATCTATTCTTACAGATGATTTCAGATCCCTTCAAATATCCCTTGGAAGGACAGAATAGGTTATTCCTAAGCCATAGAATTCCCAGTAGTACATATTATAGCAAGGGACACTGAATGAGCAACCAATTAGCATTAACTGAGCACAAGTGTGCCCAAGACGGAGCATGTGTTGTTCACTTCACATTCTCCTGAGGCAGATGTCATGTCTTTCTCACACGTGTTCAGTAGGACTGGTGCAGATTCTGAGCTCTCATCTCTAAATGAAAATTGAACCATCAGTATGTGCAGGCTTGACAAAACAACAACAACAACAACAAAAACAGGGCTAGTTCAGTAGTTCAGTCTAAGGGAAAGGACCTGAGCTTTGAGTGAATTTAATGAAAACGTAAAATTATGAAGAACTGTTATTTAGAATATTGACATAAAAAGTGGCCTCTTAAGAGAAGATAAAGGTGAAAGCATTTATTGGTGTAAAAATAAAGTGGAGAAGAGCAGGAGCATTTAAATAACATATTTTGTTCCAAAGATCCAGAGATATCTCTGAGACTAAATACCTGCCATGAGTGAGACTGGTGAACTGTAGCTGGCACAGTGGCTCGCACCTATAATCCTAGCACTTTGGGAGGCTGAGGCAGCAGGAGCACTTGAGCCCAGGAGTTTGAGAACAGCCTGGGCAACATAGTGAGACCTAGTCTTAACAGAAAACGTTAAAATTAGGTGGACATAATGGTGCCTGCCTGTACTTGGTACAGCTACTTGGTAACTGAGGCAGGATGATTGAGCCCAAGAGTTCGAGGTTACAATGAGCTTTGATTGCACCACTGCACTCCAGCCTGGGTTATACAGACCAGGTCCTTGTCTCAAAAACAAAACAAAACTAGTGAACCTCAATAGACAGTTTTTTGCCCATATTTCAAATTGTCTGCTAAGTACGACTACTTCACTATATCCAAGCTACTGGATAAACCTATTTATCCCTGAAACAACCACAGAATAGATGTACTTCCTTTTGGAAGTACAAAAGGAAGATATTCTTCCTTTTGTCCTTAAGTTCAGGCCTCAGTGTTCTGCTCTAATTAGTTTAACTCTCCTCAACTCCCTGTTTCCTCCAGCTTTATCTGATCCTTCTGGTAACAAGACCCACATGTTTACCTCTACAGTGCCAACCTCATTCTGATACTGTGCATCACTCTCTAATCATTCCACTCTCAGGTAAAGTTCAGTTTATTCTACGAATACCAAAATGGGTGAATTCTCCTGTCCCCACAGCAGCCCCATGAATGATTTTCTTAGAAAGTGCTCATATTCCTACTCCATGTACATAACACTACCTCTTTTGGCTTTCCTTCTACTTCCTTATTTCTTTTCTGTCTCTTTGATCTCATTTTTCCCCCTCAAGATTATTACTCTCCATCTCTGCTCTTAAATTTCTTTTTCTTCTTTTTATACTTTCTTCCTTAACAGTCTAATTAATTTAATTCTATGCAGTTGACACTTAGATTAATATCTTCAGATTCGACTTCTCTTTTAAATTTTTGCCTCATATTTCTAATTGTCTGCTAAATACAACTACTTGGCTATTCTACTTACACCTAAAATCCAATGAGCCAAAATGGAAACTACTGTTTTTTCATGCAGACCCAGTCACCACTGTTTCTGTCCAAGGTGTGAACATTTTTCCTGGATTTGAAACTTCAGCACTCTCAATGATTGTTTTATTTCTCTTGCTCCATGTACCCCACATTCTGATCCAACCACTTTCTTAGTACTTTTGAATCTACATTTTTAATATTTCCTTCATTCACCTTCTTATCTCCAATCTCATTGCCTATGTCCCAGTTCAGGTCCTCATTACTTTTCTCTTGAGTTATTATGAGAGCATCTTAACTGAAGTCCTTTTATTGCACCAATTCATTTAAAATATGGCAAAAATATTTCTAAACAAAGAACTGCTCTGATATTGTCATTCATTTCTTCCTCTTTCCTCATATCTGTCAATGTGGCTGTTTTATATTCCTCGGCCTAACATTTAAAGCATCCAAATCTCCATGACCTCACTCCCAAGCTTATTTCACACTAATTCTTTTTATAGAACCATAAATTAAGCTAAACTTAATCACTGGATTGTTATTTGCTAGGATATAATGTTGGAAGTTAGATCTTATTGTTATTATTATTATGTCGTTTCTGTTATTATTATGTTGATCCTTCTGGCAAATATATTTATATTTATCATCTTTATATATTTAAATTATAGTAATTTGGCAAGCTCCAGCTCATTTTCTTCCTTCTTTATAAATGCCTCCCACAACTGGAAATAATTCCCACCCCAAAATTCAATAGTGTTTTTCTATGCCTCTGTGTCTCGTATATTTTGACTAAGAGCATCTCTCCTACTAGACCATAAACTCCTAAGGGTAAATCTATGTCGATTTAACATTGCATTTATCAGACAAAATACTCCAGTGCCAATAACATACAATTAAGCAAGTTTGTATGTTTACTTAATGTGCAAATTAATAATCATAGCTAACCTTTTTTGAAGGGTAGATTCTCAGTGTTGCACAGAGGTATGTGCTATTTTGTTCTTCAATTTTTTGACTAGAAAAAAGCACTGAAATTCAAAGTGGTTAAGTAATTTGTCTAAGGTCAGAGTAAATGTCCTGACCAGACTCTCAAATTTATAGTTCTAACACAGACCTCTCCCTGAGTTCCACTCCCATATATCCAATTGCTTTCTGTACATTTCCATTTGAGTGTTTAATACTCTTCCTTTGTGACAACTTTCATACCTATCCCTTATAGTTCATTGTCTTCAGTTTGGGTCTAGCTTAGCATGCCCTCATATCATATCAAGGCTACTGAATTTGTTTAATGACTTGCTCCTTTAACCCATACTTTTTTAAGAATTCAATTTGTCCTACATTTATCTTTCTAAATCACTTCCTGTAATACTGTCACTATCCTCCTCTAAAATTTTCAGTGTCTTCCTACCGACTATAAAAAATAAGCCCCATCTTCTCTGTCTGGCAACCAATAAAACCCACTAATTGGTCTCAACCTATGTCTCCAGTAAATTGCTGTTATTACTCCCTGACATGTAGCCTCTACACCCAAACAAATTAATCTCTTCATTGCATTTGAATATACCATGTGTATCTGTGTCCCTTTTCAGAAATTACGTGCAAGGTTTGGCTTCATTGAAATACATTCCTTATTCCTATCCACTTATTAAAGTCTAAAGTATCCGTACTTTTATCTTTCAAACTAGCACTCTTTTTGCTGGGGAGAAAGAAGAGGGGAAGGATGATTACTCAGAGACTGCTCAAGGTAAGCTGGCATGTACAGTTAACCTACTTAATACCCACATACTTTCAACATCTATATCAAATCTCACCTCTCCTAAAATTTTCAGACTCATGGCCTTTAGTTTTAGTGATCATTTTTTCTTTTAGAGTGCTGTTGTATCATAGCAAATCATATAAAAGTCAACATCCTAAGACAAAGAGCTGAATCCTGTCTCCTCTACTTAATAACTATGTGATCATGCAAAGGCCTCTTAAATTCTTGGCAAGTTTTATTTGTAAATGGAATTATTTCTCTAATTTCTTTTTATTCCTATAGTAGGATAATACATCTACATCCTTTCCCTTGTAACTTTGTAGTATCTATCACTGTGGATGAAATATAATTTCACTTCTCATGGATGTTGGTCTAAGCTATGTGACTTGGTTTAATTAATAAGAGGTTGATAAACATGACATTATCAGAGGCTTTAAATGTGCAACCATGATTTAGTTTGTCTTTTTTGTGCTTCTATAAGTCACTCTGAGGTTGACAAACCTGAGGAAGTCATCACTTCTTTATCCTGTGCCTTGGAATAAAGACATATGAAATGAAACCACTCCAACTCTAAGCTTGGAGTCAAGTACGACCCATTCAAAGTCAAACAGACAAGATTAGGAAACCAATGCGAACCTACAGACCAAAGACTAGAAGAAAAAAGGTTAGTAGTAGTTATAAACCACTAATATTTGACATTCTTATATAGCCCTTTTCCAGAACAAGCTGACTGATATGACTATCTCACATATTTTTGTGAGACAAATGATATAAGTAAGTGAAGGTGATTTCAGAAATTACAAAATGCAATACAAATGTTATTTGATTATTGCTACTCAGTATTATGAATTTGTGTCCATTTCTTGTTTCCTTATCTAAATTGTAAATATGAGAGAGATAAACTATTATATGAGAAATATAATCATTAGATAATTAGATAAGAAATAATTATGTTTCTTATATTTGCCAAAGTGCCCTACATGGTGCCTTATACAAAGTGGGTACTGAAGAAATATTAGCGTTGCTGCTGTTAACATGCCTCCCAAGTATATTTTGTTTATATCTTTGTTTTTGTTCTTTTAGTTCTTCAGTTTTGGACATTTTCATGGGTGGTATAAGATATTAAGAGGGTGGATTATCAAATCAAACTACTGATTTCAGAAAGTGCCTCAAACTCTTATTATCTATCTAGTCTTGGGCAAACTGCTTAAACCCTCCAAGCATTAACTTATTTATTTATAAGAATAATATTATTACTGATAATACATTCATCAATTAAAATTAATTACAATAATCATTTGGCAATGATTGTCACATCATAAAATAACCCAGTAAATAGCAGCTTTTATTATATTTTTTATATTTTAAATGTTCCTTTCTCCTCTCCAGAAATTTCTAAACAAACTTCTCAGACCATCTTATCATTCTCTAGACAAATATATTTCTTCTAGACAGACAGAAACACACACACAGACATGCATACGCATGTGTGCCTGAGCGCGCACACACACACACACACACACACCCCTATTGCAGGGTTTTCCATAAATAGGTGGGGATTAGGGAACAGGAAAAAGTGATCTTAAAAACTCTGTGTTTCATCTCTGCTTTCTGATCATCTACTTGATGTTTCCAATGCCCCCCAAACAACCTCTATTCCTATTCACCTAACTAATGCTGAACCAATCTTCAAATTTCTACTTAGAGGACACTCCCCCTGGAGAAACTTTCCCAGACTCCTCAAGGCTAAGCTGAACATCCCTCTTATAAAGAGCCTTCATAAATTCATGATTGAGGGCACTTAAAACTGCTTTTCGACTTGTCCATTTTTAAAACTATACTATAAGTTATTTGAAGGCATAGATTGTGTTTGTCGCTTTCACTAGAACCTGGCACAGTCTTGGCACATATTAATCACTTAAAGGTATAAGATAAAAGAATAAAAAAGAAAGAAAGGGAAAGAATAAAGGGAGAGAGAGCGAGATAGCATAGACTGTGTTCATCACTTTCACCAGGACCTAGCACAGTCTTGGCACATATTAAGCACTTAAAGATATAAGATGAAAGAATAAAAAAGAAGAAAGAAAAAAAGGGAATAAGGGGGAAAAATAGAGAGAGAAGGGAGGAAAGAAAGAAAAAGGTTACTTTTGTTTCTTTGCTTTTCAGAAGAGAATGTTAAAAGAGCAAGACAATTACTATAACATCATAAAAACTCATTTTCCACATAAATCTACATTTTGTTTGAAATCACATGTCAATGTGTTCTCTTCCATTCATCAGAGTAATAGGCTATTTAAAAACACCAACTCATCATAAAACCTATTTGAGACAAAATGGAATGAATAGAGTAAGGTGGATTTCTATTCTTTTCCTCCTTATTCTCCTTCTTCTTGCTCATTTTAGAAAAAGGCTCTTATTCACTAAAAACCCTTTAGCAAGAAACAAATACAGAATATTTATCTCATCTACTTTTGAAAATTAACAGCAAGAAATTTAAGTAATCATTTATTTAAAATATTTATTTGTGATTTATATTTCTGGATAGGAATTAGAGATAAAAAGTCTAGATCTGGTTAATAAGGGGTAAATAAAAAAGAAGATAAAAGTGGAGAAATTGATTAAAAAGTAGACAATACAAAGGAAAGACGGAATACAAGAAGCTTTAGAGTAATGTTTCTTCATAGCACTTCTGTTTTAATCCTAAATTCTAAATATCCCCCTCTGGGCATTAGGAGAAGAAAGGTCTACCTGATTCTAAAGTATTCTCTAATACTGAGGAAGAGGACTGGAATGATATCCCTCTGGAGTTTGACAAAAATCTAACTGAAATTAAAATACGGTTATCAAACCAGCAATTCACCATCTTTACTTAAAGGAATAATAAATCAGATGTTAATCAATAACATAAAGTAACAGTTTCCATTGTTCTTAATTTAAGTAGACAAGTATTAGATACAGCTTTTCTGTGCTGCCTTTTATTTTCAAATAGCTACCTTCAAAAATTATTCAAAGAGTTCAAAGAAGAAAAAGTGGCAGAGTTGGATAAACAGACCAAAAAAAAAAAAAAAAAACAGAGAAGAGCCAGTCAACTCAGCAACTTTAATTGTCCATGTGGATTATAACAGTGGACTTGTCTAAGTTAGAACTATCCAGTGCACTGGCCATAAAGTACAGAGAAAATTACTAGTGTTGTTATGTTGTTGTATATTAATTTCTGCTATATAGATAGACTCAGTTCTCTTCCCATACTTGTCTAGTATATGCCTGACAAACAGAAGTCTCTCAAGAAATGTTAGTGAATGAATAAAAACAAGATTGCATAAATAATCTCCTTATTTATCATCAGGGCCAGGGCTATTGCTGAGTCCCCAATTTATACCCAAAGTTGATTCCTCTGAAACAATGACACTTAATGTAGACAGCCTCCCAAAGAAGGGGAGACAGTTCCTGTCTGTTATGTGACTGTAAGCCACTTGTCCAAACCAATTCTGCAGCAACAAGTGCCAAGTAGATGGGGAAGATGTACAGATGGCTGCCTGCATGCATCACGGGATTGGGCTGCCACCACAGCCCATTGTTATATTTATTGCTGACAAAGTAATTAACTGGCTGACTCCTTCTTTTTAAATTGGTCATCCTCAATGGACAGCTGCACTGGGGGGTTGTACTAATCATGCCTTTGACAGGAGCGAGCTACACAGCCCCACTGCAGCAGCTAGAGCCTTTGTGAGGTCATCCCTTTGCTGCTGGACAGAAACCCATGCTTCACTCTCCCTAGGATCTTTTAACAGGCTTCCTCACTCCTGGAAAATACATAGCATTTTTTTTCTGAGTGCTTCTTTTTCCGAAGTATAATACAATGGGAAAAAAGTCATTTTTTAGTTTGTTTTCCATGTGATAATTTCTTTTTTTGTTCAAGTAATAATTTCTTAAATACAAACTGAAAACTTGCCTTTAATAATAATTGTGGAAGAAGATTGCACTAATCTCAGTAGATATTACCCAAATTACCAAATTATAAGGAAGCTAGAGGTCATGTGAAGGCATCAAAAGCTGTTTCAACTCACTTCTCTGTCCAGCAACCAAGTATTTATTTTTATTTCAATAGCATAAAGAATGATCTTTATTTTTTCTACAGTAAAATGAATATTAGATGCTTGCAGAATATTTTACATCACAGAATGTTAAAGATATTTTTATAATGAGAATGCCTAATGTATCAAGCACAGGCTTATTTGTTAGTAATACAATACCAGATTCACGGCATAGGCAAAATTCTTCCTAGGGGTCTCATGTTTGTCTTTTCTTACCTGTGAAATGAAAGCCATTGTTCTTTCCTGCCCATACTTCTTCCTGACCTAAGTAACTTCAACTCTGTTCTTTATGATTTATTCTATAAAATCGGGGGACTGGACATAGAGAATTTCTAATAATCTGTGACTATCTGGATATTGAGGCAAATAAAAATCATAATGTATTACTCAAATTAATAAAAACTGTGAATATACAATGTAAAGGGCATGTATTAATTACAAATACAACTAAATCTTGATTTGTTTTTATTATCACAAATATCAGTGTCCGTGGTTTGAGTTTGCTTATGAAAAAATCCTTTACATATTCCTTTCTGTGCTTTGCTAATTTTCCATTCTGTATTCCAAGGCAGAACAACAGATTGCAACAAAATCGGGTTAAACATTGATCTTCCGCCCTGACATTGCATTAACTTTTGTAATAAACATCTTCACTGTGTCAACCAGCACTGTGTTTACATATTGAACCCAGCAGCCAATTGTCTTACTTCTTTTAGATGCTTTTGAATTCCAGAAGGAATCTTATCTGGAAGACTAGAATCATGCATCTGTCATGCCTTTCAATTTTGTATTTCAGATTAACTGCTCCTTTTCCTCCACATTCTTAAGGCCTTCTAAGAAATTTCCTTCCCAATTCACTTGGTAAGTGCCTGCTCAGGCTGTTATTCTATAATGAATTCATGTCTTTTCTCCTATTTTTCCTGTGCCGCCCTTGTTATCTGGAGTCAGGATTCTGAGCTCTGACTTCCCTCCTTGTCATGTTGCCTGAGGAGAATTGCAGACAGACCCTCAGACCTCAAATAGTCTAGATTTTGAAGACCCTGCTTTGGCTGAGATGAGGCCAGCATTGGAGTAGAAGTAAGCACTGATATATATATTTTTTACTTACAATCTCTGAAAATTAACTATTTCTGTTCAGGTTCAGGGACTGACTGAAAGTATGAGCTAATAGGTGTGCCTATCCATTACTGATCACATATTCTCTATTTTTGAATGTTATGAAGAATACACATTTAAGAATTGGTTTTCATATCTGCAGATGCTGCTTGCTTCACTGAAGCTACAGGTAGAAGCTGACTACCAAAGGAGAAGGCTGAGGAGAAATTGCTCCATGAGATAAGGCAAGACATTTATCCCTGAATGCTGTCTCTCCAAATGCACAGAAACATGTCATAAAGTGTGGGACTAGGGTCTCTAAAGGACATGTAATACCTCATTTCTGGAGATATGGTCTAACATGAAAGGGTCATAATCGATGGTCAAGTCACAAAATTTATTTCTAGAGTCATTTTACTAAATATGGAGAGATCTGCAAAAATTGTATGCCTGGGGAAAATCCCAATCAGACCAACTGACCCAGACCAATCAATGACAACTCAGAGTAGTAATGAAAAATTCATTTAGACTAACTCCCATAATTTGCTAAGAGGCACTGTACTAAGTATATAACACAATATCTCATTGTGTGATCCTTATAATAGCTCTATGAGGTACATGTCATTCTTCCTATTTTTTAGACAGAAAAGTCTCTGATAAATAACTTGTCCAAAGTCACGTATTTACCACATTTACCAGAGTTATAACCCAAATCGGTCTGACTCTAAATGCTCTTAGCCATTCAGTCCTACTGCAAAATAAGCACACCAGTGGAGAGCAATAGAGAATGGGAACGCAGTCACAATGGGAGCCTGTCATTGGATCTCATGTATGCAGAGGTTCCTTCTTCCAGGAGAGCTTTGCCCTTGTCCTCATGAACTTTTATGTCAATACATTCAATGCACTGTATTGGATTTCTAGATTGGGAGCTAAAAAAAGAACAGATTTCTAAATATCAGCTATCTTATTTTACCAGCTTGCCTTAAACCAGTTACAGAATATCTCTATTTATAATTATTTTTACCTAAAAATAGGAATAAAACTACTCTTCAATATGTGATTTTTAAAAAGGATGATAAAATCAAAGGAATTTAGAATAATCCTTGCACATAGTGGGCACTTAGAAACTTTTGCTTCCTTATTGACTCCCTTCTCCTTACATTTCAATCTTGTTCCATGTCTCATGGCCTCTTCAGAGCAGAGACTATGTAGTATTTACCTTCATATCTTCAGACAAAATGCTTAGCATATAGTCGGTGGTCAGTTACTGGAAATGATTTAAAGACATTGAGAATTACTTCCTTTGAAATTTTAAGAGGTGTGGTAAAACTTTGGTTTCAGAATATATCTTTATTGATTTTTTAAATATGTATTTTTCTTATATATTATGGTCAACCTCTTGGGATCTTTAGAAAAGAACATTTTCCAGTTTTTTTGAATCTCGGGCCAAGAGAATTAGAACACTCCATAAAATTACACAGGTATATCTGATAAAGGCCATACTCTATTTTTCCATATAAGTATAAAACTGTTGTATAAAAAATTACCTTCTGGCCAGGTGTAGTGGCTCACACCTGTAATTTCAGCACTTTGGGAGGCCAAGGCATGCAGATCACTTGAGGCCAGGAGTTCAAGGCCAGCCTGGCCAACATGGCGAAACCCCCCTCTACTAAAATACAAATATTAGCTGGGCCTGGTGGCACGTGCCTGTAATCCTAGCTACTGTGGAGGCTGAGGTGGGAGAATTGCTTGAACCCAGGAGGCGGAGGTTGAAGTGAGCCAAGATCATGCCACTGCACTCTAGCCTGGGCAACAGAGCAAGACTCTGTCTCAAATATATAAATAAATAAATTACCTTGTAAAATATTATCCTCTTCCCTCAAATATATACAGTAAAAGATGTCTGTCTAATATTATAATATATTTTGTTTAGCAAAAATACATTAGTCAGTTATTTATCTTAAATTTCCTTTATCCTCCTGAGTCTAACATGTTTATTTTTATACTGGACTTTGGTCTATCCATTTCACATATGGGTCAACTATTTCCTATACAGATAGTTTAGTTATCTGTTAGCTGCATAGCAACCTAATCCCAAAATAGTGTTTTAACATTTCTTCACCATCGCTGAGTTGTCTGGACTCAGCTGAATGGTTGTTCTGCTTCCTATGATGTCAGCGAGGGCTATAGTCATGTGAGGTCATACGTGGCCTACAACATCCAAGATGGCTGCCTCCTATAACTGGCAACGGATGTAAGCTGTTGGTTGAGAAATGCTAGTAAGCAGGTCTCCTAAGTTTTCCTCCACATGACCTCTCCATGTGGCTGGTTTCTGAGAAGGAGTACCCAAAGAGTGAACATTTCAAGAGAAGGAAGCAGAAGCTAAAGGTCCCTTAAGGCCTCCTTTCTGTGCATTCAGTTGCTCAAAGGCCAGCCCAGATTCAAAGGAGGAGAAATAAACACTCCTGTTGATCTGATGTGCATTAAAGAGAAGAAATTAGTGAGTCATTTTTAAAGACTGATCATTAAATATAGTTACCCTGTTATATTTTTTCATAAATGATTTCCTTCTCCATTCTACCCCTATAAATTTTTCTCTATATGTGAGAATTTAAAATCTGTGGTTTCTTTCTATGTACTAATCTACACATAGTTGTGTTTATTATTTGTCTTTGATGAATATATTATATGATACTGAAAGCCTGATATCCTATTAAACATTTAAATAAATATTTCACATTTTAGAATTCTGAGCTCTAACTCCTTCTTTATCCTCAGCATTAGAATTAGACAAAAGCACTCAGATGTAAAATATACCAAATGAGGCAGTGGGGGAGGTAGGTGGTAAAATAGTTTTTTTGTTAGTCTTCTTTTTCTCTTTTTGTTCATATATTTTGAGCTCTCAAAATGGCTGTAAAATGCTTTATTACATTGCTAATATATGCTTAATTTAAAAAAATCCAAACTCTACCAAATTTAGCTAAATGAAATAATTATATGCTGTATTGGTGTGTAAGAGGTGGGGAGAAGGAGCACATTCTAAACTTCCTTGCTCTTTTCTAAATTTGTCTGTGAGAGAGCACCGATTAAGAGTCAGAATTTCTAACTCCAGTGTGGACTTCAATGGAGTAACTATTAAACAAGATGCATAACAAGGGTTACCATGATAATCAGGTGAAGTTATTAAATAGAAAAGAACATATTTCTGTCTTTTATAAGAAGAAAGACATCATTTCCATAGAGAAATGAAGGAACTCTGAAGCCTGGAAACCCTTGGGAGGGGAGCACATGTATTATTCTAGATTAGAACTAAACATTCCAGCATGAAGGATGACCTCATATGGCCTCCCTGTCGAAAGGTATGTAAAAACAAATGTTATAACTATGAATTTGACATTAACCATGGGGAAATTTAAGACAAATGGAAGTTATACATTATTGATGAATCTCTTTGGGAAACTTGTTGAAGTTATATGGCAATTTTTCATTCACTAATCAGACAATAAGGTTATTGGGTCATGAATGGTAGGTAGACTTAGCAAATAGTATTCCTATTGTGTAAGTTCTTCTTGTGCCTTTTCTTGTTATTAGGTAAATTATACCTGGATATTCTTTAAATGGGAAATTGTCTGTGTTCGTGTAATTGAAGCAACATCACATCTGTTAATAGAGAGTAGAAGGTATAATCAGAATTTTGTTACAAGTGGAAAAGAAGGAAATTAATATTCTTTTTGTTTTTAGACATGCAACCTATGTATTAAGTAAGACATTGTTGATGGTAAGTACGTACTGCTCGGCATTGATTTCTTACTTGCTGCAAGGAGGTAGACCCAAGGGGAACTCAAATATGGAAGACAGGAAATAAGAAGTCAATATAGTGAAAGGCAAGAACTTGATTTGATGAAACTCATCATTAAATGATGAAACTGATCACTCAACATATGCTATTACTAGAGCTTTTTAGTAGAGATATGTTACTATTGGTGTGAGCCAATATAAATTTGCATTGTAATAAAGAGCACTGGATCTGAAATGAGACTAGCAAATCACTTACTATCTCAGTGTTTCTTTGAATGTCTATAAGATAGGGGTAAAAACCGAATATAAGGTAAGGTACATGAGAAAAATTGTCATGATATTTAGGAGTTTTAGTAATAATTATATAAACATTAATATTTCTGGGTAAGTTTCACAAAAGAGAAAATCTTCTAAGAAGCTAAAAGGGGTAAGCTTTCCTATAAAGGAACGAGGAGAGAATTATAGCAAAATTTCATCAGAAATCATGCAAGCAAGAAGAAAGTAAAGTAAAATATTTGAATTGTTTAAAAAAAACCCACACCAACCTAAACTTCTGTATCCAGTAAAATTAACCTCCCAAAGTGAAAAAGAAATAACTTTCTCAGACAAACAAAAACTGAGGTACTCCATTTTCAGTAGACTTCCACTACAAGATGTTAAAAGATGTTCTTCAGAAGGAAAGCGATACAATATAGAATCTCAAATTTACATAAAGAAAGGAAGAAAATCACGTTAGTCCATAAAACAAGTCTTAACAAATTGAATACAATAGGGATTATATCAAATATCTTTTCTGAGCAAAATGGTATAAACCTGGAAATCAACAACCAAAAAAAAAAAAAAAACCCTCAGAAACTTTACAAATACATGGAAATTAAACAACATGGGTCTACACCACCAATGGGTCAATAAAAATGTTAAAAGAAAAATTAAAATTTTTCGAGACAAACGAATGGAAGTGGATCATATCAAAACCTATGGGACACAGCAAAAGCAGTTCTAAGATGCAAGTTTATAGCAAAAAACACCTACATCAGAAAAAAATAAAGCCTTCTAATAAAAAACCTACCAATGCACCTCAAGGAACTAGAAAAACAAGAACAAACAAACCCCCAAACTGGTAGAAGAAAGGAAAGAATAATACTCAGAGCACAAATAAATGAAATAGAGACTTAAAAAAAAATTTAAAAGAACAATGAACAAAGAGTAGGTTTTTCAAAAACATAAACAAAATGGATGAACTATCAGTTAGATTAACTTAGAAAAAGGAGAGAAGACTCAAATAAAAGGATTAAAAAGGAGACATTACAACTGATACCATAGAAAAACAAAGAATCATGAAATTATTATGAATGACTATATGTCAACAAATTTAATAACATATAAAAGTGGATAAATTCCTGTACACATACAAGCTACTGGGATTAAATTATAAAGTAGAATATCTGAACAGATCGATAATGAGTGAGGAAATTGAATGAGTAATAAAAAATCTCCATCAGAGAAAACTCTAGAACATGATGGCTTCACTGCCAAATTCCATCAAACTTTTAAAGAACTAATACCAATTCTCCCCAAACTATTCCAAAAAATAGGAGTGAATACTTCAAAACTCAATTTATGAGCTCAGCATTACCCTGATTCCAAAACTGAAATAGGACACAACAGAAAAAAAAATACCACAGACTCATATCCCTGATGAACAGAGATGCAAAAATTCTCATTAAAAAGATCATTTACTATGATGGAGTGGGATTCATCCCAGGGATGCAAGTTAATAAGTATAATCCACCACATTAACAGAAAAAAGACAAAGAACATATAATAATTACAATAGAAACAAACATTTGACAAAATTCAATATCCCTTCATGTTAAAAACTCTCAACAAATATCTATCTATATCTACATATAGAAAGTATGTATTAAATACCTCAACAAAATTAAGGCCATATATGCCAAACTTACAGCTAATATCATACCAAATGAGGAAGAGATGAAAAAGTTTTCCTCCATGATCAGGAGGATCTTTTTCTGCTGTGATAAGCTAAAATTTCTATTATTTATTTAATTCTTCTGATGCATTTTACTCAGTCCAGTCCAGTGATGAGAATGTTTATTCTACATTGCTTGGAACATCTGGATAGCTACATACATGAATTAAAGTACAGTGCACTTAATACAAATGTTCTACAAAAATAAGACATTTCATTTATTAAAATTTCACAGAGAGGCATACAAGACTACAACAATTACTGAGGTGAAAGTCTACAGTTTTTAAGAAGTCAGATGGGCTGGGCACATAGGCTTACGCCTATAATCCCAGCACTTTGGGAGGCTGAGGTGAGTGGATTCCTTGAGCTTAGGAGTTCAAGATGAGCCTGAGCAAATGGTGAAACACTGTCTTTACCAAAAATACAAAAACAATTAGCTGGGCTTGGTGGTGCACCTGTGGTCCTAGCTACTCAGGAGGCTGAGGTGAGAGGATCATTTGAGCCCAGGGAGGCAGAGGTTGCAGTGAGCCGAGATCATGCCACAAAACTCCAACCTGAGTGACAGAGTGAGACCCAAGCTTAAAAAGAAAAAAAAAGTCAGATGGTTGTCTAACTCCAGGCTTTGTATATTCTGGTTCAGGGGTTATGGAGAAACATGGCCAATGTGAGAAACAACAGCAACTGTAAGCCCTTGGCAACACACTAAGAATATGGTTCCCCTTAATACAGAGTCCATGGATATAGAAGCTGCAGCCAGTACACTTTATTTCTGTTAGTCATACTCTGTATAATTGATTTGTAATCTTTTTGGGGGCAGGATAACTGTGCAGGAATTTTAACAAACTTGACTGATCTACTGATAAGGAGAAGGTCAGCCTTATCCCCACAAGTAAGCCCACACACACTGGTACTGCCAGTTAACTGAGGAGAAACTTGTCTCTATGCCAAGTATCCCCTGCTGAGTAATCCCTTCCACTGCCCCAGCATCTGAGATGAGGATGTGGATATTCAGCTGAGTAGGACAAGGATGCCCACTTTCACTACTGCTATTCAGCATAATACCGTAAGTCTTAGCCAGAGCAACTAGATGAAAGAAACAAAAAGAAGGCATCCAAATTGCAAAGAAGGGTTCAAATTGTTTTTGTAAAATTCATATGGAACCACAAAGGCCCTGAATAACCGAAACAGTCCTAAGCAAAAACAACAAAGCTGGATGCATTATATTACCAGACTTCAAAATATACTACAAAGCTATAGTAAACAAAACAGCATGGTACTGTCATAAAAACAGACACATAGACTAATGGAACCAAATAGCCTACCCAGAAATAAATTAACACATCCACAGCCAACTAATTTTCTACAAAGGTACCAAGAACATACATTGAGGGAAAGATGGTCTCTTCAATAAATGGTGCTGGGAAAATTGAATATCTACATGTGGAAGACTATGACTAGTCCACTACCTCTCAACATATACAAAATCAACTCAATATAAATTAGACTTAAATGTAAAACTCAAAACTATGAAACAGCTAGAAGAAAACATAGAGAAGAAGCTTTATGAAATTGGGCTGGGAAAGAGTCTTATTTTTTAATAAGGCTGCAAAGTCACAGGCAACAAAAATAAAAATAGGCAAATGGAATTAAATCTAACTCAAAAGCTTTTGTACAGCAAAGAAAACATTAACACAGTAAAGAGACAACCTACAGAATGAAAGAAAATAGACAAAAACTTTATGTCTGTCAAGAGGTTAATATCCAGAATGTATGAGACTTAAACAACTCAATAGAAAGAGAAAAAATAACAATAAAAAATGGGCAAACAACTTTAATAGATATTTTTCAAAAGAGGACATGCAAATAGCCAACTGGTATATGAAAAAAATGCTCAGTGTCATTAACACAAAGCAAAACCACAATGAGATACCACCTTACTCCAGTCGGAATGGCTATTACCAAAAATATAAAAGAAATCAAGTATTGGCTAAAATGGGGAGAAAAGGAAACACTTACACACTCTTGGTGGGATTGTAAACTAGTATAGCCATAATGGAAAACAGTATGTAGGTTCCGCAATAAATTAAACATAGAATTACTATATGATTCAGAAATGCCACTATTGCATATATATCCAAAGGAAAGGAAATCAGTACGTCAAAAAGATATTTGCACTCTCGTGTTTATTGCAGCACTATTTACAATAGCCAACATATGGAATCAACCCAAAAGTTTAACAACAGATGAATGGATAAAGGAATTGTGATATATATATAGAGAGAGAGAGGATATAATGTTGAGTGAAATAAGCCAGAGACTAAATGACAGATACTGTATAATCTCACTCATACATGGAATCTTTTTTAAAAAGTTGATATAAAAGCAGAGTAAAACTGTGGTTACTACAGACTGGGAAGGGGAGGAGGAATAATAGAATGGTAAGAGGTTGATCAACTAGTACAAATTTTTAATTAAATAGAAAAAAATGAATTGGGTGGTTCTATTGTAAAATAGGATGACTGTAGTTAACATTAAAATATTCCATATTACAAAACACTTAGAAAAGAGGCTTTTGAATATTCTCATCACAGAAAATGCATAAGATGATGGTTACACTAATTGCCCTGATTGGATCATTATACAACATAGATATATATCAAAACATCAAACTGTACCCTGTAATTATATGCAATTACAATATGTCAAAATAAAAAATAAATTTTTAAAAACATTTAAAAAGTAAATAATAGCAACATTGTATTGGATAATTATATCATGAACAAGTGAAAGTAATGACAGCAATGTTGTTACAAGAAATATATTTTAAATATAAACATTCAAATAAATTAAAAGGGAAGAAGAATTATATATCATGCTAACACTAATTAATGGAAAGTTGGAGTAGCTGTATTAATTTCAGACAAAAGCAGATTTTAGAATAGGGAAAATTCTCAGGGATAAACAAGAGCACTACATAATGATAGAAAGGTCAATACTCTATGAAGACATAACAATTTTTAACATGTATGCACCTAACAATAGAGCATCAAAATACAAGAGAAAAACTGTTAAAACTGTAAAAAGAAACGGACAAGTCCACTATTATAGCTGGAGACTTCAAAAGCCCTCTTTCAGTAGTTGATAGATTCAGCAGGCAGAAAATCAATAAGGATATAGTTGTCCTGAACAGCACTATCGATCAGTTCCGACTAATTGATATTTAAAGAACACTTCCTTAAAGAAAAGCAGAAAACACATTCTCTTCAAACTCACATGGAACTTTCATTAAGATAGGCCACATTCTTGGCCATGAAATATATCTTAACTTTAAAGGGATAAAAATCATACAAAGTATGTCCTCAGATGACAATGAAATTAAAATATAAATCAATAACAAACAAATTTTCAAATATCTGGAGATTAAGCAATAACACTTCTAAAAAACAAATGGGTCAAAGAAGAAGTCTCAAAATGAATAAAATACATTTTGAACTAAGTGAAATTAAAAATACAAATTATAATTTGTGGGATGCAGTGAAAGTATTAAGAGGGAAATTTTTAGTTATAACACTAAATATATATATCAGAAAAGAAAAACTATCTAAAATCAATAATATAAGCTTCCATTTTAAGAAGTTACAAAAAGAATAGAAATTTAGCCTAAGACAAGCACAAGAAAAGAAACCAATAAAAATTAAAACAGAAATGGTCAAAATTTGAAAATAGAAACAATAGATAAATTCAATACATTTAATATTTGATTTTTTAAAAATAATTATAAAATTAAAAATTCTAGCCATGTTAATCAAGAAAAAAATGAAAGAACACACAATTTATCAGAAATAAAAGAGAGAGCATCCTTACTAGTCACATGAACAATGATAGGTTGACAAAGGAATACTATGAACAATGCTATGCCCACGAATTTCCTTGAAAGACACAAACTATCAAAACTCACACAAGGGGAAACAATGTAAATATTTGTATGTTTATTTTAAAAATTGAGTAAATAGTAACCTTTCAAAAAAAGGAAACCCAGTTCCAGATGGTTACACTGGTAAATTTTACTAAACATTTAAGAAAGAAATAATGCTAATTTGTTACAATATTTTCAATAAAATAGAGCACTAACATTTTCTAAATTATGCTATGAGGTCAACATTATCATATTTCCAAAACCAGATAAAGACATTACAAGAAAAGAAAACTACAGATCAATATCTGTCATTAACTTAGATGCAAAAATCTTCAACAAAGCAAATTGAATCCAGCAATTTATAAAAAGAATTATATACCATAGCCATTTCAGTCTATTTTGTGCTGCTACAACAGAATACCAAAGACTCTATAATTTATAATAAACAGACACTTATTGGCATACAGTTCTAGAGACTGGAAAGTTCAATACCAAGCTGCTGGCTTTTGATGAGGGCCTTCTTGCTGCATTATTACATGCCAAGAGGTGAGAGGGTGAGAGAGAGAGAGAGAGCTCCTGAAGACTTTTTATTTAACGCATTAAAACTCCTATGCGGGTGGATCTGTTGTGGCCTAACAACATTTTAAAGACTCCACCTCCCAATACCATTACACCGGCAATTAAATTTCAACATGAGTTTTAGAGGAGACAAACATTCAAACCATAGCAATAGCTAAGTGGGATTTATTCAAGGTATATCAAAAACAATCAGTACAACCCACCACAACAGGTTTAAGAAGAAAAATCATATGATCCTGTTAATTGTTGCAGAGAAAGCATTTGACAAAATCCAACACCTAATCAAGATTAAAAAAGAAAAAACACCCTCAGCAAACTGGAAATAGAGGGAACTCACTTAACTTTATAAAGAATAGCTACAGAAAAACTAACATCATACTTACTGGTAAGAAACTGAATGCCTTTCTCCTGAGATCAGGAACACAACAAGGATATCCTTTCTTGCCACTTCCATTCAACATTGCAGTGAAGGTCATAGCTAGTGCAATAAAACAAGAAAATGAAATAAATACATGTTAGTTGAGAAGAAAAAAATAAAACTGTCTTTATTCATAGAAGACATGATTGCCTGTGGAAAAGCATTCTATAGAATCAACAAAAAAAAATCTTGGAATTAATACGTAAGCATTGAAATTTCACAAGATAAAAAGTCAATATACGAAAGTCAACTGATACCCTACATATAAAAATGAACAACTGAAATTACATATGGAAGGAGGTACTAATTACTAACATCAGAAACAAACAGGTAGATTTATTTTACAGATTTTATTATAAAATATAAAAATACTATAAAGAGCTTACAACAAATTGAAACTGGAACTAAAAATTTACAACAATATCAAAGAAATGTAAGAACCAGACAATGTAATAGTTATTTCTTCAAAGCAGCTTAAGAAAGATAGTACCATCCATGCAAACTAGTCTAAAAAACATAAGTAAAATTTTTCTAATTATTTTTTAAGGCTAATGAAAGCTTGATACTAAAACTTGACTAGTTCATTATAAGAAAGGAAAATTACAAGTCAATATATTTTATAAATATAATGCAATGTTTGTAAAACTACGAACAAATAAAATTCAAATGTATATACTTTAAAAACTATATTACAAAAAACTTGAACTTATTCCAGAAAGCAAGGTTGCTTTAATATTATAAAATTAAAGTAATTCATCACATTAGCAAAATAAAAAGGAAAATTCTATGAAGACCTCAAAAGATGCAGGAAAAGCATTGGAAATGATTACAGACCATAATTAAATTATCTTAGAAAATTATGATTAGAAGAGATATCTAATCATTGTAGATGATGTCTATTGTAGAAATAATATCTACAATAAACATTATATTTAATGCTATAGTATTAAAAGTTTTCATCATGGGACTGGGAATAAGATAAGAATGTACCCTATTACCATTTGTATTCATTATCATTTTGAAGGTTTCTACTAGTACAATATGGCAAAAAACAAAAAAAAAATGAAAAAGAAGGAAGGGACAGGGAGAGAGATACAGAGAGAGAAAAAGAGAGAGCAAGAGAAGAGGAAGAACAAGGAGAAGAGAGATGGAAAAGTGACAGAAAGTGGGGAGAAGGAGGTAAGGAAGGAAAAAGGAAGGAAGAAAGTACAAAAATGGAAAATAAAGAAATAAAACTTTTATTTAAGGTTTACATGTTTTTACATTAAAAAGCCCAACGTAAATACAGATAAATTACTAAAAGCAGTACAACTTAAGCAATGTCTTTGCACAGAGGAACAGTATTTAAAAAGCAAAGGTATTTATATGTACCACCAATAAGAAATAAAACTAAAAACTCACATTTAAAATAGCATAATAAAATATGTAGGAAATGACAAAATACATAAAAGTTCTAAATATGCAAATCAATAAATTATTGTGAGAAGCACTAAAGAGACCTACAAAAACTGAGAGGTTACTAATATACCAAGTGTTTAGATTGGAAGACTCAGTATTCAATAGATTTCAGTTTTCTGCAAATTGGCTTATGTGTTTAATGCAATTCCTGTAAAAATTCTAGAAAGTGTTTTGTTTTGTTTATATTTTTGTAAAAATGGGCAATCAGATTTTAAGACTAATGGAATGCAAAGAGTCTCAATTAGCCAAGCTATTCTAAAAAGAACAAAATTTGAAGACATTACATAAATTAAGAGAGTATGGCATTGGCACTTGGATAGACAATTAAATCAGGGCAAAATAGAGTCCAGCAGCAGATTGTCACCACTACTAACACTTGACTTAGGGCAAAGATGACACAATGCTGTGGAGAAAGGAGGGCTTTTCCAAAAAATAATAACGAGTTAATTGCATATTCAGAAGAAAAAATGATTCTTAACACACAATTCACTCCACACTCAAAAATCAGTTCCAGATGGATTATAGATCAAAATTTACATGAGATAAAACATAGCTTCTGGAAGATAACATAAGAGAATATCTTCATAATTTTGCAGCAAAGATTTCTTCAACAGACCACAAAATGTACTAATCATTAGAAAAAATATTTATGAGTTGGATTACATTAACATTTCATGGATTACAGAAAACTAAAAAATTATATGGAATTATGTAAAACTATATTAAAATTTTAAAAATCCTATTTTCATCAAAGACAATACTCTTCAAAGGCAAACAAATAAGGGAAAGAAAATATTTGCAATACATATAACATATATGTGTTATATGTGTGTGTTTGTGTGTGTGTGTTTATCACTCTTACAAGTTAATAAAAGACAGGCAACACAATTTTAAAAATAGGCAAGACTTGAAAAGACAGCTCACTAAATAAAATATTCAAATGACTATTAAATATCTGAGTTGTTGCAGCTTATTAATCACCAGGAAAATGCAATTTCAATTCATAATGTGTTGATACTGTTCTGTTTGTTGATGTGGGTGGTGACTATAAATGTGTTCATTTTGTACAAAATTATTAAAATACATTTATGATTTGTACACTGTGTATTATACTTCAATAGAAATGTTTATTTATACAAGGGATAAGTGAGTTTGGGAGTTAGGGGGATTTGGCTGGTAGAGATGGAAGAAAAAATGCTGATGGTATTTACCATCATATTTTCCACATGATTTCCTTTTCTCATCTCTGTCTCTTTTCTTTTCATCACATAATCACATTGTAAGTGTTTCAGTAGAAGAAGTGTGGTGATGGTGTTAGGATTAGGGATGGAAAAAGCAAAATTAAGGTTATTCTCTTCTCCGTTGTATTAGTCTATTCTCACACTGCTGTGGAGAAATACCCGAGACTGGGTAATCAATCCATAAAGAAAAGAGGTTTAATTGACTCACAATTCCACATGGCTGGGGAGGCCTCGGGAAACTCACAATCATGGTGGAAGTCACCTCTTTACAGGGTAGCAGGAGAGAGAATGAGTGCCGAGTGAAGAGGGAAGCCCCTTATAAAACCATCAGATCTTGTGAGAACTCACTCACTATCACGAGAACGCATGGTGGAAACTGCCTCCATGATTCAATTATCTCCACCTGGCCCTGCCCTTGACATGTGGGGATGATTACAATTCAAGATGAGATTTGGGTGGGAACACAGAGCCAAATCATGTCACCCACCCATTTCATTTCCTCCTGTTTTAATTCTGTGTTCCTTTCTGCATAATGAATATTTAGCAGAAGGAAATGGAGGATTGAGAGTAGGAGTTTCAAGTGAGAAGATCAAACTTTCCTCTTATTCCCCCCAGTCTTGATAAATTAGTCCTGCTGCTAGATTAACACTGGAAGAGGGTGCTTGAGGAGTCAGTCAGTTATAGGGTTCACTGCTGTGAAGGGGAAGAGTCAGAAAATAACTGATGGTGACAATAAGTAGGGAAATGAAACACCAATGAATAATCTAGGCTGTATCTAATGGAAACAGAATAGCTGAACAGTGAAGATCATGGGCATTAGAGATAGACCAGCATTTAAATTCTGTTACTGTGTGACTTTAAGCAACTTACTTATTTTCCCAAATTCTCAATTTTCTCATCTGCAGTGTGTATGAAATACCAATGCCTATTTCAATTAAGTTGTAATGATTAAATAAAAATGATGTACAAAAAATGCTTATGGATACCTGATATAGTTTGGCTCTGTGTCCCCACCAAAATCTCATGTCCAATTGTAATCCCCATGTGTCAGGGGAGGGGCCGGGTAGAAGGTGATTAGATCATAGGGGCACATTTTCCCGTTACTGTTTCAAGTATAGTGAGTTCTCAGGAGATCTGATGGTTTTAAAGTGTATGGCACTTCCCCCTTCACTCTCTCTGTCTCCTGCCACCACGTGAAGAAGGGCCTTACTTACCCTTCAACTTCAGCCATGATGGTAAATTACCTAAGGCCTCCAAGTGTCATGCTTCCTGTTAAGCCTGTGGAACTGTGAGTCAATTAAACCTCTTTTCTTCATAAATTACCCAGTTTCAGGTAGTTCTTTATAGCAGTGTGAAAATGGACTAATACAATACCTGATGCAGAATAGGCACTAAAAATATGTTAACTGGGAAAATTATGATAGTGATAGAGTGCTTCAGAATCTTGCCTCAACAGTCTTTTATTTTATACCTTTTTAGGTTAACTAGCCCTCAGACCAACAATGTCATTGGTTGAAGAGGGCTGTCCATTTCATCTGATAGAGGGCTCTTTAGGCAGCTTCTATACTCATTAGGTTCGTCAAATATGAACTGTTCCAGATGACTAGTAATAAGACGTTTTCACTGATGGCAATTGATGTTTCTCCTTTCCAACACATCAAAGTCTATCAAAAACTGAATCACTTGCATTCTGACATCACTCCATATGCTGCAAAATTTCTTCTACTAACTTTAATTTTTTAGGCACCTAGTATTGAGCACCTATTATCTATCTGGCACTGCTTACACTGATAATTTAAAATTAAAAGATTCATTTGGTATTCTCTGTTAAAGCAGAAAAACAAAAAGATGAACATAGTATTGGAGGATAAGTGTTATAACAGACAAAAGCCTGGAAGGTTATGGAAACACAGAAAGAGAATATCCAAACTGGAATAACTGACATGGGCAGAAGGATGATAAAGAAGGATGCCTGGAGAATGTGATGGGTGAGCTGAGTTTTAACAGATGAGCAGGAATTAGCTAAATTAGAAAGAGGAGAGAGGTCATTCTAAGGAACTTGTATAGAGGCAAAGTGATATGAGAGAATATGTTGGATTTAGGAAAATATGAATGGTTCAACAAGGCCAGCTACTTGCATTTTAAATGACTGATGCTTAGGTTTGTTAAGTTTAATATTTTACATGTAACATTTTATCTGTCCAATTGTGGAGTTAAAACTGCATATACTTGTATTGACCCATTTTCAATAAGAAAGAGAATTGATAGCACATACATGATTTATCAGACCAATTAAATTCCATTGTAAACAGGAAGAAGAATGTTTTTAAAACTTACTTTTGCGTTTGCCTAGTAATCATAATCTGATCACCTGAGATATCCTAAAAGGCTCCATAAGAAATATTTATATTGTATTTTAGGAAACTCAACAATTAGCTCCCAGCCTCAGTCTTCCCAAGTGATAATATATACAACTTTTAATTTTGCCCCACAGAAAAATGATACAACTTCTTTTTTTTTTGAGATGAAGTCTCATTCTGTCGCCCAGGCCGGAGTGCAGTGGCACGATCTCAGCTCACTGCCACCTCCGCCTCCCAGGTTCAAGCGATTTTCCTGCCTCAGCCTCCCGAGTAGCTGGGACTACAGGTGCGTGCCACCATGCCTGGCTAAGTTTTTATATTTTTAGTAGAGAAGGGGCTTTGCCATGTTAGCCAGGATGGACTCGATCTCCTGACCTCATGATCCACTCACCTCGGCCTCCCAAAGTGCTGGAATTACAGGCGTGAGCCACCGCACCCGGCCACTTCTTTCTGATATTATCTTGTTCTGTGACTCTGAATTTAACGGATGTTCATCAAGAATGAAAAGGCAACTTCATTGTGTTAAAGTCTGAATGATTTTAGGTGCAAAAACTGTAGACTACAGCCTATCTTATCATATGCATTCCAGGATTAGGTAAAACACACCCAGAAAATAATAAGTCTTATTCTATTTAAACACCATTCAGCTGGAATAATTCTTGCCTGATTTTAAAATCTGAGCACCCAAATACTCACTAAAATTTTAGTGAGTTTACCCAGATAAATAACTCTCTTTATAAATACCTGCTTTTTGAGATCATTTTCTTCAGGACTTTATTTTTTATTAAACTCAAAATTACGAGAGAATAATCATTCCACAACATGAAATAAGAACTATGCACAATTTATTAGGAATGATAATAAGTCTGGCTAGATTTTCAAAACTACAAATGATATCCAGAGTGATTCTGGTATTAACTTCCAGGCCATTCACATTAGATAACCGGTATCTC
Organism: Homo sapiens; assembly: GCF_000001405.40. NCBI lineage: Eukaryota > Metazoa > Chordata > Mammalia > Primates > Hominidae > Homo > Homo sapiens. The sequence continues at coordinate 104,659,874 of NC_000004.12, forward strand.
AAAACTAGTCTTGTCTGAATGTTCATATTCTGAGTCTATAATCTATATATGTGTGTGTTCCATACCAATTTGCATTAAATGGTGCCTAATTTCAGTCTCTCTATCAGAAAGGCTCAAACTTCAGATTTCACCAACAGTCTTTATATGGTCCTATAGTTTTAGGCTGATATCCATCCGATACTGAAATTTAAGGTGTACTTTCTTTCAATATGCTCTGCAAAATGCCAACCATGGTTGCCTATTTCCTGGGGATGACATTCCTTGTGAATTCTCCGATCTGTACTTTGGTGTTGTATATGTGTTCACATAAGCACCTAAATTTTTGGCAGAGAGAAGGCACCAGATTGGCAATAAATCACCTGAAAATAGCTTTTCAGTATGAAAAATGTTGGACTCTATGATGCTTCTTATGTAACATTATCAAAGATACCCATTTCACTACCATTTCATCTTAGTCCAAACCCTACCATGTAATAGTTCAAGATTTTAATGTTTAGATTTTTGTGCCCTATAAACAGAATTCACTACACATGTATAGGCTCTGAATTTACTAATTGAAGATAAAGTAAATACCATATCTTACAAGAAAATTATACAAACCAATACTAATTTATAATTTGCAGTGTAGCTCAATGAATCTAATACATGATTTTGTATACTTGGGCAACTTTGAGAACAGTGAATGTGCGTGAAATGTTCATTGAAGACTTTGATTTTTAAAAATTCCATTAGTAAAACCTATGAACCATATTGTCCTTGCCTCAATCAACATTTTGACTGTCAAACTCTCTTTCCTATCTGATCACATGCATTTCTATAAGTTTACAGACAGAGAAAGGAAGGTGTTTTCTTTGTTTTAATAAAAAGAAAGGAAGAGATACTTTTCAACACTTCAAATCCCATCAGCCTGGTCAAAGATAATTTGCATCGTTTACTTTTATTGCCCTCATCAATAGATCCAATTGTATTTCTGTTTAGCCCCTTTATTTTTTGAATTCACTTTTACCTTTCTGATCTTATCTTTACTTATTTCATTCAGGATTTTAAGAATTACTTTACCTCTCTATCCTTATAAAACTTCTAAGGACTTCTAACTGGCAATTGTGTAATATCAAAGCCAATTGTCTCTAGTTAGACAATTTTAAATATGTACAATGATAGCTGTTATCCATAACAAAATTTTAAGATTAATAACATTAAGGTCTGTTAAAATGCAAATGTAACAATAATTTAGTTATATGCTGTATTTTTTCTATGATTCTGTTTTTTGGGGGATACATATTCTATATAGCTTAAATTCCTTACTTATGAGCATAAACCAGAGTAAAGTAAGGGAGTGGATATAAATCAAGATAGCTGCTCTTTTACTTCAGGGTAAAAGGCTGCTTTCATGTCTCCTCAGGCAGGGAGTAACAGCTACTCCATGAAAATTGATCCACAGCCATCCTTCTACCCTGACCGTTAACACTAAGGTGCGTTCAGGGAAGGATCAGAACATGTCTATATTTTGCTTTCGAGTCACAAACTTTGCCATTTTATATCTACAGAGGCAATCAGTACAACTGTGCAGAACTTCTGGAAGATTGGCACAAAGCATTTTAAAAATCACTTTCTAGTCTATATTAAATTCTTCAAGAATACTTATGAAGAAACAGGAAGTAACTAACTTTCTTTACCTTTTCAAGAATTGGCTCGTGAGAAAAGGTAATATATGAAACTTGTAGTGTTTTAAAAATCTTTGTACTCTAGCCAAAAAAACTTAATAGATAAACAAATAAATTCTCCTAGTAATATAATTTTTACTTTAGGGCTTCTTTAGCTCTTAAAACTTCCTTATTAACAGCAAATTTTCTTCATTTTTTTCTTATCTTAATTTTCCATGACTAGTCTTCTTTTTTATTCCAACTCCAAGCTTGTAGAACAACTCAGCAAATGTCTTGGGGTGAATGCCTGAGCCCAAGGCCTCTTTACTCTTGTGGCCAAGTCTGTCTGACAGATTCTGGAATTACTGATTGTCAGGCTGATTTCTCTTCCCATCTCCACACTTGGTCTGTCCTGCCTTGCACAGAGGCATGCAGACACCCCAGTATACTTGTCTAGACTCTGCTCACACCTATGGTAATAGCTACTCCTCAGGCCAAGGGGTGTGGTACATGCTGGACCCAGTCTTGAAAAAAGAGGTCCTGTAAGACCTAGAAGCAGGCTTGGGTGATTTGAGTGTGGGATTCTAGAGTTCTGTGTGTCTTGGCATCCGGTCATAAAATCAGTGGGCAGGTCCTGGGTGAGTGTATCCTCTTGGATCCATGGACTCCTGACCCATTGAATAGAGGTGAGGTCCTGGAAGGCCAGGGTAGCCCCCTCTAAGTTCAGGGCTCAAAGCTGGGCCTCAGTTTTCCAGGTTAAAAGTTATTATTGTGGAGAAGCCTTCTAGATACATGTGAGGAAATACTAGATATTATATAAACAGTATTATTCCCAGCCATGAACAACACCAGCAGCCCATGTTTAATTAAAAATGTGGAATTGAAAGGTAAATATGTTTTATAATGAACCCCAAGCTAAAGAAAACAAAACTATAATAATGAATCAAAGAAGGAAGTGAGTAGAAGCTGGAAACCATCATTCTCAGCAAACTATCACAAGGACAAAAAACCAAACACCACATGTTCTCACTCATAGGTAGGAATTGAACAATGAGAACACTTGGACACAGGAAGGGGAACATCACACACCGGAGCCTGTTGTCGGGTCGGGGGAGGGGGAGGGATAGCATTAGGAGATATACCTAATGTAAATGACGAGTTAATGGGTGCAGCACACCAGCATGGCACATGTATACATATGTAACTAACCTGCACATTGTGCACATGTACCCTAGAACTTAAAGTATAATAATAAAAAAATTTAAAAAATGCTTTGAGAATTCTAGGCTAGTAATCACTTACTCCATGAATATTTTATAGGTACCTGTTATGTCTCCAATGCTGTACTAGGTGCAAGGAACACATCGGTGAAAGGAAAGGACAACATATCTGTCCTCATGCAGTTTATGTTCTTCATTACGTAACAGTACATAGAGAGACAAACAATAAAAACATATTTAGAAAGTTATGTATATAATTGGCATAGTAACTAGAAATATTTATAAGGCAAATAAATAAAATAAGCAGTGAAAGATGAGCATTGCAGGCAGGGATGAGTAGTGCAAAGTTTCTGTGGTGGAAAATGGCTTTTCATGGGACAATATGAGATGAGGTTGAAGAGAAGAGTATTCAGCACCTTGGCCAGGCCCGGTGGCTCAGGCCTGTAATCCCAGCACTTTGGGAGGCTGAGGCGGGCGTATCACGAGGTCAGGAGATCAAGACCATCCTAGATAACACGGTGAAACCCAGTCTCTAAAAAATTAGCCGGGTGTGGTGGCAGGCTCCTGTAGTCTACACCAGCTACTCGGGAGGCTGAGGCAGGAGAATGGCGTGAACCCGGGAGGCGGAGCTTGCAGTGAGCCGAGATGGCGCCACTGCACTCCAGCCTGGGCAACAGAGCAACACTCTGTCTCAGAAAAAAAAAAAAAAAGACTATTCAGCACCTTGTAGACTATGATAAGGATTTTAATTTTATTCCAGGAGTAATAAGAAGTCCTTAAAAGGTTTTCAGCGGGAAAGTTTCAAAGTTTCAGATATAATGTACATTATTGAGAGATGGCTATATTAGTTAGCTTGGGATGCCATAACATAAAACCATAGACTGGGAGGTTTAACCAGAAACGTATTTTCTCATATTCTGAAAGCTTGGAATTCTGAGATCAGGGTGTCAACATGGTCAGATTCTGGTGAGGAGGACTCTCCCATGATGCAGACGGCCCTCTGTTCACTCTCAGTGTGTTTTTTCATGGCAGGTATGAGAGAGAGAGAGAGAGAGAGCACAAGAGCGCTTTGGTGTGTTTTCTTATAAAAACACTAATCTCATCATGAAGGCTCCACCTTTATGACTTCATTTAATTATAATTAGCTCTCAAAGTCTCCATCTCCAACTACCACCCCATTGGGAATTAGGGCTTCAACATATGAATGGCGGGGGGGACACACACATTCAGTCCATACCAATCACTGGTTGTTGTGTGGAGAGAGGTACAAGTGGCAGGAAGGAGACCAGAAAGAAGGTTATTGTGTTCCAAGAGTAATGACAGAAAAAATGTTATCACACAGCACAATTTACTCAAGAGTCTAAGACAACATAAAATGCTTTTGAATATTTCCATTTTATAGCTGTATTTTAAAAATCACCTTGAACATTTTGCAATTCTCAAGCATTATGTTTATGTACTATTTGTGCAGGCAAAAAGTGGATGTGGGAGGAAAAGGCCAAGAGCAGGTCAGTCTTCCTTTTCAGTCCCTGCCGGTATAACTTGTCAGGAAGCATGACAATATTAAATGGGTGGGAATAAGAGAGCAGAGTGGATTTAAATCCAGCCTCTACGTAAAGATTTTCTGGGATCCTACTATCAACCCCACCTAAAATGTTTGCTTTAGGACACAGATTTCAGCCAAATAACAGGCCAAGCTAGGGTGAAAAGAACAGGACACTAAGTCAAATGTGCAAGTTGTTGCAGGTCTCAAGGATCCTGATATTCCTTACTCTTTTGCTGCCACCCTACCTACCCCTGCTATCTTTCTTCCCCACCTTCCTGTATTTGCTCTGAATCTGTGTTTCCCTCTTCTTGCTCAGCTCACTGATTCAACTTCACTGGACCCCAGCTATTTGCAAAGCACTATTGACTTTTCCTGAAATTCTCTCCTAGGTTCTCAGACACTTGTTTAAATTGTTAAATTGGGTATTAATTCAACTAGGGGTAAGGAGGAGGGGAAAATACCACAAGCTGCCTCATTTCAGCAGTCCCCTGATAGCTTTCCCAACTCCAAAAATCAGTTTCAACCAAGTGTGCTACTACATGTGCAAAAAAGCAATGCTACGGCAGCTATCTGAGAGTATGACAGTGAAAAAAAAATAGACTATTTCCGGTCACTGAGTAAAATAATTATTAACGTGTACACCATAGCTGCTGTAGACAGTTATGTACTATGGGGAATGCAGCAACAAATGAACTGGTGTTGCGTTTATGCCCCTATGCCCTGACAACACGGCCTTATTAATTCCAGGAGGCCCTATTAACAGGGTGGCAAGTGGTCTGCAACCTTGTTTTCTCACCCATTAACCACAGCACCTTGACCACAAGATGGCCTTTTTTATGTATTATTACATAATGCCAGTCTGATTTTCCCAAACATAGCTCACATAGCATAACAAGAAACTACTTGGCTTTGGCCAAACAAGGCTTGGCTGCCTGCAGCCCAAGTGACACTCCCTCCTGTCACTAGAGAGGTATGATCTAGTTGAGGAACAAAAAATGAAATAACCACTGAGCAATTCCAGATAATGTAAAAAGAATCTTTGTCTATTGAATTCAACTGTGAAAAGGACATCCCAAGCAAACTCTTATTCATACTAGCTTAAGCCTACTCTGCTACTCAAGTTTCAATAATTTGGACTGATTCATTCCTCAAGCCAAGTCTCCATTGTTTTTCTCCTGCGGAAAGTCTATAAAGATGCTGCAAGTAAAGCCTGCAAGATAACTGTAGAGCTGAATTCCATTCTTCCCTGGGCTGCTCCTCCAAACACAGCCTTCATTAACCCTGGATAAGTAACATGGAGGCACCAGGCTTAGAGAGCAAATGTTTGAAATTAGATATGATCACTGCCAAATAAATCTATTTGGCAACTTAACCCCTAATATAAAACCCACTAAAAGACAGATGATATAGTTATATATGTAAATAGAGATACAGATACATAGATATGCATTAGCTATAGTGACTACTACATGCAAAGTTCTGATGCTCTATCAGTGAATAAAAGAGGTGAGGGGAAATAGTCATTAAATGAATATACAATTTATTATGTGATCACTATTATGATATGTGCTTTGAAGAAGAAATTAGGTGCTTTGAAAACTTATAAAGAGGTTTTGACCTAGTCTTGGGGACCGGAATTAGCTGTTAGGATTCAGTTTCAGCACTAATAATAATAATAATTAACTTCCCCTCTTTTACTTAGAAGTGGTCTGGCCTCCCTGCTAGGTAGTGACTCCTCTAGACTTTACACAGGCCACAGAAGAACTTTGTTCATTTTTGCAAGCTCCACAGTCCATCTTCTGAAAAACTACATGACACTTGGTCTCAGGAGGAAAGATAACCAGGACCAAGGTCCTCATACCTAATCTCTTTAGTTTACCTGACTCGGCAGGACCAGCGCTGCCCTCCCAGTTATCCATCAGGATGAGGACACTTATCTCTACATGGTTCTATATATGCCCTTAAATCTGACCCAGTTCTTCCTCTCCTCCCCACCACTCTAAATTCTTGTTTTGTGGCTTCTGAAACTCATAGTCTGCTTGCAGCTAACTGTTATATCTTTGTCTTTTTTCCAGTCATTCTTGTTACCTTTGGGCTCTCACTGAAACTTGGCCCTCCCCACGGTCACAGCTGCCCCTGAAGCCTTCTCAAGTGATGGCTCTTTTCTCAACCATACTTTATGTCTTTCTGGTTCTTGCTCTTCCTTGCTAATTTCTATATGCTCCCTGATAAATACATAGTCATGCACACACATACACACACCGAAAATACTCCCGTCTGAAGACACTACCAGTTGACAGCAACTAACATTTACATAGGTTGAATATCCCTTATCTCGTCCTAGGGACCAGAAGTGTTTCCTATTTTAGATTTTTTCGGATTTTGGAATATTCGCATGTACATACCTGTTGTTCACTCTTAATCTGAAAATTCGAGCATGTCAGGGCTCAAAATGATTACCCTGTTCCAGGCATCGATCTGACTTAATATTCACAAAACACTCTGAGTTACATATGTTCCTATCCTTATTCTACTGATGCACTTGAGGTACTGGGATATTGGGTGAAATATTCACAGTCAAACAGCTAGGAGGTATTAGAGTGGGGATTTGTACCCTGGAAGTATGGCTCCAGCGTTCATCTTCTTAAAGACTCTGTCATATTGCCTCCCATCACTTGCTGGCCTGTGATGCAGTGATGATCTCAGTTCTGTGTATTAGTCTGTCCTCACGCTGCTGATAAAGACATACCCAAGACAAAAGAAAGAGGTTTAATGGACTTATAGTTCCACGTGGCTGGGAAGGCCTCACAATCATGGCAGAAGGTGAAAGGCACATCTCACATGGTGGCAGACAAGAGAAGAGAGCTTGTGCAGGGAAACTCCCCTTTTTAAAAACCATCAGATCTTGTAATACTTACTCACTACCATGAGAACAACACAGGAAAGACCTGCCCTATGATTCAGTTACCTCCCACCAGGTCCCTCCCACAACACGTGGGAATTCAAGATGAGATCTGGGTGGGGACACAGCCAAACCATATCATTCCACCCCTGGCCCCTCCCAAATCTCATGACCTCACATTTCAAAAACCAATCATGCCTTCCCAACAGTCCCCAAAGTCTTAACTCATGTCTGCATTAACTCAAAAGTCCACAGTCCAAAGTATCATCTGAGACAAGGCAAGTCCCTTCCACCTATGAGCCTGTAAAATTAAAAGCAAGTTAGTTACTTCCTAGATACAATGGGAGTATAGGCATTGAGTAAATACAGCCATTCCAAATAGGAGAAATTGGCCAAAACAAAGAGGCTACAGGCCCCATGAAAGTCTGAAATCTGGCAGGACAGTTAAATCTTTCAAAGTTCCAAAATGATCTCCTTTGACTCCATGTCTCACATCCAGTTTACACTGATGCAAGAGATGAGTTCCCATGGTCTTGGGCAGCTCCACACCTGTGGTTTGTTAGGGTACAGCCTCCCTCTTGGCTGCTTTCATGGGCTGGCATTGAGTGTCTGCAGCTTTTCCAGGCACACAATGCAACTGTCAGTGGATATACCATTCTGGGGTCTGGAGGACGATGGCCCTCTTCTCACAGCTCTACTAGGCAGTACTTCAGTAGGGACTGTGTGTAGGGGCTCCAACCCCACATTTCCCTTTCACACTGTCCTAGCAGAGGTTCTCCCTGAGAGCCCTGCCCCGTAGCAAACTTCTGCCTGGACATCCAGGCATTTCCGTACATCCTCTGAAATCTAGGTGGAGGTTCCCAAACTCCAATTCTTGACTTCCATGCACTGGCAGGCTCAACACCACATAGAAGCTGCAAAGGCTTGAGGCATGGACCCTCTGAAGCCACAGCCTGAGCTCTGTGTTGGCTCCTTTCAGGCATGGCTGGAGTGCCTGGGACACAGGGCACCAAGTCCTTAGGCTGCACACAGCACAGGCACCATGGGCCCAGCCCATGAAACCACTTTTTGCCTCCTAGGCCTCTAGGCCTGTGATGGAAGGGGTTACCTTGAAGACCTCTGACATGCCCTGGAGACATTTTCCCCACTGTCTTTGGGATTAACATTCAGTTCCTCATTACTTATGCAAATTTCTGCAGCCAGCTTCTCCTCAGAAAATGGGATTTTCTTTTATATTGCATTGTCAGGCTGCAAATTTTCCAAACATTTATGCTCTGCTTCCCTTATAAAACTGAAGCCTTTAACAGCACCCAAGTTACCTCTTAAATGCTTTGCTGCTTAGAAATTTCTTCTGCCAAATACCCTAAATCATCTCTCTCAAGTTGAAAGGTCCACACATCTCTAGGGCAGGGGCAAAATGCCACCAGTCTCTTTGCTAAAACATAATAAGAGTCATCTTTGCTCCAGTTCCCAACAAGTCCCTCATTTCCATCTGAGACCACCTCAGCCTTGATTTCATTGTCCATATCATTATCAGCATTTTGGTCAAAGCCAGTAAACAAGTTTCTAAGGAGTTCCACACTTTCCCACATTTTCCTATCTTCTTCTGAGCCCTCCAAACTGTTCCAAACTCTGCCTGTTACCCAGATCCAAAGTTGCCTCCCCCTTTTGGGGCATCTTTTCAGCAGCACCCCACTCTACTGGTATCAACTTACCATATTAGTCTGTTTTCATGCTGCTGATAAAGACATACCCAAGACTGGGCAATTTACACACACACACACACACACACACACACACACACACACACACACACACACAGAGGTTTATTGGAGTTCCACATGGCTGGGGAGTCCTCACAATCATGGTGGAAGGTGAAAGGCACATCTCACATGGTGGCAGACAAGAGAACAGAGCTTGTGCAGGAGAAATTCCCCTTTTTAAAAACCATCCGATCTTATAAGACTTATTCACTGTCACGAGAACAGCTCAGGAAAGACCTGCCCCCATGATTCAGTTACCTCCCACCAGGTCCCTCCCACAAGACGTGGAAATTCAAGATGAGATTTGGGTGGGGACACAGCCAAACCATATCACTCTGAGATCATTGTTTTTTTCCTCTGTTACTAGTCCTGTGATCAACCTTGGTGACTTCAATAGATGGGAAGAAAATGCAACACTTAGGCCTCATGGTTCCTTGATGCCATTCCCCATTCATGCACTCTCCTGGATGTCCTCTTCATCTTGTCATTGCCAATAACTGTTCCATCTCCCAAATCCCACTCTCAAATATCTCAAATAACACCTTTCATCTTCCCACTTATAGACTCCAGCACCTCCACTCCCATGATTGTTCTGCATGCTTCGTTTCTTCCTCACTCACTTGCATTCCATGCCTGATTACAATCATGTCCTTGCACACTCCTTCTCTTTCCTTGCCCTTTTCTTTCTCAATCCTTCTTTCTTGACAGGATTCTAATCCAGGTTGAATTTAGCTCTTCACCTACCTCATAATTCTGTGCAGCTGAACATGAAGTAAAGATGAAGTCATGATAATTTTAAATTTATAAAAGCAAACTTCAGCACCACCTAGTAACTACCTTTTACTAAATCAGTTCTCTTTCCTAGACTATAAGATAACTAAATTTTACTTACTCTTCTTTCTCTACAAACCTGAAACATCACATACTTAATCTTGTATAAGTGATAATTTTGCCTCATATGTCTGAGCAAATAGAAATCACAGAGACCATCCTCATCCTTCCACCCTCAAACTTCCAACCTACCTGCATTCATGCACTTGTACTATGTATCTCTTCCCTTCAAAAGGGATGGTATTCCAAGCCCATTTCCAAAATCATTTTTTTATTTCACAATATAATTAACTTTACTATGTAGAAATCAAGCAATATATTATAAAATGTAAACAAAAGAAAACCAAATGAACCTATATCCAATGTTTTGAGGTTTTTTTTCTAGCTTCAGTATTGTTTTTCTCTCAGGATGTATCCCTGTAGTTTTATTTTGCTTTTCCCCAAAGTAATTGTGCACCTATCAACACAATTGTGGAAATAAGTAATAGATGTAGCATCATCACTTTCTTATTGTGTTCTCATGATGAATTCAGCATTTCTCAGCATATTGAGAGTTTAAATTATTAATCTTATACATAATCCAAAAACACATTCATAACATACAGCATATAATATAGAGAGAACAAACTATACTCTGGTGTCCAGTGTTTGTGACAACACAAACCAGTAGAGAAAAGCTTGAACTGTTTTGCATGTCACCAACACAAAAAGATGAAAAAACATTTAAATGTAAGAGCAACTTAAGCAAACTTTTATCTGCTTACCTTCTAGATAGCTTGATATAAACAATATAAAATAATTTATTTCAATTTCCTGTCCAATTCTTTTTTTCTGTTTATTTTTGGTTTTTATTTTTTATTTCAACAGGTTTTTGTGTATGGGTGGTGTTTGGTTACATGAATAAGTTCTTTAGTGGTGATTTAGTGCACACCATACTCAGTGTGCAGTCTTTTATCCCTCACACCCCTCTCACCCTTCCCCCCAAGCCTCCAAAGTCCATTGTATCATTCTTATGCCTTTGCATCCTCATAGCTTAGCTCCCACTTATGAGAACATATGATGTTTGGTATTTTATTCCAAAAACCAAACATCACATGTTCTCACTCAAAAGTGAAGAGTTAGTTCACTTAGAATAATAGTCCGCAGTTCCACCCAGGTTGCCACAAATGCCATTGTTTTGTTCCTTTTTATGGCTAAGCAGTATTCCATGGTAAATATGTACACATTTTCTTTATCCACTCATTAATGGATGGGCATGTGGGTTGGTTCCTTATTTTTGCAATTGCGAATTGTGCTGCTGTAAACATATGTGTGCAAGTGTCTTTTTCATATAATGACTTATTTTCCTCTGGGTAGATACCTAGGAGTGGGATTGTGAGATCAAATGGTAGACCTACTATTAGTTCTTTAAGAATCACCATTCTGTTTTCCACAGTAGTTGTACTAGTTTACATTCTCACCAGCAGTGTAATCGTGTTCCCTTTCCACCCCATCCACACCAACGTCTATTTTTTTTTATTTTTTTATTATCACCATTCTTGCAGGAATGAGGTGGTATCACATTGTGGTTTTGATTTGTATTTCCCCGATAATTAGTGACATTGAGCATTTTTTCATATGTTTGTTGGTCATTTGCATGTCTTCTTTTGAGAATTGTTTATTCATGTCCTTAGCCCACTTTTTGATGGGATTTTATTTTTCCTGCTGATTTGTTTGACCTCCTTGTAGATTCTGGACATTAGTCCTTTGTCAGATGCATAGTTTGCTAAGATTTTCTCCCAGTCTGTGGGTTGGTTATCTGTTTACTCTGCTGATTATTTCTTTTGCTGTGCAGCAGCCTTTTAGTTTAATTAAGTCCTATCTATTTATCTTTGTGGTTGCATTTGCTTTTGGGTACTTGGTAAAGAAGTATTTGCCTAAGCCAATGTCTAGAAGGGTTTTTCTGATGTTATCTTCTAGAATTTTTATGCTTTCAGATCTTGGATTTAACTCTTTGATCTATCTTGAGTTGATTTTTACATAAGGTGGAAGATGAGGATCCAGTTTTATTCTTCTTCATGTGACTTGCCAATTATCCCAGCACCATTTGTTGAATAGGGTATTCTTTCCTCACTTTATGTTTTTGTTTGCTTTCTCAAAGATCAGTTGGCTATAAGTGTTTGGGTTTATTTCTGGGTTCTCTGTTCTGTTCCATTGGTCTTTGTGCCTATTTTTATACCAGTACCATGTTGTTTCGGTGACTATGGCCTTATAGTACAGTTTGAAATCAGGTAACATGATGCCTCCAGATTTCTTCTTTTTGCTTAGTCTTGTTTTGGCTATGTAGGCTCCTTTTTGGTTCCACATGAATTTTAGGATAGTTTTCTCTAGTTCTGTGAAGAATGATGATGGTATTTTGATGGGAATTGCATTGATTTTGTAGATTGCTTTTGGCAACATGGTCATTTTCACAATATTGATTCCACCCATCCACTATGTGTTTTCATTATTTGTGTCATCTATGATTTCTTTCAACAGTGTTTTGTAGTTTTTCTTGCAGAGGCCTATCACCTCCTTGGTAGGGTATATTCCTAAGTATTTTATTTTTATTTTTTACAGCTATTGTAAAAGGGGTTGAGTTCTTGATTTGATTCTCAGCGTGGTCACTATTGGTGTATAGCATTGCTACTGATTTGTGTACATGAATTTTGTATCCTGAAACTTCACTGAATTCATTTATCAGTTACAGGAGCTTTTTGGATGAGTCTTTAGGGTTTTCTAGGTATACAATCATATCATCAGCAAACAGTGACAGTTTGGCTTCCTCGTTATTGATTTGGATCCCCTTTCTTTCTTTCTTTTGTCTGATTGCTCTACCTAGGATTTCCAGTATTATGTTGAATAGAAGCGGTGAAAGTGGACATCCTTTCCAGTGTTCCAGTTCTCAGAGGGAATGCTTTCAACTTTTCCCCATCTAGTATGATCTTGACGGTGGGTTTTTCATAGATGGCTTTTATTACCTTAAAGTATGTACCTTCTGTGCCAATTTTGCTGAGGGTTTGAATCATAAAGGGATGTGGATTTTGTCAAATGCTTTTTCTATGTCTATTGAGATGATCATGTCATTTTTGTTTTTAATTCTGTTTATGTGATGTATCACATTTATTGACTTGCATATGTTAAAACATCCCTGGATCCCTGGTGTGAAATCCACTTGATCATGATGGACTATCTTTTTGATATGCTGTGGGATTCATTTAGCTAGTATTTTGTTGAGGATTTTTGCATCTATATTCATATTCATCAGGGATATTGGCCTGTGGTTTTATTTTTGTTACGTGCTTCCCTGGTTTTGGTATTAGAGTGATACTAAATTCATAGAATGATTTAAGGAGTATTCCCTCTTTCTCTGTCTTTTCGAATAGTGTCAGTAGGATTGGTACCAATTCTTCTTTAAACATCTGATAGAATTCAGCTGTGAATCCATCTGATCCTAGATATTTTTTTTGGCAGTTTTTTAATTACCATTTCCATCTGACTGCTTTTTATTGGTTTGTTCAGAGTTTCTATTTCTTCCTGGTTTAATCTAGGAGGATTGTATATTTCCAGGAATTTATCCATCTCCTCTAGATTTTCTAGTTTGTGTGCATAAAGTTGTTCATAGTAGCCTTGAATGGTCTTTTGTATTTCTGCAGTATTGGTTGTAATATCTCTCACTTCATTTCTAATTGAGCTTATTTGGATCCTCTCTCTTCTTTTCTTGGTTAATCTCACTAATGGTCTATCAATTTTTTTAATCTTTTCAAAGAAGCAGCTTTTCGTTTCATTTATCTTTTGTATTGTTTTTGTTTCCATTTCATTTAGTTCTGGTCAGATCTTCGTTGTTTCTTTTCTTTGCCGGGTTTGAGATTGGTTTGTTCTTGTTTCTCTAGTTCCTTGAGTTGTGATGTTAGATTGTCTTTTTGTGCTCTTTCAGACTTCGTGATGTAGGCATTCAACGCTATGAACTTACCTCTTACACCACTTTTGCTGTATCCCAGAGGTTTTGATAAGTTGTATCGCTATTATTGTTCAGTTCAAAGAATTTTCTAATTTCCATCTGGATTTCATTGTTGACCACTGATCACTCAGGAGCAGGTTATTTGCTTTCCATGTATTTGCATAGTTTTGTGGGTTCCTTTTAAAGTTGATTTTCACTGTGGTCTGAGAGAATATTTGATATAATTTTGGTTTTCTAAAATGTATTGGGACTTGTTTTGTGGCCTATTATATGGTCTATCTTGGAGAATGTTCCATGTGCTAATGAAAAGAATGTATATTCTGCAGCTTTTGGGTAGAATGTTCTGTAAATATCTGTTAAGTCCATTTGCTGTAGGGTATAGTGTAAGTCCATTGTTTCTTTGTTGACTTTCTGTCTTGATGACCTATCTAGTCCTGTCAGTGGAATAGTCCCCAGTGTCTATTTTTCCTATCTTTGTATCAATAGGTACCCCATGTTTATTTTCCACTTATAAGTGAGAACATGTTGTATTTGATGTTCTGTTCTTGCATTAATTTGATTAGGATAATGGCCTCCAACTGCATCCACACATGTTGTATTTGATGTTCTGTTCCTGCATTAATTTGGTTAGGATAATGGCCTCCAACTGCATCCACATTGCTGCAAAGAACATGGTTTCATTCTTTTTTGTGGCTGTCTAGTATTCCATGGTGTATACATGCCACATTTTCTTTATCCAATCCACAATTGATAGGCACCTTGGTTGATTCCATGTCTTTGCTATTGTGAATAGTGCTGCAATGAACATACAAATACATGTGTTTTAATGGTAGAATGATTTATTTTCCTTTGGATATATACCCAGTAATGGGATTGCTGGGTCAAATGGTAGTTCTATTTTAAGTTCTTGAGAAATCTTCAAATTTCTTTCCACAGTGCCTGAACTAATTTATTTTTCCATCAACAGTATATATGCATTCCCTTTTCTTTGTAGCTTTACCAACATCTGTCATTTTTTGGCCTTTCAATAATGGTAATTCTGACTGGTGTGAGATGAGTCAAAATCATCATGATTTCGATTTGCAATTCTCTGTTAATTAGTGATGCTGAGCATTTTTTAAAATGTTTATTGACTGCTTGTATGTCTTCTTTTGAGAACTGTCTGTTCATGTTCTTTGCCTACCTTTTAAAGGGGGTATTAGTTTTTGTTTGTTGCATTAAGTTTCTTATAGATGGTAGTTATTAGACCTTTGTTGGATTCATAGTTTGTGAATATTTTCTCCTATTCTGTAGGTTGTCTGTTCACTCTGTTGATGATAGTTTCTTTTGCTGTGTAGAAACACTTTAGTTTAATTAAGTCCCATATGTCAATTTTTCTTTTTGTTGCAATTGCTCTTTTTAAAATAATTTCAACTTTTATTTTAGGTTGAGGGAGTACATATGCTGGTTTGTTACATGGAACTACCCATGTCTTGACATCATCACTCACACAGGGATTACTTTAATCACTTCCTAGCAAGCCTCTTTATCCTCCAATTCATGCTATAGTTACTGCCAATATACATTTCCCTAAACATTGCTTATGTTAGTCTCTGCTCAAAAACAATCTAGATCTCCCTGCTTAAAACTCTATGCAATGTAAATGTCTTTGCTTAATTTTTAAGACATCTCAGAATACCTATCCGTGTTTCCCACAAACTCTTTTGCCTAATACAGTCAGTATCCTCATGGCTATATAAAAATCTGTTGCTTCTGAACATTTTCAAGTATTTTTCCCTCACCTAAGCAGCAGTTTTCAACTCTGCTGCCTTTTAAGTTTCAGCCTATCCTTCAAGGCTAAGACCTACTCTCTCCATATTAACTTCCCAGTCTGCGTTTTTTTTCATCTCCCCTCTATGCTCCTGCAGCACTCATGGCATATTCCACATAGATCAACACCTGTGCACAAAAGTATTCAAAAGCTCATTCATTTTATCTTGGTTTTTCCAGTATTACCTCCTAGGAGGCAGGAACTGCATTTTACACAGACTCCAAAGCACTTGCACAGTAATGAACATACAATAGGAATTTATTAGCTAGACACTCAGAAGGTTTATGAACCCTCTTTTTGCCTATTTATATTTTCTAAAAGATATTGATCTTTTATTTATTTCAGTAAAATATTACATGCATGTATAGTATGAAATAGGTTTATAGCCTCTATTTAAGAGATCTTTCTGGGACGCTCAAAACAATCTAATAAGCACTTAGAATGATACTTTTATTTCTTCTCACTTTCTCTTCTTTTCTATACAGAGAACCTTGGCAATATCCTGAATTTAGTACTAAAAGCAAAGGATAAGGAAGGTGTTATGTGGCCTCTGTATAACAGAGAATGTTCTATACTGAAAACTTATGATATACTTTCTACCTTAGACAAAGCCAGACAGGTAAGATTTTCTTTATCATAGTGTCTAGCACAAGCTGGGGAATATAACTGCTCAATAAATTATTGTTAAGTGATTGAATTTTTGATAATTCACTCAATAGAACCTTCCATTTCTGAAATATGCACATAATATCTTCAGGAATTAGATCTGAGTAGCATTTCCCAAGGCAATCCCTCATTCTAACTTTGAGAAGGAATGTGATTAATTTGAAGCTGCTATTCTAATTTTTCATTTTTAGATTTTTACTATTATCTTGTTTTAGATTTTTACTACTATCTGGAGAAACAGCAGGCCAAGAGCCTTGCTTCCATACCACCAGCAATTTCTTTTGGGTAGCAAAACAATTTAGAGCTATAGAAACAGTATTAGAAACCATGTATTCCAACCCATTCACTCTTCAGATGAGGAAAACATCTCTCAGGTTAGATGGGGAAGCCAAGACAGAAATCAAGCTCTTTTAAACAAGTAACTACCTTACCTACATTTAAATAAATAAGGATGGCAAAATACCATGCAATCTTGGGGCTGAATAGAACTTACAGATGGTTCATTATTCTTTGTTTTAGCACTTCCAGTAATTGGCAAACAGCTCTTTCTACAATGGAATGCCTCTAAAAATTAGAAATATTCTCAAAAGAGTATTTCTCAGTGAATTATGTTGAATCAAAATTCATCTTCTCAGAACTTAGTAGCAACAGCCCTAGTTTTGAATTCTCAAACAGTAACAACAATCCACTCCCTCTTCCATGGGACTGAACTAAACAATTTATACAACCCTTAAGATTTTCTCTTCCCAAGTTCCTCTAAACTTCCTTTTTTATGGCATGGCTTCCCTCTGTTTTGACAATAATCTTATTAGAATTTGTTCTTGAATCTTAGAATGCTTTCAATTAAAGGCGACAGAAAAATCAAACTCAAGTTGGCTTAAAGAATAACTAAAAACTCCAGGGTAATTTAGGCACAGTTCCATCAGAGCGCTGGGTCCATTTTCCAGTGGTTTGCTCTGCTCCACTTTTATCGGTGTTAACTTTCTCCCCAGACTGACTTCCCTCCTAGCTGTTGGATGCCTGCCAGCAGTAATTAGTGCTGCATGATGCCTCATTCAGCAAGAAAGGCAGGTTGCTACCCATTAACTGCTGAAAAAAAAGAAAACACTGAGATTTACATCAATTGGCCACCCCTGAACCAATCCGTAAAACCAGGGGAATGCCACACACTGATAAGCTTAGGCCTGGATTAATTAAACCAATTACAGTGCAAAGGAAGATGGAATTTTCCTGATTGGCCTTAGCTGAGCATAGCTTACTCTTGAAGCTAGGGTGAGGTCAAGTTCACTCAAACCTTATTGCTGGTATTAACAGAGAAGGTGTAATGGATGTTGAGGAAAAAACCATAGCTTCCGTCCACCATGCGTGTATACCTGTATGTAACACTCAGGATAGGTCTGACAAATGTCCGAGTTCAGTGAAATATTAGAAATCAGTCTTGTGGCCATTTCCCTCATTTTGAAAATGTTCTTCTATTAACATAGTCTTACCTTGAATTCACTTTCTTTTTTTAAGCCGGTGTAATTGTTAGAGTTTGTGGTTACTGAAGTACCTAAAGCGGTTTTTTAATTTCATTTTATACTCCTTTCGAGTTGAACTTTTAAAACCTCCCCGCCAAATGTATTCTTATGGAACTGATGGCAAAAACCAAAACAGTACATTAATTCGGCTCCACAATCTCCATGTTCTGTTTTTTATGCATTGTTCTATCTACTAAAACACTTCAAATTATGTTTCTAAAAGTCAGTACATTAGCTGACCCTTTGCAGACTGATGCCTCTTCACCCAGATTGGGTTTTTAAATGTGACCAAGACAAAGCCAGAGACAAAGCCATGAGACGTGCTGTGAGAAACCTTCCTGCAAGCTAACATCAAATTAATAACTACATGCAGTTGTTCAACCAGCTTTACATATCTGCTTACGTCCACTGTCATTCAGTCATATTTCTACCCTTGTTCCCAAGGACATACGAGTGATTTCGTCAAAATCCCTACCTAAACACAAATATTGCAACCTCCCAACCCCCTAAAATCTCCCCTGCTACTCAACCTACAGAAAATTAAATGAGGCTAATTTGGCAGGAATGCTTTTAGTGCACTCAGACTGGATCTTAGAGGTTGTCTCATTATTTTCTAAGTGATTTCAATTCCTTGTTAAAGTAATCCATTCTAAAATGCTGTTAAAGATCAACATTGCTGATCTAGTAGTTTCCAGAATCTACCTTTTAACCCTTTGAGAGAATTGGGGTGATATTTGCTTAGATCGCATCTTCTAGCAGCACTCCCCTTCTCTGTGATTTCTGTGGATTACTGCCAATCATTCTATGATTACATCTGTAAGTCCTTTCGACACCTTGGAATGTAATTTGTCTATGACTGCAAACTTGAATTCATTTAGAATGTCTGGGTGGCTTCCTATAGTCTCTTCTTTTTACTTTTTCTGGGACTTCAATTCATTGTTAATGGTGTTTTTCTAGCTGTTCTATTTTGATGATAACTTCTTCATAGTGGCAAGGACAGATTCAAAATAGGAACAGAGTAATTCTGCCTCCTGCCTGTATTTGTTAGCCTCTCATCATCTATTCTAAACAGTGGGCTGATGCACTATATTCTCATAATTATGATTCCTAGCTTTTGCAGAAGTACTTTTCTCTGCTGGGAACACTCTTACTGTTCTCAAACTTTCTATAATCTAACTTTTATTCATCCATCAAGTCTTAGCAATAATCTCTCTTAGGAGCCTTCATTGATCCTTCAAAGCTAAATTAGATCCCCCTCCTATATCTTATGATACCTTATGATAGCCCTTTGGTGGAATTTAGTAGACTGTATTGTAAATGCCTGTTAGCATGGCTGCATTTCCCATTTGACTATAAGTGGTTAGAGGATAAGGATCTTTCCTTGTTCTCTTCTGCAGAGATTTTCATAGTTCTTGGCACCAAATAGGTGCTTAGTATTAATAATTGTTCAATGAATTAAACCTGTAAAGGTCCTTTTGGTTAACTTTGAGCATTTTTTAATTTCTTATATTTTCTTCCAAGATTTATTTTACTGCCACATCAAGTTTCCTTGGTGGTTGAAAGTAAATCTAGAATAATAATTTCTTCACAAGTTTTTTTCAGTGAAAAGCTTCCTTGTTTAACCTCTGAGGTATTAATTTTTTGGGAAGCTTAAAATAATGTTTCTTATGAAAAAAGGAAAAAATCTTCTAATATACATATATCCTGGATCAGAAAATATGCTCATCATAAATGTTTGAGGTGCATGGAGTATACTTCACAAATGGAAGCGTGAAAATAAAAGTGAGATGACTATTTTTGTAGAGACAAAATGTAACAAATTTCATTAGAATTTTTTTAAACACAGGATTTTTAAAAAACACATTTCAGTCATTAAGACAACTTTAATATTTTGAAAGCTTGAAAAATATATTTTTTCTCAAATGCACTCAGTAAATTTTACAATCTTTCGTTTTTCTGTTTATCAATGGTATTTCCTACTGATACACTTTTCTTACAACAATAAATCTCCTTAACTTATTCAACTTTATAAACACCTGTTCAGTAGTTTATAAAATTTTAAAGCTAATGGTATAACAAACTCAAATGATGATATTTTATATTTATAAGTGCATCCTGAGATGAATAAGTAATGAAAACACAGTCTGCTGCTACTAAAAGTGAGGGGCTTAAGAAGTTTAGCTACAAAGAGATGGAACGCACTTGATTTCATCTGGTTTTAAAATTTAAGTAGATTTGATCCAGGTTGGTTCTTAAGGAGGTCAACAGAAAATACCCTATTATTTTTTCTTCTGTTCAGCACTGGATATGCAGTAATTTTCCTGATCTACTGCCACAGATTGAATGCATTGTTGCATTTTTTTTCAAATTATCTTGTGTTATATGACATGCTTGCTGACAGACTAGGCTGACCACAGTTTTCAATTAAACTTATCAGTCAAAGGTCATTTACAAGCAACTGCGATTGACTGAGACACAGAAGTATTATTTTCATTGATTAGGGTTTAAAGAGAAAAATTGTTGCCAATTGGTACAGTCGAAAGATATAGTACAAATAATCTGTAGCTACATTTTAGCCAAGTGCAATGACAGATTCCAAGAGAGAGGACTTAAAAATGTCATCTTTAGTTTTTTAAAGAAAAATATTATTAATATAGTTATAATTCATTTGTATGCAGCCACCAAAAGAAAAAATATCTGCAATATAATACAATATAATGGTAACAACAATGTAACACTAACACATATTTTATACTGCATGTTAATTGTAATAGTCAATATGAACTGTCATGTTTATAATAAAATATAATATTTACATAATAAATATGAGTCATCATATTATCTACTTTCAGTAGAATTAAGAAGATTGGCTTCTAGTGCTGAGACAACCATTAATTATCTGTACAATCTAGGGCAAATCATTTAAACTCTCTAGGTCTCAATGATTTCTATACATAAGTATTAACCCCTCAAAAAATTATAATCTACAAAGTTTATAGTAGAGGGGCCTTGAGTTACTTTTAATATTTCATAAGGCTCTTGGGAACTTTGCACTTAACCACAATAAAAACTCATAAGCCCCATATGGTTTCTGATACATAAAAACTAGTTAATAATTAATAAATAATGAAATGAATAGGAGAATAAATGAAAAAGTAAATGAATGAATGAATGAATGAATAAAAATTAGAACACTAGGTTGATCTTTACTTTATATCAACTCCGTTGTCTACTGGTTATTTCTTGCTGATCTGATTTCCAATTATATATGCTTGTGATTATTTAAACATGAATTAGGCCAGGTGCAGTGGCTCATGCCTGTAATCCCAGCACTTTGTGAGGCCGAGGTGGGCAGATCATGAGGTCAAGAGTTTGAGACCACCCTGACCAACATGGTGAAATCCTATCTCTACTAAAAATACAAAAATTAGCTGGGCATGGTGGTGCACCCTGTAATCCCAGCTACTCAGGAGGCTGAGGCAGGAGAATCACTTGAACCTGGGAGGCGGAGGTTGCAGTGAGCTGAGATCATACCATGGCACTCCAGCCTGGGAGATAAAGTGAGACTCCATCTCAAAAAAAAAAAAAAAAGTGAATTAACAGTTACTTTTTCCATGCAATTTGAGGAGTAAAATTTTTTTAATACCCAGAGCAAGTCATGGGTATTAATAAAAATGATGCTTGGTAGCAATAATATTAGAAAATGATAGAAAAATGGAAATACTTCTACCTATACAAGTACCATAAATCCTTTTCAGTGACTCTATTGCAGCTATGAGGAATTCTCAAGCTTTTTCACAGGGATTGTTGTCTATTACTTTCATCATTTTATGTAATATGATCCTACCTGTGACAATCCCTTAGCCTAAAATCTCAACTAACATATTGAAATCAATAAAAATTTTCTTACTTATATACTGGTTCTCACTAATTTCACCTAAGCTCAATTTTATTTCATTTAAAACTATATTTGCCTACACAACTCATCCATTCACAATGATTGATTCCAAGGGTGAGATATATTTTATTCCCTCTAGAACAAGAGGTCCTGATCAGAGGGTAAAAGGTAGAAAGGTTTTTTCCCCCTTATCCTTAGAGAAAATTGTTAGTCCTTCTCCTTATGTAAGGAAGAAAGTAAAATACCTTTTTTTCATTTTTTGAAGTAATGTATGACAACTTAGTGCTATTTCCTCTAACTTTTCCCTGAATATGTTCCTGATTCCATAACAACCGTACTCATTCTTTATTTTTCTTATAGCTGAGTTGATAATAGGCTCCAATATTGTTGTTATTATTGGTATTCACTGGCATTCTCTGTTATATAGCCTTGACTAAAAAGCCATGAAAACAATTTATTGTGGTAAATTATACAACTACTTGTTCACAAAGCGAGAGTATTAACTGACATTTGTCTTTCCTCTCCTGTTAAGTCTGTTCATTGCTGTTGATGATCAATTCATTATTGTTTAATACATATAATTTTTATCAAATTTAAATGGACTAGGCTGAATTATGCTGCTCTCTGGATAATAGAATTTTAAGTCAGCAGCATGTTTAATATGCATGGAAAACCCCCCATAACCTCTCCAATAAATAAATAAACAAATAAATGTATGGCATATCAGCAAACATGGCCTTTACTTGACATTGGAAGAAACACACGTGTCATGTGTTAAATATATTTAAATGTGTGTTAATACATTTAATGTTTGTGTTAATACACACATTTAAATAAATATAAATATATAAAATTAAATATAAAAATATATTTTATATTAAAACAAAATATAACAATTTTATATTAAAAATAAATATAAAAATATAAAAATATATTTTAAATATAAAAATAAATATAAAAATATATTTTAACTTAAATATATTTTAACTTAAATATATTTTTATATTTAAGTAAAAATAAATTTCTTAAATCTAATAACTATATCCTTGCTCTTTCAAGACAGAAGGAACTTTTCAAGGTCAAATTAAAATTCTTATTTAGAAAGTTAAGAAAGCACTGAAATTATTTGGACCTTAGACTATGTAGTTAATCTTATCAAATCTTAGTTTCCATTTTTTTCTGCCCCACAGGACAGAAGGCACAGAAGACAAAGCCTATGGCTCACCAAAGTGATAAAGCCAGTAGGGCATACCTACATAATGCTGGGACCCTAAATGGCTCTATCCTGTGTATGGGGTGTACCAGAAATAAATCCACCCCACAGCACAAGAGAAGGAAATTCTTTCCTATGATTTTTGTGCTGAATTCAGACAAAATATCTCACCTGAACATTCATAGCCAAAGAACACTCCTCATGCTGATTTGTACACTGAATCCACATTGACTTAGTGGCCTAACAAACCTAAATCCAACAATCTATTTAAAGTGGCCCCAAATAGTAGTTTCTTCAGGGATCTCAGATAAACCTAGGCAAATTATGTTTGAGGGAATACACATTCCATCCAGGCTTCAAAGGATTTCTACAGATAAAGTCCCAAGAAACATGAATTTACAGTCAAAATTTAAAAAATAATACCCACAATAAATCACTTGATAGAGTCCAACAGAAACAACAGATGACAGAAAGACTTTAAAAAATAAAAACTAGAAAGAATGAGGAAGGGACAATATTAGAGATGGTATCTTAGGTCAGTTTTCCCAGAAGCAGACCCTGAGGCAAGGATTCATGAACAAATGATTTAGAAAGGCAATAGTCTCTATAGAGATCAGCAAGGTAGCATGGAAAGCAGAAAAGGGGAGAGAAGAAAGCCATGCCAGGGTGCAGTCTCAGATAAAGCCCTGCAAATATAGCTTTGGCCTGATCTTGCAGGAGAACGCTGGAGTAAGTTAACCTCAGAGTTGCCCAAGGCAAAGAAGCTAACTTGCTATACTCCTACTTCTGTGAGCCACTGGTCAAGGGCTGTGTGGAAGGAGTAAATTCTCAGGGACTTCTAGATTTCTGTATATGTGGATAAAAGACCTCCACAGAAAAAGTAACATTCTCAAAGAAGAGGCATGGTTGCAATTTGCCTGATAATAGTCAAAATTGCTTTCATACTTGTTTATTTTTTCTTGGTTCCCTTTAATTTTGGCCTGGTCTCATAAACTCTTCTATGTGCATAAAAATAATGTTAAAATTTTACCCTTCTTATAGTTGTCCTCAGTGAGACACTTGTTATGGTAAACTAATCCAACATTGTTTGTAATTGAAAGTTTTACCTTTATTCTCAACTTTTATCATCTTTTCTTTGAAGTTTTCTCTTGTATTTTATCTTTTGTTGGATAATGTTTCTTCTAATCCATTCTGAAGGTCTCTGTCTTTTGTCAGTGAGTTTAATACATTTACATTTATTGCGATTGTTACTAGGACTCATTTCTTTCTTAATATTTGATTTTTATTGTATATTTTCTGTGTATTAGTTTAATTTGCCTTTCACACTTTCCATTCAATTTCATACAAGAAGTTCCTTCTTCTTGTATGAAAGTTAATATTGTGTTTTATTTATTGTTTGGTTACCAGTAAAACAATGATGAATATCTACATTACTTTTTTTCTTCTACCCATTTCTTAGTTTATCCATATCCATATCACCTCTCTCTTTCTTGTCTCTTATTTTCTTCTCCCCTGCCACCACGTTTGCATTTTTAACTCTGAGCTTTATGGATCTTTTATAGATTTTAGGTTTGTTTTAGCAACAGGAAAATTTACTATGCTGTTTTCTTACCTGTACATTTCATGTATTTCATAGATTTTTCTAGTTTCAACTTACCATTATACTTCCTGAAAGTATTTTCAAAAGAGTCATTTGCTTGATGAAATTTCTGAGTTCTTGTTTGCCTGAGAATATGTAAGTATGTTTCCTTTGCATGTAAATTATTGTTAGTTGCATATAATATTTCAGATTTAAAGTCCTTTTATTATTACTCTTGAAAAATGTTATTCTCCTCTATTATGAATATAACATTAACAATAATTGCATTAGTGTTTCATTTCTTGTTTTTTTTGTAAATACTCTGTTCTTTATTAGAAAACTTTAGTAATCTCTTTTTTGTGTTTGATGTTTTAAAATTCACTTTAATATGTTTGTATTGTCTTTTTAAATCATCTAAAAGGTTTGGCACTATGAAACTTTGCAATATTTTTCTTTTTTAATTCTTACAAATGTTAGGCCACTATTTCTCCAAATACTTCCTCTCTTTCATTTTTTAAAAATATAGTTTCCTGGAAAACCTTCAATGTGGAGGTTAACAATTATATATCCATCCTTCCTCTCTCCAAAATTTTGTTTTTTCTTCTCTTTTTCTTTATCTCTTTCTTGTGATGTTTTAAAATTTTCCTCTAATTTCAAATTCATTAGTTTGTTACCCAATTGTATTTATTCTATTTTAATTTATCTACTGAGTTCTATTTTTTTCAAAATGTATTATTCTGCTCATCTTTTCCATTATTCTCCCTCATCTCTTTGAGAATATTTAATTCTTACTTATATTTATTTTAAGATTTTATTTATATTTATTTTGAATTTCTGTTCCACAATTCTCTTTTATCTGGTATAAGGTGAAGGAATCCACCTCCAGTCTGAGATTTTCTAATTTTGCAATCTGGGCAGAATCACTCTCTTTGCTCACCGCCCCACAGTAAGCAATTACGTACTTTGAGGACTCTTCTTTTCTCCTCACTAGTCCTGATAGGGAGGATAGAGAAGAGAAAATCATCAGGATCCACCCAAAATATCTGGGAACCTGTTGTTATTCACCCTCCAACCCAGCTAGGTTGGATTGCCTTTCTGCTGTTTCCTCACCATTTGTCACTGATGCTGGGTTGGTGCTGCTGTTTTTTCTCCTTACTGTAGGAAATAATTCTCGCAGGGCAATGTGAAGAAAGGCAGAAATTACAACTTAAAAGTTCTTCTTTAAGTTCCTGCTGTTTTTGCAGCCAGTTCTTTTCGTATCTAAATTGTTCTTCCCTCCATATATATTAGCTTATGTCTTTCTAAGAGTAATCAGTATTTTATTTTCTGTTTCTCAGAATCAACCAGACTAGCATTTGTGTCACATATACAGAATTATATTAAGGGGAAGAAGACAGCCATACTCATTAATTTGTCAAAAACTGAGAGAGGTTTTTCAAGTGATCTTATTTTACCCTTATAACTAAGATCAACATTATTGCTATATCTCCTTCAACACTGTTTTTGGCTGTTACAAACTAATTCATTTCCACAGAATTCTATGTACCTAGCTCAGTGCCATGGGCAAAAGTGTTTGCAAGAATTCCTACCTTCTGTTTTGCTGGGGAGGCCAATTTTCAAAAATCTATTACTAAATTTGCACACATGTAATACTCTGTGGAATAATACACTTGTCCAAGTTGTAAATAAAAAAATCCTAAATGTAATGATAAAATTCTTCAATATGACTTATATAGGCAGTAAGTAGATAAGAAATAATTAAGGGGCCCAACTAATGCATTCTATGAATAAATAGGGGTAGACAAGTAAGACACAGCATCATGAGACTTTCAGTGCCTTTATTTCATACAAATGCTGTGAAGTGGTTCATAGTCTGACAACGTCTTCTTTGAGGGTGAAGGACGCTTTGAACTGCTTTCTAGTTCTCCAGAGTCTATTTATAAATTACACTTAAATAGGTTTAAAATTACTTATCTCTCTGGTAGGTTTTTAATTCCAGATGAAGTATTCCAACAGAAAAAAATCATGTCAGATTTATTTTTACATGTTTACAAACAGCCATTTTTAAATCCACTCTGAAACTTTTACCTTGATCACCCCAATATGACAGCACAGTTGTATCTATTGACATTGACCAGTATTAAATTGAAGAACTCCTGTAAATTACCTCTCCATTCAGATCTATATGTATAAAATGCAGTTTTTCTCCTCTTACATGCAACACTATTTTTTTAACTTCTCAATATTTTGAAACCATCTATTTGTCCATGAAAAAAAAAATTCTTCAAGGATTAATTGAACAAACAATTTGGTGAAGACTTCTGTGAAATTATCACAAGAGATAGATCATAATAGGTGGTTGTAACAAGAAAAAAACTCCTAAGAAAAGGTTTTCAGAGGACTCTAAGGGTCAAAAATCTCCCATGGGCTTTGCAAACAGCAGCCCCAGTTGCAAATCCGGGACCTGGCTTTAGGTACATGAAGCTCAGCTCAGGTTGTCGCTGGCACAAAGGGTCAGCTCTAAATGAAATTCTAAGTAAGTGAATTCCATCTCAGTGTACACAGTGGTATCTTTTTTTTTTCCCTCCCCCCTCCCCCCTCCCCACCACAGTCCCCAGAGTGTGATATTCCCCTTCCTGTATCCATGTGATCTCATTGTTCAATTCCCACCTATGAGTGAGAATATGCGGTGTTTGGTTTTTTGTTCTTGCGATAGTTTACTGAGAATGATGGTTTCCAATTTCATCCATGTCCCTACAAAGGACATGAAATCATCATTTTTTATGGCTGCATAGTATTCCATGGTGTATATGTGCCACATTTTCTTAATCCAGTCTATCATTGTTGGACATTTGGGTTGGTTCCAAGTCTTTGCTATTGTGAATAATGCCGCAATAAACATACGTGTGCATGTGTCTTTATAGCAGTATGATTTATAGTCATTTGGGTATATACCCAGTAATGGGATGGCTGGGTCAAATGGTATTTCTAGTTCTAGATCCCTGAGGAATCGCCACACTGACTTCCACAATGGTTGAACTAGTTTACAGTCCCACCAACAGTGTAAAAGTGTTCCTATTTCTCCACATCCTCTCCAGCACCTGTTGTTTCCTGACTTTTTAATGATTGCCATTCTAACTGGTGTGAGATGATATCTCATAGTGGTTTTGATGTCCATTTCTCTGATGGCCAGTGATGATGAGCATTTTTTCATGTGTTTTTTGGCTGCATGAATGTCTTCTTTTGAGAAGTGTCTGTTCATGTCCTTCGCCCACTTTTTGATGGGGTTGTTTGTTTTTTTCTTGTAAATTTGTTTGAGTTCATTGTAGATTCCGGATATTAGCCCTTTGTCAGATGAGTAGGTTGCGAAAATTTTCTCCCATGTTGTAGGTTGCCTGTTCACTCTGATGGTAGTTTCTTTTGCTGTGCAGAAGCTCTTTAGTTTAATTAGATCCCATTTGTCAATTTTGGCTTTTGTTGCCATTGCTTTTGGTGCTTTGGACATGAAGTCCTTGCCAACGCCTATGTCCTGAATGGTAATGCCTAGGTTTTCTTCTAGAGTTTTTATGGTTTTAGGTCTAATGTTTAAATCTTTAATCCATCTTGAATTGATTTTTGTATAAGGTGTAAGGAAGGGATCCAGTTTCAGCTTTCTACATACGGCTAGCCAGTTTTCCCAGCACCATTTATGAAATAGGGAATCCTTTCCCCATTGCTTGTTTTTCTCAGGTTTGTCAAAGATCAGATAGTTGTAGGTATGCGGCGTTATTTCTGAGGGCTCTGTTCGTTCCATTGATCTATATCTCTGTTTTGGTACCAGTACTATGCTGTTTTGGTTACTGTAGCCTTGTAGTATAGTTTGAAGTCAGGTAGTGTGATGCCTCCAGCTTTGTTCTTTTGGCTTAGGATTGACTTGGCGATGCGGGCTCTTTTTTGGTTCCATATGAAATTTAAAGTAGTTTTTTCCAATTCTGTGAAGAAAGTCATTGGTAGCTTGATGGGGATGGCATTGAATCTGCAAATTACCTTGGGCAGTATGGCCATTTTCACGATATTGATTCTTCCTACCCATGAGCATGGAATGTTCTTCCATTTGTTTGTATCCTCTTTGATTTCCTTGAGCAGTGGTTTGTAGTTCTCCTTGAAGAGGTCCTTCACATCCCTTGTAAGTTGGATTCCTAGGTATTTTATTCTTTTTGAAGCAATTGTGAATGGGAGTTCACTCATGATTTGGCTCTCTGTTTGTCTGTTGTTGGTGTATAGGAATGCTTGTGATTTTTGTACATTGATTTTGTATCCTGAGACTTTGCTGAAGTTGCTTATCAGCTTAAGGAGATTTTGGGCTGAGACAATGGGGTTTTCTAGATAAACAATCATGTCGTCTGCAAACAGGGACAATTTGACTTCCTCTTTTCCTAATTGAATACCCTTTATTTCCTTCTCCTGCCTGATTGCCCTGGCCAGATCTTCCAACCCTATGTTGAATAGGAGCGGTGAGAGAGGGCATCCCTGTCTTGTGCCAGTTTTCAAAGGGAATGCTTCCAGTTTTTGCCCATTCAGTATGATATTGGCTGTGGGTTTGTCATAGATAGCTCTTATTATTTTGAGATACGTCCCATCAGTACCTAATTTACTGAGAGTTTTTAGCATGAAGGGTTGTTGAATTTTGTCAAAGGCTTTTTCTGCATCTATTAAGATAATCATGTGGTTTTTGTCTTTGGCTCTGTTTATATGTTGGATTACATTTATTGATTTGCGTATATTGAACCAGCCTTGCATCCCAGGGATGAAGCCCACTTGATCATGGTGGATAAGCTTTTTGATGTGCTGCTGGATTCGGTTTGCCAGTATTTTATTGAGGATTTTTGCATCAGTGTTCATCAAGGATATTGGTCTAAAATTCTCTTTTTTGGTTGTGTCTCTGCCCGGCTTTGGTATCAGAATGATGCTGGCCTCATAAAATGAGTTAGGGAGGATTCCCTCTTTTTCTACTTATTGGAATAGTTTCAGAAGGAATGGTACCAGTTCCTCCTTGTACCTCTGGTAGAATTCGGCTGTGAATCCATCTGGTCCTGGACTCTTTTTGGTTGGTAAGCTATTGATTATTGCCACAATTTCAGCTCCTGTTATTGGTCTATTCAGAGATTCAACTTCTTCCTGGTTTAGTCTTGGGAGAGTGTATGTGTCGAGGAATGTATCCATTTCTTCTAGATTTTCTAGTTTATTTGCGTAGAGGTGTTTGTAGTATTCTCTGATGGTAGTTTGTATTTCTGTGGGATCGGTGGTGATATCCCCTTTATCATTTTTTATTGTGTCTATTTGATTCTTCTCTCTTTTTTTCTTTATTAGTCTTGCTAGCGGTCTATCAATTTTGTTGATCCTTTCAAAAAACCAGTTCCTGGATTCATTGATTTTTTGAAGGGTTTTTTGTGTCTCTATTTCCTTCAGTTCTGCCCTGATTTTAGTTATTTCTTGCCTTCTGCTAGCTTTTGAATGTGTTTGCTCTTGCTTTTCTAGTTCTTTTAATTGTGATGTTAGGGTGTCAATTTTGGATCTTTCCTGCTTTCTCTTGTGGGCATTTAGTGCTATAAATTTCCCTCTAGACACTGCTTTGAATGCGTCCCAGAGATTCTGGTATGTTGTGTCTTTGTTCTCGTAAGTTTCAAAGAACATCTTTATTTGTGCCTTCATTTCGTTATGTACCCAGTAGTCATTCAGGAGCAGGTTGTTCAGTTTCCATGTAGTTGAGCGGCTTTGAGTGAGATTCTTAATCCTGAGTTCTAGTTTGATTGCACTGTGGTCTGAGAGATAGTTTGTTATAATTTCTGTTCTTTTACATTTGCTGAGGAGAGCTTTACTTCCAAGTATGTGGTCAATTTTGGAATAGGTGTGGTGTGGTGCTGAAAAAAATGTATATTCTGTTGATTTGGGGTGGAGAGTTCTGTAGATGTCTATTAGGTCCGTTTGGTGCAGAGCTGAGTTCAATTCCTGGGTATCCTTGTTGACTTTCTGTCTCGTTGATCTGTCTAATGTTGACAGTGGGGTGTTAAAGTCTCCCATTATTAATGTGTGGGAGTCTAAGTCTCTTTGTAGGTCACTCAGGACTTGCTTTATGAATCTGGGTGCTCCTGTATTGGGTGCATATATATTTAGGATAGTTAGCTCCTCTTGTTGAATTGATCCCTTTACCATTATGTAATGGCCTTCTTTGTCTCTTTTGATCTTTGTTGGTTTAAAGTCTGTTTTATCAGAGACTAGGATTGCAACCCCTGCCTTTTGTTGTTTTCCATTGGCTTGGTAGATCTTCCTCCATCCTTTTATTTTGAGCCTATGTGTGTCTCTGCACGTGAGATGGGTTTCCTGAATATAGCACACTGATGGGTCTTGACTCTTTATCCAACTTGCCAGTCTGTGTCTTTTGATTGGAGAATTTAGTCCATTTACATTTAAAGTTAATATTGTTATGTGTGAATTTGATCCTGTCATTATGATGTTAGCTGGTGATTTTGCTCGTTAGTTGATGCAGTTTCTTCCTAGTCTCGATGGTCTTTACATTTTGGCATGATTTTGCAGCGGCTGGTACCAGTTGTTCCTTTCCATGTTTAGCGCTTCCTTCAGGAGCTTTTTTAGGGCAGGCCTGGTGGTGACAAAATCGGTCAGCATTTGCTTGTCTGTAAAGTATTTTATTTCTCCTTCGCTTATGAAGCTTAGTTTGGCTGGATATGAAATTCTGGGTTGAAAATTCTTTTTTTTAAGAATGTTGAATATTGGCCCCCACTCTCTTCTGGCTTGTAGGGTTTCTGCCAAGAGATCCGCTGTTAGTCTGATGGGCTTCCCTTTGAGGGTAACCCGACGTTTCTCTCTGGCTGCCCTTAACATTTTTTCCTTCATTTCAACTTTGGTGAATCTGACAATTATGTGTCTTGGAGTTGCTCTTCTCGAGGAGTATCTTTGTGGCGTTCTCTGTATTTCCTGAATCTGAACGTTGGCCTGCCTTGCTAGATTGGGGAAGTTCTCCTGGATAATATCCTGCAGAGTGTTTTCCAACTTGGTTCCATTCTCCGCATCACTTTCAGGTACACCAATCAGACGTAGATTTGGTCTTTTCACACAGTCCCATATTTCTTGGAGGCTTTGCCCATTTCTTTTTATTCTTTTTTCTCTGAACTTCCCTTCTCGCTTCATTTCATTCATTTCATCTTCCATTGCTGATACCCTTTCTTCCAGTTGATCGCATTGGCTCCTGAGGCTTCTGCATTCTTCACGTAGTTCTCGAGCCTTGGTTTTCAGCTCCATCAGCTCCTTTAAGCACTTCTCTGTATTGGTTATTCTAGTTATACATTCTTCTAAATTTTTTTCAAAGTTTTCAACTTCTTTGCCTTTGGTTTGAATGTCCTCCCATAGCTCAGAGTAATTTGATCGTCTGAAGCCTTCTTCTCTCAGCTCGTCAAAATCATTCTCCATCCAGCTTTGTTCCATTGCTGGTGAGGAACTGCGTTCCTTTGGAGGAGGAGAGGCGCTCTGCGTTTTAGAGTTTCCAGTTTTTCTGTTCTGTTTTTTCCCCATCTTTGTGGTTTTATCTACTTTTGGTCTTTGATGATGGTAATGTACAGATGGGTTTTCGGTGTGGATGTCCTTTCTGTTTGTTAGTTTTCCTTCTAACAGACAGGACCCTCAGCTGCAGGTCTGTTGGAATACCCTGCCGTGTGAGGTGTCAGTGTGCCCCTGCTGGGGGGTGCCTCCCAGTTAGGCTGCTCGGGGGTCAGGGGTCAGGGACCCACTTGAGGAGGCAGTCTGCGGGTTCTCAGACCTCCAGCTGCGTGCTGGGAGAACCACTGCTCTCTTCAAAGCTGTCAGACAGGGACATTTAAGTCTGCAGAGGTTACTGCTGTCTTTTTGTTTGTCTGTGCCCTGCCCCCAGAGGTGGAGCCTACAGAGGCAGGCAGGCCTCCTTGAGCTGTGGTGGGCTCCACCCAGTTCGAGCTTCCAGGCTGCTTTGTTTACCTCAGCAAGCCTGGGCAATGGCGGGCGCCCCTCCCCCAGCCTCGCTGCCGCCTTGCAGTTTGATCTCAGACTGCTGTGCTAGCAATCAGCGAGATTCCGTGGGCGTAGGACCCTCTGAGCCAGGTGTGGGATATAGTCTCGTGGTGCGCTGTTTTTTAAGCCGGTCTGAAAAGCGCAATATTTGGGTGGGAGTGACCCGATTTTCCAGGTGCGTCCGTCACCCCTTTCTTTGACTCGGAAAGGGAACTCCCTGACCCCTTGCGCTTCCCAAGTGAGGCAATGCCTCACCCTGCTTTGGCTCGCGCACGGTGCGCGCACCCACTGTCTGGCACTCCCTAGTGAGATGAACCCGGTACCTCAGATGGAAATGCAGAAATCACCCGTCTTCTGCATCGCTCATCCTGGGAGCTGTAGACCGGAGCTGTTCCTATTCGGCCATCTTGGCTCCTCCCCCCACAGTGGTATCTTTCTCCTTCACCTTGCTCCCCTTGAATTCTCCCTCAGACATTCAAGGTTTAAAGCTTCCCCCTTCACTGCCGACACAAACTCATTTTATCATGTATTCATTCAGTGAACAATTTGTAAGACCAAATACCAGATGCTAGAGTTATCAAGCATATAAGGCAGAAGATATATCCTTAATAATTCACAGTCTAATGGAGAGAAAGGTACAAAATAAATGCAATTTAATGTGATGAACACAATAATTAGGGTTAAATACTCTGCATAAACACAATCAAAGAAGTAAGTTATCAACTTCATTTAGATAGCTCAAGGAAGGTTTTGAATTGAAAAAGACATTTGAACCAGGTCTAGAAACATTAGGTGTGGGAGACAGGAGTAAGGGAAAGGGCACTTCATGAGAATTAACTGGATATGCAAAAGCAGAAAAAACTTATAGCAAATTGATTTACAGTGAGGTGTGAAATTGCTAGGCTAAAAGGCAGAATATTAGGTCTGAGGAATAAATCCCTAAAACATAAATTTTTAGAACCTAAAAAATTAGGAATATCATTTGATTTTGCAGGGAGACCCTCCAAGAAACCCAGAAAAATGATAGTTATTCTGCTTACTCTTAAATATAAAAAATATATTTTAACTTAAAAAATATTTAATTGTTATAGATACATAATAGTTATACATATTTATGGGGTACATGTAGTATTTTGATGTAAGCATACAATGTGTAATGATCAAATCTGGGTAACTGGTATATCCATCACCTCAAGCATTTATCATTTCTTTGTGTTAAAAACATTCCAAGTCCACTAGTTTAGTTATCTTTAAATATGCAATAAATTATTGTTACCTATAGTTGCCCTCTTATCCTACTGAACACTTGACCACTAGAGGTCCCCCGACTTGACAGCATTCATTATTTTTTGTCTTTTAATAAAAGCCATTTTAACCAGTGTGAGATAATATTTCATTGTAGTTTCGATTTTTATCTGATGACTGATGATGTTGAACATTTTTTCATATACCTGTTCACCATTTCCTGACATGTTTATCATGAAAAACGGTTCAACGAGAAAAAGAAAACCATTTGTGTCTCATTTTGAGAAACGTCTATTCAGAACTTTTGCTCATTTTTTAATCATATTATTTGTTTTTATCATTATTGATTTGTTTGAGTTTCTTATATATTCTGGTTATTAATTCTTTGTCAGATGAGTAGTTTGCAAATATTTTCTCCCACTCTGTAAGTTGTCTCTTTGCATATTGAACATTTCCTTTGCTGTGTAGAAGCTTTTTAGCTTGATGTGATCCCATTTGTCCATTTTTGCCTGGGTTGCCTGTACTATTGAGGTCTTACTCAAGAAATCATTGCCCAGACCAATGTCCCAGAGTCCTTTCTCAACGTTTTCAACTTTACAGCCTGATTTTTTATCTAACTATTTATCTATTGATGTATTTATTTATCTATCATCTATCTATATAATCTGTCTTATAATAAACACACACACACACACACACACACACACTCAAATACACATAGTAAATATAATATAACCTAAAATGGACAATATAGGATATATCAATTCTACAATGCTAAAAAGAGTGTTTGGTAAGAACATTTGTTTGCTGTCATACTGATAGCAAAATGTCTAATCAGATTGCTTCTCTATGTTTATCCTTAGCCAAATGTTTGAACACCCAATTATTCATAAGTGTTTTCTCATACCATGTCTGTGCTACTGTTAAATTTTTGACCAATTACCTTCACATGTTCCAGTTTATTTTTTGTGGTAACTTTTTTCTTTGCTTTTTTTCTGCTAGAAACACAGGGCTTTTGGTATAATTTGGCTAGTCCCTTTCTTTCTACCTGCAACCATATATTACTATCCCTTCTGAAGACTATAACCTGTATGAAGTTCATATTGAAGCACCATTATTGGGTGGTTCACTGTAGACCTTAAAAAACATAGAGAAAAAGTCCAATTACAAAGAGTTTAGTTTAAAAGCAAGTGAGTCACTTCTTATTCACACTACAACACTTAGAGGTTTATATTGATCCTCATATGCTTTGACAGAAATTTTACCAACCTGTATGTTAGGCAGAAAATCCAAAAGACTATCCATTTTCGTCTGGAAATTAAATTGATTATGCATCTACATGAAAAAGGTAAATTCAGGTCATATCGCTGAGAGAAGCAACAAAATGTTGTAAAAGTCTACACACATCAAAACAATTAAAATGTTTAAAATTACCAAGTAAATGAAATCTATTTTATTGAATCACTGAACTTCCAAATCATGGATGCCATGGCTCTGTCTTCAGGTAAGCCAGCATCCCAGCTGTATGTGCTAATATTGTTTTTAAGTCAGCCATTTCACAATCTTGAATCACTTTAATTGATGTTTAATTGCCATGTTTAAAAACCTTTGCCGTAGAAGACATGAGAAGTCTATTTTTAGGCAGGAAATAGAAATTTCTAGGTCCTCATGAAACATTTAAAATTATAATTTTACACAAATCCCTACCCACTGGATAATAAGTTAGGATAATAGGGGATGAGCTATATATCCCCTTTTACTTTTCTGTGAAAACTGTTTTGTTTTTAAAACTTAAAAATTCCAAGTTAATATTCTACTATTGCACCAAAAGAATACAGTTGACAGTCCTTCATTCACATTCCCAGCCTTCCAGTGGCCACTAAAGAAGAAACCTTCATCTAGTCTACATCACCAAGAGAGAACAGTGACAGCTAACACTGCTCCAGCCTCTACCACCTTCTTGACGTGGCACAGCCATAGAACACAGGAAGTCCTCTTAGCTTCTAATGAAATTGGAAACATGGGAACATGCCCTATAATGAATGGTCTATATCCAAGAGAATACACTATATTAAAGTGTAGTAGAAATTCAATATTTATAAACTATAAACTTCCATTATTTAAAACAAGTGTTTGAAATAGTACCAGTTCCAAGCTTCGTTTTCTTCTTCAAGTATTATATTTATGATACAAAAATGGATTTTCTATTAGTCTAACCATTTTTAAAATTCTCAAATTGAGTATTTTTCTCCAGCTCTAATACTTTTCAGATGCTTCTTTGATGTCATTTACAGGGAGTTGAGGTTTTTTAAGTGTATTATGA
Organism: Homo sapiens; assembly: GCF_000001405.40. Classification (NCBI taxonomy): domain Eukaryota; kingdom Metazoa; phylum Chordata; class Mammalia; order Primates; family Hominidae; genus Homo; species Homo sapiens. The sequence goes on from NC_000004.12 coordinate 104,696,049, forward strand.
CCTTCCAGGCTTTCTGGTTTCATAAGAACCTGGTGTCTGGGATACTATCAAAAATAATCTGTCCTCATTTGAATTACCCTAACATTTTAGCTACAAATCAACAGGCTTCTTGAGGGTAGAGATAATGCATCCCTAGCACTTAGCCTGAAGTCTCTGAAACAGTACACTTTAATAGATCTGTACCTCTTTAAAGTATTATACTTATTTATATTTATACCATTTCTGTGACTAGGTATGTTTTCCAACTACATTTATCATTTTGTGTTATTACAAACGTGACATAGTTAAAACAGAAATGATGAAAATACAGAAAACCACAAAGAAATAATCACTTGTAATTACTGCCTATATTATAGATATATATTGTATATTTCCCACATTAGCAAGCCAATTTACCAATTATTATTTATTGGTTAATTAGCATTTCATCATATGGCTGTCCATACTTATTTATACATACTATATATAACAATGTGGTGGCAAGGAAGGTGTATATTATTGCCTATGATCTTATAGGCAAGATAAACAATGCTTCTTAGTAGGTGTTCATTTAGTGTAAGTCCTTTATAAAAATCATTACATTACTGATTTTAAATTAAAAAGGGAATAAGCCAGTGGATTTATTTATTGGTATAACAAAACTTTGTAAATTTTATACCGATATTTTCTTTCACCAAAAGTTCAATTCAAATCCAGGCATGGTGTCTCACGCCTGTAATCCCAGCACTTTGGAAGGCCAAGGCAGGCGGATCACCTGAGATCAAGAGTTCAAGAACAGCCTGGCCAAAATAGCAAAACCCTGTCTGTACTAAAAATACAAAAAAATTAGCCAGGTGTGGTGGCATGTGCCTGTAGTCCCAGCTACTGGGGAGGCTGAGGCAGGGGAATCGCTTGAACTCAGGCAGCAGAGGTTGGCAGTGAGCCGAGATCTTGCCACTGCACTCCAGCCTGAGCAACAGAGTGAGACTCCATCTCAAAAAAAAAAAAGTTCGATTCAAAATTATTCCATTATAAACTATCTGATTATATTATCCAGAATTTTTCAACTCATATCGAAATGCAAATTTTTAAATATTTTTCCCAAATAGAGTCTTAATAGGGTTAAAGGTTGATAGTCTCACAATAATACACTATTCCACAATGTAGAGCACTTAGCAGTATCCATAACAACCATTATTATTTTAAAAATATTTTAATAGTAATATTCTTTGAAATAGTTGATGATTTATTGTGACAGAATGAGGAGAACCTAAGAAAGACTATTTATCGATAAATGAATTTCTAACCATGCTGACGGAAAAGCAGCTTTATATTTTACTTTTGAAAGAAGGTGATGGTTGTATCTGAAGAAAAAAGAGATACAAGCTACTATTTCTAGGCTATCCAGTTAAAGGAAAGCACTATGTCAAGCATTTGAAGTAAAAGAATGTTGTCTTCAGAACCCAAACAGTTGTGTCTCAGAATACAAAGGAATGTAATACATATATTGGTCTATCAGTCAGAAAACAAAACACTGTAAAAAATTAAAATCATTTCAAATTAGTAGAATTTTAGTCTTGTTTTTTGTTGTTGTTGGATAACATGGCAGAACATGACACAACTGAATATGTTTCGAACGTACTCCCGTATTCAAGCAACAATATTTTCTGTGCACGAAAGAATGTGTATAGGTCATCTAATTAACACTAATGAAAGTTCTAGTTTTCAATATACTCTGAATTATTGGATAAGTATAACTGATAGTAAAGTCATAACAGTACTGGGAACAGAAATATAGCTGAAGGAAAAGATGTTACTGAGTTTACTGAAAATCTTTAAAAAATTCATAAAGGCAGAAGAGGAAAATAGAAACAAGAATAGTTTATACAGGAGAGTGAATGGAAGATGAGTATAAGGAGAAGAAAGGGGGAAAATCAGCCTTGAGGAATGTCATGATTCATTTGGTGTGGTCCTTTCAATGAAGCTAGAAGATAAAAGAAATAGTTTATTGTTAGGTTTCTTATGTGAAACTAAGAAAAAAATCTCTGAAAATGTGACTGATTCCTGTGTACAAAAGTAATATTATGCAAAAATTCTTAGTGTTCTACTGAGCCATTTGTTACCTTAATTTGCCTGAAACCTAAAATTCAGTTTTAAAGAATAAATGAACAAATAATTTACTTTGGGAAAAATAACACCAAAATCTGCTGCTAAATGTAATTATTTGGTGCAAACTTTATTGACTTTTTATGATGAAAAAGAATGACCCAAAACTATCTTAATTTTTGTATTTCTATATGAAAATTTGTTTTGACAATTTCACTATTATCGATTCAGCCAGAAAAAATGGAAATTTCATTTTGTTTGGTTCCTTGATTTTTCATTTTAGCATATATTTCACATTCTACCAATTATGGCAAAGACTGTCTAGATGTTAGCAACCCTGCATCCTCCTCTTGCTACATTGGAAGATTACATATTCCAGCCTCCCTTGCAATTTGGACAGGACCATATTCCTGGGCTCTGTCAAAGAATGAGAATGGAAGTATTTCATATCTTCTTCCAGGACTGGCCAAGAGTCCCCTCTCACTTGCTGTTTGCCTATTGCCAATTAAAAGCAAAGAAACCTATGTGGAAATCTGAAGGAGGCCTAGGAGACAGCAGTACCACGAGATGAAAAGAGCCAGGATCCCTCAACCGTCATGCAAAAGGCCATCTATTAAATATGTAAACTGTGGTATGACCCATAAATGAACAGTAATTTTGCTAAGTTAGTGAAATCAGACAGTTGTTTTTATGTAAAGCTAGCATTAATAACCTCAAATGACAATCTGGTCCTTAAAAGGTTTTCTGTTGACATTATTAATTTTTTAATTTAAGATTGTGTTTGGAATTTGGAAAATTTTAGTATTGAGTTCAAAAGAATAACTAAAATAAAAATAGGTTGCTCATAAAACATTATTAACTCAACTGCCTTGTAATCAACCAAGGACTGTCAACTCTGCACATGTTTCTCTTGGATGTTAGCTCTTTAAAATACATCAGGTCTTAAGTGTTCTGAAATACATTACTTCATTTAGTTCACAGCTAAGTGATGGCAATACTCTGATTACTCATCAAAGCCAGCAACTTTGCAGAGCAGAGAGAAGTACCTCACATTTTTATTAAATTGTCAAATATTATATATAAGAATTGTAGACATTTTGGAATTGGAATGGACCTTAAAGACTACAAAACCATCACACTTGTCAGCTGAGCCAACTGTGCTTTAAGGGAGGTTAAGACATTAGTATAAGGATCCAGGGCTAGTTGGCAGCAGAGCTGAGGTTAGTACTATAAGCTCCTGAATGCCTAATTACATTCTTACCTGCAACAGCTTTTTCACAGCAAAGTCAGTCACAGGACTCCAATATCCACATTTCATTCTTAGAGATGAATGAAATGCCAGCCAATGACAACTATTGTTCAGCTTGACTCACTGACACCACCACCTCTTTCCTCCTTGCTCCAGCCAATCACCCAAAGAGAGGATTCCAACTAATGGACAGCAAATCCATATGTTGACCAAGAATCTGCAGGGAGGCCTCGTATATAAAGATTAACTTGACCATACTCTTTGGAATCTAAATAGAGAAACACAGACCCATGGCCAGTTAGCAATAGGATCTGATATTAAAAGTATATGTAAAGAGAAAAAGACTGAATTAAATCAAAGCCATGAGGGACTATGACAAGTCAAAGTTATAAGGGGGATCTAATACCTAGAGATAAATAAGATTCCACCAGGGGAAGATCATGAAAAAGATTGCTAGATCTTCCTGAGATCCTGATGTCTATGTTGATCTATTCCAGTACTAATTTTATCATTAAGTCCTCTTTATCTTCCTAACTTATAAATAAGCCTTCTATATCTTACAGAGGCCTAAATGAGTAGCTATGTTTTTACAACTGAAAAAAATATACATGAAAGAAAAGCATTTAAATATGTCCTTCAACCTAATGTTTGTAAATATATATATAATTATATATATTTACAAATACACATTTACAAATATAAATATATAATTATATATCAGAAAAAATCATAAAATTAAATATCAAATTAACCATCTAAAAATTTAAAATTTAATGGGTGTCAAAAATATAACTAAATTGAAGTGCACACACAATGAGAGTGAATATTTACTAAAACTACATCACAAAAAGGTTAATAAATTAATAAAGAAAACATACATATTGATAATAAAAACACCAATGCTTCAATGAAATAATATGCAAAGAAACTGGACTAACAGTTCACAAAAGAAAGACGTAGAAAAAGCTGATTAGTGTAATCCCAGCACTTTGGGAGGCCGAGGCGGGCCGATCACAAGGTCAGGAGATCGAGACCATCCCGGCTAAAACGGTGAAACCCCGTCTCTACTAAAAATACAAAAAATTAGCCGGGCGTAGTGGCGGGCGCCTGTAGTCCCAGCTACTTGGGAGGCTGAGGCAGGAGAATGGCGTGAACCCGGGAGGCGGAGCTTGCAGTGAGCCGAGATCCCGCCACTGCACTCCAGCCTGGGCGACAGAGCGAGACTCCGTCTCAAAAAAAAAAAAAAAAAAGAAAAAGAAAAAGCTGATTAGTATATGAAAAAGTTTAGCTTTACCAAGGAAATGTGATAAAGGTCAATTATAAAATATCATTTCTACTTACCAAATTAGCAAACATTTATAGAATATTAATAATATGCTGATAGTGGTGAGAAATATGCTAACACATTGCCTATGTGTTCATAAATTGATGGAATAATTCTGGAAAGCAGTTTGGTACCACATACCTATAGCCTTTAAAATGCTTATCCACATTGGCCCAATAATTCTCTTTCTATAATATAACCTTAGTTGGTGATCAGAAATATAAACACATATTTATATTAACATTTTATATTAGCATTTATTATACTTTATCATAATTATTTGTTTTTATAGCCTATCTTCTCCACTTACTCACTTTGATAATTTCGAGGCCTAGCATAGTTCCTGGTACACAGCACCTGACACAGAAAAACCATTTAATAAAAATCTGATAAATGAGCAAATAAAGAAAAGAAGGAAGATATTTAGGATAGTGTTATTTAAAACAATGAAGTGCTAGAAAAAATCCTATGACTATTAAATAAATTATAGTGGGCAAATATAATTGCAATAATATATAAGCATAAAATTATGTTTTGAGACTTTTAATGATGTAAGGACTTGCTTAAGAGTAAAGGGTAGTCAAAAAGTAGGATATAGCACTGTATGTACAATATGCTCTTGACTATGCTAAAATGCGCTAAAACATGCAAGAAGACTAAAAGAGACATACTAATACATATATATTGGTCAAAATTGGTCAAATATTTTATACAAGTTGATTATTCCTAATCCAAAAATTTGAAATCCAAAATGCTCCAATACCCAAAACTTTGAGCGTGGATGTGATGCCACAAGTGAATATTCCACACGTAACTTCATATAATCATTCACAGTCAAAAACACAGGTGCACACCACACAGTTTACTCAGTGTCCCAAGGGACAGAAGACCTTCCCAGTCCTTTTCAGTGGATATATCCTTTCAGCATACACCCATATTCTTCCATGCAAGCATGCCCATAAAGTGTAATAAATGGCATGTGTGTAAGCTGCATGTGCTTATGGCCGGTTCCCCACAAGGCCCCCATGGGACCAAGACCTATGTGCATTACTCACTTTTTTTTTTTTTTGCTTATTCTCTGCTCTGTGGTGTAAAGATGTTGAAAATGTCAAAAATATCTGCAGATATCCCTATGATAATAGTGGTAAGAAAAAGAAGAAGCATTTATGTTTATTGCAGAGCAAGTCAAGCTGTTGGGGAAACTAGATAGCAGCGTAAGTGTGAAAAGTCTTACAGAAGAGTATGGAGTTGGAATGACCTCCACATTCTACCTGAATAAACAGAGGATAAACTGTTAAGTTCTATACTGAAAATGATGAACAGAAGTTAACAGAAATAATAATAAAAAAACTGCATAAAGCCGAACATAAAGATCTCGATCATGTATTGAAAAGGTGCATTTGTCAGCTTTGTAGTGAACACATGCCACTTAATGGTACACTGATCATGATATTTTCAATAGATGATTATAATCTCTATTTGGATAGCCTACTTTTATTTAGACAATAAGTCTTATTTCTTTATAATACATTATTGGAATAGGGAATCTCAATTAATGACTCAGATGTCCCAAATATTCAACATGTCAGTGTTATCTGATCACGTCTGTGTCTCTTTACCTGATTCAAAGCATGTAACTGGGATCAGTTACAGTGCTTCATAGTTCTTTTTTTTTTTTTTTTTTTTTGAGACGGAGTCTCGCTCTGTCGCCCAGGCTGGAGTGCAGTGGCGGGATCTCGGCTCACTGCAAGCTCCGCCTCCCGGGTTCACGCCATTCTCCTGCCTCAGCCTCCCAAGTAGCTGGGACTACAGGCGCCCGCCACTACGCCCGGCTAATTTTTTGTATTTTTAGTAGAGACGGGGTTTCACCGTTTTAGCCGGGATGGTCTCGATCTCCTGACCTTGTGATCGGCCCGCCTCGGCCTCCCAAAGTGCTGGGATTACAGGCGTGAGCCACCGCGCCCGGCCAGTGCTTCATAGTTCTAAGTTGCGTTGCATCTCTTGCCTGAAATTCAGAGTGTGGCAAGGGATGATGGGCAAATGAACATACCCATACCACTGCAAACCATTCCCCAAAGGGAAAGAAGTTATTGGAACTAGCAGATACAGGGGTTAAATTTGGATACTAAATCAGTCCCATAAGTTGTGAAACGTCATTCAAGGGTGGATTTTTCTGCCACAGTAGTAAATGACAATTTTAAAAATCAATATGGTAAACAAAATCAAACACTTTTAATAGTATTCATCCTGGTGACATTGTCATCATGCTACCTCTACCGACTCCCCATTTTACCTGCCTGTCCCCATGAATTTGACTGTTTATGTTGGTGCTCAAATATCTTTGCATTGTTCTGCATAGAAATTTATTTCCCACAAAATTTCAGCCATGGTACTTTGCATTCTTGGTAAATAGTAAACATTATTTTAAATCACAATAAAAGACTAAAACTATATTATCTTCTCAAGGTTTTACATCCACCATAGCTTATATCCTTTTATTTCTCTCTCTGGGTTTCCTCCATTTTCTTCCATTCCCACATCTTCTGTTACCTAGCTGGAGCAGAAATTAAACTGATGTCACTAAGATACTAGGGTTAGAAGAAATGCCAGTGCCTTGTTGCATACATCCTTATTAGTATGAGAGATCAGGATATGTATGCTCCTATGGGCCCTCCTTACCAACTCACAGAGCACCTTAATTCTTTATCCCTAATCCTACAACCACAGTTAACCATGTCCCAAATGCTTGCCATTGTTCAAAATAAAGGTACCCTGAAAGGAGATGACAGCCAATGAAGCAATGCCCATGCAGCCAGGAAGAAGGGAGGGGACACTGTTCTAGCAACTATGTGATCCAGAGCTGCCCATCTATTGAGTACGAGGTGTCACTGCCAGGAAGCCTCATATATATAAGAAACTTCCAGATGTGTTTGAATTAGCATAAGTGTAACATCTCCTACTAGAAAATAATTCCCTGGCAAGGTACCAGTGGGATAGGTTAGTAGTGTTGTTTTGTATGTAAATCATTGTTCATGAGTATCTTCAGCATAAAGCTCTTACTTATTCGAAGCTTAAATAAGCCATGTACAGGCACATTCTGCTCTCCCGGCAGCATTTCTCAGATGTTGTTACAACTCCCCAAGCATAAGAAGAACTGTTTCCCTTAGGTTGAGTTCTGGAGGGTTAAGTATCTATCCACTGATTTACTGTGGTTTCTGTCAGAAAAATTTGACTTTTAGTAGATAATATTCAAATAGTCACTGACGGCTGAAAATTTAACAGCCAAGCAATTGAATCGTCTGTGGTCAAGGCCTTAGAAAAGTGAGTGGTGGCCTTGTAGAGATGCAAGCCACTTAATCAACAAATAAAGCTTTAGAAAACCAAAGAGGAGACAGCTGGCACTGTAACATTCTGTTTTGATGGTGATTTCATTACATTTTGGAAAATGCATACTTGACTTAAGCTTTAGTTGCTGAGAGTTCAATGAAAGAGGCCGACACTATATTTGTTTTGTGCTAAATGAGTATATTTGATGAAACACCTGATTTCTGTAACAATAACCACTACATATACCATAAACATGGGTAGCTACATTTATAGATTAATTAATGATAAATATGCACAGAGAAATCAGGCACTTAGCTAGACACTCAGCCTTCAAATCATTTTTCTTTAACCGATACGGCACTTGTTGAAATTCTACAAGCACATTTGCTTGAGTTCTCATTGAAATAATTTGGTTCATTTTTCAATTGACTTTTCTCACAAGTCAGAGAAGATTTGCCATGCTAAGGAAATCAGACTTACTACGCCAAAGAAATACAACATTTAGGGTAGACTATTTGGGTAATCATGTATTCTTAAAAGAAGAAAGCTTTTCTAAATAGAAATCAGAACAATGAACCTTTCAACAAAGCAGTGCATAGATAATTATTAAGATTACAAATATGCATGAAAACTAGAGGTAGCCAAAGATTGTCCACAGCTACTAATATGTTTTGACAGGACTATAATTTTGCTATACTTCAACAAGAGTTAAGGCTAGTCATGAAGTACAAACTGCGGGTTTGCCTGTTTTATATACTGAACAAAGAAAAATAGAAAAACAATTTCATTGAATCAGGATCAAAAGCATATATCAAGGGTATTTAGTCCTTAGAAATAAGCCGGTTCTCAAAAGTACTTTTAAAAACTTAAATAAAGCAAATTTTAATTATTCATATGAATAAAGAATTAATACTTAAGGTGAATTTTAATGTTCAGTAGATATGTATAATTATGTGTCTATTGTATTGACTTTATATACCGTTATGAAAGCAGATAAGAGAATGTAAAGTTTGTTTCTTCTGCTAAGTAATGTTGATTACATCATCACTGGTATTTTAAAAAATATGTATTTCACGTGATATTGAACATCAATGTAATTTTTTTCCTTTTCTATCCCAACAACAATACATACAAGTGAAACAACTTAGAATATATATATACAATATGGGTACAGTTGTTTGCCATCACTATGAATTCTAATTTTTGCATTAGGATCTTTTAGAATGAGAAAATTCCGAATTATAGAAGGATTCAGAGATTAAAATGCACTTTTATTGAATCCCTCTTTTTTGCTCCTCTCTCCCTCTGAAGTTATCAGAAAGCTTATCACTTGTCAGTATAAACACATAAGGTTAGGAAAAAATAGCATGAGAATGGTATATATTTATTTTTCTGGACTAAATAACATTGATGACATATTTAAATTGTTGGTCATTGTCCAGTTCACCTTGCTATTGACTTATTTTCATGTAAAAGTACTGGCTTGACAGTTGCACAGTTGTGTAAAAACATTAAATACTACTACTATTACTAACAGCTAACATTTGAGGATTTAGCATATGCCAGGCACTGTATTAAGTGCTATACATATTTCTTCTGATTTTCTCAACAAAACACACTATAGGGCAGGGGCAATGTTATTATCCATAATTTGTATATAAAAATATTTGAAAATACTAAGTGTAAAGAGTCTATATAACTAGCACAATGTTACACAGCAGAACATGGATAGAAATCCACACAATCTGAGGGACTTCAGGACCATACTTTAAACCACTATGCTAGCATGTTGTAGATAAAATATGCTGTTGATGCAATATTTAAATGCAAATAAGCATTCACATAAAAAATAAGCCACACTGCAATTGTTTATGGACATGATGAGTTTAAGAATGATGAGACCTACAATAATAAAATCTTAGAATATAATGTGTTACAGAGTCATCCAAGTCTAACACATTTTTACTGACTCTTATCATGGGCCCAACATTGTCCTCACCATTGTAGATATAGTAGTTAAACAAAGTTCTGCTTTTATGAATCTAACATTGCAATTAGAAAGCACACAAGAAGAATGGAAGTTTTTAGGGAATGACAAGGGCTATGGGGGAAAAAAATAAAACAAAGAGCTATAACAATAAGAAGGAAGAATTCCTTTAGCAAAAGTAGCTAGGTAAGGCTGCTCTAAGGAGGAAGCCTTTGAGTAAATGCTGAATGACAAGAAGGAGTCAGCAGTGGAAGCAGGTGGGAGCCAAGTGTTCCAGCAGAGGCAACAGCAAATGCACAGGTCTGAATTTGACAAGGAGTTTAGTTTTCTTTCTGGAAAAGAAAGATGGTCAGTATGGCTGGGACATATGGAGCAAGAAGGAAAAGGACAGAAACAGAGAAGGCAGAGTGGATCATTTAGGACCTTATAGGCAATGCAAAGAAATTTAGAGTTTATACTTTTATATCAAGTGAGAGAATGCTAGAATGGATTTAGATGGAGAAAGCAAAACTTCATTTAGGTTTTAAAAATCTCAGTCCCAGGCAAGATGGCCAAACAGGAGCAGCTCCAGTCTGCAGCTCCCAGCGAGACCCAATGCAGAAAACGGGTGATTTCTGCATTTCCATCTGAGGTACCTGGCTCATCTCATTGGGACTGGTTAGACAGTGGCTGGAGCCCACGGAGGGCAAGCCAAAGTATGGTGGGATGTCACCTCACCCGGAAGCACAAGGGATTGGGGAACTTGCTCCGCTAGCCAAGGGAAGCCATGAGTGAGGGACAGTGCTATCTGGCCCAGATACCATGCTTTTCCCACTGTCTTCAAAATCCACAGACTAGGAGATTTTCTCAGGTGCCTACACCACCAGGGCCCTGGGTTTCAAGCACAAAACTGGGCGGCTGTTTGGGCAGACAACAAGCTAGCTGCAGGATTTTTTTTTTTTTTCTGTAACCCCAGTGGTGCCTGAAACACCAGCAAGACAGAACTGTTCACTCCCCTGGAAAGGGGCCTCAAGCCTAGAAGCCGAGTGGTCTTGCTCAGTGGATCCCACCCCCATGGAGCCCAACAAACTAAGATCCATAGGCTGGAAATTCTCCCTGCCAGCACAGCAGTCTGAAGTCGACCTGGGACACTTGAGCTTGGTAGGGGGAGAGGCATCCGCCTTTACTGAGGCTTAAGTAGTCAGTTTTCCCCTCACAGTGTAAACAAAGCTGCCAGAAAGTTCGAAATGAAAGGAGCCCACCACAGCACCACAAAGCCGCTGTAGCCAGACTGCCTCTCTAGATTCCTCTTCTCTGAGCAGGGCAACGCTGAAGGAAAGGCAGCAGCCCCATCAGGGGCTTATAGATAAAACTCCCATCTTCCGGGGACAGAGCACCTGGGGGAAGGGGCGCCTGTGGGTGCAGCTTCAGCAGACTTAAACATTCCTGCCTGCTGGCTCTGAAGAAGGCAACAGATCTCTGAGCACAGCGCTTGAGCTCTGCTAAGGGACAGACTGCCTCCTCAAGTGGGTCCCTGACCCCTGTGCCTCCTGAGAGGGAGACATCTCCCAGCAGGGGTTGACAGACACCTCATACAGGAGAGCTCCAGCTAGATTCTGGTGAGTGCCCCTCTGGAATGTAGCTTCCAGAGGAAGGAGCAGGCAGCAATCTTTGCCATTCTGCAGCTTCTGCTGGTGATACCCAGGTAAACAGGGTCTGGAGTGGACCTCCAGCAAACCAGCAGACCTGCAGAAGAGGGGCCTGACTGTTAGAGGGAAAACTAACCAACAGAAAGCAATAGCATCAACATCAACAAAAAGCATGACCACCCAAAAATCCCATTGAAAGGTCACCAACATTAAGGACCAAAGGTAGATAAATTCAAGAAGATGAGGAAAAACCAGCACGAAAAAGGCTGAAATTTCCAAAAACCAGGAAGCCTCTTCTCCTCCAAAGGGTCACAACTCCTTGCCAGCCAGGGAACAAAACTGGACGGAGAATGAGTTTGATGAATTGACAGAAGTAGGCTTCAGGAAGTGGGTAATAACAAACTCCTCAGAGCTCAAGGAGCATGTTCTAACTTAATGCAAGGAAGCTAAGAACCTTGATAAAAGGTTCCAGGAACTGCTAACTAGAATAATCAGTTTAGAGAAGAACATAAATGACCTGATGGAGCTGAAAAACACAGCAAGAGAACTTCGTGAAGCATACACAAGTATCAATAGCCAAATCAATCAAGCAGAAGGAAGGATACCAGAGACTGAAGATCAAGTTAATGAAATAAAGCATGAAGACAAGATTAGAGAAAAAAGAATGAAAAGGAATGAATAAAACCTCCAAGAAATACAGGACTATGTGAAAAGATCAAACATACGTTTGATTGGTGTACCTGAAAATGAGTGGGGAGAATGGAACCAAGCTGGAAAACAGTCTTCAGAATATTATCCAGGAGAACTTCCCCAACCTAGCAAGACAGGCCAACATTCAAATTCAGAAAATACAGAGAACACCACAAAGATACTGCTTGATAAGAGCAACCCCAAAACACATAATCATCAGATTCACCAAGGTTGAAATCAAGGAAAAAATGTTAAGGGCAGCCAGAGAGACAGGTCAGCTTACCCCTTTCTCTTCTGAAAGGGAAGCCCAACAGACTAACAGTGGATCTCTCTGCAGAAACCTTACAAGCTGGAAGAGTTGGGGCCAACATTCAACCTTCTTAAAGAATAGAATTTTCAACCCAGAATTTCATATCCAGCCAAACTAAGCTTCATAAGTGTGGAAGGAGAAATAAAATCCTTTACAGACAAGCAAATGCTGAGGGATTTCATCACCACCAGGACTGCCTTGCAAGAGCTCCTGAAGGAAACCCTAAATATGGAAAGGAAAAACCGGTACCAGCCACTGCAAAAACATACCGAATTGTAAAGACCATTGACATTATAAAGAAACTGTATAAACTAATGGGCAAAATAACCACCTAGCGTCATAATGACGGGATCAAATTCACACATAACAATATTAACCCCAAATATAAATGGGCTAAATGCCCCAATTAAAAGACACAGACTGGCAAATTGGATAAAGAATCAAGACCCATCAGTGTGCTGTATTCAGGAGACCAATCTCACATGCAAAGACACACATAGGCTCAAAATAAAGGGCTGCAGGAAGACTTACCAACCAAATGGAAAGCAAGAAAAAAAAAGCAGAGGCTGCAATTCTAGTCTCTGATAAAACAGACTTTAAACCAACAAAGATCAAAAAAGACAAAGAAGGGCATTACATAATGGTAAAGGGATCAATGCAATAGGAAGAGCTAACTAGCCTAAATATATATACACCAAATACAGAAGCACCCAGATTCATAAAGCAAGTTCTTATAGACCTACAAAGAGACTTAGACTCCCAAAAAATAATAGTGGGAGATTGTAACACCCCACTGTCAATATTAGACAAATCAATGAGAAAGAAAATTAACAAGGATATTCAGGACTTGAACTCAGCTCTGGGCCAAGCGGACCTAATAGACATCTACAGAACTCTCCACACCAAATCAACAGAATATACAGTCTTCTCATCACCACATTGCACTTATTCTAAAATTGACCACATAAATGGAAGTAAAACACTCCTCAGCAAATGCAAAAGAATGGAAATCATAACAAGCAGTCTCTCAGACCACAGTGCAATCAAATTAGAACTCAGGATTAAGAAGCTCATTTAAAACTGCACAACTACATGGAAACTGAACAGCCTGTTCCTGAATGACTACTGGGTAAGTAACGAAATTAAGGCAGAAATAAGTACGCTCTTTGAAACCAATGAGAGCAAAGACATAACATACCAGAATATCTGGGACACAGCTAAAGCAGCATTTAGATGGAAATTCTTAGCACTAAATGCCCACAAGAGAAAGCAGGAAAGATCTAAAATTGACACCCTAACATCACAATTAAAAGAACTAGAGAAGCAAGAGCAACAAATTCAAAAGCTAGCAGAAGACAAGAAATAACTAAGATCAGAGCAGAACTGAAGGAGACAGACACAAAGAACACCCTTCAAAAAATCAATCCAGGAGCTGTTTTTTTTTTTTTTTTTTAACATCAACAAAATAGATAGACCACTAGCCAGGCTAATAAAGAAGAAAAGAGAGAAGAATCAAATAAACACAATAGAAAATTATAAAGGGGATATCACCACTGATCCTATAGAAACACAAACTACCATCACAGAATACTATAAACACCTCTATGCAAATATACTAGAAAACCTAGAAGAAATAGATAAATTCCTGGACACATACACCTTCCCAAGACTAAACCAGGAAGAAATCAAATCCCTGGATAGACCAATAACAAGTTCTGAATTGAGGTAGTAATTAATGGCCTACCAAACAAGGAAAGCTCAGGACCAGACTTACAGTCAAATTCTACCAGAGGTACAAAGAAGAGCTGGTACCATTCTGTCTGAAACTATTCCAAACAATAGAAAAAGAGGGGCTCCTCCTCATTTTTTGAGGTTGGCATTATCCTGATAACAAAACCTGGCAGAGACAGAACAAAAAAAGAAAATTTCAGGCCAACATTCCTGACAAACATCGATGTGAAAATCCTCAATAAAATACTAGCAAACCGAATCCAGCAGCACAACAAAAAGCTTATCCAACACGATCAAGTCAGCTTCATCCCTGGGATGCAAGGCTGGTTCAATATATACAAATCAATAAATTTAATCCAGCATATAAACAGAACCAAAGACAAAAACTGCATGATTATCTCAATAGATGCAGAAAAGGCCTTCGATAAAATTCACCACCCCTTCATGCTAAAAACACTCAATAAACCAGGTATTGATGGAACATATCTCAAAATAATAAGAGTTATTTATGACAAATCCACAGCCAATATCATACTGAATGGGCAAAAGTTGGAAGCATTCCCTTTGAAAACCAGCACAAGACAAGGGTGCCCTCTCTCACCACTCCCATTCAACAAAGTATGGGAAGTTTTGGCCAGGGAAATCAGGCAAGAAAAATAAATAAAAGGTATCCAAATAGGAACAGAGTAAGTCAAATTATCTCTGTTTGCAGGTAACATAATTGTATATTCAGAAAACCCCATCGTCTCAACCCAAAATCTCCTTAAGCCAATAAGTAACTTCAGCAAAGTCTTAGGATACAAAATCAATGTTCAAAAATCACAAGCATTCCTATCACCAATAATAGACAAACAGAGAGCCAAATCGTGAGTGAACTCCCATTCACAATTGCTAACACGAGAATAAAATACCTAGGAATACAACTTACAAGGGATGTGAAGGACCTCTTCAAGGAGAACTACAAACCACTGCTCAAGGAAATAAGAGAGGACACAAACAAATGGAAAAAGATTCCAGCTCATGGATAGGAAGAATCAATATTGTTACAATGGCCATACTGCCAAAAGTGATTTATAGATTCAATGCTACCCCCATCAAACTACCACTGACTTTCTTCACAGAATTAGAAAAAGCTACTTTAAGTTTCAAAAAAGAGCCTATATAGCCAAGACAATCCTAAGCAAGAAGAAGAAAGAAGCTGGAGGCATCATGCTGCCTGACTTCAAACTATACTACAAGGCTACAGTAACCAAAACAGCATGGTACTGGTACCAAAACAGATATCTAGACCAATGGAACAGAACAGAGGCTGCAATGGGGAAAGGATTCCCTTTTTAATAAAAGGCATTGGGAAAACTGGGTATCCATATGCAGAAAACTGAAATTGGACCCCTTTATTACACCTTCTACAAAAAGTAACTCAAGATGGATTAAATATTTAAACATAAGACCTAAAACCATAAAAACCCTAGAAGAAAACCTAGGCAATACCATTCACGACATAGGCATGGGCAAAGACTTTTTGACTAAAACACCAAAAGCAATGGCAACAAAAGCCAAAATTCACAAATGGGATCTAATTAAACTAAAGTGCTTCTGCACAGCAAAAGAAACTATTATCAGAGTGAACAGGCAACTTACAGAATGGGAGAAAATTTTTGCAATCTATCCACTGACAAAGGGCTAATATCTAGAATCTGCAAATAACTTAAACAAACATACAAGAAAAGAACAAACGACCCCATCAGAAAGTGGGTGAAGGATATGAACAGACACTTCTCAAAAGAAGACGTTTATATGGCCAACAAACATATGAAAAAAAGCTCATCATCACTGGTCATTAGAGAACTGCAAATCAAAACCAGAATGAGATACCATCTCACACGTTAGAATGGCGATCCTTAAAAAATCAGGAAACAACAGATGCTGGAAAGGCTGTGGAGAAATAGGAACACTTTTAAACTGTTGGTGGGAGTGTAAATTAGTTCAATCATTGTGGAAGACAGTGTGGTGATTCCTGAAGGATCTAGAACAAAAAATACCATTTGACCCAGCAATCCCATTACTGGGAATATAGCCAAAGGATTATAAATCATTCTACTATAAAGACACATGCACATGCATATTTATTGCAGCACTATTCACAATAGTAAAGACTTAGAACCAACCCAAATGCCCCTCAATGATAGACTGAATATAGAAAATGTGGCACATATACACCATGGAATACTATGCAGCCACAAAATGAATGATTTCATGTCATTTGCAGGGACATGGATGAAGCTTGAAACCACCATTCTCAGCACACTAACCCAGGAACAGTAAACCGAACACTGCATGTTCTCAGTCATAAATGGGAGTTGAACAATGAGAACATATGGGCACACAGAGGGGAACATCACACACTGGGGCCTGTCAGGGAATAGGGGGCAAGGGGAAGGATAGCATTAGGAAAAATACCTAATGTAGATGACGGGTTAATGGGTGCAGCAAACCACCATGGCACATATATACCTATGTAACAAACCTGTACGTTCTGCCCATGTATCCCAGAACTTTAATAATAATAATAATAATAATAATAATAATAATAATAATCTCTCTGGCTTCTCTTTGAAGGATGGATTGGAGAAGCAAAAATAGTAGAAATAGGGAGACCAGATCGCAGGTTATCAATGCAGTTGACATAAGTGATGATTGTGTCTTGGACTACAGTTTATGTGAAGGGAAATGGAAAGATCAGAATATGTCGTAGAAGTGAAGTCAACAGGGTTCGCTTCCTTATATTGACTTACAATGGTCTGCATATAATCTTTACCCACTGACCTTGTTTGGTTCTTGGAGGAAATACAGAATAGATTTAATCCCTTCAGATTTTAAAAAGCAGGACACATGACCTCTCTTAAATATCCCTATTTCCAGACTAACAAGCCCTACTTCCCTCCAACTATTTTCCGATACCTTTTTAACTTTGCTGAATATCCTGGATACCTCCCATTGATTATCTTCCTTTTTGGCAATGTCTCTTTTAAAATGTGGTGTCCAGAACTAAATGAAGCACTTCAGGCATTCCCTGACAACTACAGAGTCCAATGGGGCAATTTCCTTCCAGAGTGTACTGCATTTCTTTTAATACAGCCTAGGGCATATGCATTTCATGCTTAACAAAGGAAGGTAGTGGTAGGACAATATACTTTGAAGAGTCAAAACCAGGATTACCACCTGACTATTACTGGATAATATTTATGAAAGTAGATTTTTTGTGTGTGAATAGAGCTATGGAGAGTATGGTTTTCTTGGCAGATGACAATCTTAAGAGAAGGTGCTAAATTAATAATTAAATAAAGGTGCCACTAAAAAGATCTGCTGGGGTTGGAGGTGAGGTGAGGAGAGCACATGGTGAAGCAGGACAGGAGAGTGATTGAGCAAAGCAAGGTTAATAATGAGAGATGTTTCTGAGGAATGAGGCGAGTGAAGTGGAAAATTCAGGTGAACATAAAACAATTATTTCAAGTTGAAAACAATGGTAAACATGATTTTTGCAGTCAAGTTCTCTGGGTTCTTTAAGGACCTTAATTGGTTTGACTCTGTGTTTTGCATCAGTCACAAATGATACTTCGTGAACCAAATTTTAATCACTACAAAGGTGATGTCTTAACTATGTTTTAGCTAATTTGTTTCCTTATCAGTTATTTCTATTCCATGGTTCCACAGGACATGGAATAGTCCTTATTGTTAATAGACAATAAGTCTATTAACTCTGAAGCAGTCTAAGGATGTGAGAATTTGTGGCATATTAAAACTGTCTCCTAAATGCCAGATCTGATTTTTTATCTTTGTTATATTTCGCTTTTATTACTCCATGCAGAATATTGTCTTATTGTGTGAATGAGCATCTGAAATTGGGGGAAGACCACGAGATGGTGAAGAGGGACATTTTGAGAGGAAATTAACTCAATCCCTAAGAGGAAATGTGCCACATTCAATGAATGAAAATATATCATTCCATTTATCCTCATTCAGGAAAGAGGGCATTATACACATAGTACTTTTCTCAATAACGAAATGAAATCATAAAAGTTAATATTTAACTCTAATCTTTCTTAAAATTTGTGCTGAAAATGTTGAGTTGGGGTAGACATAAATAGGAAGGTCCCAAATAAAGCTTCCAAAACAGTGTTTTTAAGACAACGTATTTAATATTCACAATCTAGAGTACAGTAGAATACAATCCAGGAAGCAAAAGAAGTATACCATTTAATAAGAACTAAAACAGCAACAATATCTCATTTTTAATGCTTTCTAGAACTTGTGAGAATTTTATAGAAATTAATCCATTCATCTTTACAGCTTTCTGAAGAGTAAGTTGAAATAAAAAGGAATAATTTACCAAAAAAAGCCATCTATTAAAATCTTACTATGTGCTAACCTTTATGTTTAGTGGATTATCCTGATGCCTTAGAAAACACCTCAATTCATCCTTGCCAACTGACACAGACAGTATTTCAAAACATTCAAATAACAAAATCATTATCTAAATTCCTTAATGAGGTACCCAAGTACCACACTTCACTGTACTTCCTGAGTAACCTATAACATCTATATGTTAAATTCTGCAGCTTCATCATGCTATGTCAACTCAATGTCTATAAGGAGATTTTAGGTTTGACTAATACCATAAAGATATTTGAGGAAAAAAATGTTATTATTAATATGTAAGGAAGAAACATTAGATTCAGTGTAAATATTCTAAATACTTTTGGCAAAACTCTGCCCCAAAGGTTAAGGCCACTGTTTTGTAGATTGGAAACCAGTTGAGGTTTATAAAACAAAGGATAAGAATCAGTTTATTAAGAACTGTTCATTTTTAACCTGGACTGGGACAATTTTTATTGAACCTTTCATAAACTAACTGGAGGTGGTTTATAAGTTGCAGACAACACTAAGCTCTTCCAGTTAGTGAAGAGGTAAACTGATGAGAGTACAACATAGCCAGATAACCTGAGATTCTGAGTTGGCATAAAAGTGGTAGCCAGACTCCTCAGGGAGAAAGTGCAAAGCAATGCATTTAGCTATCAGTTATATTGCTTAAAAAGACTGGACCTGAGTATCTTTTGGGAGTATTTATTCAAGACATTGGAGTAATTGTTTCCATAGCCAAAAAGATTAAAAAAATCAAGTCAAAGTGCAAACATTACTTTGCCTTTTTATAAGTAAGACCTTCCATTTGCTGACATGGTATATAGTAAGGCAATAACTAATTAATATTCTACTAAAAACAGAGTCAGTGTGTCATTTGGAAGCAGAATATGTTGTTTCTAGTCCTGGCTCAAGTGCTTATTATTTTATTCAATAAATCATTCATTTAGTCATTCATTCAAAGCAAGATTAAGTATTTATTATGTATCAGACACTCTTCTGGGTACAGTTAAGTATGTATAGATGATAAAATTACATTCTCTATCCTGAAAGAGCTAATGCTGTATAGGGGAGATGAACAAAATAGCAAACAATGACAATATAATATATTGTCAATACAAGTTTATGGAGCAAACGTAATACATAAGAGACAAAACTATTTCAGATGAAGGTAGAAGATGTTTTGTAAGTAGTTCAGTGTGGCCAAAGTGTGAGTTACAAGAAGAATGGAAGAATGGCAATAAAACTGAGATATAGGAGGAAGAGCTGGTTTATGAACAACCTACTAGGCTAGGCTAAGGTGTTTGTTTGTTTGTTTGTTTGTTTGTTTTAATATAGCTAAGGCAATGAAAAGTCATAGTGAACTTTAAGGAGAGGTGGGCAATGGCAATTGTTAAATTTATATTTCCGAAAGGATAGTTCAATATGGTTACGAAAACTAAATTGGATTATATTCAAGTTTGGAGACAAAGGAAACATTAGAGTACTACTGAAGAAGTTTGGACAAGAAATAAGAAGGATTTTTTAGGGAAAATAAAGAGAAAAATAGCAGGACTTGATGACCTATTAGAATAGGAGATACGTAAGGGAGGAATCAGGGATAAACCCCAGGTTTCTGGGTTGGGCAACTGGGTATATTATGAAAATAATACTGGCCAAGGTAGGAAAAGTAGGTGTGTGTTAAAATTTGGGAACTATTGATTTTGAAGAAACTGAATATCCTCCAAGAAAGGAAATATGCACAAAATGTTTGCACAAAACTCTAGACATAAAAGTAGATATTTATGCTATAGACACCGATTTTGAAATTATCAAATTGGACAGTTGAAGCCAAAAGTTTGAGTGAGATTTAAAAATGTCGTCTAGTAATGGAACCTTGAGAGTCTTCAACACCATACCAGCAATAGGACTATTTATAGATAGATACAAATGTGTGTGTGTATATATATATTTATATTTTAATTTAATTTTAAATAAATATAAATTTATTTTATATTTAATAAAAATAATAAAATGTAATAAATATAAATTTATTTATATATTTAAATTTATTTTAAATTCCACATTGAACATTTATTCAAAATATGTCCTTAGAGTATAATGGAATTAAAGAAGTAATTGATAACAAGAAGATACCTAGAAAATTATCAAGTATTTGGAATTTAAACAATACCCTTCTAAGCAACCCATGGGTCAAAGGTAAAAAATCTCAAGGGAAATTAGGAAATATTTTGAACTGACTGAAAATGAAAATACAACATAGCAAAATTTGCAGGAGGCAGCTAAGGAAATACAGGAAAATGTACAGTATGTAATACTATATTAGAAAAGTATAAAGGTCACAAATCAATAATCTAAGTTTCCATGTTAAGAAACTAGAAAAAGAAGAGCATACTGAATACAAATTAAGCAGAATGAAGTAAATAATAAAGAGCACAAATCAATAAAATTAGAAACAAAAATAGGGAAAAATCAATGAAAACAAAAACCAGTGCTTTGAAAAATCAACAAAATTGATAAATTCTAACCAGTCTGACAAAGAAAAAAAAGATAAAATGCAAATTACAAATATCAGGAATAAAAGGGATGATATCACTACATACCCCACAAACTGTAAAATAAAATTAGATACTAGAAATAACTGCATATTTTAAATTCAAAAAATAGATTACACGGGCCAAATTCTTGAGACACAAACTATCAGAACTGACTCAAGAAGAAATAGATAATCTATAATTACTGAATTGAGATTGTAGTTTAAAATCTTTCAAAAAAATGAAGACCCAGAAGAATTCTACCACACATTTAAGAAGAAAAAAAAGTATTCTGCATAATATCTTTCAGAAAATAGAAGGTAACAACTCACAAGGCATTCTATGAGGCAAGTATTACCCTAATTTCAAAACCACAGAAAGACTTTGCGGGAAAACTGTAGACCAACCAACATCTCATATGAACACAGACTCAAAAATTATCAACAAAATATCAGAAAATTATATCCAACAATATATAAAAAGAATAATATACCACAATCAAGTGGTTTCTTCTTTCCAGGGATGCAAGCCTGGTTCAATTTTGAAAAATCAAACAATGTAATTCTCCACATTAAGAGATTAAATAGGGAAAAATACATGATCACCTTAATACACGGAGAAAAAGCTTTTGATAAATGTCAATATGCATATGTGATTTTAAAAATCCTCGGCAATCTAGTAATAGAACTTCCTTAATCTGTAAGAAGCCATCTTTAAAAAAACAAAACAAAACAAAAAACAATTAACATCATACACAATTATGAAAAACTTAATGTATTCACCTAAAGATCTGGGACAAGGCAAGAATGTCCTTTCTCATAATTCCTTTTCTAAATCCTACTAGAAGTCTTAACTAGTCTGATAAGTCAAGGATAATAAACAAAAGACATATAGCTTAGAATAGATGAAATAAAATTGTCTCTCTTTAGAGATTTTTTTTCTTTTTTTTTTAGATGGAGTCTCACTCTGTTGCACAGGCTGGAGTGCAGTGGAGCAATCTTGGCTCACTGCAACCTCTGCCTCCCAGGTTCAGACGATTCTCCTGCCTCAGCCTCCTGAGTAGCTGGGACTACAGGCATGTGCCACCACACATGGCTAATTTTTGTATTTTTAGTAGAGACATGGTTTCACTATGCTGGCCAGGCTGGTCTCGAACTTCTGACCTCAAGTGATCTGCCTTCCTCAGCCCCCCAAAGTGCTGGGATTACAGGAGTTAGCCACCGCTCACTATTTTCTATATGCTTGCTATTAATTCAAAAATTTTCAAAATAGCCTTAACAATAGCACCCGAAATGAAATATTTTGATATAAATATAAAAGCATAGTATCAAGGTCAATATGCTAAACATTACAAAACACTGATGAAAGAAATGTCAAATCTATATAAATGGGGAGATATACTGTGTTCATGTGCTAGAAGAGTGAATACTACTAACATGTTAATTCTCTCCAATTTAATCCATAGATTAACATAAAGCAACAGAACATTCCAGCAGACCTTTTGTAGATACCAACAAATTGATTCTAAAGGAACTAGAATAGCCAAACAATTCTGAAAAATAAGAACAAAACTGGAGAAATCACACTACCTGATTTTAGGCCTTACTATAAAACTAGATTAATCAAGACAGTCTGATATTGATGAAAGATAGATACATAGATAGGTGAAACAGAATACAGCCCAGAAGTAAGCCCTTGCATATAGTCAACTGATTTGTAACAAATATATAAAAATAATTTAATGGAAAAAGTTAGCCTTTTCAACAAATGGTGTTAAAATAATTGGATATAGGTAGGCAATCTATTCCTCACACCTAATGCAAAAATTAGCACAGAATACATCATTGACGTTAAAACTATAAAACTTCTAGAAGAAAATGTAGGAGAAAATCTGCATGACCCTGTGCTTGATGAGATTTTATAGACATCACCAAAAACACAATCTGTAAAAGAAAATATAAATAAATTGAACTCTATCAAAATTAAAATCTTCTCTGCTAAATACACTGATCCAAGAATAAAAAGACTGGAGGTAAATATTTGAAAATCACATTTCTGACAAAGATCTTGTATCTAGATTATAAAACAAATTCTCTAAACACAACAGAAATAAAACAAACAACCCAATAAAACAAATTGCTGAAAGATCTGAAGAGGCACTTTACCAAACAGTGTATATGAATAGCTTATAAATACAAGAAGAGACAGTTAATAAATAAACTGCAAATTAAAACTATGTGCTACCATCCACATCTATTAGAAGGATGGGGGTTGGAGGAAATGGCACTACCAAGTCCTGACAAAGATGCAGAATAACTGAAACTCTCATACATTGCTGGTGGGAATTGAAAATGGTACAGTCTCTTTGGAAGACAGTATAGAGGTTTCATATAAAGTCAAACATATATGTACAATATGACTCAGCAATCTCACTTCTGTTTATTGACTAAAAATAATTGGAAACTTCATGCAAACATTTCTATATAGATATTTATAGCAGCTTTCTCATAATCATATGCATGCCTTTTAAATGGTAGGTTAATATACAAAATGTGGTACATACATACAATATAAAAAGAAACAAGGCTGGGCATGGTGGCTCATTCCTCTAATGCCAGCTCTTTGTGAGGCCAAGGCGGGCAGATCACCTGAGGTCAGGAGTTTGAGACCAGCCTGGCCCACATGGTGAAACCCCGTCTCTACTAAAAGTACAAAATTAGCTGCTTTTGGTGGCAACCCAGCTACTCAGGAGAGGCAGGAGAATTACTTGCACCCAGGCACCCAGGCAGCGGAGTTTGCAGTGAGCCAGTGTTGAGACTCTGTCAAAAAAAAAAAAAGAAAAAAGAAAAAAGAAAAAAAAATATTCCGCATGGATGAATCTTAAATGTATTTTACTAAGTGAAAGAAACCAGACCCCAAAGGCTACACATAGCTTGAGTACATTTATATGGTGCCCATATAATTAAGCAAAAAATAGATACATAGAAAATAGATTAATTGGGAAGATCAGTACTGCATTTTGACTACAAAGCGACAGCACAAGAAAATTTTTGCGGTGATGGAACTCTTCTGTAAGAAAATGTGGTGATAGATGTCTGAGTCTATATCTTTGCCAAAAACTCATAAAAGTGTACACCAAAAAGAGTGAGATTTACCATACATAAATTTAAGAAATGAACCAAAATGTTGGAGAAACTCAAGAAGGAATGCAAACTATAAGGATGAATCTAACTGTATTAAACGTAAATTACATAACCACACTGAAGGAAGTCAGGAAGAAAGTAGTTGATTTCCGTAACCTTGGACAAAATACTTTTATTAATACTATAAGGCTGAAGAAGAAAGATCTGTACAGAAACTAAACTATAGTTGATAAATGTACCTTTCATAGGTGTATCATTTAGCATTTATAAAATTACATGTATATTAGGCTTGAACAAAACTAAGTAAATATATTATAGGTCATGAGAACTAGATTGCTCACTGTCAAAGAAAGAAGTTAGAAAGAAAGAAGGTTAGTTTGAATACTTGGTGGCTAGAGTCAAAGTTATCAATATAATCTCATGGATTTTATTTTAGATAGATTAGATAGAGCAATATTATAGAGATGATAGATGTCAGAGATTTGTGTTCATGCCTGGGTATGTATACATATATATATTTCCTAGCTCTATTCACTGAAAGGAATTCAACACAGGGATATCTCCATGCAATGAGCAAAATTGGTGTCTAGATCTCTGGGCTTCTAAATATCATTCTCTAATAAAAGCAATCAGGGTTCTTTGAAGAAGTAGTTGATTTCAAAGCTGGAAAAATACAGGAACAACCTGAAGCATCTTGTACTAGAAAGTAAAGAGGCATGCAATAAACCAAGTTGTTTAAGGATGAGGGTATCACTTCCCACTGACTCCTTATCACTAGAATCAGAAAAACTTGAACAACAAAATAAATGATGATAGTGTTATACTATGACTGAGAAAATAAATATCCATGAGTTAATACCACAATAAAAATAAGTGAATAAAGAAATTAGATAAAAGGAATGACACTTCCTTATAGAAAAAATTCAATTAATAAATGAAAGGAATGAGGAAAATAGAAAAAATCACAATTGGGACAGCATGGTAATAATTGATATAAGCAAGATTCACCTGTGGATGCTAAAATTAGCAGTGAAAATTTAAACAAAGGCAAGATATTTGTAGATTCTCAAAGTCTCTTCCTCCAAATATTTATTAATTACAAAGGGTAAAACAATTAGTTTACAATGTAGTAAAGCACATATACCACTTTAGCCAACTGATCAAAGTTATCATCATACATATCCATATAACATCATTTACTCACTTATTTGACACCCTGAGAAGGCATGAAGCTCCTGTGGCATTCTTCCCCAAAATGCACAACCTTGATCTAACTATGAAAACATATCAGACCTTGGAAACAACCTAAATGCCCATCAATGATAGACTGGATAAAGAAAATGTGGCACATATACACCATGGAATACTATGCAGCCATAAAAAGAATGAGTTTATATCCTTTGCAGGGACATGGATGAAGCTGGAAACCATCATCCTCAGCAAATTAACACAGGAACAGAACACCAAACTCATAAGTGGCAGCTGAACAATGTTCTCACTCATAAGTGGCAGTTGAACAATGAGAACACATGGACATAGGGAGGGGAACATCACACACCAGGGCTTTTCAGAGGGTGGTGGGGAAGGGGACAGAGAGCATTAGGACAAATACCTAATGCATGTGAGGCTTAAAACCTAGACGACGGGTTCATAGGTACAGCAAATCACTATGCCACATGTATACCTATGTAACAAACCTGCACGTTCAGCACATGTATCCCAGAACTTAAAGTAAAATAAAAAAAAAAGAAAACAGACAAACACAAGTAAGAACATGCTGCACAAACTCCTACCAGTGCCTTTTAAATACAGTTAGGTTATGAATGACAATGTCACAAAATAGAAGAGACTAAGGAAACATGACAGCAAAGTGCCAAATCAGATCCTGGATTGGATTCTGGAACAAAAGCAGCACAGTGAAATTAGAATAAAATCTTTATTTCAGTTTATAGTATTGTATCAATGTTTCTTTCTTAGTTTTGATGTATACTATGATTATGTAAGATGTTAACTAAAGGGTAATCTGGGTGTTGAATATAGAAATTCTCTGCCATGCTTTTGCAACTCTTGTGTAAGTCTAAAATTAACTCAAGATTAAAAGTTGAAAAGAAAGTATTGCTGAGGCTATGAAGCAACAGGTACTCATGCACTGATGTTCATCATCATTATGAAAGGCAAATAGTTACAACCACTTTGGAAAACCACTTAGCCTTTTGTCAAAGTGACTGTAAATATGCCCTATTATGTATTAGTAACAATTCTACTTCTAGGGATATAACACGGATTTGCATACTTAGGTGCTTCAAAAGATATGTACAAGAATGTGCATGGCAGCATTATTTAAAACAACAAAAAGCTAGAAACAAGCCCAATATCCATCAATAGAAAAATGATACATTTTGGCACTTTCATACAGTGAAATTCTGTGAAGCAACACAAATGAACCAACTACTGCCACATGAAACAACATGCATGGTTTCCATAAGTGTTATGTTGACTGAAAGAAGCTAAACACAAAATAATATTCATTGGGTAATGTAATTTACATGAAGTTAAAAATAGGCAAACTAATGTATGGTGTTAGAGGTCAGAAAAGAGTGGTCATCATAGCAGAGGAGGAAGGATCTCACGTTAGGGAGGGGACATAAAAGATGCTGTGGGATGCTGGTAAGCTTCCAGTTCTTGAGCTGGTAGTTGTATGAATGTATTCATTTTTGGAAAATTCATCAAGCTGCACACATTAAGATCTGTGTCTTTTTTGTATGCATATTATAAATTTTAATAAAAGTAAAGTTTGTTTTTATGTGTTAAGACAAAGGATTATTTGGTTGCTCTGCTGAGAATATACCTTAGAAATACTGGAATGGAAGCAGAGTGATCAGTTAGGAGATAATTTCACATTACAAAAATTTAAACTATTTTACTTATGAGGTTTTAGAAAAGGAGAAAGAATACTGGATTGCAACAGCATGTCAAGAGATGATTGAAAATTGTTCTAAAGTCCTAATATTCCTCAGGAGTAGGTTAAGATTGATTAACCTTTGTTAATCATGAATGTTAAAATATCAGAAATGACCATTAAAGGCATACAAATAAATTTAAAAATAGATTTTCTTCCTCCAAAGAAGTAGAAGAGAAAAATAGAATGAAGGAAAAAACAATTGAAAAAAGGCAAGGGGAAAAAAAATCACAGAAAAGTGAGAATTAGAAACCACAAAGTAAGATGGTAGAAACAAGTTTAAATATCAGCAATCAAAAATGAATAAATGAACTGACTTCCTTTCAGAGAAGAGAATTCTCAGCTCAGGGAATAAATCCAGTCTTATGCTGTTTTCAAAGTGGCAAACCTAAAATACAAGCTGTTAAAAGGCTAAAAGTAAAAAGATGCAGAGATATACTGAGCAACTATTAATCAAAACAAAGCTAGGGTATCTGTTTAATTTTATGCCAAAGAACTCATAGAGATAAAAAGGGAGTGGGGATCATGACTTAATGATAAAGTTTCAATATAGAAGACCTATGTATTCAAAACTTGTAGCAACTTGTAAAATAGCTTAAAATTATAAAAAAAAAAAAAAAGCCACACTAGAGCTACAGAGAGAAATAGATACCCCAGCATTGTTTCAACACATCTTTTTATATTATTCTTAGGTAAAGGAGACCAAAAAAAAATTATGACAATAAGAAAGTGGTGAGAATACTAGCTTCATTTAGAGGAAATACATAGGTCCTTGGATCTGACAAACAGAAAATTCCCATTCTTCTCAGGCACACATGAACCATCTTTAAAATGGGTGAGGGGCAAATAGTAGGTAATTCTCTACTAATTTCAAAGAATAGATATCATCCAGATTATGTACTCTGGCCACGATGAAATTACTACAAAACAAAAACAAAAGATCTATTTTAAATCATATACTTTAAAGTTTTTTTTTAAAAAAGCATTGCTCAAAACTCATTAAGAAAGAAGATATCATACTGAAATAAGAATTTTGAACTGAACACTAATAAAATTACTTCATATTAAAACTTTGCAACACAATACAAGTAAATGTTTGAGGGAAATTTTTGTCTTAAATGTTTTACATGCAAGAAGCTATAAACAAATTGCAAACCAAAAAAATAAATAAATAAATAACTATTTTTAAAAGTAAGTAAGAAAAACAGACTACATCCAGATCAATGATGAGGAGACACAGGTGGTGAGAGAGAAAAAGAAGTCTCAAAAAAGAAAAATGTGGCCATTATTTTTATTTTTTGAAAAAAATGTTGAGTATAGAATTGTGGAAGCACAGATTTGTAAACAAAGGCTGAAGACAGCTCAGTTGTAGAGATAGGAACTTCTGAGAGAGGGACGCCCTCACCTGTAGCTCTTCAGGACTGAGAAAATAAACAACTGCCATCATGGAAGGGGACAACAGAAGGGTACATGTTCTTAAGCCAGATTCAGGCCTCAGCTCAGTAAGAAGGTGAAAGGAGCTTTCTGTGAAGAAACTAAGGGTGTGAAGCTTTGTTTATCATGATACAGAGGTCCCAGAGGAAGGAAAGAAAAGATTTGGAAGGGAGTAAAGAAGTGGGAAAGCGAGTCTGGGAAAAACTGCATGATATTAATAGTATTAATAGTACTAGAATGAGCGCACATGAGAGGAACAGACATGAGGCTTTCTTATGGACTTTGGTTAAGAAAAAGAAAATGTGAGGCTCAAGGTGTTTTATGTCCCTAAGGCTCTGAAGGAAACTCAGAAGGAATGGTGTATTAACACTCCCACAGGCTAAAGATCCTGACATACTATAAGCTTGTTAATTCTGACAAAATGTAGCCCTTGGCCAAAGTTCCAACAGAGCACTGTTACAAAATAATTGAGAACTTTCTGAAGTCCTTCTGGCAAAAAGCAGCAAATCAAAGGACTCCGGTGACTCTTAGAATCAGCTAAGAACTGCCGGGCGTGGTGGCTCATGCATGTAATCCCAGCACTTTGAGAGGCCGAGGCGGGCGGATCACGAGGTCGGGAGATCGACGTCATCCTGGCTAACGCGGTGAAACCCCATCTCTACTAAAAATACAAAAAATTAGCCGGGCGTGGTGGTGGGCGCCTGTAGTCCCAGCTACTTGGAAGGCTGAGGCAGGAGAACGGTGTGAACCCGGGAGGCGGAGCTTGCAGTGAGCCGAGATTGCGCCACTGCACTCCAGGCTGGGCGACAGAGCGAGACTCCGTCTCAAAAAAAAAAAAAAAAAAAAAAAAAAAAGAATCAACTAAGAACTGATTTTGGTCACATGTCAGTGGAAATCCACCCCTGTTCAGGTGCTAGTTTTACTGGTTTCCAGGACATTTTCCTGGTATGAATCTCTGGCAAGAGTGGATTTTGACCTCGGTTGATGGAGGCAGTTCAGTTTGTTTCAAAACTTAACAGTTGTGTGACCTAGTCTGAAATATTTAAAATTTCTTCGTTTTTCCCCTTTATATTTAAAATTTAAAATTGATACAGGGTCCTTGAGATGACTGCTGATAACACAGAATAGTGCCTAGCCTTGAAGGCGCCTGCTACATAGGGGGTAGTTCATAAATTGTAACTCATCATTAGTATTAACACTTGTTGCAGATTATTACTTATCTACAAGTTACAAGCATGCTTATGTGCTTTAAAAATCACCAGTCCTTTAGCACACAAGTACATGACAACCACTACCCCTTAGCCAGAGTCTACCAGATCAATAATTTCACTTCCTTTACTGCATCCTGTTGACCAGGTCCAGCTTCCACTTCAAAGTTACCTCACGTTGTCCACATTGATACTGCCGCCATCTCTCCCAGGAGATGTGGAGAGGGAAGTGGGACAGTCAGCAGCCTTTTATGCTGCCCTTTATATGCTTGCTCTAATTCTTTTACGCTGTGCTCTGCTTGCCTCTCTTTTATCCCGCTCTTGATTCATTCATTTATCAAACAGTTATTGAGTGTCCGTGTACTAGGTTGAATACTAGGGATACAAAGTTGACAAAGGCATAGTCATGCCCTTAAGAATATCACAGTCCAGTGGGAGAAGGAGACGTGAGCAGATAACTGCAGTGCAATTAGGTAAGTGCTACTGGAAGGTTTCCATGGTACTTTTGGGAGCAACTAACACTTCTGGGGCAGATAGACAAAGTCTCACAGAGGTATCTGAGCAACTTTTAAAAAGGTGGGTAAGGGGATTACCAATCCAGGAGATGGAGGTGAGGATAGGGAAGGAAAAGAGAAAGAAAAGAAAACTACCAGAGACTGAAGCATTGAGCAGAGAGAGGGTGGATGGGTTCCAGTAGAGAAAAGCATGGGCATTTAACTTCACTGCAGGATTTTAGGGGGAGGCTTAAGAAAAAAAAAAATGATATTCAGGAAAAAAATGAAGTAATATTTCTCAAGGACATATTGCTTGAATTAGAAGAAAAAAATTTCCATAAGATTGCCCAAGAAAAGAACATATGTGTTCACTATAATTCGCACTGGAAAATTGAAATCTTTTAGATTCATGTTATACTTTATAGAAATGCAGTGGTGAACAAAAATTATCAAGGCATATTTAGGCATCATTTGGGAAAGTTTTAGTTTAGCTTGCATAAAACATACTTTTATTCTTTTTCTGCCTTCTTTGGTGAGTAGGCAGACTGCACTATACTCTCTTATGAGTGTTATTGTAATGAAAAGAAAAAGGATGACCATGGCAACCCAATGTCCCCATTCACATCTCCAAAGCCTTTACATTTCTTTTACCTTTTGAAAAAAAAATTAAAAGTTTAAAAGACTTTTACCACCTCTTTTGCCCCATCAAAAAGAAACATTATAGCAAAGTAGGTCCAACCCAATGAGAACCAGCAAAAACACAACTTTCTCACTTTCACGTTCACTCACAAGACCAGTGGGTTACACAGGAGTTGCTGGGAAAAGCTTCTCTCAAGAGTTATTGAGCAGAAACTTCCAACTCTAGGCCCTGAAAGGTAACCATACTATAAAATAAAACAGAGGAAAAATGTCCTAGGACTGATAAGGAGCAGGAAGAATATGTTAATTGTGGTGAAAAATGACCCGAAACATAACTTTTGACTACTTTTTCTGTTTTCTTCCTTGTCCCTAGATCCTCTCCCTAGCTCTTACAACAAATACCCAGTTCCTGTGGGTTTGTAACATCTCGTTATTCCTGAAGGAACAGATCTGGAAGAAGGCAGACTTTTCTGTAAGCCCAAAAATTCTTCAGGGTTCCTGGTAGGTTGATATTATATTCCAGACCAAGAAAATAAGAGAAGAAAGGCAGAATAAATTTTGTATTATTTTCTCACAAATATTTACAGGTCAAAGTCCCTAATCCTTAGCTACCGCTTAGGGTTGTCGTGTGTCAGCAGGGTTAGCCTGGATTTGTTTCATCTTGGTTAGAAAGCTGGTATCAGCAATTCTACTGAATATTAGAAACGTGTTTGTTTCCTGGACATATGGATCATACACACATCATGTCTTTTTGTCCTGTGGAGTTTTATTCTAACATTTATGTTGAGACAAAGATAGGCCCTATTTAGATTCTAAATCATTAGTACAAGAAGATGTTTTAGAGATCATCTAATGAATGAAACCACTCATTTTTTGTGGAAATTGAAACACCTTAACTTGGTATCTAATATTGCGGAACAGTAAACAGTTTAATTTTAACGTGTGTAAGCTACAAGAGTTTCAGTACCTTTAAGAAGAAGAGGAGGGGATATTTTAATTACTGTAAAGCAACTCATGATCACAAAACAAATATTTTCATACTATTTTGTAAATAACACTAAACTCTTTTTATCTCCATCAGCCTCAACCACGTGGTACCATTTTGCATGCAGACCACTCAGGCTGAGGAGCATTAAATTTAATTTGTGCTAAAGTTGAAGGTGGAAAAGCGTGAAATTAACTTGATACATTTTTATGGCATTTTCTGTCTCCTAGCTTCTCTGAGCCTTTCCAATCCAGAATGATTTGATTGGCTGTGTCAGGATCTCCCCATCCCTGGAACTTCCCTCTACTCTCTGTTCGGTGAAACTTTGAGGTCTGTGCATGTGTAGCCCATTCTACCTTTGCCCACGGGTGACCCAGCTGAAGAAAATGCTGATTTATTTGGCTTGGTATTTACTTTGGCCAAGCTTCAGTCTGTGCTCAAGGTTCACTCTTCTTGGTGATTCATCCTTTCAGGAATATGTGTGTGAACAGCAAAAGATGAGTCAACTCATTCAAGAAATCATTCAGCATGGTCCAAATAGCTTGCAAAGATTTTGAGAGAAAGCTAAACCTTTTATAAGGCTATACGGTAAATAGTAACTTTCCAGCAATCAGTTGCTAGTATAACACCTACAAACTTTCAAGGTTTTTACAGATATGCCTCAATCTCTGGGGATAAAGCTGAGATATTCCATATTGTATTCATCAAGGAAGCACTTCTACACAATTTAAAAAACCCATAGAGCAAGAGCTGATTGAAGGCAATTATGTTTAGAGAGAGACAGATGGAAATGAGACTGTGGGTTGCCTACTGTAGATTTCATTTAGTGACCATTTGTTAAGTGTTATAAAAAATGTCTACACCAGGAAATGTAAGCACTCCTATCCTATTATTACAAGTCTTGGAAGACATTGCTATCAATTCTGTTCATCTTCTGATATGATCATTCAAATAGTATTATTTAAATAACATGGTTGTACAGAGATTTTGGAGTTTCGTGAGGATAGCTTTGCAATGGGGTATATTTGCAATATTGAAGAGGATAATAAAAACAAAAATGAAATGTATAAATACCACAAATTGAGAATTTTACCTTATTACATTAGTATTTAAAAGGTAATCATGAATGAATATTTTGTGCATGTTTACAGAAATAACCATGTAGTAATTTTGTAAAGGTACCTATTTAAAATTTATTATGCTCATGGCCATGTGTCTTTTCCAGTACTGGCCAGTTTGCCCTTAAAGAAACTCTTTTACCCCACAAAATAATTTATCTTTTTTTCAAGAGAACATGTTTTTTACCCCAAATAGGACTTGTACTCCACTTGCCAATACCCAATACAAACCAAATCTTCTGCATTAATTGATTCTGTCTGCTGTACAGGGACATTTCCACAGGTGGTGGGCTCTAGTGGTGCAAGTGTTATGTGACATCATGCATTCATATCTGATACATGTAAATAAATAAGTTTACATTTGCTCATGCCTGGATTTTATCAAACTTATAAATAAAGGCCTTCCTGTTTCTAAAAGGACTGTAGAAAAAAAATCAAATGATTCAGTCTCATGGCAAGGCCTTTCAAAGAAAGATTAAAGGGCTTCATAATAAACCTATAATTTGGGAAAATAAGATCAGTGCCTTTCCATTAATATTGGAAATATTAAGAACACCAATAACATGGAGAGAAAAAGTAGAAATAAGAGAATATTTATGTGTTGAGAAAGAAGGGGTAGACTTATTTGTCCTTTAAAAGAATAGTTGAATAAGAAACTCACAAGATAGGAATTTTTTTATCCTCGTTGAACAAATGAGAAAACTGAGGATCTGCAAAAGTGTTACTTGTCAATAGTTATACCAATAGAATACAGCAGAACTAAGATGGAACCCAGTTCTAACAATCTGCAGAACTTAATCCTTGTAAACTTAAGGAAAGTATCTCAGAGAAGATTATGTCTATGTTAAAGTTTGAAGAAAGAATTAAAGCCTGATTTATGAACACCTAGGTAAACATTAGAGAAAGAGTATTCTAGGCAGAGGGTGAGTAATTACAATTATAGCTATAGTTTATAGCATTTACTTTGTGTAGACACCTAATGCACAAGGTACATAACTATTAAATAAACACACATTGAACCTCCTAACAATCTAACAAAGTAAGAAGACAAAATGAAGACCAGGTAAGGTTTCAGTAATCCATTATAGTTATGACATGTCAGAGCCTGACTTGAAGCTGAGTCTGAAGGATCCCCAAAGTCTGTGCCCTTTCTAAATTCTTAGGGTCACTAGCATAGCTGGATCAGAGGTGATGGGAGAAAAAATGGTAGAATTGAGGCTGTTGAGTAGAACAGAGGGCAGGTCACAAAAAGCTGTGATAACAAAGCTAGGGTGTTTATGACTTATTCTTGACTAATGAGAAGTCTTTGAAAGATATTAAATGAAGACATGACATGATCATATTTGTGTTTTAAGGTCATTCTGGGTAACGGATAAATTGGAGAGGCTTACTCAAATTATGAGGCAGAGACCTGTTAGTAGACTATTTAAATCACCCAAAGCAATAAATACTATTTAGTTAAGTAGCCATGGAATTGGCGTAGACAAGAAGGGTTCTAAATGTATCAAAGAGGTAAAATGACAAGGTATAGAGACTAGCAGATTTTCTTGCCAAGAAAGAACTTTATAGTGATTCCAGGTCTCTGATTTGGTTACTGGAAAAATCAAAGACTATAATGGAGATTAAAGATATACAGTAGTCATTAGGAAGTAAATAAACAATATCTAAGAAAGATCCAGTTATCAGCCTAGGTTCAAAATTCATGAAAAAATTTTGGTGTAGTGAAGATTAGAAAATGTTATTATTAGAATAAATTTGGAGAACACATGAGAAAGCAAATTGCATTGAAATTACAATATAGAGCGGGGCACAGTGGCTCACGCCTGTAATCCCAGCACTTTGGAAGGCCAAGGAGGGCAGATCACCTGAGGTCAGGAGTTCAAGACCAGCCTGGCCAACATGGTATAACCCCATCTCTATTAAAAATACAAAAACTTGCCAGGCATGGTGTTGGGTGCCTGTAATCCCAGTTACTTAGGAGGCTGAGAGGGAGGATTGCTTGAACCTTGGAGGCAGAGGTTGCAGTGAGCCAAGATTGCACCTGCCCTCCAGCCTGGGTGACAGAGACTCCATCTAAAAAAAAAAAATTACAATATAGGTGATTTTTGCATTTACAAGCATTTTATTTGTGTTTATATTTAATTTTGTCTACTTCACATCCCTAAAGCATACATTTCTTGACAGCAAGAATTTTATATTCTTGTTACCACTCAAATCTCTGCACATAGAATAGTCCCCAGCATAGACTAAGAACTCAGTAAATATGTGTGGGATGGATGACTGTGCATTGCATATGCTTGAGATCCTGACTAGAGGAATCCTCATAGTTTATGCAGCATCTTCAGCCAAGTGTTAATGTGCTGTTTATTTCCTGTCCTGATGAATGAAATCGGGTTTATTTCTGACATTCTGACAAATAGAAAATGTGATAACAAAACTCTCTGAACTCTGGTGCTACCTTCTTCCTCCAAATAATGAGTACCAAATAAATTCTCATATTAGGCACTCTTCAAACTCCCTAGAAAAATCAATAATACAAAGTGATGAGACTAAGGTTAGATTATTGATTCATCAATTAATATTCTTTTAACTTTTCTGACAAGAGATGGTCTCTTCAAGGCCACTGATAGCCACCTAATCTCTACTCCTTTTCCTAATCTTTATTCTCCTTGTTGTTTCATTTAACCTTGAAGGTCGCCCAGCATGGCCAGGGTCTCAAACCGTCTAATTCAATCTGCTCTAATGGAGTCAAGCTGACAGTAAAGAGAAGATCAGAAACAGCGAGTCTAATCTGCCTATATGGGAGAAAATTCAGCAAACAGGAACCAGCTCAGAGACCAAGAAAACCAAACAAGGTTATTAACCCACATCAGAACACCAGAGAGATAACAAGAAGTTGGTTCCAAGATGAAAAATGCAAGAGAGAAGCAGATTGTGGAATAAAAGAGAGGATGTTCCATGTTCATATACACCTGATTGTAGTTAGAGCCTCACCCTTCCTTTCTATCTCAGCAGGGACCTTCTGGAAAAGCTTTTCATTCTGTGCACTTTTCTTTCTCTGGCTTTCTTTGTCTCTAGATTTTCTTTGTTCTGTGCCTGATCTGTCATAATCCTCTGAGGTTTTATTCTCATTCCTCTGCATCCCCCCCTGAAAAAAATCTTATTTTCTTACAATTTCAGGTATCCCATAATACTAATTATGGCTAAGCACCTCTTTGTTTCTATGTGGATCTTTTCTTGAATCCTTGTTTCATACCATTAACTGCATACAAAATATCTCTATTTAGAAATGATATTGCAATTTCAAACTCAACTGTATGAAAGTATTTTTATTGGTATCTTAAAAACACATTTCCACTGATAATACCAATATTTGAGTACTCCTCACCTTGTGTTCAGATTACTGCAATGCATTCCTATCAGGTAATTCTTCCTTCAATCTCCTGCACCTCAAATCCAACTTATTAATATCTTCAAATTTAAAAGAATTAAATTCCATTTTTAGCATATTATCCCTCTGATTGAAAGGAAAAAATCTTAATTTTTTTGTTACAATAAAATTTCTTAACTTAAAATCAGCTGAGAACTCTTGCTGTGTTTGAGGTTACAAAAGTGCTTAACTAGAGACTGTAACAACACTATTCAGCCAACAACAGGGGTTATTTTTAGAATCCTACTTACCATTAGAATTCTAAATTTGAACCTGGACTTGCAGGTTACTATGAGGACATATTTGTCAATGTTGGAGAATGCAACATATTATATTTAACAATTTGTTTTCCTAGTTTGTTATTTCATGTATGTAGGTATAATATGCAATTGTACTCCTGCCCCACCCTTGAAAATCTAGTGGATGAGCCTAGAAAGAAACCTGAGGAATCTGATAAGACATGAGCAGAGGCAGAAACTTCAGCAATTGTGGTGGCAACAGCCACAAGGGAGTGTATGAGGTAAAGTTTGAAGATCTACTAATACATTTAAGTTAGAAGATTGAGGAATAAAGTCTATATTCATTAACCCATCATTACTAACCCTTCATACAGTTCATCAAACATTCTTCGCTCGTGCTTTTAAAATGGAATACCATGCTCTGCCTCCCCTTTCCCACTTCACCCCACCTGCACCTCACATACCCTGACTGCTTTGAATCTTTCTGCAAACACTGAGTACTCAACCTTCTATAAACTCCTACTCTACTCCCTATACTACATTTTTCTCCTAACTCCTAAGGCACATTTTTGTCTATCTTGGTCATTTGGAAATTAGCATTCCCAATTTTATTCAGCCTTGTAAACTTCTTAATGTTATAAACACCATATACAAAAGCTCTTCTAGATTGTGATCTTGTTGAGTTAAAGTACCATGGCTTACTGATCTCTCTTAGTGAAGAGGGAATGTACCGAACCATGTTAAATACCCAGATGAAGTGAGTTAAAGTTATTTTCCCAATGTTTGTTTCTTACGGGTGTTCCCTGAAAAAGGATTTAGCGTTAAAATAAGTTTGGGCAGTTTTTACAAAGTTAAGCATGTTTCTTTACTTCAATGCTTATCAGAGCCTTTAATATACTATTAAATATGATTAATATCTAAAAACAAATAATAGTGAAGAGTTGACCATATTTATTGACCTTTTTTTCAAGAATATCTTACACAGCTAGTGTTACATAATAGATACTTTTGAAAAGCCTGGCTTAAAAGCTAGTCCTCAATCAACTATCTACATATGTATTATTCATATGTAGTATATAATACCAAATTTTCGTATGTATTCAAAAGGCTACTTTTTACTTTGACATCCCCATTCCAACTCTGGGAAATTGTTCAGACTCTACAAAACTATCTGATACGCACATTTCCTGCTCACTCAGTCTTTAGAGATAAAAATTCAGGTCTCTTTTACAAAATATAGTGATGGACTGATCTCCATGTCCATTGATAAAAGATCCAGAGTGAATAGCTTTATATCAAAACATGAAATATTACGATTCTAGTTATTAACTGGAATGTGTTAAGGAGGCAGATGAGAGATAGAATCTTTCGCTCTGAAGAGCATCTGATTTTTCATGGCTAAAAATGGTTTTGACATCTGTGAGGTGGACCTTATCAGGATTTCTTGGGTTGTAAGCATCCTGTGGACAGACACAACGGCTTTCTTAGTTTTATAAAGTATCTTAAGAGAACATCAGCTAAGAATATTGACAGTAACAATGAACAGAATGCTTTTTGCTCCCTCCCTCACAGAGATGCTGTGAAAATTAATGACGGGCAGTCTGATAAGTTTCTTGAGCTCCTTTGGGTAAGATCATATAAAATGTAAAGTATTTTCACATAATGATGTTTTTGTCTAAGTCTGTAAGCATTTGTAAATTATATGATCTTAAAATACATGGTCAGTGAAGCATTAACTTCTTTGAGAGGCAGATAAATGAAGTTTATGATTGGCATGTGTGTCTGAACATTAAGAAGCTACTTAGGCTGGGTCCAGTGGGTCATTGACTTAGTAGTTCTCTTTTCATTATTTACAGATATCAAAGTAATCTAAATTTTGGCATATCACCTTCAGGGTCAACAGTAAGGAGGATGGCCAGCCCAGAAACACTCCCACTATTATCTTAGCTGACCTGCAAGTAACTACATTGAGAAAAACTCTATCTAATTTGTGATAATGCCATGGAATTAAGGTTTCCATTAGTACTCTCAGACATTGTGGAGTATTTTCCTCAAATACTGTCACCTTCATTTTTTCTAATTGAATTTCTCATTTTTGAAGCCAGAGTTTCTTTTATCAATACCGTTATTAGCATTTGCATTCCTATTTTTAACTCCCATTTCAAGGCATGCCTTGAAAACATTTTGTTGAAAGCAGTTATTTGCCATGTTTAGTGTGTTGCAGTTCGGCAAAATTGAAAAAATACCTCTACTGCATTAGTAACATAAGAACAAAAATGTATTTTATCACTCTGGGTATGTAAACACTCAGAGAACAGAAAATCAAATAATAGAAAGAAGAGGAGACATAGTCTAATGGACTCAGCAGAGAATTAGGAGCCAAAAATATCTCAGCTCTAACCTTGGCTCCGATACAGGGTTCTATGTCCTTGGGTCTGTTCTTTTCTCTTCATGGAAAAGAAGAACTGAAAAAAAAGTGCTTCATTGTGGTAGAAATGGGGAACAGCAGTTGGAAGAATCACAGACATTTCAGTATGATTTAAAGCAAGATTTTCACCTTAGCTGTACCACTGTTATATTTCTATCAATTGCTGTCACAAATTTGACACTGTCTCTGTTCATGCTGCCGTAATTCTAATTGTTTTGTCTCTATATCCTTTGAACTTGAATGCTTTCCGGGTACAAATAAGTCATTTGAAAGACCTAAGTTAAACAGCCTTATCCTTTATTCTTGTTATGACAGTGGTATGCAGCTATACATTCCTTAAGGAGACAACCAGTTCAGGAAACAGAGTATACATGCCTTGTGGTGTCAAGTTTTTCTTAGGGTTTGACCAGGTTGAATATATTCTATTACACACAGTCACCATCTGTGATGTTTGGACAGAAGATAGAACACATAGTACCTCACCAGCATCTTGTATAAACCTGTCATTTTAATTAGTGAGAGACCATTTGTGTGAGGGCTTACACATCACCTCATGAAAAAAAAAATTATCTCCTCACATCAGCAAAACATTCCAAAACACAACTTAAAGGCAGGAACTGTGTGCTGCTCCTCTGTATTTCCAGCATCTAACAAAGTTTCGACAAAAAGAGTGGCCAAATAAGTGTTTATTAAATTGACATGTATAAGATTAAGTTTCTCTTCCTAACTATATAAGTAATAATGCTTATCCGAGCACCAGTAAAGGGAAAACTAATGGGTAAAAACAAGAATGAAGCTCCTTCGAGGTTCACTTTCACAGATGCACCTGCTGCTACCTTAGCCACCACCTCTTCCTCCCTCTCAGCACACGTGGGCACAGAGTGGACCACAGTGAGGACCCTGCTATTAGGGAACCCTTCTCCAGATGCAGTATCTTGGTATTCTTGACAAACTGCAGTGCAGTACATGTCGCCTCCTCTTCTGTCTCCACTTCTCCTATGGGTCTAAATAAGTTAGGAAGTATCTCCTCTTCCCACTACAATGGGCTTCTCAAAATTTCTCTGTGCAGTAGTGGAAAATGTCGCTCAACTACTTCAATCTTTCTCTACCTTGCAAGTTCACACTACCAACCCTCCCCTGTCCCCCAAGCTAAATGGACAGATTGCTGCCTCCCCCAGAGTCTTCCTTTAGCCAGTTAGACCCTTTCTGTTGGAAGGCTTCCTCTGCAATGGAAAAGATACAATTTGAGTAAATCACTACAGTTACTGCCCTAAAAGTATCCTTTTATTTGGGTTTTTGCATAAAGACACCGCCATATCTTTGGAAGATAAAATATGTACATACTTCCAAATTAAATTCCTTTTAAAATTCATGAGGTTCTTGGGGTTCTATATATAAACTGGAACTATTAGGGAATAGACTTTCTTCCCAGAATATTCCTTTGTTGGGCCTCTTTCCTTCCCTGTCTCACTCAAATGAGACAAAGGCAAAATGTTACTGTCTCCCAAGGAGCTTGGTTTTACCAAATGTGCAAGTGGAAAGGCCCACATAAAGCTTCCTTTCCCAGACAGAAAGGGAAGTACAACATTATTAATACTTTTAACAGGAAGTAAATCTGTTTGGAGACTTAACTGCTGTATACCAGCAATGAAAATATGGGGGGTCTAGAACAGGCCAGGACGATTTCTTAGTCTTTTGCCAAGCCAAAGTCTCTCAGTATGCAGTAAGTTTAGTGGGACATGGGAATAAAATAAATCAGAGACCCCTACCTATGCCAGAGGTAATAGACGGTAGATGGTAATCTGGCATAGTTAGAGATTTTCCCCCATCTAGTTATCCAGCTTGGTGTTGACTTCAGTGTTAATAAATTGAGGGTGGAAGAAACAAGAATAGACAGGAGCTCTAAGCTTACTGGGTAAAGGGGGACAGATTAAAAGAGACAGCATTTCCCTTTGAAAACTCTTGATATAATGGGCTCCAACCATATATTTTTTGGAAGAGCTTTGACATTTCCCCTTTCCCCTCATACTTTGACAAGGGAATTCTTTTATTTTCTGCCTGAGCTCTTAGAGAGATGGCTATGCAAGAAAGCAACAAATGGAATATATATGGCATACGCTTTTCACTTAACCTGGGACAAGTGACTGATCAAACGTTCTAAAAATGAGAATATGGGGTGCTTTAGGTATGATTCCAACCTACCAACATGGTAATATAGATAGAGAAGTAAATATATTTAATAGCAACAGAGAGTAAACCTAAAATGCTCACAAACTGTTAAGCATATATGGACCAACAGAGAGATCAAGAGCCCAAAGGAAGCACAAATTCAAAACCATTGCTTTCGTGTCATCTACAACATTCAAAACACAAGGTTACATAAAACTAGGGGAATGACAAAAATTAGCAAAGGACACTAATCACAGTATGATAGGCCATTGAAATACTGTAAAGTTTCAAGCATCTTATTATGGGAAAAATATCAAAGAGTTGAAAGGTA
Organism: Homo sapiens; assembly: GCF_000001405.40. NCBI lineage: Eukaryota > Metazoa > Chordata > Mammalia > Primates > Hominidae > Homo > Homo sapiens. The sequence goes on from NC_000004.12 coordinate 104,737,910, forward strand.
CAGAAATGACAACAAAATGATAAATGTTATCAATGTTTATAACTGAAAAAAACATAGAAAAAGAGGTTTTTTTCATTAGAAAGGAAGAGATTAGAAGAGAGAATTATTGAGGTATCTAAAACTCTGATGACTATTGAGAAAGGAGAGACAGGAAATGGCTCAAAAGCAAAAGAGAACATGAGCAGAAAGAAACAAAAGACTGCATTAAAGGGAATTCAGAAGCAATGTATTTGCAGAGTGTAATTACTATGGTCTGAGAAAAGGCTACTGATATCAGATGGGCAATATCCAAATCCTGAGTGTATTTTTACAATGAGTCAGATGAGGGTTTTGTTTGTTTGTTTTCATTTGCTTTTTGTTTTGTTTATGGCTGTGAGAGGTGGGAATGAGGGGGACTCGGTGGGGAGGGTAGTGGGTCGGAGGTGGGAGAGGGGATACTCTATAAGGCACAGAACCTACTTACAGGGATTGATTCATCAGGACGACATGGCTCCTTTCCTTCCTGAAATGCGAGCTGCTCTCGTTCATTAAGTTAACACACTGATCTGGCAGAGCCACATCCTGGAATCCTAAAAACATCAGCTTCCATCTAAACTTTTCATTTCTTATATGCTTAATTTGGCTTAGTCAGCTTGATGGCAAGTTTGCAATATTATAAATATGCATATGGCCTGGTATCTGCCACCCATCTGATCCTGACTTAGTTGCCTATAGGAAAAAGCATAAGCCAGATAGGATGTGCCGGTGGGCAAAGCTCCAGGTTTGGAGTTCAGGTTCAGTCTTGATAAATATCAGATAATACTGACTGCTTATCTAAACTGCTCAGTCCCATAAAGCCTGTGACCTTTCTTCAATCACCTGACTAGGTCTTGTTCGCTCAGGGTAGAGCAGAAATTTTAAAAGCAACCCACACAAGCCACAGTTTTACCATAATTTTGCCTACTAATGTTATAAAATATTTTGACATTCAAATGTCTCATCCTTCAGGGTCAAACCAACACTTATTATTCTCTATGAAGATGTATTCCCCTACATTATGCTGTCCCCAAAAATTAAAGGTATAGAAATTCAGAAAATAGCCTTACCACACTGGGTGCTTGTGTCACACTGGTGCATCCATAGGTTGGTAGTATCACAACAAAAAGTCTTTCTCCCCTCAAACTAAAATTCAGCCCTCCTGCATCCACAAGACATTGCTTTGCTAATTTTCTTCTAAAATGTTAACCTCATTTTTCCTTGAACCTGTAAATGTTTTAAAATACCTCCCAAAGAACCTCCTCCTGTAGTAACAACTATATCCCAACCTGCTAAAAAACTTCTCTCTGTGGCAAAATAAATAAATTAATTAAATTTTTTTAAAAATAAAAGGAACAAACTCACAGACTCTGCTTCTTCGAAGTCCCCAGCACTCATTTAGGCCCCAGTCTCTACTTTAATATTTAGTTTGAACATCATTTTTGGTGCACCTTCTCCATCCAATCCTCTCCATCCAACACCAGTCATGGCTAAGCATATTTTAGACTACATGCCCAAAGCATTTTGTAGGTCTCCATTAGAGTTTATATCACATGTTATCTCTGTATGGTTTGTGAGACTGCATTTCCTATTCAATTCTGAACTCCATAAGGTCAGAAATGATGTCTTATCATTTTGGCCTTCCCTAGTAGAATGATTGGTACATAATAGATATTCAATAAATGTTTATCAAAATCAATAAAGTTGTGTTAACTGTTCCCAATAAGGGTGGCTGCGGATGGTTGGGAAAGAGAGCCTGCTGGTGCTAAGGTCTCAATATTTGTATGCCCCTACATTCATATGTGGAAACAGTTCCAATGTGAAGATACTTGGATGTGGGGCCTTTGGAAGATGTTCAGGTCATGAGAGCAGAGTCCTCATGAATGGGATTACTGACTCTATAGGAGATCCCAGGGAAACTCTTTCCCTTTCTACCACCTGAGGACATAGGAAGGTGCTGTCTATGAAGCCAGAAGAGAGTCCTCACCAGACACCAAATCTGCTAGCAGCTCCAGCTTGGACTTCCCCACCTCCAGAACTGTGAAAAATGTATCTCTGTTGTTTATAAGCTACCCAGTCTATGGTATCTTGTTATAGCATCCTGAAAGGACTAAGTCACCAGGTGATCACTTTTACCATGAAAATCAAGGAGAAGGTGAGACTGGACAACTTTTTCTAAGGTAGTTAGGAAAATTACCATGAATTTAAGCCACTAGAAAAAAGTTTTTAATCCATACTCTCCCTCCCCCACCAAAAAAAGTGCAAAAATTCAAGTTTTTGAGCAAATGCTTACTAACCAACCCCAGAAGGTATTTTAGAGGTGTCTAGATCTGAATTTTCTTAGAGAAGTTTAATAGTAGCAACACATGTGGTATATGGAGCATTTTTTCCTAAGTGTTTCCATCTTTATCTTGGCATATATTTTCACAAATCTAGCCAGCAGATATGAGAATATACTGAGATTTCATTTAGCAGATGAAGAAACCAAAGACTCAAGATGTTAGGCAATTTTCTCAGAATTATACAATGTGTCAACAACTGATTGGTATCCAGTCTCCTAAATCCACGCTGCACGTTCTAGCAACCTAAACTTGTCCTCTTTATAAAGGATTCCCCTTTCTCGTTTCATTTCTTTCTTTTATTAATGCATACATTCATTCATTATACAAATATTTTAGTTAGACCTATGATAAAAGAAAAAGAATCATCAATTTGGAGCTCAGAGGCTTGACCTGGAGTTCTTCTAACACATACGTAAACATTCAAATGCAGCCGAATATAATGAAAAGAATACTTGGAAGATCTGGGCTCGATTCCACTCCACTGCTTTCTGGCTAAGTGATCTTGAGCAAGTCATTTCACTTCTCTGAACCTCAATCCCTTTTTCTACAAAACAAAAATAGAAGTATTTATGTGATTTACTTCATAAGGAGCTTTTGAGATGGAAAACCTGAAACCACCTTGTAAAATGTAAAAGCTATATAGTGACATTGATAACATTTATTGAATATTTACTATGTGCACAGTGATGCCATAGATATTTCATAGGCATAGACTAATTTTAATCCTCACAATGATCCTGTGAGGGAGACACTATATTATTCACATTTACAAATGAGAAATTCAAGGAATGAAGGAGTTAGGTAACTTTTAGAAAATCAAACAAGTAGGAAATGGAGCAAGGATTGAATCTAGACAGGGACATGCCCAGGACCATCTCTAAAACACTTAATTATGCTGGCTCCCAAACGAAGACACTGAGCATTTTCATGTTCTAGGAATTTAGGATGTATTAACTCATGCAATAACTCTTTGTATGTATTATACCACTCAATCCCCTCTACAACCCTCTAAGTGTGTCCAGAGGCAGTTAATAAAGATAACTAAGTTCCAGCTTGCTCCTCTATTCTTTCTGAACACAGCAGCTGGAGTGAGCCTTCGCTCAAAACCCACTAATGCTTCTCATTTCATTCAAAGTAGAATACAATGTCTTTGCTATGGCCTAAAAGGTCCTGTACAGTCTAACCTTTTGTTGCTTGCCCTACCAGTCACCTAATTTCTCTTTTCAAGTCACACTGACCTCCTTGCTGTTTCTGAAAAATGTCAGAAACATGTTTCTTCTCAAAGAATAACCTATCAGAGGTTCCTTCTTTTACTATTCAATATAAAAGAGAAACTACCCACCCCAACCCCAGCCAATTTCTAGCTCCTTCTGGGTTTATTTTTTTATGGCACTCATTATCATGGGGATTTATTTTTGCCACCTTATATATTTTATATGTATCTGTTTGTTATCTGTGTCCCTCCTGCCACACATACATAAACACTCCCTCACCACGTGTGTGTGCATGCACGCACACACACACACACGAATATGAGCTACTTAAACCAAAATCTATCTGTTTTCTGCTGTTGCTCTCAATACCTAGAACGGTGCCTGACATGCAGCAAAAGCCTCAAAACTTGCAAGTTTTATGAAAAATTGATTCTGTGCACTCAGATTTTAAAAATCAGATAAAAAGGCAAGGGAAACTTACTAAAGATTCTGATAAACAGTTTACAGTGAAAAATTGGGGGTTAGTATGTTTTTACTCCATTTTTTTAGACCCTTTCAGGAGCCCCAAATACAGTCCTCTATTGTGAAATAAGGTAAAGTATATCTGACCAAATCAATATCCAACTACATCTCTCACCTACAGGGGTCCTTACCTTTGCTTCCACCCAGACAGTAGCCAAGTTTGTTTTCAGTCACAAATAAAGGATTAAAATTTACCTGATTCAAGCCAGGCATAGAAAAAAGAATTAGAGTTTAGGCATGTGTAGAATGTGATTCTTGTTATCTCTGATCTACTTCACGGGAAGGTTTGTTTCACTAGAAGTTGCAATGGACTCGTATCACAAAAATACCTCGTGCATCATTTTTAATCCAAAAGAAGGTAGGTCCTAACTAACTTATTATTATTCCCTTGCTTTTTCTCTAAAAACATTTGTTTGCCTCTGTTTTATAACACTATGGGACAAATGAGGTGAGGAGGCAGGTGTCTCAATAAGAAAATGCTAAAACAGAGCAAAGCGTGGTAGAACTCTCCCGAGAGGAAGTGTTCGCAGAGGTTTCAGAAGGACCTGAGCAGGCAGGAGGAGGAGATGCTGTTTTGTATTGGTCCCATGTATTTGGCAACCCTGGAATATAATATGGTGGTGTTATCATCATTTCATGGAAGAATTGTTCAGAAACCAGGGAACTGGAACATAAATCTCACTGTTCTCTGGCTAGGTCAGGTACCTCAATCTCTTTCCTTTCTATGAGGCATTAGTAGCCAGTGGAAAAAGCATGAACTTTAGAATCAGACAAAATTGATTTTGAGTTTTGGATCTACTATGTGTTAGCTGTGTGATTTGAATATATCACCTAACCTTCCTGATCCTGTTTCTGCCCATCTAAAATTGCATTTATAATATCTGCTCCCTAGGACTTTTGTGAGGATCCAATTAAGTTATGCGGTAAAGACCAAATGGTCTTGAGCTATGAAAGTCTGTTTCCTTCTTTATTGCCTTCTTCTCCCATAATAAAAACAAAAACAAAAACATAAAATACAATCAGCTAACTCTTGATAAAGGCTGCAACTGTTAAAGTGACATCTTATCATTTGTTTTTGAAGTAAAGATTACAAATGCTTCTCCATAAGTGTCTAATAAAAAAGACCTAGGTGTCAAATAATGTGGTTAGGGATTAATGAAAACTTCTGCATTTACCTTCTGTACTTTGAGTAAAGCATTTAAGATCCAATGGTCGGTACATGTCCTTGCAGCGTTCATCCCTTAAATTTGGTAAGAAAAGAACTGCTCAAATCTTTAGCTTGTAGGAGGAGACATAAGATAAAATGCAAGAAAAACTTTGGTATAAAGAGGAACCGAAAACACGATTTGCCCCTGGGGAACGTCAGCTCTCCTCTGTCTGACTCTCTTTTCACTCACACACAAAAAAAATACTGAGAAATTTCAAAGTCACTTGGTTAAAAGAAAACTTTAAAACAGCCAGGGTGCCTACAAAGCAATCCCTATTCTGCCCTGAGTTATGTAGAGAGCAGCTTGGATCTTCACATATCTAATACAGTGTCAGAGCCAAGCCAGTCCCAGGATTATCATGAATCTTGTATGAAGGCTAAGTGTGGCTTCAGCCTGCCACTGTTTGAGGGGTAGGAATTGGAACCCCAAATTTAGCCCTGCGTCCTGCTCATGTCTCAAGGGAGTGGGAGCCTTGAAAGCTTATTTGATTGCCCAGTTTGATATTCCCAGTGTTTAGTAGTAAAATCTGCACCACAAGCTAGCAAAAATAGAAACTCTGATTCTAAGAGGAAAAAATAAGATGGATGCAATTATACAAGGAAGGAGAACAACAACAACTCTGAAGCTGCATGAAATAAATATTTTCTTAAAATCATACTATGGTCCTTTGTAAAGGGAAATAGAGCTAAATATTAATAAACCATATGGCTTTTATTGAATTTATTTCATTTAAAATATGTCTAAAGGCACCAAAATAACTTTAGGCTCTAATTTTAAGGAAATTCATTTTAAATTCTCTATTTTGAAATTTTATTTACTCACATTGCTTATCTCTTGAAATGTAAAGGTTTGATTTGTGACAATCACTTACTCTATAAGCACCCAAAAGTGTTAATGACATCGTGGAGGTGTCCTAAGACTGAATCTAGCAGGATGAATAGTAATGCATTCTGAAAGATTTCTAAAAAGCTTAGTGTATTTCTATATAACAAATGTATCTGTGCAATTTTTATCTTCCTAAAAAACAAAGGATTAGAAGTTACATTGGGAAAGAATGAGATATGAACAATACTTACAATATTTTACTGTTGTATACTATCTTATAGCTCATTCAGATATTTTTTACAGACAATATAGTTTCTCATTTTTACATAACAACATGCCTGTTAAAAAAAATTCCCTCTTTTAGCAGATGATGAAATTGGGGCCCAGAGAGCTAAAGGTTCTTTACCAAGTAAAAACACAGCTAGAAGACAGTAAAGCCAGGGCCAGCTGGCAATTCCTCTGGCCTTTGAGTTATGGTCTAGGCCAGCGGGCAATGAGGATGAGCAACATACCTAGGCTAAATGATTTTTTTTTTTTGAAGCTATTTTTGCCCCATACCTATGATACTCCTATGTCAGTATTTTCCTTTTTTGCTTTATACTATAAGAGTAACATACTTTTCAAATTTCTGATTTTATAATTCAGGAACAAAAGTAAAAAGGTTTACTGGAAGGGAAGTTGATAAGATTATTTTCAAATCATTTTCCAAACATCTTACAGCTTGCAGTTTGTTTAGCTTTATTATGCTTTTATATTTTAAATAACAACTGTTTTAGATAGTATTTTATTGTTTTTTGTTTGTTTTTTGAGATGGAGTTTCACTCTTGTTGTCTAGGCTGGAGTGCAATGGGGCGATCTCGGCTCACTGCAACCTCCGCCTCCCAGGTTCAAGCAATTCTCCTGCCTCAGCCTCCCGGGTAGCTGGGATTACAGGCATGCACCACCACGCCTGGCTAATTTTGTATTTTTAGTAGAGATGGGGTTTCTCCATGTTGGTCAGGCTGGTCTTGAACTCCCGACCTCAGCTGATCCACCTGCCTTGGCCTCACAAAGTGCTGGGATTATAGGTGTGAGCCACTGTGCCTGAACTTAGATAGTATTTTAAAATGTACATTAGGTACATTTCTTCACAAAAGGTGGTTTTTGTTTTCTGGAAAGTTACCTCTATATTTAGAATGGAAAGCTCTATATAATTTTTCCCAATGACATTTACTATGCTAAAAAAAAATCGAGATTTTTTTATTTCATTCAACTAAGCAGAACAATAAAATATAAGACATTCCATTGTTCAGTTTGTCTCATTTAGAAAAGAGCCTCTGCTTGTAAAAGTAGTCTTGTGATTTAGAAATAAAAATTGTATATCTGAAGATGATTTTTTCAGAATTTATACATTTATTTTATATTTATCAAAAGCCTATTTATGTACAGAAAAACAAAATCAGATATTGTACAGCTGGAAAACCAGTATTCCATGACAGATTAAGAAAATATACATAGCAAAGGATCCAGGCCTGCCATTCTGTTTTCCTTTTAGAATTTTAGTCAACTAGGAAATAGAGTTCGAAGAAATGACATTCTCTTTCTGCTGTTTAATTTGGCAAGCGGTGGAGGGGTACCCACAGCTGGCCCCCATCACTTGCACCCAAGATTAACACAAGGTGATTTGGACAAACCTTAACCTCCCCTCCCCTGGCGTCTCCTTCCCAGGAATCAGTTGGGATCAGGACTGCCAAGTCAGAGCTCTGGGGCTGTTAACTATAGGAAAACTCTGAGAAATTAAGATACGGAAAAATCTCCAGAAAACTGCATGAGGACTTATTTCAAAATATTGTACATAATAATCAGAATTCAAAATATGAAAGAAGTACCACCAAGACTGCCACTCCAGAACTTTGTAATAAATATTGTATTGGCTGTCTTGATAATTGGTGAGCTCCCCAGGTTTCCAACCCACCGTTCATGTGCCTACTATGAGTCAAGCACTATGCCAGGTGCTGATCACACAAACATAAAGATGGTTCATTGTCTTTCTTCAAGAAGCTTACAGTCCATAATGCAATATTGTGAGATAAGTGCTGTGCTAGAGATTGGCAAGAGGAAGAGCTCTTAATCCAACCTCAGGGGAGAGGGAAGATTTATAACTGGATTACTTGCTCCATATAAACAAAGGCCAACCTCAGCACCAGGCACTATACCTGTTCCCTGATAGAATCTCAATGAAGTTGATAACAACTGAACTGAGTCTTACAGAATGAGCAGGATTTATATAGGTGATGAGAGGAGGGAATGGTTTTTCAGGTACGCCCAGGAGTAGAAACGGTAGAGAAGGTGAGTTTTTGAAATTGTAAGCCAGGTTTTAGATGTAGCTGAAATGATGAGTGTCAGTGGAAAACCCTGAGCAATAAGGCTAGAAACATATGTGCGAGTATATCTTGAAGATTTTGTAGACCAGGCTGAGAACTATAAACACTTTATAGAAAAATATCAAAGTTCTTACTTTCAGAGATTGAATAAACCAATCATTACAGTATAGTATATGCATAGGTTACTGCTACAAGAGTACAGGAGAGACACAACATAATCAAACTGCCCAAGAGGCCTTACCAAAAATGTGATCCTTGAGTACTATGTTGTTGAACTTCACCCTGAAAGAAATGGGGAAACATGGAAAGACTTTATGCAGAGGAATCATATGTGCATACTTCCATTTTAGAAAGGTCTGAATATGATGTGACTAAGAAAATCAGTGAAATGGTTCTCTAAGGGGCAATAAATACTACACCAGGAAGCATGTTGAAAAATTTTTGCTGTCACAATAAGAAAGCATTATGAGCATTCAGGATACAGGGGTCCAGGAATGCTGGAGATCTTGCAGTTACTGCAGTCCAGAGTAAAGAAGAGATTATTCCTGTGCCTAACATTGCTTTCTAATGTTCCATTGCACATTCAAGTATAGAAAACCCTCTTTAATGATCTGGATTAGAATCTAACACTGTTTTACTTATTAAAACAAAGCACTTTCCACTGTTTTAATATATACTGAATTGTACATAAATGCAGGTACCCTATAATTTAAGATAAAATTTTTATTTTGTTTTCCTTTGAACTTTGTCAAGAATTGTACCCCATTCAGAAAAAAAGAAATGCATCAAGGAAACACTGTTTATTACCAATACAGCACACCTGTATCAGTCAGCTCTTATAGCTGTTGTATTCACAGTGCTTCCGTAGGCACAAGCTTCCAGAATTGGTTTAGACATCTTTTCTTCCCCAACAGCCTTTCCTATGACCCAGCCCCAGTTCCAGCCACAAGACCAGCTAATGGAATCTCAGCAGGCCTCAATCCTGCTCTCTGTGAGGAGGGGTATTAAATAGAGATCTAGAATTCATGACAGACAACATCATAGACAATTTGAATTGGGAATAAAAGTGTATTTGAACAGTGGCTCTCAAGCTGAAGTGTGGATCAGGATCAGAATTACTCAGGTAGTTGAATTACAAAGGCAGGTTCTCAAGTTCTACTCTCTGAGAATCTGTGTCAGCTAGTCTGAGGTGAGGCCAGAGAGTTTAAATTTTTAACAAGTTCCACAGGGAACTCTGTTGCAGATGTTTAAATCTTGGAATACCTTGAGAGAACCACAACACTGTCTAAGGTCTCCTTGAACCTAACATTCTATGATTCCTTGAAGACTATGGCATGGGAGTGAGAGGCTTCCCTCTGTCCCCTGATTAGGCCCACCAGAACTCTGAGCACCACCATCCTGACCTTGACTCCAGATAAGTCACCAGATGAGTCACGTATGTGTTAGTGATCACACAAGTATGCTCTAAGCAACTCACAAAACAACTACATTTTTCTATTTGTTGTTAGGTACACAAAGTGCCACCCTTAGCATTCATAGACATTTATAAAAGAGTAAATGGTCAAAAATGACTCAAAATATATAATGTATGTCATAGCAGGTGTATAAGAAATAAAGTTTGCCAAACTGCACTGAAATTTACTCCATGACAAGAGCAGTGCATTTTCTCCATGGCTGTCATAGATTTCATGGATCCTGAGAAATCCAGCCATTTTTAGAAATCCCATGAAATTTACCTTTTCACTCGAATCCACATGAAATCAAAATTTTTCCCTACGAGTCCCCATAAAATTGGCACATTTCCTCAGAAGACCCCATGAAATTATAAAGAATATTGCAGATTCTTTGCTTCTAGCCCTTGTTGCACATCTTAAAGAAACAGGTTAGAGATTGCAGAATTATTTCATTTCTCTGATGATATTTCCCTAAAATCACTATGAAAAACAGCAAGGCAACAGCTGTTAAATAGGTAATTTCCGAGTGAAATAGAACTTGAACCTACTACGCATAACCTGAAAACATAACGGAAAATTTTTTCAGATGAAAACAATAGTAATATTCCAAACATCTAATAAAAATTGGAAGTTGCCCCAATTTTTCTCTTAAATAAAATGCCCATTATTACTCATTTTCTAATTGCTCTTAAATTTATCTACACTTTGATATTATAAAAATTTCTGGGAAGCCAACTGAAGTTGGGAAGTTAGAAATAAAGAGAATATTCCAATTTTCACATTAGCAAACTATGTAATAATCACATCGAAACAAAATATTCCCCAAAGCAAAAAGTTATATTCTCATATATAGGTTTGCAATGGCAAACGATGTCTTTCCTAAGTTCTACTTCACAGGATGTTGTGAGAATAAAATGGGATAATGAATGTGCAAATGCAGACTGTAAAGTGCTTTAAAAATATACAATAGTAATTTGGAGCAGTTTTCAGATTTAATGAGAAAAAATTGATTATAATAAAGGAAGATATAGATATTTCTGCTAAAACTAGCATACATATTCCAATTAATATAAAATGAACATTCAGCCCTTTCTCTTCTCAAAGAAAAATTGAATAAGAAAAAATGTTAAAAAGGCATCACAGCAAAACAAAGCAAAATTGCAGTACATCAATGGTTTTCAATTATTACTATTTATTCAGCAGGAAAATAAAAGGAACACACATATTTCATATTCCTATAATAATCATAAAATTTCATCCTCCTGGTTTTACCTATATCTTGATTCCCTCAGGATGATTAAGCAAAACAAGCTCTCAGTTCAAGTCAGTAAGGCCACACCTCAAATGTCATTTCCTGAGTGTGAACAAGTATTCCACTAGAAGGAGGAAGTTTTGCTGCAGATGGAGGCTCTTGAATGGTAACTGGCCTACAGAAATTCAAAGCTGCTTTTGCGTTTGCCTTAGCACTTTCATTTTGAATCATGGAAATATTGAACCATTTATAAGATTCATCACGCACGATCACAAATCCAGAAAGGTGCTAAGGATGACCACACAAATCAGTATAATGAAGAGAGTTACTCCATGCTGCCAGCCAGAAATTTTAGGAGCATATACAGTATTACTTAAATGTAAATAAACAGATGCAACTACAGAAAGGAAAGAAGAATTTAGCTTGTTCTGATATTTGGAATTCGATTCTGATCCAGATGGGAGATCTTGTGCTGTCCCGGTAAAAACATCACTGTAGACAGAAAAGTGCTTCTCCCAGCTCTCTACCAACATTGATTGGATTTCCCTTTAGGTTAATCAATCTGCAGCTGAATTAACTTTCTTTCTGTTCCGATAAGCTTTCAGGCTCTCCAACAACACCCAGCAGATAGAACATACCGCTGAAAATCAGCGGAATGGAGTTCTAATCCTAATTTCGCTATGAAATACTCATGTGACCTTGTGCACCTCAGTTAACCTCTTTCAGCTTCATTTTCCTTATCTGTAAAATGGGGACAATAATCCCTTACATGACAACTTTTCAGTTTTAATAAAGCTCATGTAACATGCTGTCAACTGAAAAGTACGGCACACCTTTCCAGGCTTTCCTCAGAAGGAAATTCAGTATGCAGAAGACCCCTAGGAGTATGCTTCTGAAGCCAGAGCCAAGGGGCAACCCTCAAGTACTTTCAGGATCCCAATGTTTGGACTTAGCAGAGTGAGCACATACATCTGTAAGCAAACCATTCTTTATGCTTCAGATTTCTAATCTAAAAACAACCAGGATAACAAAATTGAAACCGGTGTTTCTTGTGTTATAAGAGGTTTTGAACATTGATTGACTAAACCAAACAAACACACGAGCACCTTGGCAAAATATCAATAATCCAGAGCTTTTTACCTGTTGATGAAGTGGTTTAGCCCTTTGCTCTATTTAATTAACCTGTGTGCTAAGTTATATTATTTTCCTCACTTTGTGATGAGGCTTTGATGAGAAAACCACAATGCAAAGATTATCCCAGGGGCCTCCAGTTAGGAAGTGATGGAGAAGGGACTTTTTTCATGTGACCTTAGCCACCAAGTCCCAGGAGGCTTTTGTCTTTGTTTCCATTGATATTTGGGAATAGATTGTAAAATGTTTTGTTAACAAAGAAACATTGTACCTTGTTTTTTAATTAATGAAGAGACCATTTGAGGGTGGAGATTGTAATTTAGAGATGTTTAAGGAAAACTTATAAAGGTGAAGTTAAAATGCAGGAGATAGAGTTTTACCACTTCTTATTTTTATGTCTGAAAATCAGAATAAACCAGTAAGGTTAGAAATTACCATAACAAGAATTTTTTGTGATTAGTTAAACATTAAATTGCTACTACTATATATTTTCCTTCTTATCTTGCTTACACAAATGAACAAACAACAACAAAACAACAACAACAACAACAAAAACCCTGGCTGTCCTGAAGGCCCACCTGTAGAAAATCTATGCTCAAAAAATTAAGCAGGTAAAATGCAGCGTGGACTAAGGAAGCAGCTACCCATAGAAATGGTCCTTAGCCCATCACCAGAGACAATTTGTATTTCTCCCAAGCTACAGAACTACTCATATCTGACTTGAGACATTTAAATGAACTGATTGCTTGACTGAGGCGTCCCAAAGTCTGTCCGTCACACTGACTTCAGTACTCAAAACTTGCCCCAAATTTTGATAAGTGTTTTTAAGGAGCATAAATATGGGACAAATAATGCCTAATTCATCTGAGTTGTCATAGGATTTCATATTTGATATTTTAAAAATATTAAATAACAGAAAATAGTTGATTAATATACTGCAACTAAACGGTTGTATTTCATATATTTTCTTTACAACATCATTTATATCCTGGCATTTTTCTTCATTATAAAAGGGCATTTATTAATTTATCTACTCACTAATTTGACAGCTATTTAATGAACTGCTACTCTGTACCAGGCACTAAGCTAAGTTCTGGAAATTCGGATATGACCACAACTCTTTTCTCTTTTGTCCTTTAGATCTCTTCAAGTGGTTCAAGGTAGTAAGGTGTATATAACTTACCAAAGAGGTTCATTAATTAGAGCCAAGAACTAAGCCACTTCATCAACAGGTAAGAAGCTCTGGATTATAGACATTTTACCAAAGGTGTGTGTGTGTTTGGTTTAGGCACTTAATGTTCCAAACCTCTCGGAGCATAAGAGGTTCAAAATAGTGAGGTGGAAATCAGCCATCAGGCAATTGAAATGGGATGTGTAATTAGAATGGTGCGTGGTGCTATACTGGTTTCCTCAGGATTGGATTAACAAGGATTAGTGCCTTTCCTATGTCCTGAACAGTAGCAGGGCTTAAATCAGCATGCTCATACATGTTAGCCCTATAAGAAGGCTAGCAACTGAGCATAGAAACCAAGCAGCTAGAGGCTGTGGGTGGGGGTTCATCAAGAAGGAGCTGAGAAAAGGCCAGAAAAAGTTGATCCAGAGCAGATCCCCATAGCAGGAAACTGTGTGATGAGGAGACTCTTGATGGATCCACACACATACCCCCCAAAAACTCAATCACTTGAACCATTTGCCACACAGTGTCCATGCCCAGTTGAAGATTTCCAGGGAAAGACAATGATTATCAATAGTCTACAGAGGTATCAATTAAAGAAACAGAACTAATAATCTCTGTGTGATCCTTCATGCCTGTGTCAACACAAAACCAAATGGCGAGAAAACAGGAGTTAAGTAGCAGGGAAGCTCCCCACCCCCCACTCCCATTCAAATTATCCTCGGCAAACCTAAGCTAGAGAGAAGAGAATGTTACACTGCTTATAAAGCTGTAATTTTAAATTTGACTGATCCTTTTTTTTTTTTTTTTCAATACCTGAATGTGATCAGGCAGCCAAGGGATTCACCTGAGATGTTAACGAATGGGAAAACCATGTTTAAAGGTGGTCCCTCAAGAAATAATAAAACTCTATCTCCTTTGCAGTCCCTGTGGAGTTTGGACTGTTCAAAACCCTAGTTGTAAGTGTTATAAATAAGGTATAGGAGTAACCAAGAATGTCGTGAGAGCACTTAGCAAAGACAACTAACATAATGTGAGGTGTCAAAGAAGCCTCAGAAATGTTTATAGCTGTGAAAAACCATTACCTCAGTCAACCTCTCTAAGCCTCAATTTTGCTTCTGTAAAGTTACTTGCCAAAGTCATTGAGTCATGTTTATTTTGGTCTTGACTCTAGATTGCTGACTTTAAAAATAGCAAAGGCCTTGCTTTACATAATGCATAGTCTAGTCCACTATTATTAATTTTTTACATAAGTGAGTTTCACTTTGGACAAAGGTGATTTCATTCCTTTGACTGGTTGACTTGCCTCAAAGTGTTTTGAGGATGGAGGGGTTTGTTCTTGAGTTGTTAGAGAAACATGAGGTCTAGTGCAAATACAGGCTTCAAAAACCATATCTTTTGGGTTAGTCGTATTTCTCAAGGAGGAAAAGGAAAGTGAGCGGAACAAAAGAACAAATACAAGACATTCTGAGGAACACCAGAGCAGGACTCCAACTGACTTACTGAGGTTTTATCCACATTAGGATGGAAGCTGCCACTGAGGAGAGAGATGCTCATCCTAGCCTCGTTGTTCACCCAGGTGTGTGACCTAGCAGCTCACACCTCCAATCTTACCCACCTCTCCTCTGTCTATTGTGGGTGTGCTTTAAGTTCCAGCAGCAGAAACAAAGAAGTTTTTTTTCTTTTCTCTTTCCTTTCTTTCTTCCTTTTGAAAATTTTCTTATGTCTGATTTTTATATTCCGTCCCTTTTGTCTCCTACCTTGTGTACTCTGCCTACAAGAAATGAAATAAACCCTCTGTAATGGCAGTGACTCAAGAGAATAAATTCTCAAACCAAAAGCAGCCACTTTATTCAGAAAATTTTTAACATATCTTGGCCTGGCAATACTTTTACTTTCATTTCATTAAGAGATTTCAAAACCTGGGAAACATTAATGGTTTCTGCTCATATATATGCCCATATATACCCATATATATGCAGTGTTCATAATGAATCATGAATTTTTTTTTTTTTTTGAGACAGAGTCTCACTCTGTTGCCCAGGCTGGAGTGCAGTGGCATGATCCCAGCTCACTGCAATCTCCGCCTCCCACGTTCAAGCTATTCTTCTGCCTCAGCCTCCCAAGTAGCTGGGACTGCAGGCACCCGCCACCACGCCTGGCTCATTTTTGCATTTTTAGTAGAGATGGAGTCTCACTGTGTTGCCCAGGCTGGTCTCGAACTCCTGACCTCAGATTATCTGCCCGCTTTGGCCTCCCAAAGTGCTGGGATTACAGACGTGAGCCACTGTGCCCGGCCAAATTATTTTGTTCTACTAACCAAACAGTATTCCTTTGCAGTGTTCAGGTTTTTATTATAATTTTTTATTTTCAATTTTTGTGGGTACATAGTAGGTGTGTATATTGATGATATACATGAGATATTTTGATACAGGCATGCAATGTGAAATAATCACATCATGAAAAATGGGGTATCCATCCCCTCAATCATTTATCCTTTGTGTTACAAATAATCCAATTATACTCTTAATTATTTTAAAATGTACAATTAAATTATTATTGACTATAGTCATCCTGTTATGCTATCAAAATACTAGGCCTTATTCATTCATTTTATTTTCTGTACCCATTAACCATCCCCAACTAACCTCCACTCTACTCCATTACCCTTCCCAGCCTCTGGTAACCGACCTTCTACTGTCTATCTCCCTGGGTTCAATTGTTTTGATTTTTAAATCCCACAAATAAGTGAGAACATGAAAAGTTTTTCTTTCTATACCTGGCTTATTTCACTGAACATAATAATCTTCAGTTCTATCCATGTTGTTGCAAATGACCGAATCTCATTTTTTTCATGGGTGAATGGTACTCCATTTTGTATAAGTACCACATTTTCTTTAACCATTCATCTGTTGATGGACACTTAGATTGCTTCCAAGTCCTGGCTATTGTGAACAGTGCTGCAACAAACATGAGAGTGCAGATATCTTAATATTCTCATTTCCTTTCATTTGGGTATACACCTAGCAGTGGGATTGCTGATTGTATGGTAGCTCTATTTTTAGTTTTTGAGGAACTTCCAAAGTGTTCTCCATAATGGTTGCATCCTTTGTAGGTTAGCATTGATTGTTTTCATCTTTACTTGTTGCAAATTCTGGCCCAAGTTGTATATTGAATGTTAAAAAGTGGCTTTATGTTATAATTATTTAAATTGAGAAGAAAGCTTCTTTAAATGGAATGACAAAATCCTCTAGTTTCAGAAACTGAAACTTTTTTATCAATAAAATGCTGTAACATTTTTTTGCACCTCCTGTAAATTACTACTTGTAATTTGTGAAGCTGCTATCATTTAGCATTTGGTTATATGGACTAGTAATAATTTTCTTCATAATAGATGATAAAAATTTAATATAAACTAGGTTATATCATAGTGTGGCTCCTTTATCTAAAATTAATTTAAATACAGAACATGAATAATAGAAAAATATTTTACATGCAATTTAAAGAAAGGATATGCAAAGTACAAAGTACATTTTCATCTCATAAGACAGTTACCAGATTTATTCAATGAAAACAGATTCTGGTTTTATAATTTGCACATTTATAGCTATATAAACCTTTTTACACTTTTGCACTGTATTTTCTTTTTAGTGTGCTTTCATTTGACTGGGGAAAAAGAACCAAATCTCTGACTCTCAAATCTCTATTTACAAGTTTAGAAAAAAGAGACTGTATTGACTCTAGTTAAGTTTAATTATTTAGCCAATACATATTAAGATAAGACAGGTTTAATATGGCTCTTTTAATAATAATAATGATCAATTATCCTCAACTTCCTGTTACTATTTTAGTTTGGGGATAAAACATTTCCATAAACCTCACTTTAGATGTAGTTTTGCAATTTGGAAAGTAGTTTTGAGTTTCCTAAAAAGTATCTGTTTCCCTCCAACCCCAAATAAAATGGAAGTGTATGTCTATGCAAAGGCGTACATGTGAATATTCACAGAAGCATTATTCACAAATAAAAAACACTGGAAACAATTCAAATGCCTATTAAAAGGTGAATTGTAAAACATAATGTGGTATATCTATGTGTTAGAATACTAGTCAACAATAAAAATGAAAGGAGTCACTGATAACATGCAACAATATGAAACCTCAGAAATATTACACTAAGTGAAAGAAGCTACACACAAAAGGCTACACATGGTATGGTTACGTTTATATGAAATTACTATAAAAGGCACCACAATAGAGGCAGAGAACAAATAGATCGATGTTTGCCTGGGACTTGTGATAGGAGTGAGGATTGGCTGAAATGGGCATGAGGTAACTTTTCAAAGTGATAAAAATGCTCTCCAACTAGATTGTGGTTTTGATTGAACAACTGTAAACTTAATAAAACTCTATCAAAATGTACACTTAAAATTGGTGAATTTATGGCAAGTTACACATACATAAACCTTTGAAAAAAATCTAGGCTTATTCTATTCTTCTTTTGTTAATATTTCATATATTTCTCTGCTTTTTATTCATGATCAGAGTAGAACATTTTTCATTCTGTGATCTTCTTCTACTGAAAACTTACCCAAATATAGCAGCTCTTTATATCTCCCTCCTTCTGTCTGCCTGGCTTGTTCATTCACTCAGTCATTCAATTATTCAACAAAACTATATTGAGCATCTACCAAGTATCAAGCCCTGTGCTAGGTGCTGAAAATGCAAGATGAATAAGTCATCTCCTAATGCTCCTCTCTTCCTTTCATTATGAACTCTGTCTTCATTTTACAGGCACACTTACCCATCTTTTCTACTTCTACTAACTATCTTATTTAGGTCAGCAGTTTTCTATGTTGGTTCAGTGCTTTGCAAAAGTACTACCTTGAAGTGTCAATCTTTTATACTATAATGAATGTATCTTTAAAAGACTTAAACAACTCAAAATTAAGTCATCAGTTAAATGATTTATTTATTTATTTATTTTCTCAAAAGACACACCAGACAACACCAATGGTTTGGGTAAAAGGATTTTTGTTTTACTCAGCAACACCAACTTTACTGTCCCCATCAGTAACATCTAAGGCAGTTCTGAATTTGTGTGAAAGTTTCTCTCTACGCTGACGGAAGGACTTCCAAGCCTTCTCTGGAGATGTCCCTAAAACCAAAACTGGCTTTTGGATTGGGATCCATTTTCTAGACTCAATGTGATATACTTAATAGTTTCTAGAAATTATTTTTGAGTTAATTACATTTTCTGGATTCGTTCATGCACTCTTTCTGCAAAAATTTTCATCTTGTAACTCTTGTGCATCAGACCTCAAGCTAAACAAGACGTCTGCAAGATGAGGCCTAAAGTTTGCCCTAGGCATACAGTGTGAGAAAAAGGCAAGCAAAATGACAAGACAGAAAAGGGCAAAACAATAAAAGCCTATACAGAGAACAAAAATTACATATACAGTGTTAGATAAATATAGCTTTTTCTGAAGGTAATATTGAGCTGATTTTCAAAAACTAAGGGTGTCATAGGAATACAAAGAGTAAAATGGTAAGGTACCCAAGCTAAGGTAACAACATATGCAAAAGTCATGGTCAGGGGCATTATATATAACACAGACAGATAGTTGTAATGTGTGGTGCAACTGGGGAAGTGTCTGGACGAAACTGAACACTTCCTCAAGGGTTGAATAATGAAAGACCATATATACTACTCAAGAAATTATATTTTATATTATAGATAATGGCCACCCATTGAAGGGTCTTAAGTAGGCAAGTAACATGAAAAAGACCTGTTTGATGCCAGTATAGGGGATATATAATGACTGGATTTGAATTGTTTAGATGATGAAGGAGATCAAGAGATCTGGGCTGATTTCTCCATTTCACTGACTTTTTTACAACTGATCATGACTTGAGTAAAAAGTAAACCCCTTCTCTACTAAAAATACAAAAACTAGCCAGGCGTGGTGGCGGGAATCTGTAATCCCAGCTACTTGGGAGGCTGAGGCAGGAGAATCACTTAACCCCAGGAGGTGGAGGTTGCAGCGAGCCGAGATCATGCCACTGCACTCCAGCCTGGGCGACAGAGTGAGACTCTGTCTCAAAAAAAAAGAAAGAAAGAAAGAAAGAAAGAAAGAAAAGTAAATCTCTTAACCTTAGAAAATAGGTGTCCCACAGATTTTCCTTAGATAATGCCAGAAAACCCTGTTAAATTATTGATATGCCAGGCTTCAGGGGCTAGATATGCAATTAAAGTCTATTTCTTCTATGTATATACATATTTTTAAGTTTCTGATTTCACTTATGTTTAACAAAGACATTACTATTACTAGACATTACTGTCTTTGGTCTTCTTTCATGATTTTTTTTGCTGGAGAAATCATTTAGTGGCCAATCCTGCTAAAAGCACAAACATAAGGATTCTATCAACGCCACTATTAAAATCTGGTCCTCCCTAATGTTTAACCCATTTTTAATTATCTTTTTTCATAAAATAGACATTAATACAATTTAAAGTTTTTAACATTTTAAATATATCTTTTTGCATTTTGTTTATGCATATACTTTGTGGATTCCTCTTTCTATCAATCCCAGCATTCTGAAGAGTAAGAAAAAATTCTATGAAAAAAAGAATGTGTATTCCAAAAAACGGCACATGAACGGGTGCCTTAAGGAAAAGCTGAGTATCCCAGAGGAGAAGAGCAACTCAAACCTTGTAGATCTATTGGTTAGAGATGCCCCCAATGATTGCCATGAGTTGTCCCAGGGAAAGAGCAATGTTAGGTACAGGGTTGTCTCAAACCATCAAGATCTATGCAACCGAGCATACATGTGACCCAAAGGAAGAAGCTGCTGACCCTCAACACTCTAGATGCTGGGAGGTCCATAATTCAGGAGGTGGTATCAAGCTTGTGTAAAAGAGCCAAAGGAGAAAAAAATGTCACCCAGTGGCCCCTGAATGATTGTCTCCTCGGGCCCCTATTTGTTTGGGGACTTTGAACCTAAAGGTAGTTCCTCCTTCTTTATAGCCTCAAGGTGTGGGCAAGTTTGTATCAGTCCCTTTTAAAGGATTGAGGCTTCCTAAACTCAGAGCTTCTCAGCTATGATACAAACTTTGTAGCTCTACTGGTAAGAGCTACATCCACCTGAGCCTCTCTTTATCTACCTGAGCCTCAACATCCACCTGAGCCTCTCTGCATGGCCAGTATTAGTGTTTTGGTGGGATCAGAAGAACCAACAACAGGAAGCTCATGCTGCCTGTTGTGCCATGAGTAATAAGGTCATTTGTCTCTTACCAAGGAGACTTGTAGCTTTGCAGCACCCAGAAATTATGGTAGGCTAACTTGTTACCTTGCAATTATGTAATAGTGACATCTTAGATTCTTCACAGTTCTTGAGTGTAACCACAAAAGAGTGGTTTTTTTTTAATGTGACAGGAAAAGCAGAAGTTCCTGATGTATCACCTTTACTTCCATGTAAAACATTAGACTTTACCTGTTCAGGTTTCGTGCTTGCCTTTATTCTGTTATTCGATAAAATTGGAAATTATGTTGACATGAGAAATAGTACAGCATCCCAAAAGAATTATCTTGGAGTCACTTATAATAAATCTTTTACCCATTTATTGTTCAAAGCCTTTGTTTTTCTCCTGAAACAGCTCCTATCTCATCTCATAGTGTTATTCCTTTGTAGTGGGCAGTTTGGTTTCTGATAGAATTGTCATCTGCATATACTGATGTTTTTATTTCACACAGTGCACAGACCCTTGACTCTATCCTCAAACCTGGTCAGAAGCATGGATGTCAAGTGCTAGAAGGATTCTCATTCACAGTCATGAATCAAAATAGAAGCCTTATATAAATCAATCACACTCAAGTAAAAAAAAAAAGAAAAAGAAAGAAAGAAAAGAAACTGTAAAATTTGGTGTCATCTGTGAAAATTGTCTGCTTGGTTTGAATTCATATGGAAATGATTTAAATTCAGGTTCTAGAATGATGTTTTGCTTCTATCAGTTTTAAGGCATCTGAAGGTGTGGGCCCTAGGAAAGATTTACATTAATAGAAAGACTTCAGTATTCATTGCTATGACCAAACACTTCATTTAAAAACAGTTTTGACATGTTATGTTCAAAATATGTCTAAATGTAAGAAGAAAAAGTTTATTCTTCCAAAGAACTCAGATTTAAAACTAGGAGTTGGGTGAATCAAACAAGGCTCACTAAAAACACATAGAAAATGTAATATTGGAATTGTATTTTCTGAGAAATACAAATTAGTAGGCATTAGCAAGGAAAAAATAAGTGAGAGGAGTGGTAGAAAAAAGGAGATTAATACTAGGAAAATTTCTCCTCATCAGCAATAATACTGTGAAGGTAGCCATCTTTTAAATGGAAGTAAGTTATCATGGGCTCTTTGCTAACTAAGGGACAGATAACAGAAAGATGGTACTTTGTGTGTACATTTCTATTCTGAGATAGAAAAGAAAAAGATAATAATATAAGGTGATTTAGAAACACAGCAGGTATACAGAAGCCTTAAGATGGGTTGCCCTTTCACAAGTACTAAGTAGATAGTGAGACCTAGGTAAGAGGTCAGGGTCTTTTTTTTCTAAGAAGAAGCTGAAAAGAATAACAAGGTGATGCCTGAAGCAAAAGCTGCAGGAGCCAGGCTCTGTGCTTCACAGAAATATTAGCATTTGTGAGCAGAGCAGCAAATAGGTTCAATACAATGCAAAGAAGAACAATACATCAACATTTCAAATTTGACTGAAACAGAAATTCAAAATAGATTACAAACACACTATATGTAGCTATTAGTATTTTCTTCAGTCTTGCCTCCCAAATCAAAGAAATAATCTCTTAAATGTCATTTGCAAAGTTGAAATTATATTCTTGTCTTCTAAATCAAAATTAACATATTAGTGAGAGAGACATCAAAATACACATTTCAAATACATATATATGTGTGTATATATATATTAATTTTAAAGAATTCATATTCCAGTATGGAAGTGTAATTTTTTTTTTCATTTATCTCAAGTAACCCTACTAGAAAAAAATAATTCATTCAGTCTGAGTTGCACAATCTGTGGCTAATCCTATCTACTTAGGATTGGCTACCTACATTGCAAGAATTATGCCTGAAAGGAAATGATCAGCCTGCATTGAAAATTCACTCTATTTTTGTGACGGCATTTACAAAATTACTGTCATTTTTGAAACTTGGTTTTGAAAATTTTAACATTTGTACACAGAGATTTAAAAAGAGAGGACATATTATGATGAGTTGGTGGGGAGCACCTCTGTTAACAAGGGAAAAAGCCATTCTGATCAATGTTTTTAACGTCAGTTGTCAGTTTGGAAGTGACCTTCAGCCATGCAATATGAAGTCAGAGACATTCGAGCCATACACAGTGCACATCATCCCAGGGTCCTATGCTAATTAAATCTGTTCAGGGGACTGCATTCCCTCCAGTCTGTCTTAATCTACAACTGCACTGCAGGGACTAAATCTGACCTAGAAACATTTGAAACACATATGGTTAGTAAATTAATATACCATTCAATGTACGTGCTCCTTCCTGTCCATAATAGCTTTCAGCATGATAAAATTTTGGCTAAAAAAATCATTTCTAAAACTCCTCAAGCTACTTCCTTTTTCTCAGAAGAGTCTCTATTCCATATGCATTGGGCTATACCATGTTCCATATTCTCTTTCTGGAATCAGGCTATAGCATGACTGCATAATGCATGTGCTGCCAACACAACCTGGAAGGTTGGGGGAGTTAACACCCCATGGGGCACACCTTGAACAGTAAACAGAAGAATCCAGAAGATAAATTCCTCTTCCTTTCTTCCCTTTGCAGGATGTACAAGGCACCATGAGGCCATATGATTCTCCATAGCAATCCCCAAAGTAAATGTCTGTTTTTTTGAAGCTGTGGCCACCTCAATAACATATTGCATTACATTTGCTTTCCCTTTAGTCCTTCCTTACTTCCCATTTCCCTTCATTCCTGCTGCTCCGGAACTGCATCCTACAATAAAGCACTAGTGTATAAATTTCATCTCATATCCTGTTTCTTATGGCTGAAAAAGGATGCCAATGAGTTTAATTAATTTGATCATTAATTTGATCTAATGCCATCATAAGCAGAAATTATCAACTAATAATATCTAATCAAAAGTCGTTAACCAATTTAGGACACGATGGAGCCAGTTTATCCCTATTATTTCACAGGAACACAAAGAAAAAGAAGCATGAACAAAAGGTTTTACGTGGGGAATTTACAGATGTTACACTGACTTTATCTTTTGAAAGGAACACAAAGACTGACACATCTTGATTTAGAAAAATAGCGATTGTGGCCGAGCGCAGTGGCTCAGGCCTGTAATCCCAGCACTTTGGGAGGCCGAGGCAGGCAGATCATGAGGTCAGGAGATCGAGGCCATCCTGGCTAACACAGTGAAATCCCGTCTCTACTAAAAATACAAAAAATTAGCCGGGCATGGTGGCGGGTGCCTGTAGTCCCAGCTACTCAGGAGGCTGAGGCAGGAGAATAGCGTGAACCCAGGAGGCAGAGACTGCAGTGAGCCCAGATTGCGCCACTGCACTCCAGCCTGGGTGACAGAGCGAGACTCCGTCTCACCAAAAAAAAAAAAAAAAACAAAACAAAAGCCATTGTTTATTAATCCCATATGTTCACGTAAAACGGAAAAAAAAGTACTGTGTTACAGTCCCAGAACTATTAGGCCCCAGAAGAGATTTTCCTGAATGTCTCCTTTATGTTCTTACATATAAGTTCTGGATATATCAAAGTTCTCCAGACCAAACACTTTAATGTTCTCAGACTTCCATATCTTGGCACAGGCTATTCACTCTACCTGAATGTCCTCCCTTCCCCTGCTCCCCAAAAAACACTTTCTGCCTTGAATACTCATGATTCAGATAAAGGATTTTCTTTTCTGGAGCTTCCTCAACCACCACTTCTCCCTGTCACAAACTTAAGTGTTCCTACCTCCACTTTCATAAACTCCTATTTATACTTCTATTCTAGGACCTACCTCATAGACAGTACCTGTCTACATGTCTTTTCTAACTATATGGGGCCTCTCTGAAATTTCAGATTGTGTTGCTTTTTATTTTTCTATCCCCCTGAAGTTTTATGTCTCCTGAGACATGATATGAACTCAATAAAAAGGAACAAATGGAAAGAAGCAAAGAAGAAGAAAGAGGAGAAAATGAGAATGTACCTGATAAAGTTTCCTCCTATTCTTCCTTTCTCTCCAAATTCTGGGCTTGAGGCAGAGAATCCAGAGCTAAATAATGCCACATATTTTTGAAAGTCCTAGAAAATATCCCAGACTTCAATGCCCTGCATGATAAAATATCCTGTCAATCCTCTAGGGATTTTTTTTTCCTATTTGAGACATGATTTCAACAGTAGAGTACAAATCAGTTAAAAAAAAAAAAAAAGATTTGCTTTCCAGAAATTTGGTTAGAGAAAAGTTGTGCTGAAATGTTTTAAATATATAAACTAACAGATATTTTGTATTTGTATCCTGAAGTTTGAGAACACTATGGGGCATTATAAATTAGAATGGATCATTCTGTAACTAATAATAAGCCTTACTTGCGCTAAAGATGGGAAAAAAACTTGTAAATACAGTGTTTCAGCTACAAATTTGATTGTGCACTAACAGACAAACCCCCTCCTGATCTTGAACCTTTGGAGAGATCAGCCTAGATGCATGGAAATCCTTCCGAAACATAATAGCCAGTGGTGCCATGTTCATGCTCTGAAACATCATAAGAAACTGTCATTTCCAGAATGAGATTCAGTACCGTAACATAGTTTAAAGACTGAGGAGGCAACTGCTATTTTTGATTGTGCTAACCTGTGCATAATTATGTAATTACCTACTAAAATTTAGTCAGAGTGTTGCATATCTAAATCATTAACTTTAACAATTGACAAGCTGCTTTGATTAGTATTTTCATAGTGTAGGATAACATACTTTTGTCAGCTTTCATATGATTAGTTATGACTGGGAATTTGTTTATGCAAAATGTTTTCATTGCCTGTTTGAAGTAAAAGAGAGGGGGGTGGTGAGGGCAGGGGAGTCCTTTCCCTCCCTTGGTCAACTCCCTAATGGTTTGGCTCAGGAAATGTCAATGATGAGAAAACACATAAAAGGTACACATTATCAATCCCCAAATGGCAGATGGTTTTAGTGTCAAGGTAGAAGAATATCTAAAGAATTCAACTTGGGAGATTAGGCTCTCGTTTGCAAATTAGAATAACAGGACATCAGGGTCGGTGACACCAACTCAGACTGTCACATGCAACCCCCGGCTTGGCCAGACAGCCCTTTTAACAGCATTGATCAGTACAGCTGCTGTTCTAAGGAAAAGGCATGTCAATATATTTGTTATTTATTTTCTAGCAGAAACACAGCAGCTGTGGCAATTTTTGAGAAAATTCTCTAACACGTCTGATTTGCTATCAGTCCTAGGTGTTACTGACTGTAGACACACATTCCTAACAGGCTAACATCTCTGAATGCAGCTAGCTATTGAAATAGAAAATCCCTTAATTTCTTGGCTATGAAGCAGCTGTATGATGCCAAATTTCAACTCTCTATGGAAGACAGAAAGTCCTCAGGACATGAAGCGTTTCTTGTCTCCTAGGGCAAATTGGCTGGGCTCATTTGTTTGAAGCAAGCAATTACAAAAAGTGGCTTAGATAAATTTTAAAGTATAATTAAAACAAAAATACTCCACTGGCTACTCTGCATGTATTCCCTTTCCCTTTTGAGGGAATGTGTTTGGGGTGAAGACAGGAGTAATCAGAACAGGTTACTATAGGTAATGCATTCTAATTTGGAATGAAAAAATATGTGTGTGATTTGCCCCTGAGATCAGAAGATGAGACCATCCCTCCAAAAGAATTTTTAGAGCAAATTGGACCCTCAGCGCTCATTATTCTTTTCTTTCTCTCTGCATTTTTAGGATGTTATATGCTAGTGAAAATGCCTAGAAAAGGATTGTTTCATAATATGATAGTCATTGTTGTCTCCCTACCCAAAAGAGAAATAATACTTAAGTGCTGTCTTTTAAAAGGAGCCGAGAATGTTGTATCACATGGGAGATATTTTTCTTTATCAGATTGGAAATGTCAAACTTCACAATCATAAAGTATTGATCGCTCAAAATCAGACATCTCTGTCTCCATGTCTCACAAGCATGAACATCTGCTCCATCTTTCACAATAAGACTCTTCCCCATAATCAGACACACTACTGTCTTTGAGATCGCAAGCTTAATTATACTGTTTTTAAACCTTCGTGATTGAGCACGTATGCAGCAACACCGCTCCCTCACTGTGGCTTTAATCTCGTCTTTCTATGTCTCTAAGTATAATTTAAATGTAAAATTCTTTCTTTACAATTTCAAATCACCATCGAGTCTTATCATTTTTCTTCTACTCTGTATTAATTCTACCTTTTGACCGCAAGTCAATGAAAGCTTCTAAAAATCATAAAAGTTTCTGTTATTTCCTAAACAGCAGAGACTTAACAGTTTTACCAATTTAAGAAATAGATGCCTTTCTGAAAATTTGGAGAAAAATTCTACCCTACTTCTCTTCTTTGAGAAGAGAACATTTTATTATCTATTCTGTTTTGCAAAAAGGAATGTTATTTGATGCTCTGCCATATTCTTTTGCATTTTAATTAAAATAATCACTCATTTTTATCAATTACATTAGTATCTCCTTCTTTTAATGCCCTACATATACATAAATATGTGCAGCAAATTTGGTGCTGCAATAGGCACTTCCTCTGTCTGAAGATTGGCTACCCTATAATGCCAAACACTATGAAAAGAAAAGAGTACAAGTCACTTGAGTATTATAGGTAAAATGCATTAATTCATCCTGGTGCATGGACATATCATAGCTTGGGTATATCATACTCAATGAAAACATTTTGTGGTCTAAAGAACTAGGCCACTCAACTTTCAACTTTTTTTTAAACTACAATATATTTGAATCCAATTCTATAGTTGAAATTTAGGTATGAGATGATGCTTAGGAATGGGGTCAGGAATGGGCTACCATTAGGGTCTGAAATGGAGAGAGATGCAAGAAGAGGCTTAGCAAAGAAGGAGAGAATGGAGTAAAATCTGAAATGGTATAAAATAAGGAGTGCCTCTGCACACATTACTCAGTAACAATAGGTTATATTTATATTTTAACATGGCTGTTTGGGGCATCAAACAAAAATAGCAAAAACAGAAGAAAAGAAAACAAAACTCTAAACCAAGATTTCTTTGTTCTAGTGTTGAGCAACACTTGTAGCTTCTACCCATCAGATGCCAGTTGCCCCCTTCAGGAGTTGTAATAACTTAAGGCACTGTCAAATGTCCCCTGAAAAAATAAAACTGCTTCCAGTTAAGAACCACTGTTCTGAAAATTATCTTAAAATATCTCACTTTACTCTTGACCTCATAAACATCCTTAATACTACCTGCCATATGATTTTTCAGGGTAAAGGCAAGGGTCCCTAATAATGGTTCCCTAGAGTGTAGCCACATGATCAGTAAGGGAGGTTGATGACCCAGTCCTATCATCAATGTATAAAGACCCAGTCACAGCTCTGTTCTCCACAAGAGAATCTAGACCATAAGCAAGCAAAACATAGCTAAGTGTCCCCTCCTTTCACGTTTGGATCACTCTTGCTACAGGCACAGGGTACTCTTTGTCTACAGGACCACTCCTTTCCACATTCAGTACGCTGTTGACGAAAATCTCAAGAATGGTTAAGGCTGGACCCCGGAAGAGGGAAGCCAGTTTTTTGAAACATTCTCACAGAGCCTGCCAGTTTTTCTCACTGAACAAGAGTCTCATCTCTGGATAAAAATAATAGTATTTCCATATTAGCAAATTCAAAGGTCCATAATAAGGTTTTCTTTCATTGAAAAATCCCCACCATGATCTCCTTTGCATTCCAATAAATCTTAAAAATATGCCCTTTGTCTAAAGGATCTAGATGGAATTGTATATAGTATGTACCTATCTAATAGAATTTTTATTTAGAGTTTTATAGACAGTAGATTTGTTTTCAAATTGGAAAAGTATATTACCACTTAGCTTATAGAAATAATTATTACACATTTTACATAATTTAACATTTCGGCCTTTCTCTTTCTGATCTCATAAGCTTTTCTAAATTTCTTAGGAAATGAAAGATTCTAAAAATCATAAAAGTTTCTGTTATTTCCTAAACAGCATGCAAAGCTGTTGCATAATCTCAGAAAAAGATAGACAGGACAGACCTTACAAATATATTTAAATCTCTGAAATGTAGACAAGAATATGTAAATTGAAAGTAAATTTATTTTAGTGAACTGGCAAGAAGGGAAAAAATATAGGGCCATATGTTACCATCAGTTTTGCTATGCATATTTGGGGGGGGAGCTTCTTAAGCCAGACATTTTCAGGCCATAAAATGTCTTCCATAGGTAACCACAAGCTGGCAAAAGTAGTAGGCAAGTGTTGGAAGTTAGAAATGAGGACGATGCTTTTATTGGTGGCTGAGCAGAGTTGGGAACTTGGTGTAAGAGGAATGGAGATGAGGGTGTGATTTTACTTATGTGAAAATGGTAAGGAAACTCGGTGCTTGAAGCAGAAGTTCTTTGTTTCACCTGCTTTCCTCTTATTGGTCTCCCTCCATCATGAGGAGCAATTTTGAAAATAACCTACAATGTACAGAATGTGTACTCCAGTTCGCCTACCTGTTCTAGGCGCCAAAGTCATTTCTTCTTTCATAGCTTGTCTCAATAAAAAATATCACAGCCCACAGGATGTTCAGTTTGAATTCTAGTCATGGATGCAAATAATAAATTACATGAATTTTTAATATTAATAATAAGCTGTATGAAAGCAAGACTTTGTTCTGACTTTGATCCACAGTGTTGTGAACAATGCCAGGTATTCAATAAGTACTCAACAATTTTTTAAATACCTGAAAAAAATTGATATAATAAACAACAATTATGCTACAAATGGTGCCAGGAGCTTTACATATTTTAAATTAATAATTATTCTGCTTTGTGTGTATATGCATGTGTTTGTATATGATTATATTTGGACACCACCCATTTTCATGAAAGATTAAAGATTTCTCAACGACATAATTTTATATGTGTGTACTCCTTTAGCATTTATAAAGCATCTTCCCATAGCTTGTAATAAAGGAATTCACAAGACAGAATTCCAATTATTTCAAAAGACAGAATTATATTTGCTAACCAAGATCATGGACAGATAACCGACTCTCCAACTTCTATTTCTTACTCTATGAAGTGATAATAACACAACCCTTATAAGGTTCCTGTGAGGATTAAATGGACTGAAGTATAGAAATTGCTCAACAAAATGTAAAGTACTGAATAAACATAAGTAGCATTACTGTAGTTATTCTCAAAGAAAAAAGACCATAAGTAAATAGGTAGATCATTTGCATATTAACAATTACATGACCTCTTGAACTCCAAGATGTTGGGAGTCTCAAGGAACAAATGCAGGTAACCAAGAATCCTGAGCTCCAAGTCTAATCTTAGCACTGATATGCTATGATATTTGTCAGAATTCACAAGCTTTTTTGTACCTCAGTATCATCATCTGTATAAAAGGGTTCTCATAATTTCTCAGAGGTTCCTTTTGCTCCAATGTTTTATGATTCTACTACAAAAAAAAAAAAAATTAATGAGGCACCTGGAGCAGAATGTAAAGATGAATAACTCAACTTGGGGAAAGTTTTAATAAAAAGAAGGGAGTATAATTGGTCACTTCTTGTGCCCAATTTACAGCCTTTTACCCCATCTTATACTCCAATCATGCTGCAGCAGTATCCCTGTGTTGCAATCTTGCTCCACAATGTGGGACTCCTTGAGGAACCTATGAGACACACATGTGCAACCCAGAAGTACAAGGAAATTAAAGGCCAATGGGGAAAATTCATCAATGGAGGATAAGATCCAACGGACAAAACTCCCCTCTTCTTTCCCACAGGTGGACAATTCTGAGGCAATTCTGTAGGGTTCCTCAGAGGGTCCTGGTGGAATCAAGCCCCAGTTTCCTACAGTGGTGACCAACTTAATAATGCATCCTTTAGTGCCTTTTCTTCTTCCCTATTTCATGCTTCCTAATCCACCACTTTGGTTCTTTGGGGTCCATTCTCAAAATAAACTATCTGAACATAAGCCCTTGCCTTGAGCTATATTTCATTGGTTAATCTCATGCTAAGAAACAAGTGGCCCTAGAAAGCAGACCATCAGGATGAGATTTTGGACCTGGATCATTCACCAAACACACAAGGATACAAACACCATTATTGCAGTAGTAAGTGAGATGCTGATAACTC
Source organism: Homo sapiens (assembly GCF_000001405.40). NCBI lineage: Eukaryota > Metazoa > Chordata > Mammalia > Primates > Hominidae > Homo > Homo sapiens. The sequence goes on from NC_000004.12 coordinate 104,768,832, forward strand.
CTGGCATGCTATCCCATCACATGCTATACTGTCATTATTAAGGTTGTCACTAAGGTTTAGCTGGAACATTATAACAGCCATAAGAATCTAAGGGAAATATTTAGAGAGGACTTTGTCACCTGCAACCATAGAGCAAAGTGTGCAGAAAATTAGGCCCTGTGTTCAACTCTAAGAGTGGAGTTTCAAAAGAGACAGAATGTATGGGTTAAATAACTTTTATAAGCCAATGACAAAGTCCTGATAAAAAAAAAATCAGTGGCAGCCGGGCGCGGTGGCTCACGCCTGTAATCCCAGCACTTTGAGAGGCTGAGGCAGGCAGATCACAAGGTCAGGAGATCGAGGCCATCCTGGCTAACATGGTGAAACCCCGTTTCTACTAAAAATACAAAAATTTAGCCGGGCGCAGTGGCAGGCGCCTGTAGTCCCAGCTACTCAGGAGGCTGAGGCAGGAGAATGGTGTGAACCCGGGAGGCAGAGCTTGCAGTGAGCCAAGATCGTGCCACTGCACTCCAGCCTGAGCGACAGAGCCAGACTCTGTCTCAAAAAAAAAAAAAAAAATGGCATTTCAAGACTGACACGGGAGCATTTTTGTATCATTATTTTTAAGCTTTTAGGCTGCATGAGAGAGAATGTATTGACATTAAAGCATTCATGTTTTAGGATTTAATGTTTTAGCAAAGAAGCTAGAACCAGTCTCAATATGCTTCCAGGATGACACCTTGAAGCTTGGTCTGCAAAAATGGCATAGAGATTATCAGAGGTGCCTCAGCAGAGGATTGAGGAAGAAGTCAGAAGCCTCAGAAAGAAGAAATAATAGGATGGATTTAAAAAAAAAATGTGAGACCAGATAATCTACCACTTATTAGTCTGCTATCTCAATGAAATTCTAGAAATCAAAAGGTCTAGATCAAGCCAGGACATCCTCAAGCCTTAAGCTAACCCTCTAGGATAAAAGAGAAGTTGTTGCACCTTGTATTTTTACTACTAAATAGTGGCACAGCATGTAGTAAGCCTCTGAATTTTAGGGACAGTGGGAATACTGCACTTGGGAATACTTCTAAAATACTTTCTGATGACACAGAAAGTTGCCAGTTTTGGGCAGGTTTCAGACCAAGAGAAGGCATTATAGAAGTTCCTCCCTCTAGTACAAGCTGCTTTGGCACATGGGCCATAGGACACAGCAGATCCAATGGTATCTGTGTTGGATTCTGACACTGAACAGAGTGCCTGACAAGTTCCAATAACAGAGTCATGATTCAAACAACTGTTTTCATTTTGAAAATCAGTTCCTGGTTTGCTGCTAATCCTTAGTGAGGAAAATACCTTAACTATGTGACATAGGAGAATAGGCCACCAATGCAGCCTTTTCTGAGCTGAATTTTGTCCCAACCACTGAGTTATAAGTTTGGGTGAATAAGGCAGTGATCCATTGTATAATGGGTTGTGTGCAAGCAGGTCCAGAGGGTGCAAGGCAACTTTATGAACATGTGGCCCAGAATCCCACTTCTCCTACCTCTGTTGCACCAAAAATGTTCCTCAGTTACTACATAAGGCCTCATGGAGTGTTGCCTAACCCAAATGGCAGAAAATTTACAAACGTGGACTTGATTCACCAATTGAATGTCTTAATATGTTGGTACTCGTCAAATACAGACCACTGAGACAGTGGCAAAGTGAAAGCCTCCAAAGTTCTTCTCTGCTCTAATGTTCTATGGTTCTGTATCGGAACAGGTATACTGGAGCACGTGTGGCAGCATCCAAAATAGAGGGGATATTTACAAATAGTTAGAAAGGAAGATGTATTGGACTTCTCTTGGACCTCCTCCCTTGGCCTATGTTTTATTCTAATTGTCACTGCAGTTAACAGCAACACAAGGAGGAACCCTGATAGAACCTTGTCTCAGGTACTCCAAATATTACTTGCTTTATGCTCTGGGGCTTTTCAACTCCACAATGTGAAACACTTTTAGGAACCACCAGGCTCTCACACAAGAGCAACCTGAAAGTCAAAAGAGATAATGTCCTATTAGTAATCCTTTTGTTAAGTTCTTAAGAACTTTGAAAAAAGAAAAGGCAACCTTATATTAGCCAATTATCAATTGAAGCCATGCTGTGCAGGTCAGAAGGCCTCCAAGGTAGTGTTTAAAGAAAGGGACCTTCTAGGTGTTAATGCAAGCACAGCTTGGAAGTGCAAGAAAGTTAATGCCCCATGAAATCACTTTCGAAAACGAACTACCTGCATGTAATCCCTTGTCTCAAGTTCTTTTACTGAAGGGAAAGCTAGAATAGGCCAGAGAGGTAAAAATAGGAAGCATAGTTCCTTAATTGGAGACGTGGCTCTGGTATTCAGCAATTCATGAATGTATAGATTCAACATGAGAAAAGGCATTAAACCCAAAAGATCATCCCCACTTGCTGATATCTTGCACCTTAACCAAGAGATTTTGCATAGGAGAAGAAATGTGCCCACAGATTTAAAGGACAGACTGTGCTTAAAAATGAAGTTTCCATGTAGGGCTGTACTTTGCTGTTTTCTCCATTGTGATTCACTCATTAGTAATGTCATTTAACAAGATATAATTGTTGATAATAGCTACCATTTATAGAGTGTGCCTTCCATGCCGGGAACCATGCCAAGCTGTGTGTGTGTGTGTGTGTGTGTGTGTGTGTGTGTGTGTGTGTGTGTGTTTAATCACTCTTAAACTGTATGGCCACCCTCCGAGGCAAGTATCATTACCCCTTTTCTACTGATGAGAAAAGTGAGCATCAGAATATTTAAACTGACAAAACACACATAGTAGGTGACAGAGATAGGATGTGAAACTAAATAAATCTGTATACCATATAGCTGCCTTGTGAGACATTTCTGTGAAATTAGACATTGAACTAAAGCATACGAAGCACAGAGGCAAGAATGGAAGAAAGGTACTAACCTGCTCAGGTTTTTACTAAAAGATCTAACTCAACTGGGACCACCAAAAATTACATTTTAGTAGGAGGCCAGCATATCATTAATCATGTATTCATTCAGTCAATAATATTTATTTAATATTCAACTGTGTGTAAAGTACTTCTTTAGATATTGCAGATAAAAGCAATATCTATCAAAATGAATCTTACAGCACTTTCTCTAACTAAAATGTAAATGCCACAAGAGTGGAATTTTATCCCCAGCACACAAAATTTGCCAGGCCTATAGTAGGTGCTAAGTGCATATTTGCTGAAAAGGTTAATCTTTCAGGAGCAGTTACTTCCAAGCAAAAATTTAGACTTCTCCTGTATTTTATTTTATTTTTACATAAGCATTTGATTTTTAAGTACACTCTACATTTTGTGGAAATAGGGGGAGATGATCTCATGAAGTGATTGAGTTAAATGGTTCAGAGACTCTGTTTCACAGCATCATGTCTTGTTCTTATAATTCATCCCGAATTTCCATCTGCGAGTTTTTCACTTTTCAATTGGTTTTCCTGTCTTCTTTCTGTTGACATTCATTGCATATTTTAGATATTAATCTTTTGTGGGTTTTTTAAACATTGTAAATATCTTTTTCCATTTCTCACCGTCAAGTTAACTTTGTCTATTTATCCTTTCTTGAGCAGAAATATTTAGTTGTGATGTAGTTAAATCTCTCAATTTACTCATTAATGTTCTGCCCTTGTTTTTGAAGGCCTTGCTATCTTCAGAGCTATAGTCATGTCTCAGATTATTTTTTCTTTTGGCTTTCGAGTTCACTCTTCACATTTAGGCCTGTCTTATCTTTATTCATCTGAGGCATTGCTCCAGTTATAAACCAAATTCCAATATACACCAGATCTGTTCTGACCTTTGATTTGGTTCCATTGGGCTTTTATACCAGAACACTGACTTGGTAGTATATATTAGAACTGGGGAGGCTTTACTTTATTTAAAAAAAAAATCCGGAATTTTTAAGATCCTATTTTTTCAAACACATAAAAAATCAGTTTTTCAATGTCTTGTTTAAAGATATGTTTGTAATTTTGATTGCAATTGCATTGAATTTATATGCTACTTTAGTAAAATTGACATACTTATATTATTAATCATTCCATCCATAAACATGGCTCAGTATTTTGACCATTTACCTAGGTATTCCTTAACATCATTTAATAGGATTTTTTTCTGCATAAAGATGTTGCACATTCTTTATTAGATTAACTCCTACAATTCTATAGTTTCATTTTTACTGTGATTGGTCTCTTACTTTCTGTTTCATATTCTAGTTAGTCGTAATACTGATGAATGAACTTCATTTCTGTAAACTGATCTTATGTCCAGCAACTTTGTTTTCTATGTTTAGGAGTTTTTGTAATAAATCTGAGTTGATGTTTATTAAAGTTTTTCCTTATTTATTCTGATAATCAAAACTTATTTCTCCTTTGGTCAATTAATGTAGTAGATTGTACTACTAGATTTTCTGATGTTCATCTCTCCTTACTTTTTTGAGATGGACCCATCTTGATCATTTTTTAAAATACACATTTGAATCCAGTTAATGAATGGTTTATTTGTACTTTTGCAACAATATAAAGGATTGATCAAATTCCTCTAGAACTTTCTTTTTCTCTTATTTATCCAACTTGTTAATCAAATTTATACTAACCTCATAACATGAGTTAATAATATTTGTCTTTTTTCTGTTTTATATAAAAACTTCAAAAACAATGAATAATATTTTCCTTGAAAGTTTGGTACAGTTCACCTGCAGAATCTTTTGTTGATGGGAGGAGGGGCTTGGCTGAATTTCAGTTCATTAGTAGTTTTAATGGTATTCATATTTTCTTCCTTTTTGCACCTGCAAAAGCCTGCAGGGCAGGCTTTAATTCCTCCAGAAATTTATTCAAGTCATCTAGGTATTCAAACATAATTGGATATAGATTTTCATATTCTTTTTGTTATTTCATGTTAAAATTATGATGTTTCTACTTTTTTGTTGTTATTTGCATCTTTTCTCTTTTTTTCAAGATCAGTTTTCCCAGAGGATGGTCATTCTTATTAATTTTTTCAAAGAACAAATTTTACTATTATGAGTCTTCTCTTTTTCTTTCTTTCATGATGATTTATTCTTATATTTATTATTTTTTCCATATATCCCATAAGCATATTATGCTGCTCCTTTCCTAAGTTATTTGTTGGTCTCTGCTCTCTCAAGCCTGTTTTGGAACTGTTCGGGGGTATTTCCTTTCCACAAAGCCTCATTATGAAATCAGCCTTTTTACCCTATTGCTGCATGTGCGATGTTATCTGTTTGACATCTGAACCAAATTTATTTTCAGTCTTTATTATAAATATACTTAATGTTATTATAGTTCCTCTAAACATACCTACTTTAGTTCAATACATTGGATAGGTTGTATTTTCAAGGTTATTTAGGTCAAAGTGTTTTCCCTTTATAATAATGTTCAACCTAAAGGTTATTTGGTAGTAGGTTTATTAAGTTCCAGAGAGAGAGAGAAAGTTTTAAGTTATTTATTTACTCTTGATTTCTAATTTTATTGAATCATAGCAAGTCAATATAATCTGAATAATGTGGATTTTTAAAAATAAGCTGAGACTATCTTTGAGGCCATGTTTGTGGAAATTTCTGTATATATTATATGTTTGTTTGAAAAGACTGTATTTTTTTATTTTGGTTGATTGTAAAATTTTCTTCATCACTGTGTGAACCTTCCTCCCCATACACATATCGCAAATTTGGTTCAGATGCCAAACTAATGACACCACACATGCACCAACGGATATAAAATGTGTATCACATAATGAGGTTTTGTGGGGAGGACAGACTCCTAACCAGGTCCAAAACTGGCTTCAGAGAGCAGAGAAAGGAGACCGGCGTGACTTTTATTATGTTGAGGGGCTGAGGCTGAATTGAGAGTTCCCATACATACTGCCCAAGACTTATGTGGCTTTAACTTACCACTGGCTGGCACTAAAGAAGGGGACACCTGGATTTCTCATCTGCCTGACCAAATGTGGAGCAGAAAAGGAAAGGAAAAATGTGGGCATTAAAAGCTGTCAGCAATCAAACATCAAAAATGGAGTCAGACACTTCATTACAGCCTCCTTCTCTCCCTCTTTCTCTCTCTATATTTGCATTTTAGCTTAATAGTTGTGTTTTTGAATCTTCTAAATATTGAATATTTTTGGTTTGTATGACCCATCCATTTCTCTGAATCTAATATAAAATCTCTAGTTAAAATGTCTAATTTATATATTTCTGCCCACTATGTTATATTAGTATTTTGTAAATTCCAAGTTCTTTCCTATACTAAAGTTCATGGTCTACAATTCTTAATTTTATGTTATTTTCCTTGTACTTTTTTATTTGTATCTATTTTTCCCAAAATCAGTTTTTCTTGAAGTTGGTTTTTCTTATTAATTTTATCTCTCTGAGCTTCAATTTCACTATATAACAATACTTCTATTCTGTCCAAATTATTAGTCTATTAACTAACTTTAGTTTTCATTCAAATGTATGCTTCTTTCTTTCTTGATAAATTTCAGACCTCAGTTCTCAAGTCAAAGATTGACCAGACTAGGCAAGCTCTAGACTCAGCTCACCTCTTTTGACACTTTGCAATCCTCACCTAGACAAGGCTTTAGGCTTTGGGATCCAGTCTGGAGCATGCACCCCACTCATGGTATGGAGAGTTCTATAAATTAATCCCCTGTCAGTTTCTGATGCTAAAATATCTTCTCCCAATGAAATGTTGTTTGTTCATGCAACAATACCCTATTGTGATTTTTTAAACAATTACCGTGGTTTTGTAAATATGTATTCATATCTGCTAGGGTAAGAATTTCTCTTTAAAATGCTCCTCAAAATTAATTTAGCTATTAGTGGACCTTTATTCTTTCCTAGACATTTTAGAATGAATTTGTCTAGATCCTCAAAAAAAAAGGTTTTTAAATTAACATTTTATTAATATGTAATAATCACACATATTTCTAGAATAAATGTAATATTTTGGTACGTGCATACAATGTGTAAAATCAGGGTATTTAGGATACCCATCACCTCAAATATTTATCATTTCTTCATGTTAAGAACATTTCAAGACTTCTTTTCTAGTTACTTTTAAATATACAATAAATTATTGCTAATTATAGCCACCCAACTGTGCTATTGAAAACTAGAGCTTTTCCCTTCCATCTAACTGTATGTTTGTACTAATTGAACAACCTCTCTTCCTCCCCGTCATCCACGCTTCCTACCCTCTCGTAACCATCATTTAACTCTCTGCCTCCATGAGATCAACTTTTTTAGCTCTCACCCATGAGTGAGAATATATATTTGCCTTTCTGTGCCTGGGTTATTTCACTTAACATAATGGTCTTCAGTTCCCTCTCTGTTGCTGCAAATGACAACATTTTGTCTTTTGTGTGGCTGAATAGCATTCAATTTTGTATTCACACCACATATGTTTTATCTATCCCTCTGTTGATGGATACTTACATTGATTCCATATCTTGGCTATTGTGAATAGTGCTGCAGTAGACAAGGGAGCTCAGGTATCACTACCCAGTAATGAGATTGCTGAATCATATGGTGGTGTTATTTTTAGTTTTTTGAGAAACCTCCATAATGTTTTCCATGATGGCTACAGTAATTTACATTCCCACCAACAGTGTGTAAGAGTTCTCCTTTTCTGCATCTTACTAACATTTGTTATTTTTGTCTTTTTGATAATAACCATTTTAACTGGAGTGAGATGATATCTCATTGTAGTTTTCATTTGCATTTCAGTGATAATTAGTGATGTTAGGCATTTTTTCGTATATCTGTTAGTCATTCGTCTTCTTTTGAAAAATGCCTATTCAGATCATTTGCTTATATTTTGAGGTTATTTGTGAGCTTGCCGGTGGAGGGGTTGTTTGTTCATTTGTTCTTTTTTTCTCTTGTTTGTGTTCTAGGTATAAGAGTTTTTCGGTGGAATGTGTAGGTTTATACACACACACACACACACACACATATATATGTATGTGTGTAAGATTATGTTGTCTGCAAAGAGGAATAATTTGACTTTGTTTGCTAATTTGGTTGCCTTTTATTTATTTCTCTTCCTGATTGTTCTAGCTAGGACTCCTACTCCTTGTCATATTGCAATTCTTAGAGAAAAAACTTTCCGCTTTTCCACATTCAGTATGATATTATCAGTGGATTTGTCACTTATGAACATTATTGTGCATAATTTGCTTTTTCCTGCATTTATTGAGATGATTGTATGGTTTTTGTCCTTCATTCCATTGATGTGATGTATCACATTTAATGATTTGTGCATGTTGAAAACATCCTTGTATCCTGAGATAAATCCCACTTTATCATAATGTATTATCTTTTTGATGTGTTGTTAGATTTGATTTGCTGGCATTTTTTAAGGATTTTTTCATCTATTTTCATCAGAAATATTGGCCTGTAGTTTTCTTTTTTTGTTGTGTCCTTGTCTGGTTTTAGTATTAGGGTAATGCTGTTCTCGTAAAATGAATTAGGAAGAGTTCCCTCCTTTTTAATTTTTTGGAATGGTGTGAGAAGAATTGGTGTTAGTTACTTTGTTTTTATAAGATTGGTTAGAATTCAGCAGTAAAGCTGTTCAGTCCTGGAATTTTCTTGGTTAGAAGACTTTTGATTACTGATTCAATCTTACTACTTGTTATTGGTCTGTTCACGTTTTCTGTTTCTTCCTGGTTCAATCTTGGTAGATTGTACGTGTCCGGGAAAGTATCCATTTCCTCTAGGTTTTCCAATTTGCTAGAGTATAGTTAGTTGTTCACAAATAGTCTCTAATTATACTTTGCATTTTTTGTGGTTTCTCCTCTAGTGTATCTTTTTTTCGGTTCTGATTTTATATGGGTCTTCTTTTTTTTTCTTCTTAGACTAGCTACCACTGGATTAATTTTATCTTTTTAAAAAAGAAATCTGTTTCATTATATTGATTCTTTGTAATTTTTAAGTCATGATTTCATTTAGTTCTGCTCTGATCTTTATTATTTTTTTATTAATGATGGTTTGGTTTCTTCTTGCATTTCTAGTTCCTTGAGGTGCATCAATTAGGTTGTTTACTTTTAATCTTTTTACTTTTTTGATGTAGGCATTTTTTGGTATTACATTCTCTCTTAACCCTGCTTTCGCCGTGTCTCATAAGTGTTGGTATGGTGTGTTTCCATTTTCACTCATTTCAGTAAATGTTTTTGTTTCCTTCTTTATTTCTTCTTTGAACCAATAGTTGTTCAGAATCATGTTGTCTAATTTGCATGTATTTGTACACTGTCTAAAGTTCCTGTTGTTATCAATTTCTAGTTTTGTTCCATTGTGGTCTCAGAATATACTTGATAAGATTTCAAATTTTTAAATTTGTTGAGCCTTGTTTTGTGGCCCAGCATATGGTCTATCCTTGTGAATGGTCCATATGCTGGTGAGAAGAACATGTATTCTGTAGCTGTTGGATGAAATGTTGTTTAAATGTCTGTTAGGTCCATTTGGCCTAAAATGCAGTTTAAATCCAATATTTCTGTATTGATGTGCCTTCTACATGATCTGTATAATGCTGAGAGCCTATCTTTCCCTTTAGATCTACTATTAGCTTTATATATCTGGGTGCTTCCATGGCAGGTACGTGTATATTTAAAATTGTTACATCCTCTTTCAAACTGACTTATTATTATATAATGACATTCTTCGTGCATTTTTACTGTTTTTGACTTTAAGTCTGTTTTATCTTATGTAACTATAGCTAGATACTCCTGCTGACTTTTGGATCCTGTTTGCATGGAATATCTTTTTTATTCCTTTATTTTTAGTCTATATGTGTCTCTATAGGTGAAGTGAGTTTCTTATAGGCAGCAGATAATTGAGCCATATTTGTTTTTATTTATGCAGCCAGTTTATATTTTTAAGTCGTGAATTTAAACTGTTTCCATTTAGGGTTATCATTACAGGTGAGGACTTATTCCTGTCAACTTGCTACACTTTTTTTTTTCTGGTTGATTTTCATATGCTTTATCCCCTTTTTCTTCTTTTATTTTTTATTATTGGGGGGTGTCATTTTTCAGTAGTGTTAATGTTTGACTCTTTTCTCTTTCTCACTTGTCTGCTCTCCCAGTGAGTATTATACTTTCATGTGTTTTCATGATTGTGGAGATCATCCTTTCACTTGCAGATATATGACTCGCATAAGCATTTCTGGTAGGAAATTCTATATCACCACTAGACCACCACAGGTCTACTGGAAATAAACTTCCTCAGTTTTTGCTTGTTTGGGAAAGACTTGATTTCTGTCTCATTTTTTGAAGAATGTGTTTGTTGTGTATAGCATTCTTGCCATACAGTTTGTATTTTGTTATTGTTATTTGTATTTTGTTCGTTTTTCTTTTCAGCACTTTAATTATCTCACCCCATTCTCTTCCTTCCTATAAGGTTTCTGTTGAGAAATTAGCTGTTAGTCTGATGGTGATGCCTTTATATACGACTTGATGCTTTTCTCTGGCTGTTTTTAGGATTCTGTCTTTGACTTTTGACAGTTTGACTATAATACGCTTTGAGGAGACCATTTTGGGTTGAATCTACTAGGGAGATTAAGCTTTCTGTATTTGGATGTCCATATCTTTTGCAAGAATTGGGTAATTTTAAGCTATTTTTTCATTAAATAGCTTTCATATCCCTTTAATTTTCTGTTTGTCTTATGAGACACCACAAATTCAAATATTTGTTTGCTTTATAATATCCCATATGTCATATAGGCTTTTTTATTAGCTGACTGGGTTATTTCAGCAGACCTATCTTCAAGTACAAATATTATTTCTTCTGCTTGATCTAGCCTATTGTTAAAGGTCAATGTTGTATTTTTATTTTTTTATTTGAGTTGTTCAGTTCTAGAATTTGTTTAGTTATATTTTACTATATCTATTTCTTTGTTAAATTTCTCATTCAGATCCTGAACTTTTTTCCTGATTTATTTCTATTTTTAATCTGTATTCCTTTGTATCTCACTGAGTTTCTTTAATATTGTTCCTTTGAATATTTTTCTCACTTTTAACAGGTTTTATTTTCTTTGGGATGTGTTACTGAATAATTATTGTGTTTCTTTGGAGGCGCCATGTTTCCTTGCTTTTTCATGTTTCTTGTGTCATTACGTTGACATCTGTGCATCTGTGTAACAGATACTTCTTCCAGTTTTACAATTTGGCTTTTGTAGGAAAAGGCTTTCCCTATAGATATATCTGTAGTGTTGGTTGGGTAGAGTACCTTTGTTTTGATGCTTGGTGGGCACAGTCGTCTCCATATGATTTCTTTGGTTATAATAAGCATCAGTGCTATCTGTGAGTTCCTCAGTGGCTTAGACTGTGGTTGTTAATGGAGACTGTGGTGAAGCTTTGCTGAGGAATGGGACACCAGGCAGGCCAGTCCTCAGGCACAAGTGATGGTGGCAGCAAGCTAGGCATGCTTGTTATCAGGATCTTGGGTGATATACAAAAATGCCAATGGGGTGGGGGTTTGGGTGGATGGGTCCCTGGGCCCCCCAGCAACTTGCTTAGGTGCCAGCAATGGTAGTGGTGGGCCCAGCAGGCAAGTGAGTCCTCTAGTCCCTGGGTAGCATGCAGGACATCAGTAGTGGCAGTAGCAGTGGCAGGCCAACCCTCAGGCCTCTAGGCAGTGCATGCAGGTACTTCTTATGTTTTTCAAAAAAACAAACTTTAGTTTCATCTTTTTTTATTTTTCTTTCCTTTTATTATAATTTATCCATATATTTATTATTTTTTATAAATCCTATGGACTTATATTGCTCTTTTCCTAGATTTATTTTTTTATCAGAATGTAACATTTTTTCTGTTATGTTTGACTTGAATTACCTTTGGCCTAATATTAAAACTGTTACTCCATTATTGCTTTGGTTGATTTTCTCTGTTTTTTTTCACAATGTCTTCATAATTTTCTATCTCAATAGTATTTACTTGTATTGTAATTTTTAAAAATTTTCATCTCAGAGTATTTGTCTTTTGATTTATAAATAAAATACATTTAAAATTTATTGCAATTACTGTTACATTAAAATTATACCATATTATTTAATAATTTCTATTTGTCATACCTTATTTATTTTTCTTCTTATATTGGAAAGACATTTTTTATTGATTATAAAATTATATGATCAAGTTTTATTCTTCTACTGGTTATTCCTAAATTGTTTAACACATTTTTATGTTTATTTTACATTTATTTTTCTTTCAATTTATTAAGCTAATTATAGGTTATCTGTAACTTCTTCCAATCCTCAGTTATATTTCTTCAAACTTTTTTCCATTATTTCTTATTCCTCCTTCTTGTATTTCTACATGTTTTGGTATTTCTTCCCTTTACCCTTATTTTAACTTCTACATTTTAATTATCTCTTAACTATTTTATACTTTTCTTTCCACTTTTCCTATTTTCTTCTCTAATAGCCGCTTGACTTCCAGTTTACAATTCCTTTCTCAGTTATACCCACTTATTCCATCATTAACCTCATTTTACTGAGTTCTTTATTTCAACAATTATATTTTTAAATTATAGCATCTACACTTAATTCCTTCTCTAACTACTTGTTCTTGCTTAGTATTTGTAGTAATCTCTTTTATACATTTAAGAATATATATTGAGCTTAGTTGAAATTCATATACTCTCTGGCCCACTGATTGTTTTATTTGGTTATATTATTGCATTCTTAAAATATCTTAACATTTCTCTCTCATGAATTAAAATTTCTTTGGAAGTGCCAGCAACTTTGACTATTTTTTTAAATTATTTTAGGGATTCTTTGAAGGCCCAAGCCATAGGTTTTGCTCCTGTTAGTGAGTTTAAGAGTGGATAAATTTACATCAAAAGAAATGTACCTCAGGGTAGAGAACCTCTAGTGTTCTAATCTGGATTCTAATGTTCCCATTTCTGCACCATCACATCCAGGTGACCCTGCCTCTCCATATACATCTTTGTACCTCTTCCCCAAGTGCTACTTTTCAACATGTATTTTGCAGTCCACTAATCTACTGAGTGCTACTTTTCAACATGTATTTTGCAGTCCACTAATCTACTGAGTGTGGTGGGGCTCCTTGGGAGAAAAGGATAACCAGGGAATAATGGTATCCACCTGCAATTTTGTTTTTCTTCCAACTTCAGCTGAACTCCAATGCTAGCCTAATACAATTCATCTCATTGGGCTGACACTGCACTGATGATGTTTTCTCTGCTTTGCAGTGATGATGGGAAGGGGAAATTCCTCAGAGAAATATGGGGGAAAGAATAAAGCACCTATCTAGAAAGCACTCATCCAATCTGTCTTAATCTGTGATGCCTGACCTTCTTCCATTCTAGACTACTTTTAAATCCCTCAGTTGTATGAAACCACATTCCATCTCTTCAGGATTTCTTGATGGTTTTTCTGTTGGTATTAAGAATTCCAATCTTCTCTTATTATTGTAGTATCTCGTATGGTAGGCTTAAAGAGAAAGCCATCAGCTGGATTACTTAGCCTTCTTATCCAAAAGATACTTCAGTTTTCAAGTCAAAAATAAAATTCAACAATGTACTCTGTAGGATCATGGGTAACTTATTCACTTCAGTGTCCTCATCTTTAAAATAAAGGGTTGATAGAAGGATTACATGATGCATGTTAAGTAACTAGAGCTGTATGTGATACAGTCATACATAATAAATAATAGCTGTTATTTTTAATATATTTAAGTTAAAATCATTATATAACAAATATATTCAGTTGATGTATAAGGGATAAAAACACTTCCTGGTTTCTGGATCTACCCCGAAATTAAAAACCTCTCACTATAGTCCTTCCATTGACTCTACAAGATGTAGAAACAAGAGAACAGTGGTACATCAAATGCTTTAAGACTTGCTTCAATAGAATACACATTCCCTAGAAACTTCTCCATATAGTGGAAAATAAAGTTAAATATACCATGTAAGTCCTGGAAGGAGTAGGAAGGTAATCAAGCCCAATAAATATCTTTGAAGTTTTAGAATTAATTTATTGTGTAATCGGAAAATTGGACTTCAGAAACATCTATATTTTTTACTTTTGTAATTTGTGAAATTTTTTCTTGCATTTATTAGTTAAAAGTTTTGTCTGTTTTGTTAAACTTTGAAGAAAATAGTGCCATCATGTGAGCTGAAATGTAAACAAGAAAGTAATGTATCCCCAAGAGCCAGGCATGGTGGAGGCAGCTTATCAAGGTAAAGAACCCCCAAAAAGAAAGGTTGATTTCAGCGTAGACAGTGAAGATGTATGGTTCAGCTAAATGTCTTTTATAAGTTCACACAGAGATCTCTCCCAGAGAGATCTAAATCCCTGGATGTTTCTGTGAGAGTTTATATTAAGAAGACCAACATCTTGAAGCAGCACCATAATCAGACATCTTTCTTGACCTCCATTTCTAACTGCCAAGACCAAATATGAGTCAACACTTCCAATCTATACCGGGAAATGCGAGGCTCTGTGGCAATACTATATTATTCCAAAACAGTGCATTACTTTGTATAAAGATCATTTCTAATACTCACCTGTTCACTCATTTGTGTTTGACTACTGGCATTAGTATTAGCCTCTGTCAAGGATGCCAATAACAACAAAGAAAAATTTTTAAATTAAATCAGTTTTAGACTTTCAACCACAATTATTGCCAGTTTTTTCATGCAGTTGCTTGCTCTATATTTGTTCATCAACCTCATAGGAATCTTCTGCCTAACTGTCTCTTTACTTCTTCCTTACTGACCCCCTCATCTCTTTACCTCTATTTTCTATTCAGCTTGAACTTTATAATTCATCATTAACACCCCTCTATTTATCAATATCTGCAAGTATGTTTTACACATTTTCCTTCCAAGACAGACAGCAGCAGCTAACAAAACCCTGGGCTCATATGAATCCAACTATTCATCTTTTCCAGTTCTATACCAGGACTGCTGAGTGCCATGGGTGCATCACACATTTGTGCAAGCATCTGTTATTACACACCTGACATTTCAACCTCTGTTGAGTCTTCATCACTGACTGACTACCATTTATAATCAGGGGTTCTCAACCACATGTAAACATGTGGTTTACGTGTTAGAATCCCAGGATGCTTTTTAATAATCCTAATAACTGAGGCCTCATACAAAAACAATAAAATCAGATCCTCTCATGATAGGATCCAGGCATCACTAACTTTAAAAGGTCTCCCAGATGATTCCAATGAGCAGCCAGGGTTTAAGGTGATGTTTGCAGGCTTTGTGGCACATAATTATGACCTGGGAATTACTAAAAGTACTTATGTCTGAGTCCCACCCTCAGAGATTATGATTATTTTGTCTGAAGTACAACCTGATATGTTTGACAGTGCTCTAGGTGATTCCAAAATGCAGACAAAGTAAGACCCACTGGTTAGAGCCACTGTTCCTCAGGCCTCCCACCTTTTGCCTTCCAATTCACAGCAGACAACATTGCTTTCTTCCTCATAGAGAAGATAAAATCTATCAAAAAAAGGATTTTCTTATCCTCCCTTTCTGCCACCAAAGTTAGAAACAGTCCTCTTCCTATCATTACTCTGCCCACTTCTTCTCTGGTTCTGTCTCTTCCCACAGTCTCTGTGCTTTCTCTGTGCTTTCCATTAATTACTCCCATCCTTTCCCTGTATCTGCTTCACTTCCGTGGGTATTTAACATGATCTACTCTCACTCATTCTAAGGGAAACCCTTCCTGCGACATCTGTTTCTAATTACCATCCTATCTTTGTTACCTGTTCAGAACCAAATATCTTGAAACTACTGTGCACCCTAGTTATCTCCTCTACCTCACTTATCAGTCCTTTTTTTTTTACATTTTATTATTCATTTATTCCCAACAACAAAGAAATCAGTGGCGTGACCTCATTGTCACAAAGTTTAGCATGTACTTCTCAACATTTAACTTCACTAAACTCTCAGCAATATTTGACCCTGCTAACTTTACCCAATCGTCTTGAAGTCTTTCATCTCCCTTTGGCGTTTATAAATCCATATTCTTCAGTTTTTTTTTTCCTTAACTCTGTGGTTGTTCTTTCTGCTTCAGTTGCAGGTTGTGCTTCCTCTGTTCTTTTACATGCTGGTGTCCCTCAGGCTTCTGTCACTGGAATTAGCTACCTCTGATGTTACATGTTCATTGTTTTCTATGGCTTCAATTTCATATTTTATGCTAATCACTCCTCTGTGTATATAAAACTCACAGACACAGATAAGAATTTTAACTCATTTTAATTTCTATCTCAGAAATTTATTCTGTGGACTGACATTGAGCTTGGGGATGGGGAACTAAGTAGAACATCCCATACCAAGAACCTCAAAGATTGAAACTATTTCCCCCAGCTTAGCCTGCATTGTGTGTTCAGGGTGCATAGATTTACCTGTTGTTTCAGTATTACACCTAGGATTCCAGTAATCTATCGTCTTCCTACTTGCAGGGTACAAATTTCCCTTATAACCACCATCCTACTCCCACCCCCACCCCGCTGCCTCACCTGTTCCTCTGCCAACTTCAATTGCATTTCTCACCCAGCTGACTTCCCATCATATTCCTCTAGGAAACTTTCCTGAACCCCCCTAAGTTTCTCTGCAAATTAAATCCCTATATTATTGCAAATCATAATACAATTAGGGAAATGTTCTCCCCAAGAATAAACTTTGACTGTAAATTTAGTAAAACCACACATCAAATTAGTTAATAAAGAACTTATCACAGTGATAAACACATAGGGAACACTTAATAAATAATAGCTATTCAGAGTTCATTGAAAAATAATTTCTGATACCATATTAAAAATAAATGATTAAAACAAATATTAAAATATGAATGCGAAGTAACGGGTATTGTTATTTAATGTTTATCATAAGGATCATACCTAATGACAGCTTAAATGGACAGAAGAAAAATCCAAACAGAAGACTCATTCAGTTTCTATCAGTGTTTTGTAATAGAAAAAACATTAGCAAGAGACTCGGATGATTTTGTGTGACCGTATGTAAAGAATTTACGCATTCTGAGCCTAGTTTGTTCATGAATAAAACAAAAACCCAGGCTTGTTTATTGCAAAGGTCCTTTCAGCCCTAAAATTATTTGATGCTGCAAAAATAATTTCAAATAGTCACCATTCAGCTCAAGACAGAGAACGTTGCTCAGAATGCTGAATCTCTGCCACGTGCCCTCAAAGATTGCATTTCCCTCCCTTCTTCACAGAGATGTCCACAATTCTAAATGTTTTATTGAATGAATGCATGCACTTCCAAGTAAAATGTTGTTCACTTTTGTGCTCGAACCTTCAAAAATTACATCATGCTGTGTAAAATTTCTGAGTTAATTTTTTACTTATGCTTATGAGATTCATACATTTGGATGTGTACTAATGATGGGATTTGAACATCTGTATTCATGAATGAGGTAACTCTGTATTTTTCTGGGTATAGGTGCTTGCTATAGAATGAAGTTATAATTTAGTACCAAAACCTTGCCTGGTTTTGGTACTAAAGTTTATACTGTGTTTAGTCGGCCCTCCTGGCTGTTGGTTACACATGAGTGGATTCAACCAACTGAAAATTTAAAATATTTGAAAAAATAAGACTTACATCTCTACTGAACATATACAGGCTATTTTTCTCCTCATTATTCCCTGAATAATACAGTATAACAATTGTTTGCATAGCATTTATACTGTATTCAGGATTATAAGTAATCTAGAGATAGATTTAAAGTATACAAAAGGATGTGCATATGTAATATGCAAATATTATACCATTTTATATCATGGACTTAAGCACCTGTGGATTTTGGTGCCCGCAGGAGGTCCCGGAACCAAACCCTATGAATAATGAGGTACTACTATGTGTGTGTGTGTATATATATATATGTGTGTGTGTGTGTGTGTGTGTGTGTATGTGTGTGTGATATATTTGAATATATGTTGTATATAACATTTATAATTTACATACAGATATGCTTATATAAAATGAGGTAGAAAATGTTTTGTCATTTTATATTTTCTAAAATAATTTTTATGTATTTGATCATATCCCTAAGTGTTTGGTAGAACTCACCTAAAAATCAGTCAGGTGTGGTGTTCTCTTGGTAGGAAAATTTTTGGAGGAGCCAAGATGGCCGAATAGGAACAGCTCCAGTCTACAGCTCCCAGCGTGAGCGAGGCAGAAGACGGGTGATTTCTGCATTTCCATCTGAGGTACCGGGTTCATCTCACTAGGGAGTGCCAGACAGTGGGCGCAGGCCAGTGGGTGCGCCCACCGTGTGCGAGCCGAAGCAGGGCGAGGCATTGCCTCACTTGGGAAGTGCAAGGGGTCAGGGAGTTCCCTTTCCGAGTCAAAGAAAGGGGTGACGGACGCACCTGCAAAATCGGGTCACTCCCACCCAAATATTGCGCTTTTCAGACCGGCTTAAAAAACGGCGCACCACGAGATTATATCCCACACCTGGCTCAGAGGGTCCTACGCCCATGGAATCTCGCTGATTGCTAGCACAGCAGTCTGAGATCAAACTGCAAGGCGGCAGCGAGGCTGGGGGAGGGGCGCCCGCCATTGCCCAGGCTTGCTGAGGTAAACAAAGCAGCCTGGAAGCTCGAACTGGGTGGAGCCCACCACAGCTCAAGGAGGCCTGCCTGCCTCTGTAGGCTCCACCTCTGGGGGCAGGGCACAGACAAACAAAAAGACAGCAGTAACCTCTGCAGACTTAAATATCCCTGTCTGACAGCTTTGAAGAGAGCAGTGGTTCTCCCAGCACGCAGCTGGAGATCTGAGAACCCGCAGACTGCCTCCTCAAGTGGGTCCCTGACCCCTGACCCCCGAGCAGCCTAACTGGGAGGCACCCCCCAGCAGGGGCACACTGACACCTCACACGGCAGGGTATTCCAACAGATCTGCAGCTGAGGGTCCTGTCTGTTAGAAGGACAACTAACAAACAGAAAGGACATCCACACCAAAAACCCATCTGTACATCACCATCATCAAAGACCAAAAGTAGATAAAACCACAAAGATGGGGAAAAAACAGAACAGAAAAACTGGAAACTCTAAAACGCAGAGCGCCTCTCCTCCTCCAAAGGAACGCAGTTCCTCACCAGCAACGGAACAAAGCTGGATGGAGAATGACTTTGACAAGCTGAGAGAAGAAGGCTTCAGACGATCAAATTACTCTGAGCTATGGGAGGACATTCAAACCAAAGGCAAAGAAGTTGAAAACTTTGAAAAAAATTTAGAAGAATGTATAACTAGAATAACCAATACAGAGAAGTGCTTAAAGGAGCTGATGGAGCTGAAAACCAAGGCTCGAGAACTACGTGAAGAATGCAGAAGCCTCAGGAGCCAATGCGATCAACTGGAAGAAAGGGTATCAGCGATGGAAGATGAAATGAATGCAATGAAGCGAGAAGGGAAGTTTAGAGAAAAAAGAATAAAAAGAAATGGGCAAAGCCTCCAAGAAATATGGGACTATGTGAAAAGACCAAATCTACGTCTGATTGGTGTACCTGAAAGTGATGGGGAGAATGGAACCAAGTTGGAAAACACTCTGCAGGATATTATGCAGGAGAACTTCCCCAATCTAGCAAGGCAGGCCAACGTTCAGATTCAGGAAATACAGAGAATGCCACAAAGATACTCCTCGAGAAGAGCAACTCCAAGACACATAATTGTCAGATTCACCAAAGTTGAAATGAAGGAAAAAATGTTAAGGGCAGCCAGAGAGAAAGGTTGGGTTACCCTCAAAGGGAAGCCCATCAGATTAACAGCGGATCTCTCGGCAGAAACCCTACAAGCCAGAAGAGAGTGGGGGCCAATATTCAACATTCTTAAAAAAAAGAATTTTCAACCCAGAATTTCATATCCAGCCAAACTAAGCTTCATAAGCAAAGGAGAAATAAAATACTTTACAGACAAGCAAATGCTGACCGATTTTGTCACCACCAGGCCTGCCCTAAAAGAGCTCCTGAAGGAAGCGCGAAACATGGAAAGGAACAACCGGTACCAGCCGCTGCAAAATCGTGCCAAAATGTAAAGACCATCGAGACTAGGAAGAAACTGCATCAACTAATGAGCAAAATCACCAGCTAACATCATAATGACAGGATCAAATTCAAACATAACAATATTAACTTTAAATGTAAATGGACTAAATGCTCCAATTAAAAGACACAGACTGGCAAATTGGATAAAGAGTCAAGACCCATCAGTGTGCTGTATTCAGGAAATCCATCTCACGTACAGAGACACACATAGGCTCAAAATAAAAGGATGGAGGAAGATCTGCCAAGCAAATGGAAAACAAAAAAAGGCAGGGGTTGCAATCCTAGTCTCTGATAAAACAGACTTTAAACCAACAAAGATCAAAAGAGACAAAGAAGGCCATTACATAATGGTAAAGGGATCAATTCAACAAGAGGAGCTAACTATCCTAAATATATATGCACCCAATACAGGAGCACCCAGATTCATAAAGCAAGTCCTGAGTGACCTACAAAGAGACTTAGATGCCCACACATTAATAATGGGAGACTTTAACACCCCACTGTCAACATTACACAGATCAACGAGACAGAAAGTCAACAAGGATACCCAGGAATTGAACTCAGCTCTGCACCAAGCGGACCTAATAGACATCTACAGAACTCTCCACCCCAAATCAACAGAATATACATTTTTTTTCAGCGCCACACCACACCTATTCCAAAATTGACCACATACTTGGAAGTAAAGCTCTCCTCAGCAAATGTAAAAGAACAGAAATTCTAACAAACTGTCTCTCAGACCACAGTGCAATCAAACTAGAACTCAGGATTAAGAATCTCACTCAAAACCGCTCAACTACATGGAAACTGAACAACCTGCTCCTGAATGACTACTGGATACATAAAAAAATGAAGGCAGAAATAAAGATGTTCTTTGAAACTTACGAGAACAAAGACACAACATACCAGAATCTCTGGGACACATTCAAAGCAGTGTGTAGAGGGAAATTTATAGCACTAAATGCCCACAAGAGAAAGCAGGAAAGATCCAAAACTGACACCCTAACATCACAATTAAAAGAACTAGAAAAGCAAGAGCAAACACATTCAAAAGCTAGCAGAAGGCAAGAAATAACTAAAATCAGAGCAGAACTGAAGGAAATAGAGACACAAAAAACCCTTCAAAAAATCAATGAATCCAGGAGCTGGTTTTTTGAAAGGATCAACAAAATTGATAGACTGCTAGCAAGACTAATAAAGAAAAAAAGAGAGAAGAATCAAATAGACACAATAAAAAATGATAAAGGGGATATCACCACCGATCCCACAGAAATACAAACTACCATCAGAGAATACTATAAACACCTCTATGCAAATAAACTAGAAAATCTAGAAGAAATGGATACATTCCTCGACACATACACTCTCCCAAGACTAAACCAGGAGAAGTTGAATCTCTGAATAGACCAATAATAGGAGCTGAAATTGTGGCAATAATCAATAGTTTACCAACCAAAAAGAGTCCAGGACCAGATGGATTCCACAGCCGAATTCTACCAGAGGTACAAGGAGGAACTGGTACCATTCCTTCTGAAACTATTCCAATCAATAGAAAAAGAGGGAATCCTCCCTAACTCATTTTATGAGGCCAGCATCATTCTGATACCAAAGCTGGGCAGAGACACAACCAAAAAAGAGAATTTTAGACCAATATCCTTGATGAACATTGATGCAAAAATCCTCAATAAAATACTGGCAAAACGAATCCAGCAGCACATCAAAAAGCTTATCCACCATGATCAAGTGGGCTTCATCCCTGGGATGCAAGGCTGGTTCAATATACGCAAATCAATAAATGTAATACAGCCTATAAACAGAGCCAAAGACAAAAACCACATGATTATCTCAATAGATGCAGAAAAAGCCTTTGACAAAGTTCAACAGCCCTTCATGCTAAAAACTCTCAATAAATTAGGTATTGATGGGACATATTTCAAAATAATAACAGCTATCTATGACAAACCCACAGCCAATATCATACTGAATGGGCAAAAACTGGAAACATCCCCTTTGAAAACTGGCACAAGACAGGGATGCCCTCTCACCACTCCTATTCAACATAGTGTTGGAAGTTCTGGCCAGGGCAATTAGGCAGGAGAAGGAAATAAAGGGTATTCAATTAGGAAAAGAGGAAGTCAAATTGTCCCTGTTTGCAGACGACATGATTGTATATCTAGAAAACCCCATTGTCTCAGCCCAAAATCTCCTTAAGCTGATAAGCAACTTCAGCAAAGTCTCAGGATACAAAATCAATGTGCAAAAATCACAAGCATTCTTATATACCAATAACAGACAAACAGAGAGCTAAATCATGAGTGAACTCCCATTCACAATTGCTACAAAGAGAATAAAATACCTAGGAATCCAACTTACAAGGGATGTGAAGGACCTCTTCAAGGAGAACTACAAACCACTGCTCAAGGAAATCAAACAGGATACAAATAAATGGAAGAACATTCCATGCTCATGGGTACGAAGAATCAATATTGTGAAAATGCCCATACTGCCCAAGGTAATTTACAGATTCAATGCCATCCCCATAAAGCTACCAATGATTTTCTTCACAGAACTGGAAAAAACTACTTTAAAGTTCATATGGAACCAAAAAAGAGCCCGCATCGCCAAGTCAATCCTAAGCCAGAAGAACAAAGCTGGAGGCATCACACTACCTGACTTCAAACTATACTACAAGGCTACAGTAACCAAAACAGCATGGTACTGGTACCAAAACAGAGATATAGATCAATGGAACAGAACAGAGCCCTCAGAGATAACGCCACATATCTACAACTATCTGATCTTTGACAAACCTGACAAAAACAAGCAATGGGGAAAGGATTCCCTATTTCATAAATGGTGCTGGGAAAACTGGCTAGCCATATGTAGAAAGCTGAAACTGGATCCCTTCCTTACACCTTATACAAAAATCAATTCAAGATGGATTAAAGATTTAAACGTTAGACCTAAAACCATAAAAACCCTAGAAGAAAACCTAGGCATTACCATTCAGGACATAGGCATGGGCAAGGACTTCATGTCCAAAACACCAAAAGCAATGGCAACGAAAGACAAAATTGACAAATGGGATCTAATTAAACTAAAGAGCTTCTGCACAGCAAAAGAAACTACCATCAGAGTGAACAGGCAACCTACAAAATGGGAGAAAATTTTTGCAACCTACTCATCTGACAAAGGGCTAATATCCAGAATCTACAATGAACTCAAACAAATTTACAAGAAAAAAACAAACAACCCCATCAAAAAGTGGGCAAAGGACATGAACAGACACTTCTCAAAAGAAGACATTCATGCAGCCAGAAAACACATGAAAAAATGCTCATCATCACTGGCCATCAGAGAAATGCAAATCAAAACCACAATGAGATACCATCTCACACCAGTTAGAATGGCGATCATTAAAAAGTCAGGAAACAACAGGTGCTGGAGAGGATGTGGAGAAATAGGAACACTTTTACACTGTTGGTGGGACTGTAAACTAGTTCAACCATTGTGGAAGTCAGTGTGGCGATTCCTCAGGGATCTAGAACTAGAAATACCATTTGACCCAGCCATCCCATTACTGGGTATATACCCAAATGAGTATAAATCATGCTGCTATAAAGACACATGCACACGTATGTTTATTGCAGCATTATTCACAATAGCAAAGACTTGGAACCAACCCAAATGTCCAACAATGATAGACTGGATTAAGAAAATGTGGCACATATACACCATGGAATACTATGCAGCCATAAAAAAGGATGAGTTCATGTCCTTTGTAGGGACATGGATGAAATTGGAAATCATCATTCTCAGTAAGCTATCGCAAGAACAAAAAACCAAACACCGCATATTCTCACTCATAGGTGGGAATTGAACAATGAGATCACATGGACACAGGAAGGGGAATATCACACTCTGGGGACTGTGGTGGGGTGGGGGGAGGGGGGAGGGATAGCATTGGGAGATATACCTAATGCTAGATGACGAGTTAGTGGGTGCAGTGCACCAGCATGGCACATGTATACATATGTAACTAACCTGCACAATGTGCACATGTACCCTAAAACTTAAAGTATAATAAAAAAAAAAAGAAAATTTTTAAATACTGATTTAACTTCTACACTAATTAGAGTTATTGGATATTCTCATTTTACTTGAGTCATTTTTTGGTGTGTTATTTTTTCTAGTAATTTTGTTTATTTAATTAAGTTTTTGTATTTGTTATTCAAATTGTTCATCTTATTTTTTTATAATGCTTCCAACTACAGAATGAGATGCCAATGTCTTTGTTCAGATACCACTCACTTTATTTTCTTGGGCATTTTCCTTATGTGGCTTCATTGTATAACAAGCACCTATACCCTTTAAGGAAATGGAAAACCAGTAAATTACTATTCAATTCACAAGCCTGATGACTTCTATGTACATAGCTCTCACTCTTCTCATTGTGTCTGGCAGGAAGGTGGTGGAATATTGATGGGAGCCTGTCCAGTATTCACTAAGGACAGCTAGGAGGTGGCTTTTCCCAACTATAGGCTGATTGATGCTTCTTTTGGAAAAGGTGGATCTTCTGTTCTCAGACTTAGGCCTTAGTCAATTAAGGAATAATAGTAAAAATTAGATTGGGCAGCCAATGATTGCCTCAATTATTAGAAGGGGCTAGTAACTGAACAATATTACTAGTTCCTAGCCTTTCATTCATCAAAGCACACATTTGTTCCTTCTAGAAGAAAGTTATTTCTATAGCTTTGACATAAAACACTCAGTTTCTCTACCATACAGCTAAAGTTCCAACTCCTCAGGATGCAATTTGTCTTCCACAAGCTATTCCCAATTTGCCTCCTCTGTCTTATCCCTCAGCCAACCCTCCCAAACCTGAAGGTTCTACTTTCCCAAGCTATATATACAGTATCCTAATGCTTCCCATATCTGTGTTTTTCTAAAGCTATTTGCTTTCAGACTGTCCTTGCTCTTTTCTATCCCCCAAAACCCACTTACTGAAAATGTTCACTGCTTTCAAAGACTGGGCCTAATTCTACTTTTGACATGAATGTCCATCATCCCTATAAGAATTAATAATATTTCACATGAATCATCCTCTTTGTGATTAGTTTTTCTCCCTTATATCACTACTTCTAATTAATATTTGCTGAAGAAATAAATACAAATTTTCTTCCAATGAAATATCTGAAATAACATATATTTACATAAGAAATATGTAAATATACAATGTATGTAAATACAAAATATGTAAAAATACATGAAATAACATATATAATACATATCTGAGATCCCTGAGGTAGAAATTATGACATATTCACCTATAATTCCTCAAAAAGAATAAAACAGTATGATTTAAATAGTAAATATTAAACATGATGTCCAATAAATTAGATTGAAAACTAGAATTGGTGAATAAAGAAGAAACATGAGACAGTGAGGAAGTCACTGATGTTATAATGATATTAGTAATTTCTCATTTTGCCTCTACTTCCATTTTTAAATGAAAATAGTACTCAGGACCTTTCCAGGAAAAATACAAACAAAAACTAAGGTTATGGGAACATTTCTGATGGCACTCTGAGGATCATTCCTGCATGCTTAGAGGAATCTCCCATTTCGTAAGAACACTGGTATAACCTTAAGGTGGGTTATCTTCTCTCCCAGGAGACAGGGCAGGAAACTCAGGTGTACTTTGTTGCCACTTGCATTTCTCTCTTCTGACTGGGTGACAGTGTGAATTTGAGTTAGGTCTGGGAAGGTGGTGGGTGACAATTGCAAACTAGGCCTTTCAATCTTTCAACCACATCTCTGACCTTTCAAATTTGGAAATGTGCTTTCTTCCTACCTGCCAAATGGCCTCTTTTTGACTGATTTATGTTGGATTTACTTCCATTCAAATTGAATTTTTATTTTTCATTGAGCACATGACCTAAAGTAGATTCCTCAGAAAAGGCTGGAGGAATTAAATGTCAGCTGAATGAATTTATGTTTTCCTTATTTGCATTCTACCTAATTATCTTTTTTATATGCTGCCTTAAAATTGTATATTTTTAAAAATTCTTGAAAATT
The DNA here is from genome assembly GCF_000001405.40 of Homo sapiens. NCBI lineage: Eukaryota > Metazoa > Chordata > Mammalia > Primates > Hominidae > Homo > Homo sapiens. Next base: position 104,794,997 of record NC_000004.12, read on the forward strand.
AAAGTTTTTATTTTCTTCTCAATTATCTTCAGTGTTGAGTTCCTCTTTTATTTTAGTATGTGATGATTTCTTATACATGTATGAAGTACATTTGATGATAGAGAGATGATAAAAAGAGGAAGATAGGAAGTATGTAAGGAAGAAAAAAAGGAAGAAGAAATCTAAGGGGGATTCAAATATACTTAATTATATCTAGGGAACTGATGTGATCAGTTCAACAAAAATGTGTTTTTATAAGAACAAATGCGCATCCTGAGAGAGAAACCATCTGGAGATGAAAATGAACCACCAAGACATGATGACTTTGATCTGGTAAGAACGCATCAATGTAGAAGTAATACACATTGTTCCTCAATGTAGAGAGGAACAAAGCATGATTTCTGTTATCCAGTTTTGTTTCCTAGCCCAGACTTCAAAGATTGTGGTTGAGTTCTATGAAAAGCAAAGAGACTATAAATAAAACTTGAAGTAATTTCTCAACTAACAACACTATGCAACATTAGGAGTAAAAACAGCTATCTTAGGAGCCTTCAGGTGGTATATCATTCACATTGCACCTTGCTGTCAATCATAGGGTAGTTTTAGCATTATGAAGATCCTTTAAGGCAGTGAAAATAATCAGGGAAACATGGAAAACACCCATCAGAAGATAGCAGTGTACCAGCAGAGAGGCAGTAGTGCCCAAAAGACTGGAAAGGAGCCCAGTGAATTCTGGTTGAAAGGCATTACCACCCACTGGAGCCCTTAGAAACTGTGTTCCAGGAATTAATTGCAGTGGCCAGGAATAAATGAGTGCCAGCAGTAATGGCATAGTGCCCAAAATGGTTGGACTCATTCCTCAGTACATTTGATTCACCCTGTCAGGATTTCCAGATTACTTGACATGGCATTTAGTATGAAATCCTATATGAACAAATGAAAACTCCCACCCGAATTGATGAGACCCCATCAGTATTCTGAAGCAGATGAAGTCAGAGGAAATTCCATTTACCTACCACCAGCCATCCAACAGCAAAACTGCTAGAGAACAAATCTTTGTGCTTTCCTTTCACTTGATAAGCATGAAGTTAGAAATATCAGTAGATAAAATAAAAACTGTTAGAAAACTTCAGATCATTTCCTGAAAAATCTATATTTTATTACGTTGGTGCAAACATAATTGTGGTTTGTGCAACTACTTTTAATGGCAAAAACTGCGATTACTTTTGCACCAACCTAATAAATTCATTGTATTTCTTTTCTTTTCTTCTATTGTTTTATAGACAAGGTCTTAATCTGTCACCTAGGATGCAGTACAGTGGCACAATCACAGCTCACTATAGCCTCAACCTCCTGGGCTCAAGTGATCCTCCTACCTCACCCTCCCGAGTAGTTGAGACCACAGGTATGTGCCACCATGTCTGGCTAATTTTTAATTTTGTGTAGAGATGGGGGTCTCCCTGTGTTGCCCAGGCTCATTGTATTTCTTAAAACTGCAACTTCATGCTGCAAGACACAGACTTTTTAAAAATAGCCAAATTCAACACTTTTAAAAGACATAAGCTCAGTTTGGGTTTTTTTTTTTTTTTTTTTTTGTCATTTTAAATCTTTAACTACAATTATGTTCCTTTTTAAATTTTACTTTCTAATTTTGTGGGTCATTAGTAGGCGTATATATTTATGGGGTCCATGAGCTGTTTTGATACAGGCATGCAATGCATAATAATCACATCATAGAACACTGTGGTATCCATATCCTTAAGCATTTATCCTTTTTGTTACAAACTAATCCAATTATATTCTTTTAGCTATTTTAAAATGTACAATTAAGTTATCATTTTTATCACCCTGTTGTGCTATCAAAACCAAGGTCTTGTGCATTCTAACTACTTTTTGTACCCATCCCCCAACTGTCCTTCCTAGCCTCTGGTAACTATCCTTCCTAGCCTCTGGTAATCATCCTTCTACTCTCCATTATGTTCTTTTTGTTTGTTTGTTTGTCTGTTTGTTTGGGACGGAGTCTTGCTCTTGTCGCCCAGGCTGGAGTGCAGTGGTGCGATCTCAGCTCACTGCAACCTCCGCCTCCCAGGCTCAAGCGATTCTCCTGCCTCAGCCTCCTGAGTAGCTAGGATAACAGGCGCTCACCACCACACCTGGCTAATTTTTGTACTTTTAGTAGAGATGGGGTTTTGCCATGTTGGCCAGGCTGGTCTTGAACTCCTGACCTCTGGTGATCCACCTGCCTCAGCCTCCCAAAGCGCTGGAATTACAGGCGTGAGCCACCACGCCTGGCCCATTATATTCCTTTTTTATGCTTACTTTTTGTGGCTTCTTTTTCTTGATCCATTTTTACAATGGTTTGCATATTTTACTAAAGTTTCTAACAAATTAGTTTTCATGTTGTGTGTGTGTGTGTGTGTGTGTGTATATATATATATATATACTATTTTAGTTTATACGTTGTGCTTTCATCTTGTTTCCTTGTTTCTATTTTCTTTAGGTTTATTCTATTGACTTTTGTTCTACAATCTTGAAGAACACAAAACTCATTAATATAAGCTTTTATTTTAAGTACTTACTGCCATACTTCAAAATATCGTTTAACTCTATTCCAAAAATGTTGATATTTTGTATCATAGTAGCCATGGAGGCATGCTACTCAGAATACCATCAAAAGGATGTGCTGTGGGTACAAGGTTGACTGACAACCTCTAACCACTCCACTCTCTGACCCACTGTGGCATTCACCAAGGCCACATTTTCCTAGGCTGCTGTTGATAGTGACTGAGCATAGCAAGAGTACCAGGTCCATTTTGGCTAGATGTAGAACGCTGTTAGGACAACCTGGTAACCATCCTTCTACTCTCCATTATCTTCCTTTTTGTTTGTTTGTTTGAGACGGAGTCTCGCTCTTGCCGCCCAGGCTGGAGTGCAGTGGTGCGATCTCGGCTCACTACAACCTCTGCTTCCCATGTTCAAGTGATTCTCCTGCCTCAGCCTCCTAAGCAGCTGGGATTACAGACGCCTGCCACCACGCCTGGCTAATTTTTGTACTTTTAGTAGAGACGGGGACTCCCATCAGCATGGAGGAGGCTTTCTCAGAATTGCACTACTGTCTGAATACCTTCCACCCCAATCCTCCTTCTAGTTTTTCTTTTCACAGACGTCAGTTCCACATCATAGTCTGAAGTTTCCCTCAGCCTATTCCTGTTCTCTCCCTCTTTATCCTTCAAAGACATTTCCCCGATGTATCCTTGTACATTTAATTCTTCATTGGTATCTCCTTAGAGGACTTGAACAGACAAATGGACACAAGTATTTTTGTTATTATCCAGTTATAAGTGTCTCAAATTTCTAGTAAGAATTGTTTCTCTGACTCATGTGCTATTTATGTTTCTTTTTCCCAGTCATTTGAAAGGTCTTTTAACTTCTAACTTAATTTGTCTTGTACCCATAGAATGTGTCCTTTGAAATCTCTCTATATAGTTTTTATGGTGCTTGCTGAAGAATGGATATTCTATAATTGTTGAGTGTTGAGTTCTAAGTTCACTAAAAATGCATGTTGTGTTGCTCAGATGAAATATCACATAATGCAAGAGGTATTTAAATATCCCCTTATAATAGTGAATTGTAAATTTATCTTTATACTTATATTGTTTTGCCTTATATATTTGAAACTATTTCATCAAGTATATACAGGTTTTGATGAGTCTTTTGAAAACAGCTATTGCTGAATGTTGGCATTTCATGCAATCTGGAAATATCAGTATTTTAAGCAGTGAGTTCAGTATTTAGTTTATTTACATTTATTGTGATTATTAAAACATTTGTACTTTTCTTTCTTATTTTGTGTTTTCTGTCTATTCCATCTTTTTATTTTACCTTTTTCTCATTTCTTCATTCTTTGATATTGATTGCATTGATTTTTATATTACATTAAAATTAGTAGTAACATGTTTTGGGGGGTATTTTTGAAAATTTAACTTATATTCCTAATGTAAAAAGAGCCCCTTGATTATCTCTCCTGTTAAATAAATTCAAAACCTTAGAATATTTTAACTTTAATTGCTATTCCAACTGACTTTACATTATTGTCTAATATCTTGGTTCTCTCTTGCTTTCTTGGTAATTTTAATGTCACATATTGGAAATTATTACTTTGAATATAATATTTGTCTATATTTATTACACACCAAAATCTTTGCATGTTATTATTTTTTACTTCAGATTTTTTAGGATCATTGTCCTTTTTATTATATACATACTTTAGAAGAAGTTCTTTTAATAAGAGTAAGTTTATAATAAACTCTCTCTGGTATTACTGAAAAAAATATACTGTTATTGTCCACATTCTCTAAATATTTCTCCTAGATTTAAACTTATTGGTGGGGTGAGATTCTTAGAGATTTCTTGTATTTTCCAGTGAGTTGATCAATGCATTTAAAAGTATGATCATTTAGAGTTGAAACTGATTTGCAGTGAAAGGCTTTTAGAATACTTTAGTCTGCTATAATTCTAGAAACAGTAGTTATTTCTACTATTTTTACCTATAAACATAATCAAGCTTATCAATGTTTGATATAGATTGATGGATATATCATCTCATATTTCATGAGTTCTAAAGTCACAAGTCATCTACATAATATGAGTTCCTGAGGAAAAAGAGGAATCTGCCACCTCAGAGTTGGGAGAGATACCTCTATGTGTGCATTTTTGTGTGTAACATATTGATATACAGTCAACATATGTCAATTAAGCCACTCTGTGATTTATATTATCTAGTTCAATGAAACAAAACTTAAAAAGGGACTCAGAGCCTGGAAAAGATTACTGTAGAAAAATCACAGATTGACAATTAAACTAACAATACAAGCATAGAAAACAATTAAAAGTAGGAGAGCTGGCAGTTCTATTCCTAGCATGAGGGCTTTTTTGGCCACTGTACAAGATAAAAATAATGACAGTTTAATCAGATCTGACAAGAAGTCAGCCAAGAACTTTAAAATTATCAAGAAGATGATTTTCCATAAAGAGTAACAATTATTGTTAAATATAAAACTGGCCTAATTGATTATTGCAGCTTTAAATAATAAGCTAATATTAGATAAACACACCACAATTAGCAAATTATTTTTAAAATAAAACTTATTTCAAGGGGTGGGAAAAGATATTCCATGTAAATGAAAACCAAAAAAGATCAGGAGTAGCTGTACTTATAAAATAGATTTCAAGACAAAAGTTATAAAAAGAGACAAAGAAAGTCATTATATAATGATAAAGAAGTCAATTCAGTGACATGCTATAATAATTACAAATATATATGTACCCAATGATGGAGTACCCAGATATATAAAGCAAATATCACTAAAGAGATAGAGCCCAATACAATAGCAGTTGAGAATTATTTTAACACCCCACTTTCAGTATTGGACAGATTATCTAGACAGAAAATAAACAAACAAACATCAGACTTAACCTGTACTATAGACCAAATTGACCTAACAGACATTTATAGAACTGTTTATCCAACGGCTGCAGAATACACATTATTCTCATCAACACATGGAGCATGCTCCAGAATAGACCATATGTTCAATCATAAAACAAGTTTCAACAAATAAAAAAATACACAAACAATATCAAGTATTTCTGACCACGATTTCTGACCACCATTATGGTCATAAATGCTTGATATGATTAGAAATCAATAACAAGAGGAACTTTGGAAAGTATACAAACACATGGAGATTAAGTAATATACTTATGAATGACCATTAGGTCAATGAAGAAATTAAGAAGAAAATTTTAAAAATCTTTAAACACGTGAAAATAGAAACACAATATATCAAAACTTATAGGATATTGCAGAAGTAGTGCTGAGAGGAAAGTTTATAGAAATAAATGCCTACATCAAAAAAGTAGAAAAATTTCAAATAAAATACCTAACAACGCATCTTACAGAATTAGAAAAGCAAGAGCAAATCAAACACAAAATTAATAGAACAAAAGAAATAATAGAGATCAGAGTAGAAATAAATGAAATTGAGACTAAACAAATACAAAGCATCAACAAAATAAAGATATGACTTTTTGAAAAGATAAACAAAAGTAACAAACCCTTAGCTAGACAAACTAAGAAAAAAAGAGAGAAGACCCAAATACATAAAATCAGAGATGAAACAGGAGACTTTACAACTGATGCCACGTAAATTCAAAAGATAATTACAGATTATTATTAATAACTACATGCCAAATACCTAGAAGAAATGGATAAAATCCTAGACACATAAAATCTACCAAGATTAAACCATAAAGAAATAGAAAACCCAAATAGATCAGTAACAAGTAATGACATAAAAGGAATAATAAAAAGTCTCCTATCAAAGCAAAACCCAGGACCTGATGGCTTCACTGCTAAACTCTGTCAAACATTTAAAGAGCTAATATCAATCCTACTCAAATTATTTCAAAAAAAAATAAGAAGGCGGTACTTCCAAACTCATTCAATGAGATCAGTATTACCCTGATAACCAAAACCAGAAAAAGGCATGACAAAAACAGAAAACTACAGGCCAATATCTCTGACTAACATAGATGCAAAAATCCTCAACAAAGTACTAGCAAACTGAATCCAACAACACATTAAAAAGATCATTCATTATGACCAAGTGGGATTTATCCCTGGGATGCAAGGATGGCTCAACACATGGAAAACAATAGATGTGATACATCACGTCGACAGAATGAAGGACAAACCACATAATCATTTCAATAAATGCTTAAAAAGTATTTGATAAAATTCAACATCTCTTCATGATAAAAACTTTCAACAATTGTTTAGTACAGAACAGACATACCTCAACACAGTAAAGGCCACATCCAGTAAAGTCAGTATCATAGTGAATACGGAAAAACTGAAAGCCTTTCCTCTAAGATGTGGAACAAGGCAAGGATGCCCACTTACCACTTTTATTCAACATGGCACTGGAAGTCCTAGCTAGAAAAATTAAACAAGATAAAGAAATAAAAGTCATCCAAATTGGAAAAGAAAAATTCAAATTACTCTTCTTTGCAGGAAATATGGTCTTATATTTAGAAAAACCTGAAGACCCCACTGAAAAACTATTAGAAAACAAATTTATTAAAGCTACAGGATACAAAATAAACATACAAAAATCAATACTGTTTCTTTATGCCAATAGCAGACAATCTGAAAATGAAACCAAGAAAATAATCCCATTAATGATAGCTACAAATAAAATACCTGAAAATAAAGTTACCAAAGTAAAAAAAGCGCTTAACAATGAAAACAAGTCCAGGACCAGACGGATTCAAAGCCAAATTCTACCAGAGGTACAAGGAGGAGCTGGTACCATTCTTTCTGAAACTATTCCAATCAATAGAAAAAGAGGGAATCCTCCCTAACTCATTTTTATGAGGCCAGCATCATCCTGATACCAAAGCCTGGCAGAGACACAACCAAAAAAGAGAATTTTAGACCAATATCCCTGATGAACGTCGATGCAAAAATCCTCAATAAAATACTGGCAAACCAAATCCAGCAGCACATCAAAAAGCTTACCCACCATGATCAAGTGGGCTTCATTCCTGGGATGCAAGGCTGGTTCAACATATGCAAATCAATAAACGTAATCCAGCATATAAACAGAACCAATGACAAAAACCATATGATTATCTCAATAGATGCAGAAAAGGCCTTTGACAAAATTCAACAGCCCTTCATGCTAAAAACTCTCAATAAATTAGTTATTGATGGGACATATCTCAAAATAATAAGAGCTATTTATGACAAACCCACAGCCAATATCATACTGAATGGGCAAAAACTGGAAGCATTCCCTTTGAAAACTGGCACAAGACAGGGATGCCCTCTCTCACCACTCCTATTCAACATAGTGTTGGAAGTTCTGGCCAGGGCAATCAGGCAGAAGAAGGAAATAAAGGGTATTCAATTAGGAAAAGAGGAAGTCAAATTGTCCCTGTTTGCAGACAACATGATTGTATATCTAGAAAACCCCATCGTCTCAGCCCAAAATCTCCTTAAGCTGATAAGCAACTTCAGCAAAGTCTCAGGATACAAAATCAATGTACAAAAATCACAAGCATTCTTTTTTTTTTTTTTTTTTTTTTTATTATTATTATACTCTAAGTTTTAGGGTACATGTGCACATTGTGCAGGTTAGTTACATATGTATACATGTGCCATGCTGGTGCGCTGCACCCACTAATGTGTCATCTAGCATTAGGTATATCTCCCAATGCTATCCCTCCCCCTTCCCCCGACCCCACCACAGTCCCCAGAGTGTGATATTCCCCTTCCTGTGTCCATGTGATCTCATTGTTCAATTCCCACCTATGAGTGAGAATATGCGGTGTTTGGTTTTTTGTTCTTGCGATAGTTTACTGAGAATGATGGTTTCCAATTTCATCCATGTCCCTACAAAGGATATGAACTCATCATTTTTTATGGCGGCATAGTATTCCATGGTGTATATGTGCCACATTTTCTTAATCCAGTCTATCATTGTTGGACATTTGGGTTGGTTCCAAGTCTTTGCTATTGTGAATAGTGCCGCAATAAACATACGTGTGCATGTGTCTTTATAGCAGCATGATTTATAGTCCTTTGGGTATATACCCAGTAATGGGATGGCTGGGTCAAATGGTATTTCTAGTTCTAGATCCCTGAGGAATCGCCACACTGACTTCCACAATGGTTGAACTAGTTTACAGTCCCACCAACAGTGTAAAAGTGTTCCTATTTCTCCGCATCCTCTCCAGCACCTGTTGTTTCCTGACTTTTTAATGATTGCCATTCTAACTGGTGTGAGATGATATCTCATAGTGGTTTTGATTTGCATTTCTCTGATGGCCAGTGATGATGAGCATTTCTTAGGAATCCAACTTACAAGGGATGTGAAGGACCTCTTCAAGGAGAACTACAAACCACTGCTCAAGGAAATAAAAGAGGAGACAAACAAATGGAAGAACATTCCATGCTCATGGGTAGGAAGAATCAATATCGTGAAAATGGCCATACTGCCCAAGGTAATTTACAGATTCAATGCCATCCCCATCAAGCTACCAATGACTTTCTTCACAGAATTGGAAAAAACTACTTTAAAGTTCATATGGAACCAAAAAAGAGCCCGCATTGCCAAGTCAATCCTAAGCCAAAAGAACAAAGCTGGAGGCATCACACTACCTGACTTCAAACTATACTACAAGTCTACAGTAACCAAAACAGCATGGTACTGGTACCAAAACAGAGATATAGATCAATGGAACAGAACAGAGCCCTCAGAAATAATGCCGCATATCTACAACTATCTGATCTTTGACAAACCTGAGAAAAACAAGCAATGGGGAAAGGATTCCCTATTTCATAAATGGTGCTGGGAAAACTGGCTAGCCATATGTAGAAAGCTGAAACTGGATCCCTTCCTTACACCTTATACAAAAATCAATTCAAGATGGATTAAAGATTTAAACGTTAAACGTAAAACCATAAAAACCCTAGAAGAAAACCTAGGCATTACCATTCAGGACATAGGCGTGGGCAAGGACTTCATGTCCAAAACACCAAAAGCAATGGCAACAAAAGCCAAAATTGACAAATGGGATCTAATTAAACTAAAGAGCTTCTGCACAGCAAAAGAAACTACCATCAGAGTGAACAGGCAACCTACAACATGGGAGAAAATTTTCGCAACCTACTCATCTGACAAAGGGCTAATATCCAGAATCTACAATGAACTCAAACAAATTTACAAGAAAAAAACAAACAACCCCATCAAAAAGTGGGCGAAGGACATGAACAGACACTTCTCAAAAGAAGACATTTATGCAGCCAAAAATCACAAGCATTCTTATACACCAACTACAGAGAAACAGAGAGACAAATCATGAGTCAACTCGCATTCACAATTGCTTCAAAGAGAATAAAATACCTAGGAATCCAACTTACAAGGGATGTGAAGGACCTCTTCAAGGAGAACTACAAACCACTGCTCAATGAAATAAAAGAGGATACAAACAAATGGAAGAACATTTCATGCTCATGGGTAGGAAGAATCAATATCATGAAAATGGCCACACTGCCCAAGGTAATTTATAGATTCAATGCCATCCCCATCAAGCTACCAATGACTTTCTTCATGGAATTGGAAAAAACTACTTTAAAGTTCATGTGGAACCAAAATAGAGCCCGCATTGCCAAGTCAATCCTAAGCCAAAAGAACAAAGCTGGAGGCATCACGCTACCTGACTTCAAACTATACTACAAGGCTACAGTAACCAAAACAGCATGGTACTGGTACCAAAACAGAGATATAGACCAATGGAACAGAGCAGAGCCCTCAGAAATAATGCCACATATCTACAACAAACTGATCTTTGACAAACCTGACAAAAACAAGAAATGGGAAAATGATTCCCTATTTAATCAATGTTGCTGGGAAAACTGGCTAGCCATATGTAGAAAGCTGAAACTGGATCCCTTCCTTACACCTTATACAAAAATTAATTCAAGATGGATTAAAGACTTACATGCTGGACCTGAAACCATAAAAACCCTAGAAGAAAACCTAGGCAATACCATTCAGGACATAGGCATGGGCGAGGACTTCATGTATAAAACACCAAAAGCAATGGCAACAAAAGCCAAAATTGACAAATGGGATCTAATTAAACTAAAGAGCTTCTGCACAGCAAAAGAAACTACCATCAGAGTGAACAGGCAACCTACAGAATGGGAGAAAATTGTTGCAATCTACTCATCTGACAAAGGGCTAATATCCAGAATCTGCAATGAACTCAAACAAATTTACAAGAGAAAAACCAACAACCCCATCAAAAAGTGGGCGAAGGATATGAACAGACACTTCTCAAAAGAAGACATTTATGCAGCCAAAAGACACATGAAAAAATGCTCATCATCACTGGCCATCAGAGAAATGCAAATCAAAACCACAATGAGATACCATCTCACACCAGTTAGAATGGCAATCATTAAAAAGTCAGGAAACAACAGGTGCTGGAGAGGATGTGGAGAAATAGGAACACTTTTACACTGTTGGTGGGACTGTAAACTAGTTCAACCATTGTGGAAGTCAGTGTGGCGATTCCTCAGGGATCTAGAACTAGAAATACCATTTGACCCAGCGATCCCATTACTGGGTATATACCCAAAGGATTATAAATCATGCTGCTATAAAGACACATACACACATATGTTTATTGAGGCACTATTCACAATAGCAAAGACTTGGAACCAAGCCAAATGTCCAACAATGATAGACTGGATTAAGAAAATATGGCACATATACACCATGGAATACTATGCAGCCATAAAAAAGGATGAGTTCCTGTCCTTTGTGGGAACATGGATTAAGCTGGAAACCATCAATCTCAGCAAACTATCGCAAGGACAAAGAACCAAACACCCCATGTTCTCACTCATAGGTGGGAATTGAACAATGAGAACACGTGGACACAGGAAGGGGAACATCACACACCTGGGCCTGTTGTGGGGTGGGGTTAGAGGGGAGGGATAGCATTAGGAGATATACCTAATGTTAAATGAGGAGTTAATGGGTGCAGCACACCAACATGGCACATATATATATATGTAAGAAACCTGCACGTTGTGCACATGTACCCTAAAACTTAGAGTAAAAAAAAGAAAAAGAAATTAAAGCACACAAAAATTAAAAAATATTCTATGTTCATTGATCAAAAGAATCAATATTTTTTAAATGTTCATACTTCCCAAAGTGAATTACATATTCAATGCAATCCCCATCAAAATAGCAATGACATTCATCACAGAAATAGAAAAAATAATCTGAAAATTCATGTGGAGCCAAAAAAGAGCCTGAATAGGGAAAGCAATCCTGAGAGGGGGAAAAGAAAAGCTGGAGGCATCATATTACCTGACTTTAAATTATACTAAAACTCTAATACTAAAAGTAAGCAAAATAGCATGGTACTGGCATAAAAGCAGACACATAAACCAAAAGAACAAAATAGAGAACCCAGAAATAAATCCACAGATTTACAATCAACTCATTTTCAACAAAGGCATGAAGGACACACATTGGGGAAAGAGTCTCTTCAATAAATGGTGCTGGGCAAACTGGATATTCATATGTAGAAGAAGAAAACTAGACTCTTACCTCTCACTATATAAAAAATCAAATAAAAACGGATTAAAGATTTAAATCTAAGGCCTGAAACTATGAAACTACTAGAACAAAACATTGGGGAAAAGCCCCAGGACATTGGCCTAGGCAAAAATTTCCTAAGACCTCAAATGCACAGGCAACCAAAGCAAAAGTATATAAATAGGATAACAACAAAAACTTCTACACAGAAAAAAAAAAAATCAACACAGTAAAGAAACAACTGATAGAATGGAAGAAAATATTTGCAAACTACTCGTGTGACAAGGATTAATAACCAGAATATGAAAGGAGTTCAAACTAATTAGGAAAAACAAAAACAAAAAAAAAACATATAATTTTCTTTTTCTCTTTTTTTTTTTTTTTTTTTTTTTTTTGAGACGGAGTCTCGCACTGTTGCCCAGGCTGGAGTGCAGTGACACAATCTCGGCTCACTGCGGTTCACTGCAAGCTCCGCCTCCCAGGTTGATGCCATTCTCCTGCCTCAGCCTCCTGAGTAGCTGGGACTACAGGCACCTGCCACAACGCCCGGCTAATTTTTTGTATTTTTAGTAGACACAGGGTTTCACTGTGTTAGCCAGGATGGTCTTGATATCCTGACCTCATGATCCACCTGCCTCGGCCTCCCAAAGTGCTGGGATTACAGGCGAGAGCCACCGCGCCCCGCCGAGTCTCATTCTTACGCCCAGGCTGGAGTACAGTAGCATGATCTTGGCTCACTGCAACCTCCGCTCCCCGGGTTCAAGCGGTTCTCCTGCCTCAGCCTCCGGAGTAGCTGGGATCACAGGTGTCCATCACCACGCCCAGCTAATTTTTGCATTTTGGGTAGAGACAGCGTTTTGCCATGTTGGCCCAGTTGGTCTCGAACTCCTGACCTCAGGTTATCCACCCGCCTTGGCCTCCCAAAGTGCTAGGATTACATGTGTGAGCCACCACGCCCAGCCATAATTTAATTTTTAAAACAGGCAGAAGGCAGAGATAATTGGCAAGCCACATGTAGAAGAATAAAACTGGATCCTCATTTCTCACCTTACACAAAAATCAACTCTAGATGAATCAAAGTCTTAAATCTAAGACCTGAAACCATAAAAACTGTGGAAGATAACACTGAACAAAACCCTTCTAGATATTGGCTTAGACAACGACTTCATGACCAAGAATCCAAGAGCAAATGCAACAAAAACAAAGATAAATAAATGAGAATTTATTAAGCTAAAAAAGCTTCTGCATAGCAAAATAAATAATCAACAGAGTAAACAAACAACCCAGCGTGGGAGAAAATCTTTGCAAACTATGCATCCAACAAAGGACTAATATCTATAATCTACAAGAAACTCAAATCAGCAAGAACAAAATGAACAATCCCATCAAAAAGTGGGCTAAGGACATGCATACACAATTCTAAAAAGAAGATATACAAGTAACCAACAAACATATGAAAAAATACTCAATATCACCAATTATCAGGGAAATTCAAATCAAAACAACAATGCAATATCATCTTATTCCTGCAAAAATGGCCATAATTAAAAAATCAATAATAGATGTTGATGTGGATGTGAGGAAAAGGGAACACTTTTACACTACTGGTGGGAATGTAAAGTAGTATAACCACTATGGAAAACAGTGTGGATATTCCTTAAAGAACTAAAAGTGGATCTACCATTTGATCCACCAATCCCACTACTGGGTATCTACCCAAAGGAAAAGAAGTCATTATATAAAAAAGACACTTGTATACGCATGTTTATAGCAGCACAATTTGCAATTGCAAAAATATGGAACCAGCCCAAATGCCCATCAATCAATGAGTGGATAAAGAAAATACGGTATGTATGTACCATAGAATACTACTCAGCCATAAAAAGGAACAAAATAATGTCATTCTCAGCAACCTGGATGGAGTTGGAGATCATTATTCTATGTGAAGTAACTCAGGAATGAAAAACCAAACATCATATGTTCTCACTTATAAGTGGAAGTTAGCTATGAGGACACAAAGGTATAAGAATGACACAATGAACTTTGAGAATTCGGGGGAAGGTGGGAGGGGGCTGAGGGATGAAAGACTACACATTGGGTACAGTGTACACTGCTCGGGTGATGGGTGCACCAAAATCTCAGAAATCACCGCTAAAGAGCTTATCCATATAACCAAAAACCACCTGTTCTCCAAAAACCTATTAAAATAAAGAAAAAATAACTCCTTGCCAATAAGATTATTATATTATATAGTATACATAATTATTATATTATAAATTATATATTACATTATTGCATATTATATAGTCTATAACAATACAATTCATAACTATATAATTATTACTTTAATAACTAAATTCTATATAATTATGCTATTAATTTATAATAATTATATTATTACTTCCCCCACCAAAAAAATGAGGGGCTAAACATTGATCATTGTGGAAACTGGGTGATGGGTGCATGAAGCTTTACTATACACTGTTCTCCCTTCTTTTGTATGTGTTCTCTAATAAAAAGAAATAAAAACAAAAAAATGGGCAAATGATATGAACTTGAAAGTTAAAAAATTTTAAAGAAAAAAATCTGAATAGGCATTTCTCAAAAGAAGACATACAAGTGGCCAATGGGCATATGAAAAGTGCTCAACACATTAATCATCAGAGGAATGTGAATCAAAACAATGAGATATCATTTCACCCCAGTTAAAATGGTTTTTATCAAAAGGACAGGCAATAACAGATACTGGCAAGGATATGGAGAAAAGGGAACTCTCATATGCTGTTGGTGGGAATGTAAATTAGTATAACCACAATGGAGAACAGTATGGAGGTTTCTCACAAAGCTAAAAATAGAGCAACCATATGATCCAGCAATCCCATCACTTGGGATATATCCAAAAGAATGGAAATCAGTATATGGAAGAGATGTCTGCACTCTCATGTTTATTGCAGCAGTATTCACAATAGCCAAGATATGGAGTCATCAAGTGTTCATCAAGAGATAAATGGATAAAGAAAATGTGGTACATATACACAATAAAATATTATTCAGCCATAACAAAGAATAAAATCCTGGCATTTGCAACAATATGGATGGAACTGGAGGACACTGTGTTAAGTGAAATAAGCCAGGCACAGAAAGATACATACTGCATGTACTCACTTATATATAGGACGTAAAAAAAATGAACTCATGGAGAGAGAGTAAAATGATGCTCATCAGAGCATCATTGAATATGATCAGTAAAGGTGAATTTATTATTTGTACCTTTGCTTAATTGTTCTGACAGTTTAAAAGTTTTCTTATATTTCACTTAAATTTCCCTGCTGTAGTTGAAGTTCATTACTTCCTGTTCTGCTCTCATTGGCTAATAAGAATTGGTCCCTGTCCTCCTGATAACATCCCTTAACATATTTTCAGAAGCTATCATACCTCCCCTTAGCCTTTTTGTCTCCATACTGGGAAATTCTCAGCTCTACTATCCTTTCATCATATATCCTATCCTTCCTGAATTTCTCATATTTTGAGGCTTATATTTGAACTTAGATAGGTTTGTTCATAAAGAGAAAAATTACATTTAAAATTTTATAATTGCCTGAAAATGAAAAAAAAAAGTTCCATGTATTATTTACCTAATTTGTTAGAAAGTAAGCATGCAGTTCTATTGGGGAAATTGGGTTTGCTAAAAGTTAATTCTTATTACCAGTTTCATAAAAAAACTATGTCAAATTATCATTTTTTCTGCATTTATTAAAGAAGGAAACTTCAAGGGTCTGACATTTCTTGCAAACTTGTGTATGTGCACTCATCTCGGTACAGTTCATGTGCAAAGTGTATTTTTCCGAGAAAATATATTTATAGCTTTCTTGGTGGAGCACTGCCTACCCTAGGAAGAAAAAAAATCTGACTGGATTCTAGTCCTAGGATAAAATTAAAGTGGGTAGACACTAATGTATCTGTTTACCTTTTCTGTTACACAATATTTTTTTGCAAATGACATAACTCATATATCAGTGTATTTTAAGTAGAGTAATATTTATGATTGCAGCCTGAGAATTTTTCAAGAAATTTGAAATCAGTATTGTCTTGTGAACAGAGACTTCTTTCTTAGCATTATTTTCAATGTGTTTTTATCCCCCTCAGAGGATTCTGCACATCCTCACTTGGGCTTTGATTCAGAGCATCCTCTGTCAGTTATAATGTTGGCAGCTATATGGCCAGCTGTTCTTAGCCACTCTCAAGTGTGTAATACACAGCCCTCACATATGTGAGATCTCCTTGTAACAAGCCAGAAATTGTCCTTAAAGAGTACTCCTAAGGAAGTAGTCAAAGGAGAGAAGAACTGTGCTTCCAAGCATGTTCTTAGATTTTTCCCTCTACAGATATGGCCCCTAAGGCTCTCCATCTATCTTAGAACATTCTCCATGCGTATCATTTAGCAGCAGAAATACCATCAGCAATATACAATAGGGAAATAATCTCAGTAAGAAAGAGGACATCGGCAGTCCAGAGACTAAGACCATGAGATATAAGATACATTTAGATAAAACATGCTTGCAAAAAGAAATAAAGACCTTTGTATGCAACACCAATTATCCTTTTCTTCAGACCCTTTTGACATCCCTGTTCCAGGTTTCCATGTGTTCAGACCAAATTCACACAGATGTAACTGGATGCTGCCTCGTCTTCAGCCCCTTCCCTTCCCCTCTGGCTTCCCACCCAAGGGCGGCCTTGCTGGTGATACCACAGGGCTCCATTCAGCTCCTATGCCCAGCATGCACAACCTGGTGGTATGGGGGAGTTATTACATCATGGGGTAAAGCTTACTAATTGCTAAGAAGGCCTAGTAGATCAATTATTTTTGTTTTTTGCCTTCGGTATTAGTCTGTTCTCATGCTGCCAATAAAGACATACACAAGACTGGGTAATTTATAAAGAATAAAAGGTTTAATGGACTCACAATTCCACATGGCTGGGGAGGCCTCACAATTATGGCAGAGGGTGAAGCAGAAGCAAGACATGTCTTACATGGCAACAGACAAGAGAGCTTGTGCAAGGGAACTCCCATTTATGAAACTAACAGATCTCATGAGACTTATTCACTACCACGAGAACAGTATGGGGGATCCACCACCAAAACTCAATTTTCTCCACCTGGCCCCACCCTTGACATGTGGGGATTATTACAATTCAAGGTGAGATATGGGTGGGGACACAAAGCCAAACCTTATTACCTTCCCTCTCCAGGATTGTCCGGAGATATAGTTACAGTCATTTCCATGGTGTAACACTACAGTCAGCTCAATACCACAGCCCCATTTGGGCTCTACCTCTTTTCTTGAATTTTTTTTACTGTTGTTCTTCACTTCTAGTCCCTGGAATTGTCTTTCCTATAAAATAAGAGCACATTAGACTGTTTGGGCTCTTCTTTCTGGGAAAATCAGGCTAAAAAGTTCTCTTAGAACTTTTGACCAGGGATACATAACAGAAAAGCCCAAGCATTTATTGTAATTTCTCCCGTATTATGACTTTTTGATACAAACTTCCCAAATTACAGAGACCTGTATCTCCTATTCTGACCAGTAAAGATAACATATTGAACATGGTGAAAATATCTAATGATAATTCGACAAATATTACTTCGCTCCTAGAATATCTCAAATAATCTGCTATAGTCTGGATTTCTGTCCACAAAATGAGGATTAAAAAATTTATATAATACAAAATGTTAGCTAACTAATCTTAAGAATTTCCCTCTCAACTTCTGAAACAATGATATATCTAGGTGGAATGAACTTTACTAATCTGAGGTAATAGAACTAAGAGGAATAAAATGTAATTGAATATCAACTCTAAACCCCAAAAATCTTGTTAAAGAGGTAATTCCCTTGGAGAGTCTTCAGAGACCCCATAAGACAATAAAACTAGAATGACTGCAAACCAAGATTCTACTGAAAACAAATGCTTTAAAAATAGGTGCTATAATTTGAATGTTTATGTCTGTTCCAAAATTTACATGTTGAAACTTATTGTGAAAATGGCTTTATTGCCCAAAGTAATTTATAGATTCAATTATATCCATCAAGCTACTACTGACTTTTCTCACAGAATTAGAAAAATCTACTTTAAATTTCATATGGAACCAAAAAAGAGCCTGTATAGCCAAGACAATCCTAAGCAAAAAGAACAAAACTGGAGATACCATGCTACCTGACTTCAAACTATACTACAAGGATACAGTAACCAAAACAGCAAGGTACTGGTATCAAAGCAGATATATAAACCAATGGAACAGAACAGAGGCCTCAGAAATAACACCACACATCTACAAACATCTAGTCATTGACAAACCTGACAAAAAGCAAGAAATGGGGAAAGGATTCCCTATTTAATAAATGGTGCTGGGAAAACTGGCTGGCCATATGTAGAAAGGTGAAACTGGACCCTCCTTACACCTTATACAAAAATTAACTCAAGATGGATTAAAGACTTAATGTAAGACCTAAAACCATAAAAACCCTAGAAGAAAACCTAGGCAATACCATCCAGGACACAGGCATAGGTAAAGACTTCGTGACTAAAACACCAAAGCAATTGCAACAAAAGCCAAAATTGACAAATGGGATCCAGTTAAACTAAAGAGTTTCTGCACAGCAAAAGAACCTAACATCAGAGTAAACAGGCAACCTACAGAATGGGAGAAAATTTTTACAATCTGTCCATCTGAGAAAGGGCTAATATCCAGAATCTACAAGGAACTTAAACAATTTTACAAGAAAAAAGCAACCCTATCAAAAAGTGGGCAAATATTATGAGCAGACACTTCTCAAAAGAAGACATTTATGTGGCCAACAAACATACTAAAGAAAGCTTATCATCACTGGTAATTAGAGAAATGCAAATCGAAACCGCAATGAGGTACCATCTCATGCCAGTTAGAATGGTGATCATTAAAAGGTCAGGAAACAGGCCAGGTGCGGTGGCTTATGCCTGTAACAGCAGCACTTTGGGAGTCAGAGGCAGGCGGATCACCTGAGGTCAGGAGTTCAAGACCAGCCTGACCAACTTGGTGAAACCCCATCTCTACTAAAAATACAAAAATTAGCCGGGCACAGTAGCATGCACCTGTAATCCCAGCTACTCCGGAGGCTGAGGCAGGGAGAATTGCTTGAACCTGGGAAGCAAAGGTTGCAGTGAGCCAAGATCGCACCACTGCACTCCAGCCTGGGTGACAGAGCGAGACTGTGTCTTAAAGAAAAAGAAAAAAAGTCAGGAAACACAGATGCTGGAGAAGATGTAGAGAAATAGGAATGCTTTTACACTGTTGGTGGGAGTGTAAATTAGTTCAATCATTGTGTAACAGTGGAAGACAGTGTGGTAATTCCTCAAGGATCTAGAACCAGAAATACCATTTGACCTAGTAATTCCATTACTAGATATATACCCAAAGGATTATAAATTATTTTACTATAAAGATGCATGCACACATATGTTTATTGCAGCACTATTTACAATAGCAAAGACTTGGAACCAACCCAAATGCCGATCAATGATGGACTGGATAAAGAAAATGTGGCACATATATACCATAGAATACCATGCAGCCATAAAAAGAATGAGTTCATGTCCTTTGCAGGGACATGAATGAAGCTGGAAACCATCATTCTCAGCAAACTAACACAGGAACAGAAAAACAAACACCACATATTCTCAATAATTAGTGGGAGTTGAACAATGAGAATACATGGACACAGGGAGAAGAACTTCACACATGGGGCCTGTTGGGGGTGGAGAGCAATGGGAGGGATAGCATTAGGACAAATACCTAATGCATGGGGGGCTTAAAACCCAAATGACAGGTTGATGGGTGCAGCAAACCACCATGGCATATGTATACCTATGTAACAAACCTGCACATTCTGCACATGTATCCCAGAACTTGAAGTATAATGAAAAAAAAAAAAAAGAAGAGGAAGAAACTTAATCACCAAGGTGATATATTAGAAGTTGGGGACTTCAGGAGATGATTAGATCATGAGGGCTCTGTCATTATGAATGGGATTAATGCCTTATAAAAGAGGCATCATCTGATGCCACTCCTTTGCCCTTCCACCTTCTGTCATGTGAGTACACAGAAACAGTGCCATGTTGAAGAAGAGAGGGAAGCCCTCACCAGACACAAAGCCTGTCAGCACAGTGATCTTGGACTTCTCAGCCTCTAGAGAGTAAGAAATAAATTTCTATTCTTTATAAATCACCCAGAGTCAGATATTTTGTTATAGAAGCACAAATTTACTAAGACAATAGGAACACAAGAAAATGAAAGTTCCTCAGACAGTAATGACATGAACAAGAAAAGTCAGCTATCTTTGAGAAGAAATGAAAAATAGAAGTGACAACTAACTGTTTTTCTCATATCCTTATAGTATTAAGTAGAAAGAGAAAGGTATTAAGACAAAGTTACAGCTTATTCCAAATGCCTTTAGCTACAGCTAGTATGTTGAGTGTTGTAAGGAGAAACTGCTTCGACTCTCAATTATTTGCTTATGTAGAGCCAACAAAGATATAGTCTATAAAAAGTGAGAATGATAGTCACTGTATAAATATGAGTAACTGAAGCTTTCAAGGAATAAGCAAGTTTGTTTCCCAGGAAACCAGATTACATGGGTGCATGTCAGAGGATTTGCAAGAGCAATGAGGTGAAGTTAAGGACAAGGAGTACTACAGAAACAAGACTGATGAGGTCTACTTTGGAACTTGAACAGAAGGTATGAAAAAGTGGCTGGGGGCAGGGCACATGAAAAGGGGAAGCAGTGGCTACAGAGTACAGAGGTCTGAAGTGGTTCTTAGACTTTTTCATTCTGCATTTTTCATTTGCTTAATATAGGGAGAAGAGTCATGCATACTGGGCAAATAAGAATTGGTACTAGAAAAAAAAATGGGGCTTAAAGAAAACACCCAGAGATGGGTCTCTGAAAATACCTTGCATGATCATGGGAGATCTTCTTTCACGTGAGTTACCTTTCAGACATTAAGAAACTATATAATAAAAAGTGAGAGAAAGTTGTTAGTATAAGTAGGAAGAGGTGCTGCTTCCTTGACTGATAAGACACCTAGATAGGATGGCCATGCATTCTGGCATAAAGAAAATAAAGACAGGAAGAACAGAGATGAGAGGGAGAGTGATTCCGGAGATGGTGAAGTTCCCAGGTAGCATCAAAGTAGGCTAACCATCTAAATCAGCTTACTGGTTGGACTTGGAGCCCTATGACAGAGATACAGGCTCTAAAACCAACATTCAAAGGTGCTACATTGCCAGCGGACACCCTCAGAAACTTGTCTATTGCCCTTACATTAACTCCTATATAATAACACCAGCTGTACCCACAGCCTCCTATGCAAAGTACCCTGCTTTCCTCTTCATTGCTCCTGATATCACACATTGTCTTCACACCTGTTCATTATTTATTGAAATTAAACTTCTATTAAGATGAACATTGACAAACTTTGCCTGGTCACACATTTTTAAAGTGCATATGTATATACTTTGATACACACACACACACACACACAATGTATACATACACATAAAGACAAATTTTTGAATATCCCATAGGAATAAGTCATATGTATCCTTGTCAGGGTCCATATCCAATCATAATAGGCAAACACCATTACGCACTACTAGAATGAAAAACAGAAGGCAGCTCTGACCACTTTCATCTAACACTGTTACTTGAACTTCTTATTTTAGGTTGGTAAGAGTTTTACTAAGAAACAACTTCATTTAAGTAAAAATAAAATAAACTTATTTTAAATGTACAGGGGATGAATTTTGACAAATACATGCACTGAAATAGCAATCCAGACAAGTAATAAAACATTATTATTGCCCCCCAAATTTCTCTAGTACTCTTTGAAATCAGGTTCCCATTTACACTCTGGCTACAGACAACTATGGTACTGATTTCCTTTTAGTAACAATGGGCTATATTTATCTTTCTATCGCATAAAATTGAATCATAAACTATCTTCTATTTTAGACTGGCTCTGTGAATCAGCACAATGACTTTGCTTCATCCATGTTATTGAGTATATCAGCAGTTCACTTCTTATTGCCAAATAGTATAAACAATATTGCATAATATTGATACTAATAGTATAAAATAGT
Organism: Homo sapiens; assembly: GCF_000001405.40. NCBI lineage: Eukaryota > Metazoa > Chordata > Mammalia > Primates > Hominidae > Homo > Homo sapiens. The sequence goes on from NC_000004.12 coordinate 104,817,335, forward strand.
ATTCCACTGTATGGATATAACACAATTTGTCCATTAACCTGCTGATATATATTTGGAGTTGAACAAATTTGGAGCTACTATAAATAAAGCTTCTGTGTACATTAGTGTACAAGTCTTTGTGTGAACCTATGTTTTCATTTCTCCTGAGCAAATTTCTACTGTTTGTCAAAGTAATTGTAACATTTGGGTTACCCACAATCAATGTGTAGAGTATCAGTTACATCACATCCTCAGATAGACTTGACATTGTCAGTCTTGTTAATTTTAGCAATTCTAATGGAAATATTGTGGTAACTCGTTATTTTTTTCAAATACCAAGTTTTCCTTTATTAGTGGGAGCTAAATAATGTGTACGCATGAACAAAGAGGAGAATGACAGACATTGGAGACTTGGAAGTGGGGGAGGCGGTAAGAGAGAAATTGATAAGAAATTACATAATGGGTACAATGTACACTATTCAGATGGTAGATACAATAAAGCCAAGACTTCACCACTACACAACATATGCATATAACAACATTGCACTTGCACTAGCTTAAATTTATACAAATTAAAAAAAACTGAGAAGGCAAGGCGTTATCAATTATTTAGCCACCATACCTAAGCCAAACTTTGGAATTTGATGGGACAACTACAGAATTTTGAAATAATTCATTCAAGTTTAGCACAAAGTAAAACTTAAAAGTCATAGACAGACAGTCCCCTGTCTTCATAAGCTTTGTTAAAGCCAAGGCATCTATAACAGTAGAAGCAAATATAGTAATTTCTGTGACTTTCCTAAGATTTTTTAAAAATCCTAACTTGGTAACTTTTTGAATTTGTACTGATTATTTTCCTTTACTGTATATTTTGCATCAGAGAATTCATAATTCAAAGACCTAGAAGAGATATCTCTCTGCATTCTGTCTTACCACATATGCTTTTTTTAAAAAAAAAATTATACTTTAAGTTCCGGGATACAAGTGCAGAACGTGCAGGTTTGTTACACAGGTATATATGTGCCACGGTGGTTTGCTGCACCTATCAACCCGTCATCTACGTTTTAAGCCCTGCGTGCATTAGGTATTTGTCCTAATGCTCTCCCTACATTTCCTCCCATCCTGCAAGAGGCCTGGTGTGAGATACTAATACTTTCTTTGTATTTTTTTGCCTCTTATATTGTTGGGATTTTAGGGCAGATATCTATTTTACAAGAGTGCTTGCCTGAGGAAAGGGAGCCCCAAAAGTGAGATTGGGGAAATTACCGGGAAAATAACAGAATGAATTAAAATGTGTTTATTGAAGCACCACTTTAGGCCCTCTAAACTTTTTCAGGATTCCTTATATAGTAAAATGGTAACGTGAATATAAGAAAACATGAAAGAGTTACACAGTCAAACCACAGGGAAACAGAAAACGAATAGTGTTTAACCTTAACTACCGAAAGCAGTGCAGAAATGGATAATATCACACAGGAAGTAAACATCATGTAAATATCTCTGAGAAATGCAAGAAAAGACTCCTGATAGCATCTGTCTTAGAGACATGTTGTTTCCCACCAAAAGCAATGGGCTTTTAAAAACTCTCTCACTACAATACAGAGAAGTCATTTACAAGTTTTTGCAGCAGACATATTGCAGAATTCAAAGATAGTAAAACCATTATCGACTACAAAAATATGTATGTATAAAAGCAAGTAAAATTTTTTTGACATCAGCAAACATTTTATTTATTTGTATGTCTCTTAAATATCATGCACAAATTGGAAAACTAATAAATATTGATTGAATTAAATTGTGCTGACTTAATCTGGGAATTTTTAAATTAAAGAATGCTTCATATTTAGGTCAAATACCTGAAAAGTTGATGAAAATAATATTGGACTATAAATGTTCATGTACAGGACAAAAATTAATGGAGAAATAATAGACAGTATTAGTTTGTCACAATGACTGGCTTCATTATTTTTCTATTAACAGATAGAAGAAGTTGCCATGGAATTTCCTAAAGGAGATATTGTGTTCCTAGAATTTTTTTGCATAAATTTATGTGATATATGTGCAGTTTTTTAAATGCATAGGTTGTGTGGTGGTCAAGTCAGGGCATTTAGGGTATCCATCAGTCAAATAACATACATCGTACCTGTTATTTAATCTCTTATTATCCTTACTCCTCACAGCCCCTCAATCTTCCAAGTCTCCATTATCTATCACCTAGAATTTTAAAAGATAACTGAAGAGTTTTTGTTCTTTAATGTCAGTTTCATTGTGAAATCTGAAAAACGTAATTGGGAAAGAATATTCCCTAGAAGGTGAAAAATTTGCAGAACATCACAATAGAATATATCAACATATTAAAAATAAAAGCTAATATTTTAATTATGCTAATTTCATTTTAGAATATTTGTCCATTTTAAGACCTGTTATTTAATATCAAATTGGGAAAAGGAACTTGAGAAAGATAAAACCAATAGGAGTATTTTCTGTGGATTAAGTGAGTGAAAGAATGAACAGCCAATCTATACCATTTATCTACTGATGGTAGTAGGGCATGAGTACTCCCAGCTATCTTTAAGATGACTTCTCATTAGGTATGATATTAGCTGTGGGTTTGTCATAGATAGCTCTTATTATTTTGAGATACATCCCATCAATACCTAATTTACTGAGAGTTTTTAGCGTGAAGCGTTGTTGAATTTTGTAAAAGGCCTTTTCTGCATCTATGGGCAAAAACTGGAAGCATTCCCTTTGAAAACTGGCACAAGACAGGTACGCCCTCTCTTGCCACTCCTATTCAACATAGTGTTGGATATGGGCAATCAGACAGGAGAAAGAAATAAAGGGTATTCAATTAGGAAAAGTGGAAGTCAGACTGTCCCTGTTTGCAGATGACATGATTGTATATTTAGAAAACCCCATTTGTCTCAGCCCAAAATCTCCTTAAGCTGATAAGCAACTTCAGCAAAGTCTCAGGATACAAAATCAATGTGCAAAAATCACAAGCATTCTTATACACCAATAACAGACAAACGGAGAGATAAATCTTGAGTGAACTCCCATTCACAATTGCTTCAAAGAGAATAAAATACCTAGGAATCCAACTTACAAGGGATGTGAAGGACCTCTTCAAGGAGAACTACAAACCACTCCTCAATGAAATAAAAGAGGATACAAACAAATGGAAGAACATTCCATGCTCATGGATAGGAAGAATCAATATCATGAAAATGGCCATACTGCCCAAGGTAATTTATAGATTCAATGCCATCCCCATCAAGCTACCAATGACTTTCTTCACAGAATTGGAAAAAACTACTTTAAAGTTCATATGGAACCAAAAAAGAGCCTGCATTGCCAAGTCAATCCTAAGCCAAAAGAATAAAGCTGGAGGCATCATGCTACCTGACTTCAAACTATATTACAAGGCTACAGTAACCAAAACAGCATGGTTCTGGTACCAAAACAGAGATATAGATCAATGGAACAGAACAGAGCCCTCAGAAATAATGCCACATATCTACAACTATCTGATCTTTGACAAACCTGACAAAAACAAGCAATGGGGAAAGGATTCCCTATTTCATAAATGGTGCTGGGAAAACTGGCTAGCCATATGTAGAAAGCTGAAACTGGATCCCTTCCTTACACCTTATACAAAAATTAATTCAAGATGGATTAAAGACTTACATGCTAGACCTGAAATCATAAAAACCCTAGAAGAAAACCTAGGCAATACCATTCAGGACATAGGCATGGGCAAGGACTTCATGTCTAAAACACCAAAAACAATGGCAACAAAAGCCAAAATTGACAAATGGGATCTAAGTAAACTAAAGAGCTTCTGCACAGCAAAAGAAACTACCATCAGAGTGAACAGGCAACCTACAAAATGGGAGAAAATTTTTGCAACCTACTCATCTGACAAAGGGCTAATAACCAGAATCTACAATGAACTCAAACAAATTTACAAGAAAAAAACAAACAACCCCATCAAAAAGTGGGCAAAGGATATGAACAGACACTTCTCAAAAGAAGACATTTATACAGCCAAAAGACACATGAAAAAATGCTCATCATCACTGGCCATCAGAGAAATGCAAATCAAAACCACAATGAGATACCATCTCACACCAGTTAGAATGGTGATCATTAAAAAGTCAGGAAACAACAGGTGCTGGAGAGGATGTGGAGAAATAGGAACACTTTTACACTGTTGGTGGGACTGTAAACTAGTTCAACCATTGTGGAAGTCAGTGTGGCGATTCCTCAGGGATCTAGAACTAGAAATACCATTTGACCCAGCAATCTCATTACTGGGTATATACCCAAAGGATTATAAATCATGCTGCTATAAAGACACATACACACGTATGTTTATTGCAGCACTATTCACAATAGCAAAGACTTGGAACCAAGCCAAATGTCCAACAATGATAGACTGGATTAAGAAAATGTGGCACATATACACCATGGAATACTATGCAGCCATAAAAAATGATGAGTTCCTGTCCTTTGTGGGGACATGGATGAAGCTGGAAACCATCATTCTCAGCAAACTATCGCAAGGACAAAAAACCAAACACCGCATGTTCTCACTCATAGGTGGGAATTGAACAATGAGAACACATGGACACAGGAAGGGGAACATCACACACCTGGGCCTGTTGTGGGGTGGGGGTAGTGGGGAGAGATACCATTAGGAGATATACCTAATGTTAAATGATGAATTAATGGGTGCAGCACACCAACATGGTACATGTATACATATGTAACAAACCTGCACGTTGTGCACATGTACCCTAAAACTTAAAGTATAATAATAAAAAAAGAAAGATGAGTTGTCTATCTCCAAAGTGCTTAAATAACATTCCTCTAAATGAGCTAATAGACTGGGGGAAAACTATTATAAAATGCATTTATTAAGGTAATTTAATACTTCTATACCAATTCATTAGTTTGCTGAGGTTTTCTTTGTTTACTGACATCACTGCCACATGTGAATGAGTTAGGGTCCTTGATATTTTTACTACCCATAGTACTGAATTGCTCAGTAGCAATGTTCCAATCATCAATATTTTACTTAAGAAAAGACAATTGTCACCGAGGCAACTGTTTTCTTAATCTAACAAAAGTTTCTACTTTCTAATGAAAACAAAAAGAGAACCTTACTAATTATTTTTTAATGGCTACTCCCTGTTCTATATAAATTATTCTGTGTGATCATTTTCTCTTTATTATATATTTATGTAAACATACCCACCTTTTGTTAATTTCTATTTTTTCCTATTTTTTATTTCTATGTTTTCAAGAAAAGAAAAAAACAAAGTCTATAAAATTAATATAGTCACATTAAGCGAAGCTAAGTAGATATAGTCTTGAAGGCTTTATATAAGAAACAAATATAGAACTTGGCATTCAGGGTCAAGGATTCAAGCTACCTGAAGAGCATCATGTGGAAGTTTATATGAAAGATTACTTTGCATTTGTTTTGTTTTTGTTTGTTTTTAACCTGGCTTTTTTTTTTTTTTTTTTTTTAGAGATTGCCTAGAGTCAATGTGTGGGAAAGAAAATATAGGCAATTGTCAAAAAAGAATATAAGGAGGGTTAGATTAGCACAGCCTGAAAGTCTACAATTAGAATGTAATGTAAGTCTGAGGAACATCATGAGTGTTTAGGATTATAAAATAAAAATTAAAACATTATAGATCTTGGTCAACCAAAATTAACATACTTGAATATCAGTTTATCTGAAATGAGGTGGTGTAGAAAAAACTGTATACAATAATGTATGTATGACATGTGTGGTTGAGTGATCTGGAAGTTGAATGCCCCTCTATCTCTAGATAACAACGAAGATAGAATTAGCATTCTTAGCAGTAAGAAATTACAGTTTTCTGCTTAATATCTATGGTTTCCTTCCAGAGTTATTAATAGTGGTTTTCACTTGCATTGGGTTGGGTTTTGGCCTTATTGTTTCAGTGTTTTATTTTTCTTTCACATCGTCTCAGATCCTTACTGGAATAACATAAGATAGAAATCTAAGCACACACATGCACATACACACACAGAATGGGTTAATGTTTTAATTAACACATTCCCCATTTTAAAATGTAGTTTCTTGCTACATGCCTATTTAGAAACTCTGTGAGATGAAGTAACATACATCTACATCCGGTAATCAAAGTCACATAGACAAATTTAACAAAGCATCTGCTCTGGTAGATTCATCCTACACACTCAAAAATGGTGTACAATTCACAGTAAAACATGTATGCGAATATAAAACACCTGAATGGAAATAAATCCAGAGTTATCCTGCAGTTGTCAGGTTTCTTAATTTTCTTAAAAAGAAAAAAAAGCCAAGCATATGTTAAAAGAAAAAAAAAGCCCTCAAAAAATGGAGAATGAGCTGAGTTAATGGTGTTTTTTAAAAGTATCCTACTTTCTTGTTGAGAGGGTCAGTCTCTGCAGTTTTGGGAACCATCTGCTTTTGTTTCAGGCCTGTCCTGCATTGCCCATATCTTTCCATTGTTCTTCCAGTTGCTTGGTAGATCCATTTGCAACCACTGCTGAGAGAATGTTGATTATGTTGCCTTTTCTCTCTGATTGCTTTTAAGATTTCCTTGTTTCAGATGTCTTTATGCAGTAATCATGATTTCACTAGGCTGTGTTTGTGTGGACAAGTGTGCTTCAGCCTGCTTAAAGACCAGGCATGCTCCTCTCCATCTAAGGATTTATGTTTTACTGGGTATTTTGAAGTCTTTGTCTTTTGACTTCTATCTTCTTTCCTCTTGTCTCTCCTTTTTGGGACTCTTATTAAGAATATGCTTTAACTATGAGAACACATGGATACACAGAGGGGAACAACACGCACTGGGGCCTACCAGAGGGTAGGGAGGGAGGAGGGAGAGGATCAGGAAAATAACTAATAGGTAAAAGGCTTAAAACCTGGGTGATGAAATAATCTGTACAACAAACCCCCTTGACATACGTTTACCTATGTAATAAACCTGCACATGTACCCCTGAACTTAAGTTAGATAATAATTAAAACGAGTTAAAAACAAAAAGTAACTAAAAATATGGTTAGTTCAATTACCCTATGGATATTCATCTAACTCAGTTGCTGACATTTGTGTCAATGCAAATAAAATCCAAACTTATCTTTAGATGTTACTGTTTGTTTAAATCTCTTATTTCCTTTTCAGACAGTATTCTGGTCTTTCATGATATTTTCTATCCTTCATTTTATCACTTTACTCTTTACTCACTTTATAAATGCTTATTTTTAGATTCTTTCAGATTATTCTATTATCTGGAGATCTAATCCTGCTTTTTATTGTATCCGGTAACTCACCTTAGAGTAAACCATTTCTTTGTGTAGTTTGTAATTTATGTTTTGGAGCTCATTTTCTGTTTTTCTTTGACCTGTTATTTAGAATTGTGTTGTTTAGTTTTCAAGAATTTACATTTTCCTCCTCTCTTTCTGCTATTCATTTCCAGTTTGATTCATTGTAGTCAGAGTGCATGCTCTCTCCAGTTTCAATTCTTTCAGATTTGTTGAGCTTTGTTTAATGGATCTGGATACAGTTTATCTTGAGGTACATAAAAGCACTTGAAAAGAAAGTATATTCTGCTGTTTGGTGGAATGTTTGGAGTGTTCCATAAATGACTAGATACTAGATGTTGTTGAGTTTTCCTATAATGCTGCTGATTTTCTGTCTACTTCTTCTATCAGTTATTGAGAGAGAGAGTTGTTGAAGTCTCCAATTAGAATTGTGGATTTGTTAATTTCTTCTTTGAGTTCTATTAGTTTTTTCTTCACATATTTTTACAGCTCTGTTGATTGGTGCATACAAATTTAGGATTGCTATGACTTCTTGGGTGGATTGACCCTTTTACATTGCATAACATCTCTTTCTGTCCCTGGTAATTTTAGTTGCTCTTAAGTCTATCTTATCCCCATATAAATAGAACTCTGTTTTCCTTTGATTAGTGTTTACATGATACATCTTTTTCTATCCTTTCACTTTCAACTTGCCTGTATTATTATATTTGAAATGAGTTTCTTATAGACAGCATGTCTAGTAGGGCATATTTTTAATCCACTCAGTTAATGTTTGTCTTTTGTCGGTATGCTTATTTGCATTTAATAAAACATTGATATTTTATTTTCTTTCTCTTCATTTTTTTTAACTTTTATTTTAGATTCAGGGGTACATGTGAAGGTTTGTTACATATGTAAACTCATGTCATGAGGGTTTGTTGTACATCAGACCTGGGTGATGATTATTACACTACCCAGGTGTTAAGCCTAGTACCCAATGGTCATATTTTCTGCTCCTCTCCCTCCTCCCACCCTCACCCTCAAGTAGACTCTGGTGTCTGTTGTTTCCTTCTTTGTGTTCATAAGTTATTTTCCTTTAGGAGCTCATTTTCAATGAGGATTATTTCTCCACACACTAGGTTTTCCTGTGAGAATCCAGTCTGGGACTGGTATTTTTGTTAATTTTTCAACTTGGGATCTTTACTATGTATAACCCAGGCTTCTTATGGGAGATTTTTTTTTTAATACTCAGAGACCTAAACAGAAAATTTTTGCCACTTAGTTGGACTGGCAATTGAATTTTTTTACAGTGCCCTTTTCATAGGGGAGAGCCACTTCAGCTTCCAGGCTTTACACAGGATCTCCTTCTTTTCTCATGCAGACCCAAGGCCATAACTTCTGTTCCTACACGAACATTAAAATGCCAGTTTTAATGGGTTTTTAAATAATATCAAAATATAAATATCTAAAATCTAAATATGTAAAATCTACATTTTAGATATTATTTATGTGCTCTCTATTTTCCAAGTCCAACCTGGAAATGCCTGATGACTGATGAGTGATGAGTGATGAGCTTACTATTCTGCCCATCTTTGCCCCTAACACTGGGATTTCCTTTTCTTTCTTTGTTCTCAGCTAGGTATTTTAAAATCATGGTTTGTATTCTCTCTTTTTTGTTGGTAGTGGAAAAGGAGTCCAGGACAATAGTACCCCATGTGACCAAAACTGGAAATTCCGGTTTGCATATCATAGATATTCTTCCAGGTGCTGCTTCTATCCTTAGATATCATTTCTATGACATAGGAATCATTCCTCAGAAGTTTTCTGTTCCTCGTAATCAAAATATTCTTAGTCTCTACTTTTCTGATTCAGATCCAAGCCAACTTTCTTCTGAGAGAGTCAAACAAATCTTAGTTGTTCTCCTCCTTCTACCATATCTGAGCCAGCATTATTATCATGTTTAGAATATTTATGTGTTGTAATGGATGTGTGTGTGATGGATGAGAGGGAATGCTTGCTTTCTTCTCTTTTTTCACTATTGTGGATTCATTTAAAGTTGTAGCATCCAATCATATACACATGGCCCAAACAATTATGTCATGCCAGGTATTTTTACTACAGAAAGTGTTATTTTGGAACTCTCTTTCCTGGAAAATTTCACTGTACCTTAGCCTATGTCAAAATGTCAAAAAACTGCTAAAGAAACTCAGGCCAGATTTTATAATCTCACATCAGAAAGCATGCATGTTTTGTGTGCTGCTGAATAATGATTTTAGCAGAAACTGACAAGTTGTCCCTCAAACCCATTTCTCTTTCTTTCTGATATCCAGCTACATTTCTTGGTCTTCTTTGCAGATAGGTGTGCTCATGTGACTATGCTCTGGCCTATGGAGAGTGAATAGCCAATAAAAATCTCATGCATAATTCTCTATCCCTCAACTCTGCCATCAGTAGTCAATAAGACCATGTCTAGGACAGCCTTGGAAGACATATATTGAAAATAATAAAGGTTCCTGAAATTCCTGTACCTACATCATTGCCTACTTCACTCCCACATAACTCCTCACTCCTCACCATCAACAGGATTGAAGAGAAGCTAAAAATAAATTTCTGTTTTTAGTTACTGAGCTATCAGAGTTTACTTCTTGTAGCAGCTAATCATAGCTAATTCAATTGCAGAAATTTAAAGAACCCTTTCTTATTTTCTGCCATGCATCTTCTTTCCTCCAATAATATTGCTTTTATATGGGCGACTAGTTCACTGCTTCTGAGAGTTACTACCAACAAAATCTTAATAAAATTTACCTCTTACATAAGGATATTATAGGAATTATTGCAGCATTTTTACAAATCTTTCAGGGGTTCTTGGAGCCAAGTCTTCATATAAAGTAAAATAATGATACTAATTTTACTATATACTATAATTTTAATGAATACTGTGTAATATAAATATGAAACAATAATTTGTAGAAACAATTGTTTCCCTGAAGGAAACATATGAATATATCAGAATATTATCGTGAAATAAGAAAGCACTTGGTACAATCTATCCATTTTTTCTTTTTTATATTTATAAAGCTAAAACACTTAGAAAATACTAATGATTTTCTCTAGTAATAAAGAAAACTAATTTTTTAAATCCAATTTACTTTTTTAAAATCCAAACTGTACTTTTTATAAAAGCAGCAGAGAATTTCTGGCTCTGATTTGTATCTTCTGTTCATCCACTAAAAGTAGATAACTTCCTACCCTGACCTGCTCTTCTAAGTCCAAAATTGTTTCCCTTTACTGGAATATATTTTCCAAGGGCCAATGGACTCCCATACTCAGGATTTTTATTCTCATCATAATACCAAGGCCGCTATCATGAAACATTTATCATGGTAAAGTCTATCTTCTAAACAGCTCTGAAAAATATAAAATGTATTGTTTATACAACCAAAGCAATGTTTTGTTTTTAGGCCTTTGTTCTTATTGGTCTCTTATTTATGAAGCATTTATTTATTTTTTTCTGTCTGTCAAAAGGTTTATCATATCTAAGGTACCATACTATGCTATAAAACCTCTCAATTGGATTTTATTTCTCCTTCTGCTCTCTCCAAAGAGCCTCAAATCATAAAGTGACCTATCTTCCCACTTATGTAACTATAAGGACCATATAGAAATTGGAAATAGCTGCCATGGTAGTGTGTGAACACAAGGTCCACATGAATAACACACAGTCCAGGACCACCATGGGTGGCCACACTAGCTGTGCAATGCATACCTTTGTGGGAACAATCCATGATTGTAATGTAGATTGGAGTGGTATAGCACACAACTGCAAGTTGTGGCTCTGCCCAGCACCATATTGTTTGGTTGTTTGATGTTCTGAGTTTCATTGTCCTTCACTGATTCCATGGATATTACTGGAATCTTTTTTCTCTATTATCTAGAAGTACTACATCTCTGAAAATATCTCTAATAAACCACTCTTTGACTATAATTCCTGTTGGGTCTTTTTCTAGTTTTCTCACCCCTTTATTCCTACAAAGTCTGTTTTTATATCTTTCAAGACATTTATTCTCTTTTCCCCTTCATTTTTACCCTTTATTAGCCCACATTCCAGGCCTCATTTTCTTTCCTACACAGCCTAGACTCTTTATTCAATCATTGCAGGAACATTGTCACAGATACTCCCCACCAACTCCCTAGTTCTCTATGTTTTTACATTATATACTCCGCAACTCGCTAAACCTGGGCCAAGTTTCTCTAGCCAGCCTTGGAAATGTAGCAAGACGCATCTCGACCAAAAAAAAAAACAAAAAAACAAAAAAACAAAAAAAACACACACACACACACACACACACAAATAGACCAAATAGGCAATTTTTGCTGTCCGGGGAATGTCCAAGAGGAAGACAAGCACAGGACACTCATTAACATCACAGAAAAGAGGAACCCAAGTGAGCTATAAATTCATCAAAGATGGTAAGCTCAGGTAAGGAAAATCCAGCAGCTATGCGGATTGATGCCACTGCCCATGTATGGGCTCTGGCCTTCTCTGGGCTTTCAGTAAATGCAGCAATCTTTTCTTTGTTCATGGATAACTCTTATCTCCATTCCCCTCAGCATTATTTCAAACAGGTCCACTCTTCTCAAAATTAACCCCTGCCAGATCTCCTCTCAGCAGGCATCATTACTTCCTACTTCACAGAGAAAATAGAGGTCATCACCCATACATTCCCTCAATTCATCACTCCAAATCCAATAAATTAATCTATTTTTGCACCACGCTGTCTCATTTGCAGTTTTATAGAAAGGCTTGTCCTGCCTCATATTCAAAACTAAACTCCCCAATTATGCATTGCTCTCAACCTCTCCCACCTCCTTCAGAAACCTTGCCTCATTAACAATCACCTCATTTTATCATACTACAATCTGTCCTTCTCTACTAGCTTCTTCCCTTCTGCATAAAAATCTAGCCAGGTATTACCACTCCTTAAAAGCAACAACAAAAAAAATCTAAATCATTTGCTGACCTCTAATATGCCCTATTATCCCTCATTCTTATTCTATCAATTTTCTTTTAAGAAAAAAAAAAGTCTATTTTCTCATCTACTTCTTCTCTTAAGTCATGGTAACCACTCTTGCTCACACTCTGGACCTGGACTGTTTGTTATCAACTCAGTACTACTATCACTCTTATCAAAGCCTGTGAAATTCATTCCTCACAACCTGGTTCTAGGTTAAAATTTATCAATGTGAGATATTCAGATGAGAACTTGCCTGAAGTGAAGCAGAAGCCACATTCCCTAGAAGCAATTGACATATGAGAGAGATATAGAGAGGTGAGTCACCATGGCTTTCAGAGAAGCTCTTGAGACCCATCTTCTTCACAAACTGAGACAGTTGCTGGGAGCTTCCCACAGATTGTTGAGGACATCTACCAGTTTCTAGCAGCTTTTAAAATGATTTGCTTTAGTTTATTAGACTGTGATCTTCAGGGTCAATTTCTCCTACTGTTGGGCAACAGCTTCCCTTATCCTCAGTGGCAAATTCCCTGAGCTTCATTCCATCAGTCTTCCAACAAGTTCTGTAAACCCCTAATTTTACATTAAACTCTCTACGTATAGAGTACATGGAATGGTGTATTTACCCTGAGTACTGAAGAAATATACCCATGGAATGGTGTATTTACCCTGAGGGCTGAGGAAATATACCCAACACCTTCCTGAATCTATTCTAACAAATATCACCTGTAATCTCCAAATTTCTCAAACCCAATGCATTTTCATCCTTATTTGATCTCTCTGAAACTGTTGCCAACATTGATAACTGCTTTCTTGCAACATCTTATCCTTTTGGAACTTTGAGACTTGTAGAAGAGATATTTACAGATATAATAATATTATATATATGATATGCTATAAAATGAGTAATCTTCTGTAAATGTAGAGAGAAAAAAGCAACCAGGTGTATCTTGGGAAATTATTATAAAGCATTCCCACTGAACTATAGCTCCATAAATGCCCTGACCATTTCGAACTCTTCTGGGGCCTTACATGGGCATCTTGGACAGCAGTAACATATATAAGGACTTTTTCTTCTTTCTCTATATTTCTTTTATCCTCTAGGAAATAACTACACTATTTCCACAAACAAATACTCTGGATAGTCTATCCTGCATATCTTTATGTTTCTAACTGAGGCCATAAGTGAGAAACAAAAGCAAAAGAAGAATAATTTTATATAAGCAAAGAAAAGCCACTTTTGAAATTATCCCTCCAGAGTTTACAGGCTCAAAAGGCAAGACTTACACAAACAAATATCTAAAATCTGAACTCAAATGCAAAGATCTTGACATTTTTCACCATTACAGTACAGTGCTATACAGAGTAGTGTCAATTGTATACCAGTATATATAGAATGGTTATTCACAACTACTCCTTAAAGAAAAAGCAATTAAATCAATAATTGATATTATATATATATATATATATATGTCTATATATATATATATATATATGTCTATATATATATATATATATGTCTATATATATATGTCAAAAATAGTCTTATTAGATTGTATACTTTAGAAAGTCAAGGGCAAGATTCTCAACTACCTCGTAAGATGTTAATAAGTCAAACAGTTAACAATGAATTTAGTGTGTAAGATTCACTCTTCCATAATATTTTTGACTACAGTGACATTCCACACTCTGTCAGCATGGGTAGAAAATTTCTATAATTTTGTAAAACTAGGTCAACATCATATAGTTACATTCTACATAATCCAGCCCATTCTGTCGATATCTTAACTCTAGCAGAAATGTGAATTCTAAAATACTGTGAAATCAAACACAAGTTTCTAAAATAGAAACAATGAGAAAATGTCCTATACCTCCAAATTAAATTCAGATGTGGAAAATCTGTGTTTGATACAATAGATTTAAATAAAATATACTACAGATGAAATAAACAAGGATTTAGGTATGATAGTCATTTTAGTTGATTACATCATAGTCTGAATTTAGACAGTCTATGATGTTTCCATGGAAACTGTTTTTGCTTAAATGTAGTTTTAGATATTCTTTAAGTACAAATTAAATTAATTGAAGGCAGAGATACAATGTTGGAAACATTTAGGAGCCTAAAGAACAGTTTATTCTACTTACCTAGAAGAATTAAGAGGAGTAATGGCAAAGGAAAAAAATACATAAACTAGTTCCCTAAGATGAACAATCAAACAGAATATTTTCAAACTAAACTGTACATACTTTGAAATTCATTTAGAATATGAACTCCAATACTAGCCAACCTAACTTCAACATGAAGTTTATATTCCAGTGGAAATGGAATCATGAACTCTCTAATGCCTATTTCTAGTTTTTAAAGCTCAAGTGGAAAAATTAATCTTCCTTGAGATTACCTGGCAAATAGTAGTGACACAATAAGTATGTGCTGCCTAAATGAATACATGAATGAAATAAGCTTAGAATGCAGTAATGCTATCGTGACAATGTTGGGATGCAATGAGGCCCAATATATAACATTCTTTTTTTTTCTGAACCAGCTAAAAAACAAAAGAGAGAAAGGGAAATAGAAAACTTAATACAGATATTGCTGTTAATGCTAAACAATCTGATAAGAGAAAATGAGACTTATCTGTAGCAAGCAGAATTTATGTTTGTGAACCTAGATTTTAACAGACACCAACCTAGACACAGGCAGCACTAAGTCACCATAGACCTTCTTATATGAGATTCTGCTTTTGTCAGCCTTACACATAAAAAAGCAGAGCAGACTGCATGCTCTCTGTAAATAGGTTTGGACCCAAAGAGAAATACAAAAAAGAAATGACTGAGCTAGCATATTCAACTTATTCCTCCAAAATACAGCAATCACATAACCCACTCAGTCCCTCCAGAAAAAAAGCATGTTATGATGGGGAGATAGGCCATGATTGTTATGTGAAAGGAATTGTTCACATGGCAAGAATCATTAGGATTGTGAAAAAAGTGTCCTCTCCATAGCAATTATGGGAAGACTTGTGTTATCTGATAATCAATTAAGCATATACTATCATGAAATTTAAGATGTTAAATCAGAACACTTTCCATCATTCATTCATTTAACAAGCATCTATTGAAACCTACTAGGTACAGAAATTCTTGTAGATGTTGGAGTTAAGAGGATGAAGAAAGTAGACATGGTTTACATCCTCATAACATTTATAACCTACAAGGCAAACGTCAATTGAATAAACAATTTTAGTTCAAAATCATAAGAGAGTAGTCTGGATGTTCCTAGGTGAAATATTTAACCTTGTAAAACTGAAGAATTCTACACAAATAACTTTGAAGCAGATGGCCAAAGCATTGGTAAGGATTAGCCAGACAAAGAAACTAAGAAAGTGTTTCTCAGATAAACAGGCAGTAAGCGAACAGGCCTAGAGCAAAGTGTGAGACTGGTGTAGTCAGTAAAACAAAATAATTTCAGGAAAGCTAAAATATACTGTGAGGGTGAGAGAGATCCTGTTAAAGAGCATGCAGTAAAGAGAAATGCCCAGGTTCACATCTTAGAAAAATCACTCTGGCTTCAGAGAGGAAAAAAACTTTACAAAATGAGGTTAGAGACATTACTTGCAGTATTTAAGTTAAAATAATTGCAGTATTTAAAATGAAAGAAATTGGTAGCTTGAGGACTACACATAAAAATAAATAGAAAACTTGTATTTAAGAAATATTTCTCAGGTAGAAAAACCAAGATTTGGTTATTTGGGAGACATATCCAATATGAGGATGAAAGAAAGGAAGATAGTAAATTTCTGCTTTGAAGAGCTAAGTAGATGCCCGTGTCATTCAATAAAATAGGAACCCAGGCAAATGAGATGGCAAACTGACAAGGATATGTTGGTACAATTTTTATTCAGTTCTTTGTAGAATACCCAAATAGAAATGTCCAGTAGGCACTTGATTATATGGGCCTGAAGCTTAGGGAAATGAGTTCAATTGAAAATAGATATTGGAAACCAACAGCATAGAAATGGTGCCTGAAGCTATAACCATTTTTAAGTGGATTAAACTTGGTGGTATGCAATTAGCAAACAGCGTTACTACTTGAGAATCACTTTCTTCACACTAAGTCTGTAAGATTTATCTTCATTATTTACAACATCTAAAATTTTTGCTAGGAGCTGTGAACTTTGAATCACTTTCATTTATACAAGGAATTACATTTCTTGAAGTTGCAAGTATAAAATCTGCATATGTGGACTTTTTTCTATAACACCTTAAATATACTATATTATAGACGTGAACCCAACCCAAATAATATCTATACTTCTGGTGCTACATTGAGAGTGAGAAAGAGAGATTATTGAATAACTATTGAGGTCTATCATAAAAGAATTCTGTCCCAGATGTTGGAAAAAGAAAGAAAAGGAATGATTTAGCATATTCTTTAAATAACTGTAGAAAGAAATCTTAAGATCTTCAGAGAAAAATAGCACCAATATCTTGGTTTGCTTGTGCATTTTCAAATAACAATAACTTTGAAAAATATTACTTCATTGCAAAGAAAAAATTAATGAATAACTATCTAAAAATACCTTAAATGAGGTTCAGATGTTTAAATTTCAGGATGTTTTCATAGACATTAAATTTGGAGTTCTAGAAACTTATGTGAAATATTTATTAAAACAAGTATAAGCAAGCTTAAGAACACTAACAGGAAAAGAGAGAAAAAAAATGCATCATGTGAAATAGCTCCAGCTGTTAAAACACTTGTTCAATATTGATGGAATGTCCGTGGTGTATAAGGTGTTAAACTTAACACATCCACAGCAGTTATTGATCCCCAGGACTTTCATTTTACTATGTATATAAACAAACAAGTGCAACATCTATGTAATTTGACTTTTAAAACCTAACATTTTATTTTTGCCTTATTTCCAACTCAATTTTGTTCTATAGACCAGCAATGCCTAAAGAACTGTAATCTTAATTTTGTCCATTATATTTTCTGATTTTGATTTTTTTTTCAGAATGCTGGCCACCATAACACTAAAAGTAGGCTGTGTCACATTTAGGAGGTCATATTTGAAAAAAAGAAGCCCCATCTCACCTCCCAACCCCCTCCTCTAGCTATAACTGAGACTATCAAATGTGGAATCCTAACCTATTCGAAAGTAGCTATTTCATAAGCCAAGAATCCATAACCTAGACACATACACTCACATACACATGCAATAAATGAGCAGGTTCGGTTATACTGTCTACAGAAACAAAACTGCAAAATAGAAGGAGAATGAGGTAGTGAGAACTAAGGCTGAAAAATCTATATATAAAGAGAAACCCCAAGTAGAGGCCATGAGGATCTTCAAAGTCAGGATTAGGATAAATCACAAAATTTATTTAGAAGCTGTGAGATAATGTTTTTGCCCTGCTTTTTGTTTTTAATATATGCAGATTAGAAGGAGCCTATTGGTAATAGGAGTAGAAGCAAACAGACACACTGAGAAAGACAGCATGGGGAGAGTTATCGGAAGGATACCCAGTACTCTTACTACTAGGCTCCCAGTACTACAGTGGATCCGAACTTATCTTCTGGGTATCTAATTGTTCTGAGGTTCCTGTGACGTTTAATGTCTCTTGTCTAGGACCACATTGAATGTTTGTAAGGGCTGTCCTTTTGCAGAAGTGTCAGGACCAGGCTGGGAGACAGCAGTGATACACAGCCTACATTTAGTGTTATGGTGGCGTGGACAAAGGAGCACCTTTCAGGATTCATGAATTTGGTCCACGTGCCTTCTAATTTGCACACTTATCACCCCAACTGAAATGTCAGAATAAGCTTTTCTTCTGCTGATTGAATCTGTTTCACAAAGTCCAAAGAAACTAACATAGATAGCAAGTTACAAGAATAAAAAGTGGGATCTGGTTGTTCATCACTAAGATTACTGCAAGTGCTATTATCTACTATTTTATTTAAATTTTGTGTAATGTATTCAGGCCTTAGACCTTGTGATTTCACTCTGTTTTCATATACATGACTTAATCCTGTTTTGATCTGCTCATTCCAGGAAGCATGAGATTTCTAGATTTGTATTTTAAACTTACATTAATTGCAAGACTGTCATTCTCTGAATTATGAATGGTAGATACAAATATAATAATCTAATCACTACCTTAAATTGCATATAATCTAACAAAGAGACAAAAATAAATAATTATAATACAGTGGAGGTTATGACAGAGATAAACACACAGTATAATGGAAGCATATAAGATTGGTTTCAAGTCCAAATTTGGGGTTTAGGGATCAGAAAAAGCTTTCTGGAGAAGATAATATGTAAGTTGAGCTTCAAAGAAGAGGAGATAGCCAGGTAATAAAAAGGTCAGGAAGGCATTCTAGGCAAGAGAATAGCTGTGAAAAAGAATCAATTATTGAGAGAAAGCAGAGCTTTACATCAGTGGTGATCAAGCATTTTACAATTTACAGGCCAATTGGGTGGAGTCCAAGACCTACAGCCCTTCTTTTTCTTTTTTCTTTTTCTTTTTAACTGTTTTGGTATTTTATTCTTTTTTTTTTTTTAACTGGTATTTTAGGTTCAGGGTTAGATGTGCAGGTTTGTTATACAGGTATACTTGTGACTTGGGAGTTTGGTGTACAGATTATTTTGTCACCTGGGTACTAAGCATAGTACTCAATTTTTTTTTCTTTTTTCTTTTTATTATACTTTACGTTTTAGGGTACATGTGCACAATGTGCAGGTTAGTTACATATGTATACGTGTGCCATGTTGGTGTGCTGCACCCATTAACTCGTCATTTACAGCCCTTCTAAAACAACTATTTCCTCTCCTTAGGGAAAAAAGTGATTAAAAAATTTAAAAGATATGAAATAAATAAGTTTCAGTAAACTTTTAATGTTAACATGTATTCTTTTTATTAATATGATAATATTACTGCATATATTTATATGTTTAAATAATAATCTACACATTTAAAATTAACTCTGTAAATCGTTATACTTATTTTAGCAATATAATGCCAGTTTTTTTAATTTTGCTTTTTTGTACAGGCAGTACATGCACATGATTGAAAAAAAAAGAAGAAAAAAAAATTAAGTTTTACTCCCTGTCTCCCAATATCCCCACAGAGGTTACATATATTTAGTTTCCTGTGTGTCCTTCCAAGGGTATTATATGCATTCACAAACAGATATATTTCCACACATATATACAGTTGGTGAACTTTTCTTTCCCAAAATTAAAATATATTTTGGAGAGCTTTCCAGACTACTTTAATGAGTGTTATGCTTTTTTAATTTACTATTTTTAACTTTTTACTTGAATTAATTTTAGACATGGAAAAGTTGTGAAACTACAAGAGTTTTCTTGTATCTCTCACCACATTTTCCACAATGTTAACATCTTACATAACTATACTGTAATTACGAAAAACAAGAAATAAAGATTGTTACATTATCAATTAAACCATAGATATTATTTCAATTTCAGCAAATTTTCCACTCATGTCTCTATTCCAGGATCTTATTCAGAATCCTACCTTGCACTGAATGGTTACTTCCCCTTCTGCCTTCCAGTCTGTAACAGCTCCTTAGTCTTTCCTTGTTTTTTATTCATTTCATATTTGAAGAATACTAATCAGTTATTTTGTAGAATTTCCCTCAATATGGCTTTGTCTAATGTTTTCTCACGCTTAGAATATTTCACATTTCTTGCATGATTGGCACAAAATATGATGCCTCTAGGGACACTTTAAGTAGTTCATTGCAGGGCTGAGACAGAGAAAATCCTAGGTAACACTGGAATATCTGGTGGTGTGGGAAAGTAAGAAAATGCTCAGAAGAAGATGGGAGCATTTTGAAAGAACACAGGAGCCAGTCGGACTTAATGACCTAAAGACCTAATGGTCTTAATGACCAATGCTGAATGGATATGAGCAGCAAATAATGATGGTATTGAATTTTAATCTATAAAATAAAATCATAAGTATATATTTACATAAATAATTGAGTAAGTAAATAAATGGGAAAAAGAATGGCTCTTGCAAGAAAATTCAACTTAATGAATTAAAAGGAGAAAATAAAAAATCAACATTAGGCGAACACCACACAATTTTCTGTACCAAACTGTTGCAGACAACATCTACAAATTTGGCAAAAAATTGTGGACAAAATTTGTGGACAAAAGTTTGAGAAACAGAATTTACCTATTCATAAAGTATCTCCTACTAGCAACTATTAATTACAAAAGAAAAAATAACTTTACAGTGAAGAAAGTTGACATGCGCTAACTTAATCATTTGATAATGATAAACATCACATAATAAAAAGTGAGCTGCTTGATATGCATAGAGAAGAACACGCTATTATAAATTAATTTTAATAAATAACTCATAAGGTTATAAATTTGAAAATATAGTTACTTTTTAAATTCAAATCTATACAGTGAAAGTCTCTCTATATATATATTAATGGCATTATATATACATTATTTCCAACATACGCAAGTATATCTAGAATAGTTTTCCAAGTGAATTGCTAGATCAAAATATATAAGTACTGTTATGTTAATATTTATAACCAAGTTGCCTTAAATACAGGTTACACAAATGTATATGCCAAGGTCTCAAAAGCAGAAAGTATTACTGAGCATTAGAACTTTTACTAATTTTATGGTTGATACATAATATTTCAGTATGGTTTTAATTTATATGTCTTACCATATGTTTATGAGTCACTTGTACTCCCTTACCCATACATGTTTGTTCACATCTATTGTCCATTTTTTAATGCAGTAATTGGTCTTTTTTATTTCTATCAATTTATGGGAGTTATTTATATATTAGGAAGATGAGACTTTTGTCTGCAATACGGCTTGCAGACATTGTATCACTTAGAAAATCATTTAAATAGCGCATATTCACAGGCAGTGCATTCTGATGAAGAATTATTGTACAAATAAATTTAGAGCATATAAACTATGTATATACACTAGCTTTAGTAATAAAATATAAATATTTCACACATAAACTATAGTTTAAACTCTCTTAGAAATTGGTGTTTAAAAAACCATCGGCCATATAGATTTGTTCTACTGCACCTTTGATATAGTTTGGATGTTATGTCTAAATCTCATGTTAAATTGTAATTCCCAGTGTTGAAGGTGGGGCCTGGTGGGAGGTGACTGGATCACAGGGGCAGATTTCTCATGAATACTTCAGACATGCCCTTTGTGCTGTCCTTGTGATAGTGAGTTCTTGTGAGATCTAGCTACGTAAGTATGTGGCATCTTCCCCCTCTCACTCTCTTGCTCCTGTTCTCACCATGTGAAGTGCCTCCTTCCACTTCACCTTCCACCATGAGTAAAAGCTCCCTGAAGCCTCCCCAGAAGCTGAGCCAATGCCAGTGCCATGCTTGTACAGCCTGTAGAAAATGAGCCAATTAAACCTCTTTTCTTTGTAAATTACCCTGTCTCTGGTATTCCTTTATAGAAATGCAAAAATGGCCTAAGACAACCCTGTAGGTTAAATAAAATAATCCACAGGAATACTAAAACTTACAATAAAGACAATCCAAGTCAGAATCACAGCAGCTGGAAAACCACTACTAACTCACAACAAAGACAACCCACTAATAGAACCTACTTCTCAAAATGTGGACCTTCTATCTGAATGTGCACATGAGTAGTGGTAACAAGACTTTGTAATAAAACACTAAATTACAGTCTTTAGTAAACCCTAGAGTATATTAATTTTATTTCATAAATATCATATTTTAGTTCCCATAGAGGTCAAAGTAAATATTGTTTAAAATAGAATTTATGGTATTATATGTTATTTGAAAATAAGAAATGAAGAAAGAACTTGCGTGTTTAGAACAAGAACTAAAAAAAGAACCATCTCTTGCAGCTCATCACTGCACAGAGTTCAGGAATGGAGAATGGGGAAGAATGGAGACATGTGTCTGGGAGATATACAGGGCTCAGGACATGAAATGCTTTATGGTGATGCTAAAGAGTTTGGATTTCATCTTAGAGGCAAAGAGAGCCATTGATACATTTTAAGAAGAATGGAAATATGCTTAAGAGTTTTGGATTATAACTCCTTTTATACCTGCCTCAGTGCAAATAAAAAGAGTATGGAAGCATACTTGAAAATACAGAGATTGGTCAGAAGGCTCTAGTAGACTCAGGGAGAGATATAACAAGTGTCTGAACTAAGGCCATGTCAATGGTAGTAGAACATAGAAAAAAGAAGGTCATATGATAGAGGCAGAATTGAAAGGTATTCATCACAAACTAGATGGGGGAAAGTCAAAGATGACTTGAAGCATTGTGTAGTAGGTAACCAAAACCAAGATGGACTATACAAGATGAAGAGTATATTATGCAGTGTGACATTCAATTTGCCTTTGAGACAGCCAAGTGGATAATTCCAATGGATCTTTGCTGTGTCATTCAGGAGTCAGACCTGGGCTAGTAATTAGATGTTTATATCATCAATATGGAGGATAAATTGATTCAACTAGACTTTCCAGAAACTTGACAGTGAAGACATGTTAGGAGATAGGGCAGCAATTCTGGGAGACCAGATATCAACTTAGTTTTGAGGAAAAGTGGAGAAGGGAAGATAAAATGAATATCAACTCACTCATAGCTCTCATGTCACCCCCTAAATGAAGGCTTCTGTATTAGTTTGTTTTCATGCCACTAATAAAGACATACCAAAGATTGGGAAGAAAAAGAGATTTAACTGGACTTACAGTTCCACATGGCTAGGGGGTCCTCAGAATCCTGGCAGGAGGTGAAAGGCATTTCTTACATGGTGGTGGCAAGAGAAAATGAGGAGGAAGCAAATGCAGAAACCCCTGATAAACCCATCAGATCTCAGGAGACTTATTCACTGCCATGAGAATAGCATAGGAAAGACCAGCCCCCATGATTCAATTACCTCCCCCTGGGTCCCTCCCACAACACATAGGAATTCTGGGAGATAAAATTCAAGTTGAGAGTTGGGTGGGGACAAAGAGCCAAACCATATCATTCTGCCCCTGGCCCATATAAATCTCATCTCACATTTCAAAACCAATCATGCCTCCCCAACAGTCCCACAAAGTCTTAACTCATTTCAGCATTAACCCAAAAGTCCACAGTCCAAAGTCTCATCTGAGACAAGGCAAGTCACTTCCGCCTATGAGCCTGTAAAATCAAAAGCAAGCTAGTTACTTCCTAGTTACAGTGGGGGTACAGAAATTGGGTAAATACAGCTGTTCCATGTGGGAGAAATTGGCCAAAACCAAGGGGTTACAGGGCCCATGCAAGTCTGAAATCCAGTAAGGCAGTCAAATTTTAAAGCTCCTAAATGATCTCCTTTGACTCCAGGTCTCCCATCCAGGTCACACTGATCCAAAAGGTGGGTTCTCATGGTCTTGGGCAGCTCCACCCCTGTGGGTTTGCAGGGTA
Source organism: Homo sapiens (assembly GCF_000001405.40). Lineage (NCBI taxonomy): Eukaryota > Metazoa > Chordata > Mammalia > Primates > Hominidae > Homo > Homo sapiens. Next base: position 104,841,114 of record NC_000004.12, read on the forward strand.
CAGCCTCCCTCCTGGCTGCTCTAATGGGCTGGTGTTGATTGTCTGCAACTTTTCCAGGCACACGGAGCAAGCTATCAGTGGATCTGGCATTCTGGGGTCTGGAGGATGGTGGCCCTTTTCTCACAGCTCCACTAGGTGGTGCCCCAGTCGGGACTCTGTGTGGGGGCTACGACCCCACATTTCCATTCCGCACTGCCCTAGCAGAGGTTCTCCATGAGGACCCCACCCTGCAGCAAACTTTTGCCTGGGCATCCAGGCATTTCCATACACCTTCTGCAATCTAAGTGGAGGTTCCCAAACCTCAATTCTTGACTTCTGTGCACCCGCAGGCTCAATGACACATGGAAGTTGCCAAGGCTTGGGGTTTCCACCCTCTGAAGCCACAGCCCAAGCTGTACGTTGGCCCCTTTCAACCACAGCTAGAGTGCCTGGGGGGACATAGGGTAAGTCCCTAGGCTGCACACAGCATGGGTATCCTGGACCCAGCCCACAAAACCATGTTTTCCTCCTAGGCCTCCAGGCCTATGATGGGAGGAGCTACCATAAAGGTCTCTGACATGGCCTAGAGACATTTTCCCCATTGTCTTGGGGATTAACATTAGGCTTCTTGCTACTTACGCAAATTTCTGCAGCTGGCTTGAATTTCTCCCCAGAAAATGGGTTTTTCTTTTCTATCATATGCTCAGGCTGCAAATTTCCCAAACTTTTATGTCCTGCTTCCCTTATAAAACTGAATGCCTTTAACAGCACCAAAGTCACCTCTTGAATGCTTCGCTGCTTAGAAATGTTTTCCGTCAGATACTCTAAATCATCTCTCTCAAGTTCAAAGTTCCACAAATCTCTAGGGTAGGGGCAAAATGCCGCCAGTCTCTTTGCTAAAATGTAACAAGGGTCAACTTTGCTCCAGTTCTCAACAAGTTCCTCATCTCCACATGAGACCACCCCAGCCTGGATTTTATTGTCCATATCACTATCCCCATTTTGAGCAGAGCCATTCAACAAGTCTCTAGGAAGTTCCAAACTTTCCCACATTTCCCTGTCTTCTTCTGAGCACTTTGAACTGTTCCAGTCTCTGCCTGTTACTGATTTCCAAAGTCACTTCCACATTTTCTGGTATCTTTTCAGCAATGCCCCACTTTACTGGTAGCAATTTACTGTATTAGTTCATTTTCATGCCACTGATAAAGACATACGCAAGACAGGCAGGGATTTTGCTTTTTACTTATAGTTCCACATGACTGGGGAGGCCTCAGAATCATGGAAGAAGGTGAAAGGCACGTCTTACATGGTGGTGGCAAGAGAAAAATAGGAGGAAACAAAAGCAGAAACCCCTGATAAACCCATCAGATCTCATGAAACTTATTCAGTATCATGAGAATAGCATGGGAAAGACAGGCCCCCATGATTCAGTTACCTCCCCTTGGGTCCCTCCCACAACATGTGGAAATGTGGGAAGTCTGGGAGATAAAATTCAAGTTGAGATTTGGATGGGGGACACAGACAAACCATATCACATTCCCTGCCATCTTACCTGGAGAAGCTCCCAGACATTCTCCAATATTTCCTGTTTTGTTGTCATCAGTGGGACTTACCATTGTCTAAAATAACTTGTTTGCTTTTTTTTACTTGTTTATTGTCAGTGTCCCCTCACTAGAATGTGTGCTCCCTAAATTCAGAGAACATTCTTATTCTTCACTCTATCCCCAGCTCCTATATAAAATATTTTTAACATAGTTGCCACTCAAATATTTAAATATTTTTATACAAATTAATTTTCCTCTTTACTCATCAAAACTATTTGTCCTTATGCTCTCTCCTGCTATATTCATTGTATGTTATTACTCCTTTCACAGAGTTTCTTAATGTAATTCTCTATTTTTGACTCTGCCTACAGAAGATAAAGTACTACAGGATCACAGCCGTATATTATTTATCTTTATATATTCCCATTCTATTCCCACATTCTACCCAATACAAACATACAACATGCCACTCATAGCGAGTATACAACTTAGCATACAGATCAATAAACAGTTGAATTTTTTTTCTCTAGGCTTCTTCTCAGGTAGAGAAAAAAATTTTAATAGCACAAAAACAGAAAAAGAGACCTATTCTGCAACAGAAATGGGAATAGGTGGGGTTGACTGAAGCAGAAAGAGTTCCCAAGGAAGTACAAGATTCTCAAAGTACATAAATAAAATGAAGAGAGTTAATGAGGACTTTAGCTTTGGTTAATTTTAGCATATTTTACTTTAATAAGCAAAAACTTTTTAAAGTTTTTAAAAGAAAAATATTAAGCGTATTTTAAAGCTGGAAAAATGAGGTAATAAAACATATATCCAAAATACAGCAATTATTATGCAGCTCCTAATAGAGTTTCTGCCTGACAAAATAACAAGTTAATCAAATCATTTTGGTTTCAGAGTGCAGATAACTCCACAGTATGAACTGAAATCAGAAGTGCACTAGTTTGGCATCTGTGACCATTGGGGTCGCATTTGCCACTGCTAATTATTTTTGAAAGACAGAATGACCCAGCACATAACAGAATTTGTCCTGTAGGTGCAACAACGAAGCCAAAATTTTAAGTCCTCGAGAATTTTTGGCAATTACCAATAGAGTGCAGTAGTTTTCATAAAAATGAAGTCCTACCTCTAAAACTACAAAAAAAAAAAAAAAAATCCTAAATTTCCAAAAACTTAGTGTTTTCCTTAAGTTGGCAATAACAAAAGAGATTTTAATTTGGCACCTATGCTGGAGCAATGACATTTTATGGGAATAATACTTTCATTTACTCATTTTAAAAGTGTATGTACACTTTATGAATATAGTCGGGCACCCCATAGCAATGTTTTCATCAATGATGGATACATATACAACGATCCCATAAGATTATAATGGAGCTGAAAAATTCCTATCTAGTGGTAGTCAGGGTAACATTGTAGCACAACACACTACTCACATGTTATGGTGGAGCTGGTATAAAAAAACCTATTGTGCTGCCAGTCATATAAGAGTATATCAGGTACAATTATATACAGTACCTACTACTTAATAAAGACAACAAATGACTATGTTACTGTTTTATGTATTTACTATGCTATACTTTTTATCATTACTTTAGAGTACACTTCTACTTGTTAAAAACAAAAGTTAACTGTAAAACAGCCTCAGGCAGTTCTTCAGAAAGTATTCCAGAAGAAGGTATTCTTATAGGAAATGACATCTCCGTGCATGTTATCCCCACTGAAGACCTTCCAATGGGACAAGATGTGGAGGTGGATGACAATGATATTGATGATTCTGATCCTATGTAGGCCTAGGCTAATGTGTGTGTTTGTGTCTTAGTTTTTAACAAAAAAGTGTAGAAAGTTAAAAATAAAAATAATTTTAAAATAGAAAAAAGCTTATAGAATAAGGATACAAAGAAAATATTTTTGTATAGCTGTACAAATGTGTTTGTGTTTTACGCTATTATTACAAAAAAGTTAAAAAGTGAAAAAAATACAGTTTGTAAAGTAGAAAAGTTAGAGTAAGCTAAGATTAATTTATTATTGAAGAAATTTTTAATAAATTTAATGTAGTCTAAGTATACAGTATTTATAAAGTCTACAGTAGTGTATAATAATACCCTGGGCCTTTATATTCACTCACCACTGACTCACTGACTCACCCAGAGAAACTTCTAGTCCTGCAAGCTCCATTCATGTTAAGTGCCCTATAGAGGGGCATCATTGTTTCTACCATATTTTTACTGTACTTTTTCTATGTTCAGATACACAAATACTTATCATTGTGTTATAATTGCCTATAGTATTGAGTATAGAAACATGTATATAGGTTTGTAGCCTAGGATCAATAGGCTATACCATATAGCCTAGGTGTATAGTAGGCTGTACCATCTAGGTTCGTAAAGGTACACTCAACGATGTTCACATGATGAGAAAATCACCAAATGCATTTCTCAGAACATATCCCTGTCATTAAGTGACACATGACTGGACAGTCATGTGTATACATATATGGCTATGTGGATATATGTGTGTGTGTGTGTATATATATATATAAAATTACAAACATATATATATATACACATACATGAAAAATAAACATTAACAGATGAGTTAGAGTCCTGATTTTAAGATTATAAACACAAATAAGGAAAAAAAATTATCAACTATAATCAAAATATTAACTTTACAAGAAAGCTAATAATACTATTAAACTTTCTCTTTTTTTTGAGATACAGCAGCTATTTCAGAAAATTTCTTAAAAGATAACTGCTTTTTCAACTGCTCTTAAACCCAGTTTTAAACTCCTCAGTTACCTGAATCAAATATGTAAGTAATGTTTGAAACTTGGATTAAGCAGGGCCAAACTTCAGTGAATAGCATCACTTAGTGTATTTTTAAAAGGCATATCAGAAGTCCTGTCTTGTTGGGGGTAGGGGGGATGCAGGTGTGTGTGTGTGTGTGTGTGTTCATAAAGGTGTTATTTTTAATGATGAAAATGTAGGGCATTGAGAGACATTGTGGAAAATGGCTGTAGGGATCTAACTGAAAAGATAGGACTTTCAGTTTAAGTTACAGCTGGTGAAACAAAACTTACTTAGATACTGAGATCTTTAGATACTACTTTTTAAATTACTGATTTAATTTTAACTTTAAGTGTAAAGTTTGCAAATGCACTAAGAAACAACGGTGAGTGTAAATGTGATAGTAGTCTAAGATAGATGTTGTTGATTTGTAATGTTTACTTAAAAGAACTAGTTTTAAAACTGGAAGTACCTATTCATGTGCAAATAACATAATTTGTTGATGTCCCAAATCAGAATTTCTACTCAAAATTAGAAATAATCTAAGTTAATTTGTGTCTTGAAAGTAATAATATGTCAAATATTTCAAAGATACAATCACTCAAATTAGCTATTTCCATCTACTCTAACAAAGGGTCTTTAGATTTCAGGAATGACAGAAGTTCTGCTTTATATCTCTTAGTCAACAAGGAGCTACATCAGGACTTCATCAAATAAAATTTAATGAGATTAGCTCTAGTGTATTATTTTTAAGGGCTAATATTTATAAAAGGTGAATATGAAACTAGATAAAAGATTTTACAAAAAAATGCTTCATCTTTCCTACAACCATAAAATCTCTGAGTTTATTTGATTTGATGCCAGGTTGTGCTAGGATGCCCAATATATTAATAAAATGAGAAGCCACTGGTAAATAGACATTTGAATACTAATTTATTATAGTAATTTTAGTAAATTGTCATCTAATAATTATTCCCATAGCCATATTCCTAGCTGGTAATGAATGGGTTAGTCTCTGAACCCAAAGTATCCATAATGAGGACTCAGGCCAAACACTGATTGTCATTGCCTCCTCCTTCAGTGTTTTTTTCATTACTAAATGTAATACAAAGTATATAATGAATATTTTCTATAGCACTCTAAAGCAGTGGTCTCCAAACTTTTTCAATTACATGCCCATATCAGCAAAAAGTATTGAGCTTATATCTCTAAACATATTTTATAAAACTATGAATTATATATATACTGTCAATCTATCAATTACTAATAAAATATATTCTTTTTTCCATTTTTGATAAACAACCAGAAACTTTAATATTTTTTCTCTTCCTAATGAATGCTTTTCCTCACACTTTAGAAAATAAACACCATATTGTTTTATTGTGGAGATAATTGTAATAGAGAACCAGAAGGACAGGTTCTAGTTCATAAAATCTGATCCATAACTGCAGGACACATACAATCCATTTGGAATTCATGAAAAGAACAATAAAATAGCACACAATAAAAAGTAAAAGATCAAATTGTTTCTTAAGACTTACAGTGTCACAGAAGTTTAAAGATGTCTAAGGAGTTTTAAAAAGTGTTTATGGGTGAGGTAAGGTTCAAACCGAGTCTTAAATGAGAATAGATAAAATAAAGGCAGGAGATACATTAAGCTGATTTCACTGAATGGAACATATCTGAATGCATTATTGTAGGATGTACACCAGAAAGGAACATGAGTGAAGAAGAGAAATGGCAATGGGGGTGGCACATCCGTGGGGCCAATCTGGTGATACAAAAGGGTTAATGACAAACTATTCTGAATTTCTACAGCACCTGCAGGTGGTGCTGAATACTTTTACAGAAATAAAGTTTCAAAGAACAAGCTGTTTAGTCTTTAATGTTAATTAAAATTAACTGGTGATGTGGTTATAATGCAAATTCTGCTAGAGTCGATCATGGGTGTGGAATGAGACTAGGGATTTAGAAATGCTCACAGATTATGGCAATACCAATGGTGTATGGACCACATTTTGAGTACCAAGTGCCTAAAGGTCAGAGTCCCCACAGAACTTACTTTGTGACTTTTTATTCTTATATAATTTCCAAATTACAGAAGCATTACAAGAATGGCACAAGGAACTGCCATACATTCTTTATCCAAATTTACTATTATTTAACATAATCTACTTTATAATTTTCTCAATAGATGATTGATGATAGATAGGTGAATGGAATGAGAGACAGAAATATGAATAATATTTTGGAACCATTTGAGAATAGATTGAAATATTGTACCTTTTTCTCTTAAAATATTTCAGTGATTTTCCCCCAAAAAGGGCATTCTGTTACATAACCATAGTACAACGATCAAAATCAGAATGTTTAGCATAGTAGTACGTTTAATATACTATTGTCTAATTCATAGTCCATACACAATTTCATCATATATCACAATAATACATTTAATAGCTATTTTTTCCAGGCCAGGATCCAATCTAGTATCATGACTTAAAGTTAGTTGTTATAACTCTTCAGTGTCATTTAACCCATAACACAGTTTGTCTTTGTTTATGGCCTCAATACTTTTTTTTTTTTTTTTTTTGAGACAGTCACTCTGTTGCCCAGCCTGGAGTGCAGTGGTGCAATCCTGGCTCACTGGTGCAATCCTGGCTCACTGCAGCCTCCGGCTCCCAGGATTCAAGTGATTCTCCTGCCTCGGCCTCCCGTGTAGCTGGCAATATCAATTAGAATGTGAAATACTGTTTGTGATCATGAGATAGAGAATATTTACATTTTAGAAAGGTTTTTAAGTGTCATGAGAGTCTTTCTTTGTGTTTGTTTGTTTGAGATGAGTCTCGCTCTGTCACCCTGGCTGGACTACAGGGGCGCCATCTCAGCTCACTGCAACCTCCGCCTCCCAGGTTCAAGCAATTCTCCTGCCTCAGCCTCTCCAGTCTCCCGAGTAGCTGGGATTATAGGCACCCACCACCACGCCCAGCTAATTTTTTTTTATTTATTTATTTTTAGTAGAGACAGGGTTTCACCATGTTGCCCAGGCTGGTCTCGAACACCTACCCTCAAATGATCCGCCTGCTTCGGCCTCCCAAAGTGCTGAGATTATAGGCATGAGCCACCACGCCCGGCCTGACCTTGATACTTTTAAAAGTACAGTTGTCCCACTCTATCCATGGGAGACGCCTTCCCAGACACCCAGTGAATGCCTGAAACCATGGATAGTACCCAATCCTTATGTTTTCTCCTATAGATACATACCTATGATAAAGTATAATTTGTAAATAAGTTACGTGATCATGGTCTCTTTCTCTTTCTTTCTCAAAATACCATAATACTTTCAGACTGCAGTTGACAACAGGTAACTGAAACCAGGGAAAGCAAAACTGCAGACAAGGGGAGACTACTGTGCTGACTTGTTTTTGTAGAACTTCTATCAATTTGGGTTTGTCTGATGCTTCTACATAGTTAAATTCATATGATTCCTTTTTGTCAGGTATATCATGGACATGATGATAAATACTTCCCAGTATATCACAGCAGGAAGCACATGATAGCAATGAGACCAATATTGGTAATGTTAACTTTGGTCCCGTGGTTAAGGTGGTTTCTCAATTATCAAGTTAATAATTTTTCCACTGTAGTTATTAGTCATTTGTGGGGCAATATTTGAGAACATGTAAATTTCCTATTCCTCATCAAACATTCATTCACTAGTTTTAGAATCCATTGATAATATTCTAATTCCATAACTCTTTCTACATCATTAGTTGATATTTTACTGTAAAGGGATTCCTTTCTCTCTCAATTGTTTAGTTGTTTATTTATATCAGTAAGAACTCGTGTATTTTTATTTTATTCAATGGATCATATCCATTATATTATTTGTATTTTAATAATAATTTGTTCCACGTTTGGCCAATGGGAAGCCCTCCAAGCTGCTCCTTATGACTTTTTAAACGATAATTATTTAACATAGTTGTAGGCCAGGCACAGTGGCTCACGTCTGTGATCCCAACACTTTGTGAGGTCGAAGTGGGAGGATTTCTTGAGCTCAGGTGTTTGAGACCAGCCCTGGCAACATAGCAAATTCCTGTCTCTACAAAAAATTAAAAAACTAGCTAGGCATGTGGCATGCGTCTGTAGTCTCAGCTACTTGGGAGCTGAAGTGGGAGGATTGTTTGAGCCCTGGAAGGTCGACACTGCAGTGAGCTGAGATTGCACGAACGCACTCCAGCCCGGGCAACAGAATGAAATACTTGCCTCAAAAAATAATAATAATTTTAAATAAAATAGTTTAAACCTATAAAAAATTGTGATGATAGTGAGAATACCCATGTATCCCATATGTAATTTTCCTTTATTAATATCTTACATTAATATGCTACATATGTTAAAATTAAAGAACAATTTACTAAATCCCACAGTTTAAGATTTTTTAATAAACATTTACCTAATACTATTTTTTTATTCCAAGATTTTGTCCAGGATATTATATTACATGTAGTCATGACGTCTTCTTGGCTGTGACAGTTTCTCAGACTTTTCTTGTTTTTGATGATCTTGACAATTTTGAGAAATATTGGTCAGATATTTTGTAGAATATCTATCAATTGGGATTTTTTATCATAATCTGTCTGGGGTTATGGGTGTTTTAGGAGGGAGATGACAGAGGTAAATGACATTCTTATCATATCACATCAAGGGTATATACTATCAATATGACTTATTATTGATTACTTTGATTACCTGGCCAAGCTAGAGCTTGTTGTTTTTTTTCTCCTTTTTTATACTAAAGTATTTGGGAAGAAAAGTCTCTGTGTCCAACCCACACTTAAGGAAAGGGAAGTAATATGCTACTTCTTTGAGGATGAAGTATGTGCATAAATTATCTGAAATTGTTCCACACAGATTTGTCTATTTGTGCCATTTATTTATTTCATCATTTATGTATATCAGCATGAACCTATTTTGTATTTTCAGTTATAATCCAATACTACTACGTATATGACTTAGATTTACTTTAAGTTCTAGAATACATGTACGGACGTGCTGGTTTGCTACATAGGTAAACATGTGCCACGGTGGTTTGCGGCACCTATCAACCCATCACCTAGGTATTAAGCCCCTCATGCATTAGCTATTTATTCTGATGCTCTCTTTCCCCTCACCCCTCGCACAGACCTCAGTGTATGTTGTTCCCCTCCCTGTGTCCATGTGTTCTCATTGTTCAGCTCCCACTTACGAGTGAGAACACGTGGTGTTTGGTTTTCTGTTCCTGTGTTAGTTTGCTGAGGATGATGGCTTCCAGCTTCATCCATGTCCCTGCAAGGGACATGATCTCATTCCTTATGGCTGCATAACTACTATATTTTATTGTTCAAATTGTTCCAGCTTTGGCCATTGGGAGCTCTTTCAGCTGGCTCCAAATTTCATTTTTTAAAATTTTCTCTAAGCTTTATTATTTCTTTCATTATTTTTGTTTGGCTTTAATTTACTCTTCCTAGACTCCAAAGGTGATATTTAGTTTAATATTGACTCTAGACCTTTCTTCTTTTGTAATATATGTATTTCATGCTATAACATTATGTATTTTTACATTGAGTTCAAAATATTTTTAATATCTAATTTTTCTTGAACTCATATGTTACTTCAATGTTTATGGCTTAGTCTCCCAATAGTTTAGAATTTGGAATGGTAGTAGGGGAAGGAGCAAAGACCAAATTAAATGAGTAGAAAACAGTTACAAATATGGTACATACTAATCCAGCTACATTTGTAATCACTTTATATATGAATAGTCTACATACATTGATTAAACGAGATCGGGCCAGGCGTGGTGGCTCATACCTGAAATACCAGCACTTTGGGAGGCCAAGGCAGGTGGATCATTTGAGATCAGGAGTTCTAGACCAGCCTGGCCAACATGGTGAAACCCCGTCTCTACTAAAAATACGAAAATTAGATGGGCATGGTGGCAGGCACCTGTAATCCCAGCTACTCAGGAGGCTGATGCAGGAGAATTGCTTGAACCCAGGAGACAGGGGCCGCAGTGAGCCGAGATAGCACCACTGCACTCCAGCCTGGGTGACAGAGTGAGACTCTGTCTCAAAAAAAAAAAAAAAAGACAGAGATTGTCACAGTGGATTAAGAAACAAAACTGAACTATATCTTTCTGATAATAATTTTTAGTTTCATTTCATCTGGTTGGAAAAAATGTATTTTATATAATTTTTATTATTTTAAATTTGTTAAGGTGTATTTTCTGGTTCAGAATGTGATCTATCTTGACATATGGTCCAAGTGGACTTCAGAAAATGTGTACTCTGCTCTTGTTATATGAAGTATTCTATATATGTTGAATAGATTAAGTTGATTGACAGTGCTATTTCAGTTATTTCTATCTTTACTGATTTTCTGCCTGTTTAATCTATCAAATATAGACAGAGTTTCCAACTGTAATAGTGGATATATGATTTGTCTATGTCTCTTCTCAGTTCTTGCCTCATTTATTTCAAAGCTTGGTTGTTAGGTCCACAGATAGTTAGGATTGTTAGATCATCTTGGAAAATGGACTCCTTCATGATTACATAACCTCCCTTTGTATTCTTGATACTCCTCCTTGTTCTTTAGTCTCATTTGTCTAAAATTGATATAGCTATTTCAGCTTTATTTTTCTTTTTAGTAGTGTTGGCATGGTATACCTTTAACTATCCCTTTACTTTTAATTTAGTTGAATCTTTATATTTAAAGTGGGTTTCTGGTAGACAAAATATAATTGGGTTTTGTTTTTTAATCCAGTGTCCATCTCTGTAACTGATGTATGTAGACTGTTCACATAAGTGATTACAAATGTATCTGGATTAGTATGCACCGTATTTGTAACTGTTTTCGATGCATTTAATTTGCTCTTTGTCCCCTCCCCCACCACCATTCCCTACCATTTCTATCTTCTCTGGTTTTAATTGAACACTTTATCTAGTGTCTTAGAATATATCAATTATACATTTTTTAAATTTAGTTGTTGCCCTAGAGTTTGCTATATGCAATATATATATTAAACTTATATAAATCCACATTCAAATAGCACAATAGCACTTTACATATAGTATAAGTATGTTATAACAAAGTATTCCTAATTTCTCTCTCATGTCTTATGATACTGCTGTTATTTATTTCATTTATCCACATGCTATATTTACTTAATACATTGTTACAAGAAATCCACTATAATACCCTGTTTCTCTATAGGTAAGGTTATTTTTCTTCTGTGGTTTCCTTCAATATTATCTCTTTGTATTTGATTTTCTGCAGTTTGACTACAATATGCCTGAGTATATTTGAGGGTTTTGTTGATTCTGTTTATATTATGGGAATTGTTCTATTTGGTGTTCTCTGAGCTTCTTGGATCTGTAGTTTGGTGCTTGTTATTATTTGTGAAAAGTTCTCAGCCATTGTTATATCAACTACTTTTGTCTAGTTCATTCTTTCTTTCTTCTTCTGGTATTCTAATCACACATATGGTATACATTTTAAGATTGTCCCTCAGTGTTTGGATGTTATTTTATTTTTGTCTAATTGCATCACAGTTTGGGAAATTTTCATTGACTTATCTTTATCATCATTGATTCCTTCCTCATCCACGTCAAGTCTGCTAATATTTCCATGAAAGGCATTCTTCATTTCTGTTCACGTGTTTTTTATTTCTAGCTTTTGCCTGCTCAATACGATGTTGGCTGTGGATTTGCCATAGATTAATTATTTTGGCATATATTCCTTTGATGCCTTTTTCATTAATATTATTTTTCATTGACAAATCATAATTGTATTACATTTATGAAGCATGAAAATCAACTAAAAATGTATTAAAGACTTAAACATAAGATTTATAACTAAAACTATTAGAAGAAAACATAAGGGAAAAGCTCCACAACACTGATCTGGGCAAGGATCTAGAGTCCTTGTTTTTGTCTCCCCTTTAATTTTGGGCTTCCTTATGTACTGCTGCTCAGAAAAAGACTGTGTCTTGCAGCTCTTTCAACTGTAATCCACGGTTACTAGAGCCATTTTAATGTGGTAATAAGACATTGAGGAGGGAAGACATTCTATAATATCCCAGTTAAAGTTCAGTCATCCAGTGGGCCTGTATCTTGAGGCTATAATCTTCAGAAGAGTCTCTCCAGTGGTACAGTTTTTTTCTGCTTGCACTGCACTCCCTTCCCTGGTTGTAGTGTTATCAATCTATTTTTTAAAGCCTAACACCGGCTGGGCGCGGTGGCTCACGCCTGTAATCCCAGCACTTTGGGAGGCCGAGGTGGGCGGATCACGAGGTCAGGAAATCGAGACCATCCTGGCTAACACGGTGAAACCCCATCTCTACTAAAAATACAAAAAATTAGCCGGGCGAGGTGGCGGGCACCTGTAGTCCCAGCTACTCAAAAGGCTGAGGCAGGAGAATGGCGTGAACCCGGGAGGCGGAGCCTGCAGTGAGCCGAGATCGCGCCACTGCACTCCAACCTGGGCGACAGCGAGACTCCGTCTCAAAAAAAAAAAAAAAAAAAAAAAAAAGAAGAAACCTAACACCCTATTGACTATTATCCTTTTTTCTTTTCCCCTGGCGAGACAAGAAGGCTGGAGGGAATGGGAATATGGAGAAGTTCAGCTGGGAAAAAGTTTCGGTAGTGGACTCTGGCAAAGTCTTTTTCCGAGGACCTTTTCATGAAGAATCCTTTGGGCATATTTAATGCTGGTTCTTTCCTTCTCCCTGCCAGAGCCATGAGAGGCTCTTTCTCTGATATTCCCCCATGAGCACCTGGCAGTACTGTTTAAAGAGAAGCCTAGAAAAGTGTGTAGCCTCCAAAAGTTTCTCACTCTCACATTAGTGCACACTCAGCCTCCAGCAGGTCATCAAAATTGCTTCTACAGGTTGCTCACAGCTGATTACTGAGCACATTGAGAGGACTGAGGCAGGCCCTTTCTGGCAAGACAGAGAACTGTTCCAAAGAGCAACTTTGGTTCAAGAGCTCTTCATTGGTCTGGCAAATCTTTCTTGAACTGTATTGTATTACTCTTCTCTCCAGTCCTCTTTCCTGCCTCTCTCTTTCCACAGGTGTTGGGCTTACATCCTCTCTTCTTGTACCCTCCTTGTTTTGCTCTCTTTCTCAATAAATCTAATCCCACCTTGGATTCTATTTCTCCAAGACCCAAACTAATGCCAAAGTGTGTTAAAATCTAATAATAATGGTGAATTTGTCTTTATTTCCCTTTGTCAGCTTTGCTTTATGTATTCTGAGTCTTTGTTAGGAAATACACATTTATGTCATTCTGACATTAAGTGATAGAATGTATTTTATATTTACCATTTAATGTTCTTCATTCCTTCCTATAGATATGAATTTCCATCTAGTGTGATTTTCCTTCAGCCTCAAGAAGTTTTTTTTGGCATTTATTGCAAGACAGGTCTACTAGTGATGAATTTCCTGTTTTCCTTTGTCTGAAAATGTTTTTACTCCACCTTCTTTTGTTAAGGATATTTTCACTGGGAATACAATTGTATGCTGACTCTTCTTTTTTATTTTTTCTCTTAACATTTTAAACACATTTCTCCATTGTCTTTTGGTGTCATTATTTCTGTTGAGAAGTCAGCCATCATTCATATTACCAGCCTCTATATAAAATTTGTCATTTTTCTCTGGTTGTTTTCAATATGGGTTTCTGGCAGCTGGACCATGTGGGGTTTTAATTTATATATAGGTTAGTGCTTGCTTAACTTTAAGACTCTGTAAGACATTTTCCTCCAAATTTGGAGATGTTTCAGTTATTATGTATTCAAATATTATTTTTGCTCCTATCTTTTTTTTCCTTTCTCTCTCTCTGCTCAGCTTCTAGTACTCTAATTGCACATATTAGAATACCTCCTATTGTTCCATAGGTGATAAGGTTCTGTTCATTATTTTCAATTTTTGTTTCTCAGATTGGACAATTTCTTTCGATGTATCTCAGTGTTCACTGAATCTTTTTTCTGCTGTTTCCAATATCCTCCTAAGCCTTCCATTACAATTTGTAATCTCAGTTACTGAACTTTTCAGTTCCAAAATTTCCATTTGGTTCTTATTTATAGTCTTCATTCTTGGCTGTGATGTCCTACCTGTCTGTTAAATATGACTATAATTGTTTTATTATTGAATATATTAAAGGCATACCACACACTGTTTTGATATACATGTACTAGTGAAATGATTACCGGAGTTAAACAAATTAATAATCTCATTAAAGTCTTTGTTTCCTAAATACCCTTTGTGACATCTTGGAGTTGATTTATATGAAGTGCTTCTCACCCAATGCACCATCTTATCTTCAAAGGCTGGCTTCCCTCTAGCTTCAGTCTTCAAATACTTGTTACTAGTGATTTAAGGTTTACCCAGAATTTATAATTGTTATCTATGCCACGGCTAGTTCAGTACAAGCTGCTCTGCCATGATCAAAAGCTGAATTACCTCAATATATTTTGGAAGTGATTATGTGTGTTCATTTTAGTAGGTATCAAGCAAGACCAGAATGTGTCCTGGGAAGTCTAGTTTTATTAGTGCTAATATAATATCAGTATGCATACAGGTATATTATTTTTAAAAGTATGTATTTTGGGATACACAGTGTAGCACATTGGATAAAAATAGCTGCAGATTAATCCTGCACTCAGGGTTTATATTCTGTATACACTCACTAGTAAGTTTCTACCAATTATTTATAGCCAGTGTGTCCATTCTAATTTCTTAGTGTCTGTGCTGTAGCAGTTGTTAAATATTTTTAAAATTGTCCTTTTCCATATCCACTGTCAAATCACTTTCCTTTTGCTAGCATCTATTTCTAAGTTCTAAGAGGGGCCATGTGTCACATTTCTGGCCATGAGATGTAAGCAGAAGCTAGAGGAAGATTTCAGGAGAAAGTTTGCTTCCTGATAAAAGCAACACACATGACTTTTCTAACCTTTCCACCTTATTCTTTTGTTAAATACTGGCATTATGTTCTGAGCTACTGAAACCATCTTAAGTACATGAAGCAAAGAGTAAATGAATCTCAGTGATGCTAGATCTGACACCAATGAGCTTTCAAATCAATGTCAACTGCTACTCTTCTCTAGACTTCTTGTTAGGTTAAAAGATAAATACTCCCTTCTTTATTTAGCTTACTATTCACTAGATATTCAGCTACTGGCAAACGAATGCATTTCTAACTGATATGGTACCAATGGGGTTGTTATGTATATCATGTGTGGTAGTGTGTATAAAATGCTTAACTGAAAATCTAACAACTAGCAAGAAACCAATAAATGTAACTATAATTTTACGTACTTACTTATAAGCTAATTTCCTTCTAACATTATTTGAGATGGTATATGTGAACACATATACAATTCAACAGGAAAAAATAAAATCAAAAGAAAAGAAAAGGTTAAAAAGTAAAATAGAGTTACAAAACATAAGCCACAAAATGCATTCCTAAGGCATATAATTGCTACAGATAGTTTCCAAATTTGGTTTGAATTTCCTAGTAAATAAGAAAAAAAAAGGAAATAGTTCAACTGTTTTTCTTCAAGGTCAAGTAACAATGTAAAAGAGGAATTAGAACTTGGAGATACTACATTTTCAAGATATAGCCTAAGGTCTGAGCTACTGCCCACTGCCTCAGGTTAATGGGCCTCAATAGAATACACAGATTTTACATGACACTTGTATCTCACACCTCGTAGAGAAGGAGAGAATTCACTATAATAAAAGCAAGTTTCCTTATAGTGAAAAATAAATATTCTGCTCCAAGCTGAAAACCAAAAATTATCTTAAAAGTTGCCTACCAGAATAATTTTCTGCAATGATTATTTCCTTAGACATTTATCTTAGCATCCACAGAAAATTACAGCCTGGACAGTTTCTGAAAAACTCTATCACAACCAACTCCTTTTATTTCAAAATCTATTTATAACTTTTAATAACTTTGCAATAATCAAGAAAATCAACAATCATGTAAGAAATAGAGAAATACTCACGCATAATAAATGCCCAAACATTAACGCAGTCTTTTAGAGACAGAAAGATGGGGGTGGGGGGAGAGAGGGAGGAGAGGGACAGGGGAAAGATAAGGGGGTGGGGGAGAGAGAGAGAACTCTTAAGAGAAGCAATAATATTTTCTCTGTTGGTAAACTCTCTATTTATTGTGAAGAGTACATTATCTATCAAGGAGTTGTAATAAGTCTAGAAACAGAAAATGTGCTTTAGGAAAATGATAACCTCTTTTCTTAAAAGAGTCTCAAAAATAAGAGAGTACCTGATTTTCTAACACCTTCCAAAAGAAAATTTCAACATTACTCTTAAAAATTTTGGCTGATTTCTTATAGTAAAAAAGTCCTCAAAGCAGGGAGATCTGAAAGTTTGTGACTATTTATTAGTTCAAGCTAACTGTGAACAAGAAAATGTTGGATATCACATCTTTTGAGGAGAAAAGTAGAGGGAAATGAAAGTTAGGACAAAGGTTCATAGGGAAAAGAAAAAACTGGATCTGATCTTTGGTCCTGGACTTTTTCCTCTCCAAGTGAGTGGATAGTAAAGATTCAAAGTTAAGCTTGTAAAAATTGGCATGCCCATTACATAGAGGCTAGATGCCCAAGGTCCCGCTTCCCAGACACCTTGAAAAATTTGCCAAGATAGAGATAGCATAGCTTAAATGATGGGTTTCATCTAAGTTTTCAAAAACATTTTCCTAAAAATTATTCTATTAGGGGATTATTTTTTGAGTATAGAGGTATATTTGAATAAATAAATGAAACAGACATCAATTTATTCTGATTCAAGGTTGCTTCAGTGTGTAATGGTAAGTTCTATGGAGAGAGTTTAAATCCTCACAAGTTTTCAAACATAATTTGGAAGCCATCTTCTTTCACTTCTTCTAATTCATGAGGTCAGGACTCTGAGTGTAGAGACCATTTGGTTTTCCTGAAGCCATGCTGTGAGAACAAGAAATGGTCATGTTTAGTTATCACGACCTCCTGCAGAGGAGATGGGCAACCTTGAACTCTGGTGTCAGCTGCTCCAGACACACTTTGCTCAGTTTTATGAATGGACGCAGTAACTAAAAAGCATCCTAATCTGCTAATTATTTGTAAACCATTTTACATCCACTCTGTTCCCAATTTAGGTTTTGAAGCACTTCTGTAGTCACTGAAATTCTGTAGTTCACCCTGCAGTGATATATTTTTTTCACCTTCAAAGAATATAAGGAGTGTTTCAGCCTACATTTTAAATATGAAGAAGCAAATGTGTGAAATGAGGAAATAAAAATGCACTGAAGTTTTTTTTAGAACATATACTTATACACTTTCAAAGCATGTGTATTTTAACAAGCAGAATGTAAGCCCCATGAGAATACAGCCCTTGCCTATCTTATTCATCAATATAGCCCAATAGTTCTATCAGTGTCTGGCATATAGTAGGCACTCAATAAATACGTCTTGACTAAATAAATATATGCTTCTTTTAAGAGATGCATTATTAGGCATCCAACCCATTTTTCCATTCATGCTAACGATGACCTTTAAAAAAAATAAATTAATCTGCTGCTGCAACTGCCAAGAATGAGCTCAAAATTCCTCCCAGCTTCTCTTGACTATCCGTCAGAGACATAGAGTATCACCTGTCAGATGGCTGTCAGACCCAAGCTGAAATAGCTGCTGTCCTCTCCATCAACTTACATTTATGCCTCATACCTTACTCTAAATTTGAGGAAGGTATGTAAGTTTTGTTTTTAAAGTAAACATAGAATTAAAGTAAAGGAGATAAGGAGTAGTCCCATCAAAGAATTTCATCACTTGCTTTGCTTAAATATGAATTTTAAAGCAAGATTTGCAAATAACAGAGATAAATGAATTTGTTTTTATTATTGATTCATTAAAGGGTACTGGTAATCTCTGAAAGCAAAAGAAATCTCCACAATTTTAAAGAGAACATTTAAAATGTACCTACATGTAGGAATGAATATATTCCTTTCTATCTGACTGAAATCTGTGATAGAATATTTATTTTTAGGAGCCTCTCAAGC
The DNA here is from genome assembly GCF_000001405.40 of Homo sapiens. NCBI lineage: Eukaryota > Metazoa > Chordata > Mammalia > Primates > Hominidae > Homo > Homo sapiens. Next base: position 104,859,517 of record NC_000004.12, read on the forward strand.
TCTATATAAGTGGAAAATTATCTCAATCCCTGTGAACCTAGTTCAAGATAAATAACTGCTGCTTTTGCCGTGCTAACTCTGTCCTTACTTTTTACCTATGTTTTACCTTGCAAATGACACCCCCACCCCCGACTACCTACAGAGATATATGAGGGCACCGCTTTAAAACCCCACTTTGGCTAAGCTGAGTGGAGCTGGAGCTATATTACAACTGCGGTCCCTCCCTTCTCTCTCTAGTGCAGGCAGCAGCACTCAAGCAGTTAACCACCTTCTAAGTGTCCTGGTAATACATTCCTGCCGCAACACTCCTCAGCTCTCCAGAATCGGATTTCTGAAAATGTCTCTACACAGAGACATTCGCTTCCCCGCTCAGCAGAAAGGGCTGTAGTCAGGGCCAAGGAGAGTAAAATATGAGCTTACGAATGTGGGGCAGGACATACATTGTTTTTTTTTTTGTTTTTTTTTTTTTTGACTCAGAGAACTCAAGCTTCTGCACGACAGTGTGAGTCTCCAGCAAACGCCAGTCTTTAAAATGCACATAAAGGATGACAATTTGTTCCCTGAATATCACTGGCTGGCAGAGCCCCTGAACAAATTATTAGAAAGTGTGTGGGTGGAGGAGGATTTAGTCCCAATTATTAACCTACTGGAAGCTATATATATGCAACTATAATCATATATACTCATTATCATATCTCCAGTTGCCTCCAAATGCTGGCATTTAATGAGTTAAAGTCCAATGACTATGGCAATTAAGGTTATAAGTAAAATACTCCTCAGATATTTGACTGAAAGTATATGCTTGCTCTTCGTACTTTGTAGGAAGAGCACAGAGAGGCAGGAAAGGAAAGGAATGGGTTTTGGAGAGCACATCAAGCCAAAATAACACACTTGTTCTGACCATCCTAGGTACTGTGACAATAATTAGGAGGAAGAATACCCTTCTGTGGGTTGGAAAAGCCAGGAAGAAGAGACTTAAGTTAAGCTAGCATACATCAAAAATAATTGACAATGGTTAGGCTTCATTGTAGAGAAGCCTGCACTGGCATTGCAGCCACCAGCCCACCACCCACCTAAGAATTATTATTTGAAAAGGATGTCAGAGGATTATAGAAGATCCTTGTGTCTGCTCCAATTAGGATCAACACTTCTGCTGCTTGCTCACTGAGCATTCAGTAATGATGAAAGCATATTGACCCCTGCTGGAAATGTGTAGAACTGCAGCCTTTTTCTCTGGCCAAATAGGATTTAAAAGGAAGGCATCTTCTAAACTACCATTTACACGTATCAAGCCTAAGGGGTATGTGTTTGTTTGTTTGCTTATTTGTTTTAAAGAAGGCTTTATATCACAATGCCAATATGAAACTAGTTTACTCATTGCAAACATTATTTCAAAACATTTCACGAACCCAAGACAAAGCTTCTTCTAATGATATAGCTTTATATTTTTTTGTACAGAGCTTAATCACTATCTTGTTTAAAATTGTAAGCAACAGCCAGTGAGCATCAAACTTGGGTCCTCTCGATTATTTCTTAGAAGTCTCTGACTTACTGACCTCAAAATATATTATTTTCAAAGAAACTTAAGATCAGGAAAATGTTCTAACACTCTAGGTAATTATTTTGTTTCCACTCTAAATACTATCCCAAGGGTTAAATCTCTGTGACAGTTTTCTCCTAAGATATTTTCCACACAACTAAGGGCTCTAAACTTGTATTGCTATGCTAGAATATTAATCAGACACTCTACCTTCTAAGAATTCTTACAGAAAAGTTCAGGGAAAAAAATATTTTCCAGTATATTTGGGGGTCACCAAGTTTCCACCTAAGTGCTTAGAGGACATGGAACAGTTAACTCATACAGTACATGACTTGTTATTTTGTGGAATGTACTAAAATGATGTAGATATTATAATTCTTGCTCTGTGTTAGGGGTTTTAGAGAGGAAGTATTTCTCGATATAAGTTAACAGAATAATTATCAACGTCAGCAGTCAATATAAGCTCTCCAGCAGCAGCTAGACTATGGTCTCTTGGCGTGTTCTATTAGCTGGCCCACTCATGAGGTTCAAAGCTTTGCCAAGACTAGGAGGCCATTCTGTGTACAGATCAGTAGCCTGGCTCCATATAATGGTTGCCACAGCACCCCTCAACTCAACCCATTGTTCTGAAAATGCTATCAGTTAAATGCTATCCATAAACACTATCAGTTAAATACAAAAAAAAAATTGCAAGCTCTATTCTTATTCCATGTAGAGAAATTTGAAGAACATATTGTATTTATGTGAGTTCAGTGGTTATATTAATATGATGTTCCTTTCTTTTAAAACAAATAAAAAGCACCTCCATGATTAGGGTAAATTAAGGACAGGCATGCCTCAGAGATCTTGTGGGTTCTGTTCCAGAAAGCTGCAATAAAGGAAATATCACAATAAAGCGAGTCACATAATTTTTTTGTTTCCCTGCACACATAAAAGTTATGTTTACACTATATGGTAGTCTATTAAATGTTCAATAGCATTATGTCTAAAGAAACCATGTAAATATCTTAATTTAAAAATATTTTGTTGCTAAAAATGCTAACAATCATCTTAGCCTTCAGTGACTCTTAACTGTTCTGCCTGTGGAGGGTATTGCCTCAGTGCTGATCCCTGCTGACTGATCAGGGTAGGGGTTGCTGAAGGCTAGGGTGGCTGTAGCAATTTCTTCAAGTAAGACAACAATGAAGTTTGCTGCATAGATTGACTCTTCCTGTCACAAGAGTTTTCTCTGTAGAATGTGACGCTATTTGATAGCATTTTACCCACATAATACCTCTTTCAAAACTGGATTCTGTCCCCTTAACCTAGGCAGCTACTTTGTCAACTCAGTTTCTGTAATATTCTAAATCCTTTGTTGTTATTTCAACAATTTTCATAGCATCTCCCTCAGGTGTAGACTCCATCTCAAGGGACCAGTAGGTCTCAACAGTGGGCTTAAAATATTCAGTGAACCATTCTGTAAATAAATGTGCTGTCATCCAGGCTTTGTTCTGTTATTTATAGACCACTGGCAGAGTAAATTTAGCTTAATTTTTAAGGGCCCCAGGATTTTCAGAATGCTAAATGAGCATTAGCTTAAACTTAAAGTTACCAGCTGCATTAGCCCCTAATAAGAGGGCCAATCTTTGAAACTTAGAAACCAAACACTAACTTCTACTTCTATCTATCTAGGAAAGTCCTAGATGGCATCTTCTTTCAAGATTTTTCATCTTTCAAGGCTTTTATAACTACATTGAAAATCTGTTGTTTAGTGTAGCCATCTTCATCAATGATCTTAGCTAGCTAAGTCTTCTGGATAACTTACTGCAAATTCTCCATCAGCATTTGCAGCCTTATCTTATACTTTTATGTTACAGAAATGGCTTCTTTCCGTAAAACCTCAGAAACCAACTTTTTTTTGTGAGGTTTTCTTCTTCCAACTTCCTGCTAGCTTCCAATTTTTCTTCTACAGCCATTTCACCTCTATCCACCTTCACAGAATTGAAGAGAGTTAGGGCCTTGCTCTGGATTAGAATTTGATTTAAGGTAATGCTGTGGCTGGTTTGATCTTCTCTCCAATTAAAACTTTTTCCATATCAGCAATAATCTGTTTTGTTTTCTTATCATTCGGGTCTTCACTAGAATAGCACTTTTCCTTTAGAAACTTTTCCTTTGCATCCACAACTTGGCTACCATTTGACACAAGATGACTAGCTATCAGCCTATTTCAGCTTTGGACATGCCTTTCTCACTAAGCTTAATCATTTCTAACTTTCCACCTAAATTGAAAGATGCATGACTCTTTCTTTCACTTGAACACTTAGAAATCATTGCAGGGTTATTAATTGGCCTAAAATCAATATTGCTGTGCCTTAGAGAATAGAAAGGCCTAAAGAGAGGGAAAGAAATAGGGGAATGGCGGCCGGGCGCGGTGGCTCACGCCTGTAATCCCAGCACTTTGGGAGGCCGAGGCGGGTGGATCATGAGGTCAGGAGATCGAGACCATCCTGGCTAACAAGGTGAAACCCCGTCTCTACTAAAAATACAAAAAATTAGCCGGGCGCGGTGGCGGGCGCCTGTAGTCCCAGCTACTCGGGAGGCTGAGGCAGGAGAATGGCGTGAACCCGGGAAGCGGAGCTTGCAGTGAGCCGAGATTGCGCCACTGCAGTCCGCAGTCCGGCCTGGGCGACAGAGCGAGACTCCGTCTCAAAAAAAAAAAAAAAAAAAAAAAAAAAAGAAATAGGGGAATGGCTGGTCAGTGAAGCAGTCAGAACACACACAACATTTACGGATTAAGTTTACTACCTTATTTGGCCATGGTTCATGGCACCCTAAAACAATTGCAAGAATAACATCAAAGGTCACTGATCACAGCTCACACTAACAGATAATGAGAAAAAGTTATAAATATTCTAAGCATTACTAAAATGCGACACAGAGACACAAAGTAAGTATATACTTTGGAAAAATGACACCAATAGACTTGCTCAAGGAGGGTTGCCACGAACCTTCAAAACACCATATCTGTGAAGCACAATGAGGTCAAGCCTAATAAAATGAGGTATGCCTGTAACTCCTGATAAACTGATTGCATAAGCAATGTCATCTGGGTTTTGTATTTATATTGAAACAAATCGAGTCAAAATACCCAGTTGTGGAATTAGCTCTACCCTATCCCCAATGCCAAGGGCATTGCTTCACATATCTGATTTACTAAATATTAGGCTGTATATTTTTAAAGTAATAATATTGCTTAGCTTATGTCCTGACTTTGTCATTTTCCAAAAATATTACCATGGGCAAGTCACTTACTTAATTTCTCTAAGCCCTGATTTTTTCAACTCCAAAATAAGGACAATTACCTCTACCATAGTAAAAAAAAATGAAATGAGATTGAGTCTGTAAATACTTTATAAAACTTTTTAAAATATAACATAAATTGTGTTATAAGTAACACTGTAAACATATAAAATCTTGAATTAATTTATCTTCTTAGAGTTAAAGAATATTCCAAGGTGAAAGAAGAATTGGAAAAAAGAAAAGGTACATAAAAGTGGTAGAATTGGAACCAAAAATCAATATACAGAGTTAAATGGGGGAAAAAGTTAATAGCATTCATTAAAGGAAAAACAATTTCAAAAGAGTCTCATGGATTATTATTATTGATCATCTTAATTAGAGATAAGGACACATGAGGAGTAAGAGAGAGGATATGAGTAATCCTTTCAACAGGGAATGAAAAATAGAAATTAGCTTGATTTCCCAGAAATAATATTGTCAAAAAGGCAGAAAGAAACACTGCTGTCAGGAAGGTATTGCAAATAGGAAGCCTAAGCTAAAATGGCTGTGAGTCACAGAAGTAGCCATTTAAAATTTCCCTGTCCATGACATTTCCATTTCATATTTGTTTCAGAAACAAACAAAAAATATTAATGGTAATATAGAAAGACATTTCAAGCCAAATCATTCAGGATAGAACATATCAACTGAAAATGGCTATTTGTATTACAAGGAAGACACACTTGAAGTCAAAGCTCAATATTTCCCTGAACTACTCTAGGTTGCCATGTGATTTCTTATAGGTCGTTTTTAATAATGGACAGAAGATGAAAGACTGAGTGAGAGAGCACTTGTAATGTGTTTTAAAATGTTCCTTCTGCTATGAGCAGGTTGAGGTAGTACAGTAATAAACAGCACACTGCTTCATTTAGAGTCTTGAAAGTATAGTGATACAATTTAGAAAACATACCACAGCAAAACATCCCAAACACTTACCAGGGATGCTGACAAGATCTGTTCATCTTAGTCAACCAAAGCCCTACTTGAGTAAATCATACCATAAAATCTTAACATATCTTAGCGCTTTGTGTCAACTTAATTCATCCTTTAAAATGCATGCCATTTCCCATTGCTCATTATTTTCAAAAGGAAATTTCATTTATATCCAAATGTCATGCAAAAGATCTAAGTGCTCATGTTGTATAAACATTGGTATCTCCTATAGCTAGATATAACCCACCTCCAATTATTCAATAAACAATGAGCCCTGTACAAGAGAAATATAAATTCACCCCCAAAAAAATTCTTCAATAAAACATCCAGTGGCAGAACCCATACAGGTGACTAGGGTATTAAAGTTGTACTTATAGGGTAATCACTTACTTAACAGCTAGCTGAATAAAACTTGGTATGAGAAGCACATGGAAACTTTAATTATACTTTACACTTTTTTAAAACTATGTCACAAATCAGAATTATAAAAGTTGCAAAATTCATCAAAAAGAAAGGTATGATCATGACAGGGAAAAATCAATACAACAAAAAAATTTAGTAACTTTAAGCCTCAATTCCAGAACCCAGTCACTTTTCCAATATCATTCTTCAGGCTGACCCTATTTCATTTGTGTTTTACCTAGATAATGGCAATTAAGCATTATTTAGCATTCTTTACTTTTAATTCTTCTCTATTGTCATTTCAACTGTAATACATTATCATAATTTAGTCATTATTTAAATGACTTCTTTGATTAGTGGTTTTGGGAAACTTGGCATAATTCAGTGTGAAAAAGTATAATGTGTGTGCTGTAATTATCTTAAACTGGTCAAAATCATTTCAATAAAGACAAAATGTATCCGTCTATTTTCACTCAATTATCCCATATTGTCTGTTTACATGAAATTCCTGACTACTGTACTTAGTAGGGAAAAATAAGAGAAAGCGTGAAGATCTGCTGTAAAAGAGATATTAACCATAAAGTATTGCTCTATTTGAGCATCCTTTATTAGGCACTACTCTGAAATAAATAAATAAATAAATAAATAAATATATATATATATATATATACACACACACACACATACACATATATGTATACACACACTCCTACACGTTTACATTTATCTACATATATCCATAGTATATGTGTATTATATAATGTCGATGGAGAATATGAGTAATATATGATATGTGAATTCATACATAAAGAGGGAGAGAGCCCATAACCGCTCTATCATCTAGCCATGGCAATGTACCTATCTCTTATAGATCTTTTGAATCCCTTTACCTTTTCCATACCCACTCCCACTAACCCCTGACACAATATCACTTGCCTGGACTTGCCTAATAATTGCCTGCTGGGACTGCCTCCCTCTAACCTAACTACCCCATACTAGCTATAACCAATTCACCACAAAGCAGCTAGAGTGCTTCTTTCAAAATGCAAGGCAGGAGGTTTGATTAAGTCACCTACCTTAGAATAAAGATAAATTCTTCATGTGGCCTACAAGGACCTGTATGATCTGCTTTCTACTTATGTCCCCAGCCCCTGCTTCCCATTTGTCTGAGTGTTGTCGGTTTCAATTCACTGTTCTCCTACTCCTGCTTTCACTGTCAGGGACACACCTTGTCACCTATCTGCTTATTCAACTTGCAGATCTCATTTAGGCATCTTCCTTGAGGAAGACTTCTCTGACACCCCAACTGTTTAAAATCCACTCATTACAGCACTTACCTCCCCCTCAGAGTACTTCTCACAGTGGCGGTTTCACACGTTTGTTGATGAACTAATATTTTCTTCCCTTCTAGACTGCTAGCTAAAAGACAGCAGGATGGGTCTGGCTTTGTTCGCCATTATGGACATCTCTAGGATTTAGCAAAGAGGTATGGAGCATAGAAAACATTCATTAAATATTTTTTAATGAATGAATTTAGATTACCTAATTTCATTCATTAAAAAATATTTAATGAACATTTTTATAGCCTTAACCTACCCATCCACTGCCAACCTGTCCTAAATTTATAAATCCTTACTATAAGTTCTTTTGGCAGTTAAGAATAAATAGGCCTCACTTTAAAATGCATAGAAATCTTGTTCTCAGGTTCTAAATCTCCCCAAATATAAAGATAATATTTTAAGGTTTCGGTTAAGAAACATTGGCACCCTTAGTTTTTGTTTACTGCTTTTAGGAAAAACATAAATGTTTGACACAAATATGACTGAAAGCTTGATGCAACTGATTTTAGTTTAATTTTGAGTGGGAATAAGTATATATTCAATATTCATTTTTTGTTATTGCTTCTGTTACTCAATTTCAATATTTATTAAAATAACTAAACACTAATACAATGAAAAGGGCCACCTTGCTATGCAGGTTCAAATGTAAATATTATATTAAGAGGTGGAATAGCTCTGATATTTAAGTTTATTAAATATACCACATGTAAGGTAAAAAATGCATCTAGAATTAGAAAGGAATTTGGAGTCTTTATTTTTTATTATTCTGTGAACACCAGTAGGTATGTAGGATCAAGAATAAAATGGTATTGGGGAACACGTGACCCAGAAGTGACTTCTAATCCCTCTATTTATTTCCCTTTCCTTCCCATGGGGGACCACACACTGGTAAATGTGTAAGTACACTTATTTTTAGCATTTATGAAGGACACTAAAATGTATTACAAATGGATATTAAATTAATCTAGATTACTAGGAGAGGTGTTAACCCAAAGGTATGATTTTCATATCAAAACAAATAATTTTTCTGGTATAAATCCAGTTTATTCCTGAAATAAAACTTGGTCTTCTCATTCACTATTTTCTCCCTCTGGCTTAAAGCTACTCTTTTCTTTCTTATCACCCCTGTCTAATGATGGTTTGCTTTGTGCCATCATACAAGGCTCTTATTCATTATGTCTTATAGAAGGAGTGGATAGACAATTGCTTTTTAAATTTATTATTTTGTAAATTCAGGAGATACTCTTTAACAACATCTATTTTCTCCTATATGTTGTAAAATATACAAAAATGCTAAGACTCACTGTGGATTAATGCAGAAATCTATGACACATAGTTTATACTGTCACTCAATTCCACTAATGACTGAATATTATTACTGAAGGTTTGGTAGCATTTTACATCATTGTAAAGGCAAATCTCTGTTGCCCCTTTCATTCCTATCTATATCCTATCAGCATGCTTAAAAAAAAAGACCCTGGGAAATATAGTGAGATCTCATCTCTACAAATAATAATAATAATGAACAAATTACTAGGTATGGTGGTGCACACTTGTAGTCCCATATACTCAGGAGGCTGAGGCAAGAAGATCACTTGAGCCTAGGAGTTCAAGGCTGAAGTGAGCTATAATCACATGATTGCACTCCAGCCTGGGTGACAGAGTGAGACCTTGTCTGATACATATATGACAAGGTATATATATGTGACATATATATGACAAGGTATATATATGACAAGGTATATATATATGTATATATATATGAGACAAGGTCTCACTCTGTCTCAAAAAAGAAATAAAATGAAACATATGTTTCATCATTTTATTCTTTTCTATAATATTCTAACTTGCTTTTTCTCCAATTATTTCTTTAGTTAATTTAACACGCTTTTCTGAAAAGGGGAAAGTAGACAAAAGGAGTCCTCATGAATTGGAGACTTTCCTTATTACAAACACATGTACCTCCTCTGAAGAAAATATGAAATTTGAATTCGTAAATATGAAAGACGCAAAAATAAAATAGAGAAGTGGAAGTGTCATCTTTGACAATAATAGAAATAGAAATTAACACAAGGGTTTCCTACTGGCAAAGACCAGACTTGAATTGAGTCAGATAATGTATACTCCCATAGTTGGTGAATATTCTGAGCAGTTCTGCCCATGATCATAGAAACCACACCAATAATGTGGAGACTTTTTTCTTTCTTTTCAAAAATAGCAGAACTGTGTGTGTGCTGGGAACTGGGTGAGATGGGATAGGGTGGAGTAGAGAAGGGAAGAATTTGCAGGCTGACTCTCACAATTTCATAAGCAATTTAAAAGGAATTCATGGCAAGACTATGGATGGTTTTCATTACTTCAGCATATATTGAATGTTAAGGTTCTCAAATACTGTGCTTTTCCAAGCTTTATCATGAAGTTTGTTCTAGTTGCTTTTTTCTAATATTAAAGAGGATCATAGCATACGAAGGATCATTAATCTACAAATAAAATCAAATTGTGTCTGCTTAAACCCTTACATGTTATACAGATATAAAGTGGTATTATTTTTGTTACTGTTGTTACTATTATCTAACCAGGAGCCTAGAATTATAAATTTGAAAAGTAAAGACTTATCTTTTAACCTAATTAGTTGCGGTCTATCTCTTATATTCACCTACACAAAAATTACTTCCCAGTTTCCCATATGGATTCAAACTTACTTTCTTGAGGAAATGCTTCCAATATGAATTTCCTTTTCAGTTGAACATACCTTCTCGGGTTTTGGAAATCTGTATTATAGTTACTATGGTCATTTACGTATTGTTTGGCAAGTACTATTTCATGTGTATGTTCTGAATCCTCAACTAAAATATAAACTTGAAGAACAAACAATGAAGTTAAATGTCCAAGGAAAAAGAGTAGCTTGTGATATCAAAAAAGCAAGTTCAACTTCTACTTTCATCATTTCCTATTAGCTTGAAAATGGACAATTTACTTAATCTTCCCAAACCTTAACTTCCTCATTTGTAAAATGTGGAAACCAGTAGTAACTAGCTCATAGACCTTTTATGAGGACTAAATTATTTAATGTATAGATTTAGTTCAGTGTTTGTCACATGATAGGTGTTCAGCAAATATTATTATTATTATTAAATGACTCAGAATTAAACATCTATTTCTTTAGATTCTTCTGTATTCAACCATAGCATCTATTATAGTACTTAATATTTAGTTGGTTCTAATATAGTGTATGGCTTTAAATTTTAAGGACTAAAGATTATTTATTGTTATTACTATTACCAATCTTATTGGCAATATAATTCTTATGAACATAAAATTAGTAGTAAAGTAATAATCTGATTGCAAACACATCATGTGACATTCTTTTGTTTTAATGGATTTATATAAAAATAATTTTTATAAAATTATCTACCTCCTTACCTTAAGAGTTATTAAGAGTAATTAATTTGAGTCATTCCTAGGATGAAAATTGCATGAATGCTGGAGACATGAGATGGTGAATTCTGGGTAAAGAATTCCTAGAGCCTGGTATGGCTTTTGAGTTCTCCAAATTAGATGCCACACAGTTGTTATGTACTAGTCATTCATATATTTAATACATTTTCACTGGACACATTCCATGTGGCAGGCATTTCTCTGAGGGAGAGACATAGTAGAGAACAAGACAGATGTGGTTCTGCTTTCACAGCTTAGAGGGGAGTGCCAATGAACAGGGTCTGCAACGGAGAGAGGGACATGAAATGCTTACAGTTTTCCTAAGTTTGAATATCAAAGTCAGCTTTCAAGAATGATGAAACCATGTTGAACTGATCAGGAGCAAACAAGAAATGCTATGTCACTAGGCTGTATTGAAAACTTGGACCCACCAGCCTATTTTCTATTAATAGTCTTAATATGGATGAAAAAAAATCACTAACCTTTCAGATATTCATTTGGGTGTGGAAGAAGCCTCCTGAAATGAGGAACCAGGAGGGAAGACTCTGAGAGAACAGGTTTCTCACAAACATTTCCTGCTCAGACTTGTTTCAGACAGACTGAAATTTTACAAGAACGGGTTTCTTATTATATCCCTTTTAGCCTCCTGAACTGAAATCAGCTGGCTGTGGATCATTACAAAAGTATCAAGCCTTTTCAAACCTCAAGTAAAAAGAAGAGTTTTATTGAAAGCTTTTTCCTTTAATTCCACCCATATATCTGTAAGTATGTTTCTGCATAACAGATTCTGCATATTTCAGAAGCTTTCTTAATTTGCAGTCTCCCAAAATATGGTTAAGTCAAATCAAATGTCAAATTCAAACACCTGCTACAAATAAACAAGCTTAACAAAAGCTTCTCTGGCTTCCCTGGACACGCTGATCACAAGATTGAACCCACAGCTGAGAGTTAATGAAACATTTTAGAGAGCAATATATTTTAGAGGAAAATCTCCACGGATATTCCTGGGGAGTTAGAGAATTTCCAGGAGTAAGCAATGAAGTCAAATCCTTGCTGTATTAATTTTTTCTTAGTATTTCCAAAGACTCATTTGGGAAAAATGTCAAGAAAGAAAAAATGAGTTTAGCCTGTTCAAAGTTAAGACAGTATGACAATATTTTGGTCCAAAAACACATCCATGACTTCACACAGTTCAGAACCAGGCTAAATTTTCTGCAGAGTTCATAACCAGAGTAAGTTCCTAAGAAGCATCTAGAAATCACTGGCAATTAGAATGTATTTTTACCATTCTTAGAACACATCAGCAAAGCCTCTAGGCCTTTATACTTGCTATGCCTGCACCTAGGATGTTCTTTCCCCATTTCATACATAGTTTGTTTCCTCATTTCATTTAGTCTTAACCCATAACCCTGTCCTTCAAGCCCTCCTTATTCATAGTACCCCATTTCTTCAGTAAGAAGCCTCATCCCTGAGACATTCCTCCTTCACTGACATCCTAATTATGTTTACCACACAATTTTCTTCCTGACCCATTTGCCATTATTTAAATCTTCTAAGCTGTATGTTCTCCTTTAATTCCTACCACCAATTTCATACCTGCCTAGCTTTCCAGCCAACTGTGTGAAGAAAGGGGCAAAAAAGCATGTTGGAAGCAGTAGTGAGGTGATGTGCTTTCTATCTTTTCATCACAATAGTTGGTTCTGATAGGATTCAAGGAATATATTCCAAATGAGAGGTAGGATTCTGCTTCTCTATTAAAGTAAGCCTTTGGTATTCTTACATTTGACATGTGAGATGTTTTATATTTTGCACACCTCCCAAAGATCTATGACAAATTTCTTTTAAAACAAAGTAAAATTAACTTTACCATGAAGAAACATAATATTACCTCAGCCAGATGATCAAGGTTACTATCAACATAAGTCAGATTAATAGTATGTACTGTATTAATCATAAAATGTGATGAGAAGGGCACTTTGCTTCCACTGTCTTCTTGATAACATATAACTCCAGTCTAGCCATGAAAAAATATCATGACAAATTCAAAACAAAGAGAATTCTACAAAATACCCAACCAGCACTCTTCAAAACTGACAGTCAACAAAAACAAGGAAAATCTCAGAAATTGTCACTGCCGGGGGGACCTAAGGAGACATAATGACTGAGCTTAACCTAGTATCATGCATGGGAGCCCAGGATGGAGACATGAGAGAAAAACCAGTGAATTCCAACAAAGTATGGAGTTGATAGTAATGTATCAATGTTGGTTTCTTAGTGGTGACAAAGGTACCATAGTAATGTCCGGTGTTAACAATGGGAGAAACTGGGTGTGGGGTACATAGGAATGCTCTAGACTGTCTTTGCAACTTTTCCGTAAATCTAAAATTGTTCTCAAAAGTTTTTTTAATGAATCTACAATATCCCAATTAAATAAAAGAATATATTAGGAACACTTACAACTAATATCTTTTTGTCCCTTGGGAACTATGTAATAATACTAATAAGAACCATAAAAACTATCATTTATTGAGCACTTACAAAGTGCTGGAAGCATGCTAAGCACAACACATGTTAATTCATTTTATCCATGCAGCAAGCCTAAGCGCTAGGTACTAGTATCACTCTCCTTCTACATATGAAGCAACTGAGACAGAAATAAGTAGGGGTGGGTGGCTGAGTTGCTGATTAATGTTGCTAATCAGGGAAAGGACTGTTAAACAGTGTAAGTTTCACTATATGACGTTTCTCAGATTACATAGCCATACTCAGATATTAGAGAGACTATTTCCCATAGAGGGTGCTGGTTAGAAGATTATAATAGGGTAAACTATTCCTGACAGAGAAAGTACACGGAGAATATAATCAGATTTTCTACTCTAAGGCTTGGGTAGATTGCAACTGCATAGCAGAAGAATACTATACAATTCTGGAATGGGCATATGGCGAGATATTCAGTCCTAGGGATCTCAGGAGTCAGTAATTAAAGATGAACCGGGATTCATATAAGCCGGCTTTTACTTACAAATGTCGATTATATGCCAAAGATATGGAAATGGCTTGCAATAAGAGGACTAGCCAGCCAAGAGCTGCACTCTATTCTGAAGTAGTACTTCAAGAGCCAACCTTGTTTAAAAGCCTGAAAATCAGGAAAATTACCAGAGTCACTTTGGACCATGTCTGTGAAAGAGATTTTCTGTTGGGGGAGAAAAGGGAGGCTAATAGGGCTAAGAACCAGAAGAAACAGAGAGAGGGAAGACACCTAGTCCTGCAGCAATCCATGCTCAGAAAGCTGAGCAGGGGAGTCTGGATGATGCCTCCCACAAAGTCAAGGTCATCCTGGTACAAACAACATGGGACTTGACAGAGAACAGCACACTTAGCTTGTTCCCCTTTCACTCTGGTCTAAGTTTGTCCCTGAAGGCTTAATGAGGAGAAAACAGAGCAGATTCCAGGCCTTAGCAGACCCCGTCATTTACTCTGCTTAGAAATATGTAGAAAAATGTGTCTGATTCCAGTTACAAAGAATGCAACATTGCGACTCCAGTACCTACAAGAATGCCCTACATGTACTAGTCCCTTGATAAATATTTATTTACTGAACAAATAATTCCAACAAATTAGTTTTTGTTTATTAAATTTCACATTCGATAACACCATCTAATTATATATTGATGCATTCTATCTAAGTCAAAATTCTAATTCACAGAATGAGGGGAAAAAGAAAGAAGGAAATTAGTATCATAATTTTTAAAATCTTTTCACCATAAGGCTTATTTCTGGATTGGTTTCCCATACATTAACTATGTTCTGACACTCTGAGAATAGTTAATATATATTCATTGCTCAACAAATATGTATTCATTGTCTGCTATGTATCAAAATTATGCCTGATTATGAGGATACAGAGGTGAATTACAAATAGTATTTTCCCTCAGAAAATTCACCTTCTAGAATAATAATAAAGACTAACACATATTAGGCACATGTGCCTAGCACTGATTAAGCATGCTACATGTGTTATTTACCAATCAATTTATAAAATGAGACTATTATTATCTCCATTTTCCAGATGAAAAAGATGAGACTGAGAGAGCTTAACTCACTCACTCAATGGTTACATAGCTGGCAAAGTAAGAGTTAACATTTGAGCCCAGAAAAACTGACATAAGAGCCCACAGAGTAAAAAAAAATAAAGACATATATAATTTATAAAAATATATTTACTTGTAATATATATAATGTCTAGTACAATAAAATGATGAATATTAAATATCAATGGCATAATCTGAAATTCAATGAGCCTCACAAACTCAAAAGACCCGAGTAGGCTATGTATGTCCGTGGGAGTTGGGGAGAGAAAAAGAATGATTTAAAAAGTCACAATATTGCCAGGCATGGTGGCTGATGCCTGTAATCCCAGCACTTTTGGAGGCTGAGCCTGACCATTTGAAATCAGGAGTTCGAGACCAGCCCGGCCAACATGGTGAAACTCTGCCTCTACTAAAAATTCAAAAAAAATTAGCCAGGTGTTGTGGTGTACATCTATAATCCCAGCTACGAGGGAGGCTGAGGCAGGAGAATCACTTGAACCCCAGGAAGCAGAGATTGCGATGAACTGAGATCACACCACTGCACTCCAGCCTGGGCAATAGAGTGAGACTCCATCTCAAAAAAATAAATAAAGTCACAATATGAGTAATAACACAATAATCTGAATTCTATCAGCAGAATCTAAATTTAAATCTTTCTTTTAGAATTAAGAAATATCCAAAATATCTCATATATGTTCACAGTCTGAGCCACCCTTCCTGTTATTCCTGACAATGATAGCCTCAAAGGAGGAAGTAGTTAACTTTTTGCAGAGATTTCCACTGAAATTATGGAAAAAGAGGAACTCAATGTGGAGAAGGGATATTTCTTTATATAGTCAAAGAAGGTAAGATACGAAACATGAACAAATATTCCAGAATCTCTGGAACATGGAGTATGTAGTGTAAAGAAGAATATGAGGAAATGATGGGCAGAGGCGGATTACACATAATCTCATAAACTTTGCCAAAGAGCCATTGAAGGGTTTTAAGTAGAAGGTTAAGATGAACAGATTTGTGATTTAGAAACAGGATAGAAACTGAAGTACACTGTCTATTAATTTACTAAAATGGTGAAAATTCTTGAGGGAAAAAAAGTGAAATAATACAAAGGACAGTGAATATGAATAAAAGGGAATGGATATGGAAACACGCCATCTAGGTCAAACTGACAGTCTTCAGTGAGAAACCAGATTTTCTTTCATTCATGTATTCAAAGGATATTTCTTGAGCACCTACTATGTCTCTGGCATGGCTCTAGATGCAGCCACAGAGAAGACGAAGTCTTTGCCTTGTGATGCTTGCATTCCAGTGCAGGAAGCAAAAAATAAGTAAATCTATAATCATACATTAGATAATAATAAATGCAATGAAGAAAAATAAAGCAGGATAAGGTATGTTGAAGGGGTTGTGGGTTCATGGGATATGGAATAGAGGAGAGTGTGGGAAGAAGAATTATGGCCCCTCAGAGATGTCCAAGTCCTAAACCCCAGAACCTGTGAATATGTTATGTCACATGACAAAGATAAGTTAAGGATGTAGGTGGAATTAAGGAAGATGATCACCTGAACTTAAAATAGCATGGTTACTCTGAATTATCTGGGTGAGCCCAATTAATCACAAGTTTATACTTAAAAGTAGGAGAGGAAATCCGAAGAAACAGAGACGGCAGTCTGAAAATGACTCGGCTTGATGTTGAAGACTTTGAAGGTGGAAGAAAGGCCATGAACCAAGGAATGTGGGCGGCCTCCAGCTGGCAAAGAAATAGATTCCCCCAGAGCCTCCAGAAAGGAACACAGCCCTGCCGACACCTTATGTTAGCCCAGTTAGAAACGTGTCAGACTTCTGACCTCCAAACTGTACATAATAAATTTGTACTGTTTAAGCTACTACAATTGTGGTGATATGTGATAGCAATAGGAAACGAGTACAGGGAGACAGGGCTTCATCACTGAATGGTCACCTGAATGATGAGTGGTGTTGTTATTTTAGGCAGAGGAAATAAAAAGTTTACTTATTTGTTATTGAGGGTGGATATTTCAGAAAAAATAATGAGTTTAAATCTGAAATTCTCAAGTGTCAGACACCAATACGGACATTTAGAAGGAAATGTTTAGGATATAGTTGGAAGAAATGTCAGAAAAAATAGGACACTAGATTGGGAAGTTTTGCATTATTTTTAACCAATTTGAATGTGGTGGTAGAAGCCATAAGCAAGTATGAGATTGCCAGGGAGTGTTGTAGTAGCATGAGAAGTAAGAATTCCTGGGGCTGAGACCTTGACAATACTCACAGTAAAGAGAAGTTGGGGAAACAGTGACCTGCAGAGGAAACTCATCTATATCTATCAAGATATATCTAACTCCACATCAGATCTCACTCTTGAGTCCAGACCCACATTTACAACAGCTGAGGGACAACTTCCCCACATATGGATGCCACATATGCCATTTCTTATGGACTGAATGTCTGTCTCCCCCTCAAATGTATATGTTGAAACTTTAACCCCCAATGTCATGGTATTTGGAGTGGGATCTTTGGGAGGTACTTAGGGTTAAATGAGGGTGATGCCCTCATGATGAGATTAATGCCATTGTAAAAAGGAGACACCAGAGAGCTTGGTGTCTCTCTTTTTCTCCACATGTACTCAATGAGGGAAGGCCACGTGAGGATACACAGAGAAGGCAGCCATCAGAAAGCGAAGAAAAAAGCCCTCATCAGACACTGATCAGGGACTTCTGGCCTTCAGAACTGTAAGAAAATAAATCTCTGTTGTTTAAGCCACAAACTCTATGGTGCTTTGTTATGACAGTGTTATAATTAAAAATAATGAGTTTAAATCTGAAATTCTCAAGTGTGTTCCCACTCTGGTATGACACAGTTATTTTCCTGTTGTGCCAAACAAGTGCTTTGCCCTAGTATTGCAGACTTTTCACTCCGTGAATGTTTTGGTTATTCTTTTCTATAAAAATAAGAAAATAAAAACTTTGAAAAGTTCACTGAATTAGGTAACAACTTTTACCAGATTTTATTTCTATTATTGTTTAGCTATCAAAACACAAGCTTTAAGAAATCTGGACACTTCATGAGCCAAGTCACATAAGCATAAACATTGACTGTTCATGTATATAGGTACCAACATACACATGAATCTAAAAATGTACTTTGAATTGATTCTGGAGCACTTTTTGAAGTTCAATAAATGCCTTAGAATCAGCTGGAAGTCCACAAATGGTAATAGTATTTAGCTCATTTCAATAGAAATTATCTCATTAACATGCCAGCTGCTAAAAATGTATGAGCCCAGCCATGTCCTTTGCCTGCCTCAAGGAAAGAAACCATGCTTGCACGGTTTTGGTTAAAAAAAAAAAATCCTTGTTTAAATTGTTAACAGTTGCTCCAGCGTGGCCCATGGCAAGAAATTTAACCTTCTCTCCCTCCCTCCTATATGAGCATTTCCATACCCTTCAGCTAGCTTTTATATTGTCAATGCAAAACAAATTTTCTGACTGCATGTTAAACTATTTAAACCAGCTTTAGCAATAGACACCCTCCTCGGTGTAGTGTCATAGTTTTAAACCTAAACCTCAGAACACAGAAGACCCAAGTCTTCTGTAAAATGATCAAAAGTCTTAAAAGTAATGAGCAATATGAGTGATAAGATCAAAATAGATATTCAGTAAAAGGATCACCTAGCATTAACTAAGCAACTCTTTTAGATTATCTGCTCTATAAATATTTAATTAAGTTAAATGGAAACTTTTCAAATAATTTTCTTTTCACAGTTATAAGGTTTCCTTTAAGGTAGATGTCTTAAGGGACAGGCTTTATTTCTGTATTTGGTCACTCAGAACACTGGGATGTTTTGAAAAATATCCTATAGAAGCTGCCTTGAATTAAAGCAATTTCAACAAATGTAGTTTATACCAGAATTATAATTAATAACAAATATTTCCTAAAATTGTGACCAAATGGAATATTGAGATCTGCATTATTATAACCTAAGTGAATTAAATTTTAAGTTTTTAGAACTGCTCATTCAGTACCAACATTGTTTATTTTGAGTCATTCTCTAAGCTCATATTACAAAAATATAAAATCTAAATTAGAGAGAACACAAAGTAAGAGAAAGAATATTTTAACTCTCATCTATTGATGGATATTAACAGAAGCAGAAGTGGGTACAGTTAAACATCCCACTGACAGAAAGAGGTGCTTTGTTTTTTTTAAGGAGCAGCACCTAACAGCGGAGAAACTATTAGAGAAAGAAAATGTTTATATCCTGGTTTTTCTGCTAACTGGCAATGTTACCTTGAGCAAAATACTTAACTTTTCTTCAAGTTCCTAACTTCTCTAATATGTATAGTAATGTCAGTGATGAGAATGCCATCAGATAGTTTATATAAAAAGCATTTGGAAAAGAAAAAAGCATAAGCTAGTATTACCAAAAGCAGAATAGATAAGTGCTTTGACAAATTCACTGTTTCACTCCAAAAATGTAATCACCACCTGATAATAATGCTGCTTTCAGATTTAGAAACTAGAGAAGAGCTGCATGTATTCCCACTCTGGTATGATGCAGTTATTTTCCTGTTGTGCCAAACAAGTGCTTTGCCCTAGTATTGCAGACTTTTCACTCTGTGAATGTTTTGGTTATTCTTTTCCATAAAAATAAGAAAATAAAAACTTTGAAAAGTTCACTGAATTAGGTAACAACTTTTACCAGATTTTATTTCTATTATTGTTTAGCTATCAAAACACAAGTTTTAAGAAATCTGGTTAACATTTCAAAATACCGTATAAAACTGCTTTTGCTTTTTCTTGGAAAAACCGACTGCGAGTACATCTGAAACCTTCTTGACAAGTTCTCTGAAAGCAATTAGTGGCTTTCTTTTCTTAGTTATAATGTGAGGTTTCACAGAAACTTTTCAAGTCTCCTGCTCCTGTCTTTTTTCTAATGCTTTAAATCCAAATGGCAAGTAGCCAGATTGCACAGAGCTATTGAATGCAGAAAACAGGAATCTCTTCACATCTACAAACCAGCTCTGCCACTTCTGCTCCAGGCACCAAGGAATAAAAAGAGAGAGAAACAGGAAATGTAGAAGAACGGGACCTTAGGTTAAGCTAAGACTCCTTGAGTACTGCACCAAAAGTAAGATCTATCAAAACAAAATTGAGAAATTGGACTTCATCAAAATTAAAAACCCCCTCTTTTAAAAATGCCATTAAGAGAGTGAAATGCCACAGATTAGGAAGACAAGATTTGCAAATCATATATTTGATAAAGGATGAACTTAAAGGATACATAAAGAAATCTCAAAACTCAATAAGAAAAAAATTTTAATGGGCAAAATATTTGAACAGACACCTCCCCCAAAGAATTCATGCTGACTGCAAATAAACAGATGAAAAGATGTTCAACATCATTAGTCATTAAGGAAATGAAAATTAAAACTGCATTGAGGTACCATGACACACCTATTAAGATGAATAAAATTTTAAAACTTACCATATCTAATGTCTATAAGAATGTGGAAGAACTAGAACCTTATACACTGCTGATGGAAATGTAAAACAGCGCAACCGCTTTGGAAAACAGGTAGACAGTTTCTTAAATAAATAAGAGTCAGCCATTTTACTCCTAGATATTTACCCAAGAGAAATAAAAGCAACTGTCCATGCAAAGTATTGTACTTGAATGTTCATAGCAGTTTTATTTGTAATAGTAAAAAAAAAATGGAAAAAATCCAAATACCATCAAAATGTGAATGAAAAAACAAATGGTCCTTTATCCATGTAACAGGCTACTGCTCTACAATACAAAAGAATGAACTGTTGGCACATAATCATATGGATGAATCTCAAAATAAGTGTAATAAGTTAAAGAAACTAGACAAAAAAGAAGACATTTTATATGATCCTAATTAGATAAAATTCTAGAAAATGCAAAGTAATCTATAGGAACAAAAAGCAGCTGAGTGGTTGCCTGGGAAAAGGGAAAGAGAGTGAGAAAGATGGGGTGTAACAGGAAGAAAGGATTACAACAAGGCATAAGAAAACCTTTGGGAGTGATGAATATGTTAATTATCTTACTTGTGATATTTCATGGATAGATACATAACCTTATCAATTTTACACTTTACATATATGCAGTATAATGTATGTCACTTATATTTCAATAAAGTTGTACTTTAAAAAGGAAAGAAAAGGAAAACTCTCTCCAAAGACAATGTTAGGGTACCATATAAGAAGAAATAAACCAAGTTGTCTGCTCTTGACACACACTGAATTTCCTTTTCCTTCTCATATTATCTGCAAATTTATGAACTATCAATGAAACTATGTAGTCTTCATCAATAATATACATGCAAAAGGCAGCAAAACAATTAGCCACTCTTCTCCCTACTTGCCCAGAGAATAACAATGTCTAATGAGCAGCAAAGCATACAGATTTGATTTCCAATGTTTCCCTTCTCTGGGAGCATGGGCAGGTAAAATATGCTTAGACCTTAGAAAATGCTTGTTTAGTAGGCTTGACTAGGGGACAGATGCACAATCTTTTTTTTTTTTTCTTTTTGCCACCAACTTCTGCACCAGTTATCTATTGTCTTGAAGCCTGGATGGCTGTGTCCATGAAGCAGATGGATCAGTTCTATCCTATTTCTAGTTATGATACTCACTGATAAAATAAACATTTCCTCCTTGCTGAGCATTCTTGTTCACATGTGTTCATTTGGCATTGTACCTGCTTACAAGATGTTCTAGCAACATTGGTGCCAAGTCATAACAGTTTCACTCCAGGAGCCTAGGAGTCTTCAAGATATTATATAAGTCTGCCCCTGATCCCTCCCCAATGATGATGATGATAATAAAGCTTTAGACTCCCTGTAATAAATTTTTGATATTTTCAGATAAGTTCAGCTTAAGCTATTTTAATGAAGATATCAGTTTTGACACCCTCAGTGTACAGTGAAGACCAACTCATTCCCATTTCTGTTTCTCCCCTACCGAAGGTGCCAATGGCTTTAATTAAAAGGAAGGGGCTGCTTGCCAACTGGAGCTGCCTCATGTGCTCTATGAAGCTGCCCACCATAGCTGGTGGGCCAGAGACCCAGGCTCTATCCTGGAGTTTGACTTTTGGCTCCTGCCAGAATTCACACCACCTGAAAAGCAGCAGAAGAGAGCCAAGATGTCTGCAGCATGTGGAGCTATTTTCTTGGCACAAGTGCAGTTCAGTTTATACCAGATAATGTTGTCTATATAGAGCATTTCTGCATACATAAATAGGCAGTTCATACAGCCTTGTTAGACACAGTAATAGAGTTTGTACTGAAAATTGACCCAGAGCTGAATTCTGCCAGTTATCCCACGATTAATTCACTGTACTGGCAGAGAAAACACAGCCCTAGCTGTACCCTTGGCTTCAGATTGAGAATCAGCGTACCAGGAGCTCTACCAGTATGGTCCATCTAGTCAATAGAAAGTGAATCTGGAGGTTTTGAATACCTTTCAGACATTCCTAACGTACATTAAATGGGAATACAGCACAGTACAAGCAATGATTCTTCCTAAAATACCATACCCTGCAGAGCTGTGGGTGCTTTTTTGTCACCCTTAAGAGGTTTAGAATATGTAACCAACCCACGTTTCCTGCATCCTTTGGGTTTCCAGTATACAAATACACTCCAAAGACCACAGTGCCAACAATGGGCAAATTCCCTAGGATTCCGACCAGCCAAAGGATTTGGAAACAACCGATTTGTCTTTAGAAGTATCATGAGTATAGTGCTAATCAAAAACTGAGTTTTGGTTTCCTATACTTCTTCCCTTTCCAACACTGTTAGTGTGAGCTTGCTAAATGTTTCTCCTCAGCCTGAAGGTAAAGGGATTCTTAGAAACTTCCCAGACCAATTTAACATGTCTCCAAGCCAAATTTTAGAAACAAAGTCGCATTTTCATATTTAAAAAAACCACCCAGTTCCTATTTACTTGAATTACTGCTGATTTTAGACTAAATTGAAATATTGGATATTTGGTTACTCTGTCTCCTATGATCTTTTTTTTTTTTTTTTTTTTTTTTTTTTTTTGAGACGGAGTCTCGCTCTGTCGCCCAGGCCGGACTGCGGACTGCAGTGGCGCAATCTCGGCTCACTGCAAGCTCCGCTTCCCGGGTTCACGCCATTCTCCTGCCTCAGCCTCCCGAGTAGCTGGGACTACAGGCACCCGCCACTGCGCCCGGCTAATTTTTTGTATTTTTAGTAGAGACGGGGTTTCACCTTGTTAGCCAGGATGGTCTCGATCTCCTGACCTCATGATCCACCCGCCTCGGCCTCCCAAAGTGCTGGGATTACAGGCGTGAGCCACCGCCTATGATCTTTTAAAATTACATATTTGCCAAGGTGAAAGTTCTCAAGTTTTTTTTTTTAATATTTGGTGCGCATACTGAGAAAATACCAGTTACTACGCTATTACTATGAGGTGCAAGATTAAAACTCTGATTATTTTCCACTTGTTAAGGAACTGGAAATTTTCCTTGTTGACAGAAACAATTTTTGAAAGTGAAAACCAAGCAAAAGTTGATACATTTTACAGAGTATGTCTCCAAGCAGCTCGCATAAGAGTAGTAAAGTCATGTAGTTACAGTCGTGTTCCTTCTTATTCAGGCATTTCCTAATATATCAAAACAGCTGCTTACTTAGTGAAAAGGTCCACGCTGGCATAGTCTAAGTGTTCATTCTGACTGTTCTTGGAAAGAAGTGAGGCTGATATAGGCTAGTAGTTGGTGTGTGCAACACAGGTGCTTCTGCTATTCAGTTATCAAGTATTTTTAACCTCATCCCAGATTATAAACTGTAATTGGTAATAAATTGGTAGCACTTTTTTCCTCCACCATAGTGCCATGTTATACACAGCCACCTTAGAGGATGCTTGTCATGGGCTAGATTGTGAAGGGGAGAAAAAGACAACATCCTCCCTTGAAAACAGGAACATGACAAGGATATAAGTTGATTCACTGTGGTATTATTACTTTGCCCTGTTTCTTAATTTTTTGCCTCTTTCACCTTTGAGACCTTGAGGCTTTCATTGCATTTCTTCATCACAATATAAGAAAGTCACAATCGAGGCTGGTAATAATAACAGCTACCATGAGCTGAACACCTGCGGTGTCAGGTCCTGCATTAGCATTTTGCCCATAAGTCCATACAATCCATAATCTTCACAACAGTCTTCCAAGATAAGTATTATTACCCCTATTTTATGTACAAGGAAACTTCCGTTCAGAGAGGGCAAATTATTTACCAACAGACATACAGAACTAAGTGGCAGAGTGGAGCTTCAAACCCATGAGTTTCTTCCTCCAAAGCCAGTGTTGGTTCTATTACACATTATGGTGTTCCTTCCAGAAAAGTTATAAGGGCCATTGAGCTCTCCTTGAGAGTCAGCGTGTTCACTCCATTTCTGCCACAGCTTGCATTATGAAGCAACCAGCCATTCTCCACCATTGAGGGTGAATCTTAATTATTTTCACATGGTTGTGTTTGCTACTATAACAATAATACCCCCATGCATGGCTAATCAAGAAGTGGCTTGTTTCTTACCAGAAAAAAATGGCTCTGGAATTCAGGATCTAGTGAATTCTTATAATTTTATATTGCCTCCGTATTCATTTTAAGTATAAGTTGGACTTTCTTATACAGAAACAGGGCATAGTCACTCTTGACAGTTTCCAATTCTCTGCCTCCTACCAGTTCCTCAATGTGATTGATCCAGATGTTTGCCTTGTGCAACAACAACTTCCTGGTGACCCTTTCCACATGGGACAGCTAGGTCCAACCTACTTGACTGTCCCCACAGACCTCCCACTCTGTTCAGATATGTCACACTGACCACTTCTCAGTCATAGCATGACGTCCTGGAACACGTGCCTGCTTGCTTTAAACCCACCAATTAGAACTTGCCCTGGGAAACCTGTTTGGGTAACACCCTGAACCCCAATAAAGGCTTTGGTCCTCTGGTCCCTCCTCTCTCTCTTGCTCCCCACCTGCTAGTTGAGCATGTGTGTCCCAGACCCCACTGGTCCTGCAAGACGTATTGCCCTCTTTTCTCTAAGATTGGTAAGTAGTAAAAATTTCTTCTGTTATTTTACGTGTTTGTTGTGCTGCCACCTCTGTCTCACCTGACTAATACATCTGAACCGAACTCTCCTTCTGATCAGTGCTGTTCTGGAAGGTGGCTGTCTTGGTAGGGATAAACTGGGCACAGATTAGAGAAGAACCACAGTGCATCCGATGGCATAAACAAGTTTCCCAGGAGAGGGACGCCTGGTCACAGGTCAGATACTTAGGTGTTAGGCCATCCGCCAGGATAAAGAAGAATCCTGTGAAAGCCATATTGTAAACATCAACTATGGTCACTCCTGGAACCCCATCAGGGCAAGGCTAGAGCTTATAGCCACTCTCCAGAGGAGACCTCAAGACTGAATTAAAAGTAAATACAAGAGAGAATATAGTCTGGAACAGGCCAGATATAGTTGGAAGAGAAAGACAGTTGGATGAAGATAAAGGGGCTAATTTTTAAAGTTACTATTACAATGATGGAGACATTTCTCAGGCAATCCTAGAGTTTGTTTTGCTTAAATAAAGTGACGATATAAATTTCTTAGTAAGTCAGGAAAAAAACCTTCTGGATTTAGGACAGGGAGACGGATTCAGGACAGGGATACTTCAGCAAAAACTGTTGTAGCTGAATTCTCTGTTCTCTATCAATTCTATCTATTGTCTTCAGATTGATTTATAGCTAATATAGTAATATAATTTTTGTCATACTCAGAAGTGTTATTTTTCAAACTTGAAAAAATTATTCTTCCCTTCTAAAAGAAAATAATAATCATGGAAGCTCCTTTTCATATTAAATAAAAACTTCTTATGCTTAGAGATAAACAACATTGATAATAAAATAGATGTAGTCAAAACTATGAATATAATAAAGTTATCAACTTAATTTAACATAATGTTATTTTACTAAAACCAAAGTGTTGGTTATAAATAGTAGATATTATTACAGCTTCAAGTCTGATTCTATATATAAATTTTCTGAATTCAGTGATCTAATGCAGAAAAATGCCTTTTTAACTTAAGTACATATATTTAATAACTTTAAGATTCCTTTGCTACTTCAGGATAGTCAGACCTTAGATTCAATCAAAACTCAATAACAATGTATTTTCACAAGCTGATGTACACTCAATAACTATATAAAAATTTTTACTTAATTTAATTGAAGATTAGTAATATGGTATGCAAGTTAAGACTGATTTGGTAATTGATATCAAAATACCAGTTATTTAAATGTCTTTAGTTTTTTTTCTTTTAATATTCTTATCATAAAAGAAATCTTGAAATAGCCCATAACTGATACAAGGAACCCATGATATCATCAAGAATTCTGGCTGCTATAATTCTGCTCCATTGTTATAAATCCCATCTTCTACTTAAAAATATATTGGTTATTTAATTGGGTTCTTTGTAAGAAATTTACAGCACCAATATTTGAGGATAAACTCCATTCATTGGGGCAAACAGATCACAGGTAGCCCTGGAGCTGACAGCTCGCTTTGATTTTTGGTAAAGTTTGTGAGTCCACAGCTCTCTGATCAGCCTTGCACTGCTCTATAGTCTTGTATTTCTCATTTTCTTGGTCAAAAATCTCACCTTCCTAGTGTCTGTGTTTCCACAGCTGCTTTTTCTTGAAGTATACATCAGTGAGATGTTTTGGGATTTTCACACTGCTGATATCAATTTTTGTGGAAGTGCCAATGACAAATTTTTGGTGTGTTCTTCATAGAGGAACTAGATTGAGGACCAGTATTCCAGTCACAAGTTGCAAGCCATTGCCCAGCTGCTTCAGAAAAACCACCTGCTTGCCTCTGTGGCATTCAGTGAGGATGATCAGAATGGTCCCAGGAAAGATGCTAGCCTATAGTTTTCTCACATGCCGATTGAAGGGTTTCTTGCTGTGGCTCAACGGCTTTGAAGGCACATCTTCAATAGGATCATAGCTACACATTATGCAAAGTTTAACCACCGGGTTACCACCATTCTTGTCACCATCAACTGGTTTTGTAACAGTTGCAAGAATCTTTCAATTCTGTATTTAGCAGTTGAGTACTTCTTGTTCATGGCCTTTTGGGAATACATGGCAGACCAAAAATATCTGCCAATTCCTGTGATGAGAACAGGACCTTGGCTGCAGTGGGCCTTCCTCTTCTTGGACTTTTTAGCCTGAAGGTTAGCCTTTTTAATGTTACCACTGGCATCAGCCTTCTTGGCATCAGGTTTTTCCTCCTTAGTATCCAGCTTATCAACTTTTTCGTCTGCCATCTTGCAAGATGGAAAAGAAAGCTGTCTTTCACTTTTGTTTCATAGCCCATGAAGCTCATGCTGGAGTTCCAAACATCATATCCACAGTCACGGCAAAAGAGGGAGTAAATATAAAGGGATAAAAAAAAATCTTCCCTACTGACTTGGTTCCCTTTAAACAATCTTCCCATAATTTCAACAAAATATTTCCACTTACATTATATTTTCCAAAACTTAGTCACATAGTGATACCTAGTTGCAAAGAAAGAAGGGTAATGTCGTTTGTTTGTACATTTTTAATTTCTAGGCCACAATGTGCCAGGTTTGTTACTAAGGCAAGACAGGAAAATGGATACTGAAGTAGGAACTATCAATCTCGGTCATATGTTTTATTTTTTAAGTCTGCATTATAAAAATCTAATGCATCTGTTAATATAATCAATAGCACATTCACTGCTAATAAACTATTGCCATTTGGTCCATACAAGAATGACACACATTGGATATGCCTACTTACAATGTGGAAACCTCTACAGTGCAGGTTCCTTTGACTTCTACTTGCCTTAACTGTTATATGCAAAGTGGTGATTCAAGTCTACAATTATTTTTCTCTGCTAAAACTCTAGCAAAACTTTTATTGATACAGCACATGACAGTTGTCAGTTTTTAATATCACCTCCCAGCATCCTGAGGGATCATAATTATCTGATTTTTTATAAAGAAAGAATCAGAGTTTTATAGAGATCAGATAACTCGCCCAAAGTCATGTAACTAAATCCAGAGCTGGACCCCACTACAGATGCTGTGCTCCCACAGGGCTCCTCATAATGATCCAGAAATCTGTGCAAACCACCTTTGACACAGAGTTATTTCTTCAGATCTAGGAATCTAAAACACACTGCATAGCCACGTAACCCTATACAAATTTCCCAGTGGCTGAAAATAATCTGTTTTCCTTGGCACCTCAATTTCAAGGCATCACGTAGATACTAGGTAGAGTAAGTGCTACACTACCAATAATACCACTACTATAATAACAGTGGAGATATATTACTTTACTCTTCCATTACACTGTTGATGATAAACACACAAGTTTTAGTAATTATTATAGAAAAAAAGCACATCAATGTGGTTAATAACATTAATTCTGGACCCACACCGGCTGCTTTTGAATTGCAATTCCAAGCTTACTGGCTGTGTTGTCTTTGTTCAGCTAATCAATTCCTCTGTGCCTCAGTTTCCTAATTTGTAAAATGTAGACAGTCATAGTATTTATAATCCAGGGTTGTTAAAGTATAAATGGGTTAACAATTAGTATTTACCATAGTGCCTAATGCATAGTAATACTATAGTGTTTGCAATCATTAAGGAAAATAATGTGTTACTACAGTTATTAAAATCATTCTATGGAGGTGCATAAGGGAAAGATTATCATAAATAAAATACTTTAATGTGAGGGTCCTAAGGAAGGAAGAATTCAGAGAAACATACATACTAAAACACATTTGACAATCATGTAGAGGCTAAATCAAATAATATCTTAATATCTTAGATTCGTTACTTATTTTGGATAGACTTTGTCCTGAGCTAGTGATACAGAAAAGGATATTTGGATATTTTGTAGCCAATAATTGTAGACTTTAAAATAAGGTATCTTTGTTGTTATTCAGACTGCCAGGTTCACATTAGAAATAACAACTGGCTATCTGAGAAAAGTAGGAAATTAGCCTTTCGTTCGGGTGGGAAGGGAACATTCAAGCACTTGAGAAAGGTGAGAACTGTCAATGTAAAGCAACACTGACAACCAAAGATTAACGAGAGGACTAAAGTGGGATTTTTATGAGCATTTTCATAAAATTTTCATTTTCATAAAATTCATTTCATTCATTTCATAAAATTTTCCTTTTCATAAAAATTTTATTTTCTGATTAACCTTCTGTTATCCTTCTGCATTAGGACTTCTCTTACCTCCCCTGATTTTATTTTTCAATTTGATGTCATATGTATCATATTTATAACACATCGTAAATAAACAACTAAACAAATGTGTTTAGAATGTCTCCTCATTCTGTTCATCAGAGGCAGTTAAGGACAGCCCTAGTCTTAATTTTATAAAACAAAGTAAAATATTCATGGAAAAATAATTACTAGAAGAAAACAATGTATTTCTGAGTGTTGTTATAAAAGGGTTTTATTTTCACACCAGTGAACTCAGTCATGTGGCTTCTGAGAAGGAAACACCAGAGTTCACTTCCTCCCCTCCTCAAAAGAAAAAATAATGGGTTCAAAACTTTAGAACCAAAGGCAAGAAATCCCAGAGAAAATAAACCAGTTATGCATGAAGAACCCTAATACAGTTTTGCGTATTTTAAGACTGGACCTATAAACTTGCTTTAAATCTTGTTCTTCATGTGGTTAAACTATGTCCCACAAAGTTCAGAAGCGAACTTCAACTCCTTTTCCTCTTCTTCATGTGCTGGCCAAACCCTCAAACACACCACATCAGACATGCAAACAGGTGGATGTGATTCCCTGAACAGAGTAATTGATAGAGTTTAACAAGGAAGTCTTCCTTTCCTCTTAACGTGTACAAGTATGTGTTACTAAAAGGAGCCATGGCTCTCAGGCAGGATAAGACACAGATGGTAAATCTTGGAAGACGAAGAAATTGAAGAAATAGGTCCAAAGCAACATAATACAATAGCTGTGAGTCCCAAGCCCTTGTGCTGTCTTAAGCTGTACAAGGGAATCTCTGTGTCCTCCCTAACTTAGGATCCCAACAGCCTCTCAATCTTGGCATATGTGGAGACATCTGAGACCACATTATGTCCTGGTGTGGTTCATACAATTATCCACACTCTTCCCTTTATAGGCTCCTTCTTGTTTCCATCTGACCAATTTCTAATGCAGTATTACCCATACTGGAGGGCAGGAAATAGCATGAAGAACCAGTAGAACTCTATTAACGGTGGTCAAAGTTTTGATAGTGAAGAATGAGAATTAGAAAACAATCTCTTCTGTCCACAGGTTCTGTGGCCCTAATTAATACATATAATGGAGAAATGGATCCCACTTGAGTCCCAGAGCTATTAAAAATAATTCTAAATTATAATTTTTGGACCTAAACTTTTCCAAGCAGTTATTTTATTTGGTAAATCCATTCTTTCTCCAGGACTTTATGTAATACCTTTGAGTAGGCTGTCTTAATGCACATATGCAAGACCACTCACATTTGTGATAAAATGTTGCTTGTATTTATTATAACATCCATCCATTCCAGGAAAAGAAAAAAAGCAAAGTAAAAGTTGGAATTTACAAATTATTTTGTGCTTTTTTTTAATTGGACAAGTTCTAAGATTTTAAAAGAGTGAACAAGGTTTTGCTGCAAGTAATGCATTTATCCAATCTCACCACAAAATGTAGAGCACATAGTGTCCAGGTATGACAGGACTGAAAAAAAAGAAAGAAGCTACAACTGCACATTTTAGAATTGACTCCAACTTAATCTAAAGTATTTCTGAAGCCTTGGTCATTTAAAAACAAATGGTGTCCTTGATTCAGGACTCGATTTTTTAAAAATCTATACTACGTGAGCCCTTGGAGTATATAGATTAGTTGCCCTTTCTTTATAATATGAAACTACTGTTTTCTATTCTATTCTATTCTATTCTATTCTATTCTATTCTATTCTATTCTATTCTATTCTATTCTATTCCTCAGAGGTTAACAACCACACTGTCACATATGGTTGCCTCTCCACCTATTCCTATACAGGGTTAAGTACCTACTGATTTCTGACTGGGGTTTGGGTTTTTTTTTAAGATCAAGTGTATTTAATCTGAGAGGTCAGAGTGTGGCAATACAGCTACAGCCTGGGCATTCCCAGCAGGAGGAAGGTAACATCAACACATTTTGTCTACAGAGCCAAGCATGAAGAAAAACTACAATTAGCCTTTGCTGCTTTTCTGCAGATCCTTCATTTGCATTTTAAATTACATTTTGGTGTATTCATTTTCATCTTTCTTTTGGCTTTTAAAGCTTGAACAGAGACTCCTGACAAAAACACTGCCTAAGATTGGCATTTATTAGGGGAAAAAAAACACATCCACATGATTTTTTTTTCTAAAATCTTCCTTTGAGATTAGTTATTTCAGAAAGTCACGTTGACAGGCAGATGGAGAGAGAGATGCAAGATGGTTTCAGAGATTCTAGGAATCTCAACGCCTGGATTTTCATTTTAACATTTCAGTTTCTTACTAGTCAGTAAGTTTCTCTGGCTGACTATATTAAAATGTGTACTACTGTAATATATATTAAACTTGCTCTCCTGGTACATACTGACAATTACACAGTTTATCACACCAATAAGTTTATTGAAACAGAATCAAAATTTTTTGTCTCTTAAATCCTTGTAGAGATGCTCTTTCTACAAATATGTTAGGCTCTCTCTGTTATCTCTCCTCTTGAGTAGCCTAAATACTATTGATTGGTGATAGCCTTCTCCCTAAGTGGTCACTGGGTGTTAAAATGTAAAGCAAAACAAAAATTCACATAAATCAGATTGTGAGTTTATTCTTCCTTCTTTGAAAGGGGTCAGTGCCTCCTATATTAAATGATTAACACACTTAACAGTCTCATGGACTCTTTGTCCCATAACTTTATGGATGGCTAAACCCCAAAACACCTTACTTTTAATATTGTTATTAAAGGACAGATGTTAAAAGAAAAAAAAAAACTAAAGATTGAGCCATGTGCCAAGGGAGAATAGAAAAATAGTACAACCAAACTGTCAGTTTTCTAAAGGAGATATTAACATGAAAATGTACTGTTATGATTGACTCAAGTGGACTTAAAGTTTGATGTTGTTGGATATTTTTAATTCTCTACATCTTATTGGTATATCTTATTAGAACATGTCTGAGCAGATTCTAGTCAATATTTCTCCAGCTCTCAATGGTTTTTTGCAATAGTTTCTTGTGGTGCAATAATAATAAAACTTGTTTAGGTTTGAAGCACTTTTACATGCATGCATTGAAAAATATTGAATATAAATAGCACTGAATATAAATAGCCCTATAAATAGCATTTGTGAAAAACACAGAAAAGACCCTGGTCTCAAAAAGTTTACTTTGCATTTGCAAAAGGGTTAGTAGGAAATAAATAAAGGAACAAAATCATTTCAGGGAATTATAAGTGCTATGAAAAATAAAGTACACTGAGGAAGTAGAACGATGTAGGCATGGTGAGGCTAATTCAGATGGAGTGATCAGAAAGTCCCATTGATACTTAACACTTCAGCTCCATGACAAGGACACAAGTATGAAAAGGTCTGGGGTCCGAATTTGGGTAAAGACTATGACACGTGTCAAGGTGGTGGCACAGGAATAAGCTTGACGTGTTCAGAGAAGCCACAGCAGCTCAGGGGCAGCAAGCAAAGGGGAAAATGGAAGGGGATGAACTCCAAGATAGGGGAAAGAATTACACTTTTATGGCATGAGAGGCTATGGGGCTATCCATTTCTGTGACATATCTCCAAACTTAGTGGCTTAAAACAAACATCTTATTTTGCTCACAATTTGGAGTTCAGCGATATGGGAAAGTTCTTCTGGACATTTATCTCTGATGCGGGTAGTATTACTGGGGCAGCTAAAGCTGCAAAACTAGGTGATTTCATTCAATGTCTGTTCCCTTGGTGCTCTTTGTTCACATGGCATCTCCTATTCTAGGGCCTCTCCACATGGCGTGCTCTTCTCACAAGTTGGCATCATGGCGGTCTCGTGGCTGTCTCTAACTACTGTTAGACTTATGTGATGACTGGTTTCCCCCAGAGCAGGCCTTGATCCAAGCTCCACGCCTTCTTATGACCTCTCCTGGAAGTCTCAGAACATCACTCCTGCCACTTTGCCCTTTTTGGTTAATCATACAAGGCATTAAGGCCAGCCCACATTCAAAGGGAAGAAAGTCAGACACTTCTCTTTTCTATGGGAATGTCACAGAATCTGTGGCCATCTTGAACCTGCCTCAGAGGCCATGGTAGGTAATCTGCATTTTATTCTGAGTGTTATGGGAAATGGCTGGAGACTTTTCAACAGAGAAATTACATGATTTTATTTTTGTTTTTAAGAGCCCATTTTGGCTGCTAGATAGAGAATAAATTGAATGAGGACAAGAGAAGAAGCAAGGTAACCAGTTAGAGGTGATTATAGTTTTCTGGATGGCCTACGATGGAATGGTAGCAGTGGAGAAGGAGAAAGTAAATATGGGGTACATCTTAACGGACTTGTAGTTGGATAGGTTTGGGGGAGAAGAAAAAAAACAGGATGACTCCAAAGGTTTTAATGAGGACCTGGAAGGATTGTGGTAGTATTTACTGAGACAGGAAAAAAGGGGTAAAGTTATTTACATGTCTCATATAATTGTCCCAACAGCTCTCTAACATGGAGGTTCAGTTAGTTATGTGGTAGGCCTTATTATCCTCAATCTTTCCTCAGGTGAGAACAGTGGGGTTCTTAAAGAACAGAAGGAAAAGAAGGAAGGGAGAGGGAAGGAGAGTGGTGAGATGGGGAGAGGGAATAAAGAAAGTCTTTCCTAAAACACTTAACTAGATAATGGGAGTACTGGTCTATAATAAGTTCTGTTATCTAGCCAACACATCTTCCCATTATACAACATAGTTAGCTGTCAATCATTAGTATAACAAGCTGAGTTTTAAATTGTTTGTCTATTCTTACTATAAACCTACTCAAAGAATGTTTCCCTCTGGGTAAAATAGGAACAATGAAGATGAACACAAGGAAAAGATACGTTCTTAGTCATTACAGAACTTAAACAGTAGAATGACTAAACCTTTCAAGGTTCCCAACATTTAGATCTAATTGATTTGGATTTTATGTCTGATAAACATCACCTTCTAAAGATGAAATTTTAAATTGAGAAAAGTGAATAGAGGGGGTTGGAAGTTCTAGTTCTTATTTTTTCTGCCTTTGGCTTAATTAAGTTTATCAAATTTTCTTAAACTCTGTGCTTTAATTTTTCTCATCATCAAAACATTACTTTTATCAACCATATTTTCAATTCCTTCACTTGTTTATGAGTCAGCCCTCATAAGGACAGTTGTACTTGTCTCCCACCCATTCTCATGCCTGTGATCACTCCTTTCACACCCATTAACTCATCTTACACATGTAATAAGAAAAGTGCTGGGGAGAAAGTTTTTGTAAACTTCAAAAAAACAACTTATCATTGTTATTACAAATTCTTCAAAAACATTAATTTTAAATTTTAATTTTATTCCAATGTTAGCCTATTACTAAATCTTTTTAAATCCAAAATAACCCAGTATGACTCTTTGATTGTAGGTAGAGTCCTTTTACTGCCACTGCTGTGAACCACATCATTCAGTATGCAGCACTTCGAATTTTGCCAAAGTAATCATGATGTATGAAAACTCGCAACGTGGTAAAAACAACAAATATTCTATGAAAATCTTAGTCACCAAGACTGTCTGGGACCTTTATTACAATAACATAAATATTAGTCAAATTTTCATAACCATTGATAATTATTTTTATCTCTCATATTCTTGCTTGATATTGAATTGTTTGCCACTGTGGGTACTTTCCATCTGGTGAGGGCCTGAGACATTGTGCTAATCACACACACACACACACACACACACCACACACACCCCTACCTCTAAACACCTCTCTTCCACTCTTAGCAATGCTCCTGTACCCATGTGTTAATATTGATTGGGCCTGTTTCCATTCTGGGGCAGTATGGAAGTCAAGGATCGTTACTGAATAATCATTTGGTGATGTATTTCAAATTGTATTTTCCTCAGCAGAAATAAGTCAAAACTGATGGTTACCTTTTTACCAGTAGCCTTCTATTGGATCTCAAATTTGTGCTATATATAGATAAGGATGAAGGTAGCTCTAAACAGAGAAAACCAAACCATTTCTCTCCTACTTGTTTTGGGAACTAATTTAACTAATTTGGAAATGCTTAGATAAAGGCAGGTCTGCTGAATGTCTGAATACACTTTCTAATTACTACAAGGTTTAATTACAGTTTCTGAGAAATTATAGCAAAAGACCTTTGGATTTCAGTGTAACCAAAATTTCATCAGATATTCCACCATTGTCATTATTCTCAAAATTCAAATGAAATAACCAATGTTCTAAAATGTAAAATTCCAAACATATTTTCTTTCCCCTCAAAACTCATCTTTCTCTTTCAGACATCACGAATTCTGTTAAAGACATGACCATCTCATTTCCTGCCAGGTCTGGACCCTCAATTCCTTCACTTGAATGTGAGTCAGCCTCATGAGGACAGTTGCATTTGCCTCCCGCCTATTCTCATGCCTATGATCACTCCTTTCACAACTATTAACTCATCTCACACAGCCTCTCTGCATAGTACAATTCTGAAATAAAATTTGATTGTGTTACATTATCTAAATATTATTTCAGTTTTTACTTATTAATTATCAAACAGTTAAAAGGACCTAATCTGGCTTTCCAGACCAGGGCCACCTCTGGGGTATATGCAGTCCTGGGTGGCAAATCTTTTTGTGCAGAGTCTCTGTCTATACAACTATTTTGATCAAAATTGTATTCAGAATCCATAGTCCCATGTGAGGTAATGTATTGATGGAGATTTAAAACAATGGGCAGAGGAGAGGGACTTACATATTTGTTTATCACTCATTTGGGGCAGGTGAAGATTCTTCATAGGGTCCTGGCACCATCTCTTCCTGTTCAGGTCCGAAAAACATCTTGTCATGTTCTTTTTATGGTGATAACTCCTCATTTTGTGCTAGCAGAGTTAATTCTCCATTTCCAGAAATTGCTGCCAGTTTCTGACCTAATTAGAGTTCAAAAACACTCGTGTTTTTCTTATTTTTTCCACTGAGAGAAGAAAGTAGCAGTGCTGTTATGACTCACAATACCAAGGCTCTTTGGAGTCTGTATTGATACAATTTAATTCTTCTTGCCTCTGCAGTTTCCTAAATTTATTATTTACACAATGATGGTTACAACATCACTTACAATGCTTCCTCAACCATCAGGCCACCTGTGAACACTGGTTCCCAATGAGTCTTCCCAAGATTGTTAATGTGCCTCATGATGATGACCACAATGCAAGTCTTACCCAGAATTTGCAGGAAAATGTTAATAACAATTTATTTTCTGGCCATGTTAAATTTACGGTTCAGGCTTTTATTGCATAAATGTGCATAATACATCTTTTATCCGTAGCTCCTCTTAAATTCTTGATATCAGTCCATTCCTGGCATGTGCTGTTTTTCAATGTTGACCCTATCCCTGTCTCCCATACACCACTACTATGGGGAAAACAGGAGAGGGGCCTACAGGAAAAAATGAAGAAAAAAAAAAACCTATGCTATTTATGTAAGAAATATCCGTCCCTCATTCAGCATGGCGTATGACCAGCTGAAAGAACATTATGTTACTGCATCAATTGGAGGCAAGAGAGGCCATGATTCAGAAGGGATCAACAGCATTTACTAAGGAACACATTCTGATGAATGCAACTTTAGATCTCAGTCCTGCATTTAGGATGAATTCATCCCTGAATAAAACACCTTGGTGAATGCATGTGCAGTATTTAAACAAACATAAAAGAGGGGGATGGAATTCAATCCTTCATTCTTAATTGTGTAAGTTCCTCAAAAACCATCTAGTGTTGTCTTTTCAAAGACACATCTACTAATACATCATAGTAATGAATTATAGTAAAACTATTTTTTTTCATCTAACTGGATTGCTTATAATCTGACTCCTGTACCCTTGTTTTTCCCATGACTACACTGATCTTCACTTGAATGAAAACCAAACAGTGATCTGGTTTCACCTTCTGGATTAACTGACTCATTAATGATTATGACAGCAGCTGCTGATGTTCTGGGTCAGGCTGACCTGGTTTAACTATGTGTAAATCTATTATGATAATGTTGTTATCTTTCAGGATAGCATGGAGCATGGTTACAAAAGGTGTCTGGAAAAATGTCAGATGGAGTCTGAGTTTTCAAGGAAGCTGGTTGTTTTCCCTCAGTTTCTAACACCCATTCTGAACTATGAGAGCAGGAATACTGTATATTTAAATGCATCTGTTGTACAACTGCTGAGTTCAGAGTACTCTAGCAAGGGGTGGGTAATCACACAGATGGTGTGCTTCACGACCAAAACCACTTGCTGTAGATGCCACATTCAGAGAGAACATGTAAATACTTGGCACAGTTGTGAGAGTTTTCAGAGGTGTTATATTCATTTAGAGAGTTACAGCTTTGATGGTGACAGCTTCTCATTTTGGGCTAGCAGGATTAATTCTTCCTTTCTTATTTTTACTCTTGACATTCCAGAAATTGCCACAATTTCCTGATCTAACTTGAGTTCAAAGAGTTGTGTTTTTCTTATTTCCCCCTTATTTAAAGAGGATTACTGTATCAACAAGAATGGTGACGCAGAAGGACTGGGTGACCAGGAGTATACTGGCCACATGCCACAGTGAAGTTTTCAGGCCTATATTGTGTGCCTTCCCACATTCCAATAAATACCACAAACAGCCAATGGTATTGTTTTTTATTGCCTTTCACCCCAAACTTACTATAAAAAGCATTAAGTTTTTAAATGTCTGTTTCCTCTGAGCATTCACTTGCTTACCCACCTATTTATTGAATAGACTAACAATTGAAAGCTTGCTCAGTATAAAATGTAACTGGTCTCCAGATCTTTCTCCAGGATCTGAACCTCCAAGAAAAAGCTGTGTCAAAGTAAAAAAGCTGGGGAAGGGGCACGATTGAGAAAGTCTAGAAGAGACAAGGGATGATGTATACCTGAAGGAGGGGAGAAAATAAAGGACACCACAAAGTGGCACTGGAGTCCGAGAGAAGTGACTGACAATCGAGATATGGTGTGGCAAAATATAGGTCAGGTTCAGGATATTATTCTCAGAAAGCTCATTTCCAAGCATGCAATTTATGTGGCTTATCATCTTTCCTACAGATATGGCTGCCTAAAGGAGCAACACAGGGATGGACACCAGGCAAAGATAAAATGATGCAGTAGTCCTCCTAAATAAACCCACAGTCTAGGCAAGAATATATACTAATAAACACACATATCATCAAATACTATCAAATAAGAAAATAGAGTTAGAAACAATAGTGTAATAGAAATGTAGAGGAGTGGGTTAATAATTCATTGAGTTGATAACTTCAGGTTTTATGAAGGAAATCACATTTATATTGGGTCTTACAGAACGAGATGTATGTCAGTCCAAGGAAAGCGGAGGAAGAGAAAAGAGCACAGTTTCCGATGTTCATTCCTCCTAATTCTAAAGCACATATAGTGGCTGGCACTAACAACATTTATTAAATGAATGAAGATGATGGTTTGATGAAACTTAGTAACATAAGGCTCAAACTTCAAGAACAAACTTGAAGTTTGCAGCATCATACCACAGACTGCATTCAAATGAAAAAAAAAAAAATGTAGAAAGACAGTATATAGGCCGAGTGTGGTGGCTCACACCTGTAATCACAGCACTTTGGAAGGCCAAGGCAGGAGGATCACTTGAGCCCAGGAGTTCGAGACTAGCCTGAGCAACATGGCGAGAACCTGTCTCTATTAAAAATACAAAAATTAGCCAGGTGTGGTGGTGGGTGCATGTAGTCTTAGCTACTTGGGAGACTTAGGTGGAAGAATGGCTTGAGTTCAGGAGGTCAAGGCTATGGTGAGCTGTGTTCACACCACTGCACTCCAGACTGAGTGACAAAGCAAGAACTTGTTGAAAGAAAAAAGAAGGAGGGAAGGAGGATTAGTCCATTTTCATGCTGCTGATAAAGACATGCCAAGATTGGGCAATTTACAAAAGAAAGAGGTTTAATTGGACTTACAGTTCCATGTGGCTGGGGAAGCCTCACAATCATGGCAGAAGGCAAGGAGGAGCAAAGGCATGTCTTAAATGGATGGCAGCAGGCAAAAAGAGAGAGAACTTGTGCAGGGGAACTCTTTAAAACAATAAGATCTCATGAGACTCATTCACTATCACAAGAACAGTGCAGGAAAGACCCACCCCCATAATGCAATCACCTCCCACTGGGTTCCTCCCATGATGTGTGGGGATTATAGGAGTTACAATTCAAGATGAGATTTGGGTGGGGACACAGCCAAACCATATCAGAAGGGAAGGAGGGAGGAAGAGAGGGAAAAGAAAGGAAAGCAGGCAAGCAGGCACAGTACACAACTAATGAA
Organism: Homo sapiens; assembly: GCF_000001405.40. Lineage (NCBI taxonomy): Eukaryota > Metazoa > Chordata > Mammalia > Primates > Hominidae > Homo > Homo sapiens. The sequence goes on from NC_000004.12 coordinate 104,899,219, forward strand.
CAAAAAACAATATGGGAAAGAAAACTAAAAGGAAATGAGCTTAGCCAAAGGAAAAACTAGGTTAGGAAAATAGTATAAGTCAGAAAAGAAACTTGCATTAAAAATAAAATTAGTTTGATTTTTTAGTATGATTTTAAATTTTTTCATTTATATGTTTTCTATAGAAAAGTTAGAAAAATAAAGCAAAACAATAAACACACTCCTAATTCCAACAGCTAGTGTCAATTACCCAGACACAACCACTACTAACCTGTTGTTCTTACTTTAAGACATTTATGATATTTAAATGAAAAATAGGCTAATATTTATCTGTAATGTACTTTTTTCTCCTTAGTAGTATACTGTGAAGAAAGATTACTAAGAAAGTGAAAGAAATTAGAAACAATCTCATTTGATTTGGTACAATTTTCTGAAATATCTAAGATGATGGAACATTTCTAGAAGTAATTTCTAGTTGACATTTCCCGAAATATTTTTAAAGACACATTTGTTATTCAACTAACAGTGACTTAAATCAATAATAATAATAATAAAAGTAGTAAACTCTTAAAATTAGAAGGCTGGAGGGTGGCAGCAGCACCCATGTAGTAGCTCCCTGGTGTCATCAGAGGTCCAGGCTCTTTTTCTTTGTCCACATTCTCCATCTATAACACGTTGGCTTCCTCCCTCAAGGCCCCAATATGTCTGTCCCAGTTCATCTTCATGTTTAAACTTGTGGCAACAAAATATAAGGGAGGTGTGACATTAACTTGTCTGTTCCTTTGATCAGACAAGCAAAAGTCTTCCCAAGAGTCCCTCCTGACTCCACCCAGCAGGCAAACCTACTTCTAATTGGTCAGAACTAGGTCACATGACCACTTTCAACCGCAAAAGAGGCAGGGAAATTGAGAACACAATTATCGAGATGTACTGTTATCAACTATGAGCCATTGCTTAGGGCTGAACCTGTAGTGGCACCAAACAAAAATGGGGTTAACAAGGAAGGAGAGGAAAATGGACATTACGTAACCAACTTGCCTGCCACACATAGTAATAAGAACTATGGCAGTTGGTGACACCCACCTAACAACCTCACAGGTGTATGTCAAATACTTCCCATTCTTGAGGGAAGGCTCCTGCTCCACCTCCTCTAGAAATAATTTGCCTAATTACCAAAATGCACACAGGTGTTCTTGCTCCCTGACACCTTATTTCACTGACCTCACAGATGTGGACAGGCAATAATGCACAAGCTCCACTCTCAGTCGTACCGTCAGTATTTATGGTCCCGTATTTTTCTTCGGGCTTCTTCTATCCTCCACAGCAGGCAGCCTGTGGGCCAAATATGCTCTGGTGCTAATTTTTTTGTAAAGTTTTATCAGAATAGACATACTAATTCATTTAGATAATATTTGCAGCTGCTTCACACTTGTTGGGGCAGAAACCACGTGACCTCCAAAGCCAAAAATATTTTGTGTCTGGCCCTTTAGAGAGAAAAGTTTGTCAACTATCTACGTGTACTTCAATTCTCTGATGGTAAGGTCCCATCCTGCATTTCTCTTGTATCTACATGAGCATATCCCTGGGGAGATAGGAAGTACTCAACAAATAGCTTCTCACCAATGGAAATGGAAGGATTGATAGACTAAGAAACTCTGGCATAGTAAGTTATATATAGCTGGTGCTTCATGAAAGTTTGTTGAATGAATTCAGGAATTAACTAAGTAATTGGCTAAGTAAGGCAAAATGCTCCAGTACTTAGAGTGTGGGTTGTGGATCCAAACTTCCAATATTCAAAAGCTGTGTGTCCTAGGCAATAAACCTAACCTCTCTGTGCCTCAGATTTCTCCTGAATGAAACAAACAATAAGGAAAAAAAAAAGATTTAACAGTCTCTGGAGTATTTAGAACAATGCCTGACACAGAATAAGCACTCAAAAAATACTAGCTATGAAGAATATTATGGAGAAGAGTTTATTTTTATATAGGGTATTATTTTTATTTTTCCTTTCTTTGTGGCATAGTTTGAACCCATTCTGTAAAACGGTATGGACAGGATCAAGAGCAATTTCTAACTTTTCCTGGTGACACTGAATCAAGTTTGAACCAAAAGAAGGTTTGAGGTAGATGTTGCAGGGACATCCAAGGACATAATTGCTAGTAACAGGGTCAGAGAATAAACTAGCACACACTAAGGAGGGGAACCGAAAAGTCACAAGCATGTCAACACAACACGACTGAACTCTGCTTCTGCTGATGAGAAGTGTCAGTGCCACAGACGTGAGGTGAATGGCAGGGGAGCTCTTTCACTGAACTGTCAACTAATGAAGTGGTGAGAAATTAGGAGGCCCTGTAATTTACACGCTAATTCTCCCTAATGCCACCTGGGGGCTTCCTCCAGGCAGAGGAGCAGAGGAGTGGAAAATGGTGTCGTCCAGCCAGCAGCAAGCCTGTGCTGCTATTCTGTCTTTGCCAAGCAACACAGCAGACCAGCTTGTTTCCATTCACCATTCAGGGAACAGTTGGCAGACTTCCCCCAGAATGTGGGCAAGCCTCAGCTATAAGAGCAAAATGAAGACAAAGAAAAGAATTTTAATTCTTATACCTTTTTGCATTTTTTGTGTGCTCTCTTCAAGTTGACTCAGTGGGCAACCCTCTACCTTTCCTCAGCTCTGACATCTCCCTCTCACCACAAGCATAAGTCACATAAAATTGGTTGCTGTAATCAATGCTCTCCTTGAAACAAAACTCAGAAATAAAATGGGTGATACATTGCTATCACTGCACTTATCATCATTATTTAAAGGAGCTTTTTTTTTTTTAAACACATTTAACAAATGTGGTTCTGACCACCAGCCTCCTCCCTGGACTCTCATTACAAACACAGCAACAGCTCTTACCCCAAAATCACACACTAAGGGAAAACAGGAAGGGACCCTCGTGTGCTGGCATCTTTCAGGCAAGAGGCCAAGTCCACACTGAGGAAACAGTGTATGAGTGTAAACAGAACTGCCTCCCATGTTATAAACATATATTTCCTTGGACATCCTCTGGACTGCCAATTGAATAATGCTGCATTTTAGTTATCCCTGGTAAGCTAGGGCTGATTTTAAGACCATTAGGAAAGGGGAGAATGTTACAGTCTTCTTGGTTCCTCTAGGGTCACAGTGTAATTGTGTGGTGGGAGAAAGGGGGCCCTAGGGATGGCATGACAGTCACTTCTCATTACCTCCCACTTGGTTCATTACATCTGTAGACAGCGATTGTCCATGTGTGGATACTTCCATTACACAGAAGGATGTAATGTGCTGTAGACTTCACACGGCTTTCAGAAAGGGAAAAAGATGTTTATTCCAGGCACATACCTATCTTGTTTCCACGGGCCATGCCACAGCAATGGAAAGTGACATAAGGAATAGATTAATGGTAATCAATACAGAAAAACCAGTCCCCACATGTGCTTACACCCAGTGGGATTTTATATGTGTATATCACTAACATACCACTTTACATAAAAGGCAAAACCCTCACTTACAAATCTACTAAATTTTACTTTTAACAAGCAGATTCACTCACTTAAGTACACCATGTACAGGCTTCTTTGTGTCACCTCTCTGGACTGGCATTTACCTTATTCTCATTCACAATCTCACTCTCTCTTTCTCTCTTTCTGTATGTGTGTGTGTGAGCACGTGTGTGTATGTCTCATACACAGAAAGACCTTTCTTGTTTGCAAGGATGAGTCCTAGACACCATGAAATATAGAAATACTATTTCATATTTTTTCTTAGGTATAAAAAGCTGCAACTAGACTATAAACTAAGGGGAGTTGACAAGAGAGAAAACAAAATTATAGAGAATTATACAGTGTTAGAATCAGGAATAAATATTAGAGATTATGTATAACAGAAGTGCCCAGACTTTTTCTTTAAAGGAAAAAAAAAAAAACACCTCTCCCCAAAAGCTAATGAGTTGCCTAAAAAGAGATGTTCATGATGGAATAAATCTGTGATGCTACATACTTTAGCCTACTCTTGGGAATGCACAATTATGTCAGCTTATTAAAGGTTCTGTGAACTCCTGTTACTTAAATACCCATTTAATTCAGTATTACCTTATTTTATTATTTTAACGAACACTTTTTTTCTAACTGCAATCTTATCAACATCCTGTGGAATAATTATACTACAACAGGGGCAATCCTGTTCTATTATAGTCTCATCACCTTTGGCAGATTTTTATATACTGATAATTCTCAAATTTTAGCATGGATTTGAGTCACCTGGAGATCTAATCACTCAGTAAACTGGAAAGGGCTGGGGAATTGGAATACAGTACTTAAGTGTTCCTAAGGCAGGGGCCTCATAAGTCTACTTTGAGAAATACCAATCCACACATGTGCTCACTGTCTGAATTCATCAAGAATTGAACCACACGTTCTTACCAAGAAAACTTCACAGTTAACAGGTTGGAAGTCCATAGTTTTGAGTCTGGAGGTTGGCAAAGTTTATCCAGAATTACAAGGGCTTTTGAATATGAAAATGAGTGTACACCTTTATAAATTTACCAAAACTAATGGCCCCTTTAACCTTTACGCCTGTCTTTAAGAGTGCATCTCTTTCACTATGAGACATGTACACTCACTTGCTTCACTAATCCAGCTTTGTTCATTTATTCATACAATTATTTACAAAGCATCCTCTATGTGTCAGACAGTGGCTGAAACACTGGGAATACCAGTGAACAGAAGTGACAAAAATCCTTGCCCTTGTTAGAAGGAGAGAGACAACAAAACATAAACATACTAATAGTAAACGGTATGGTAAGTTAGAGTTAGAAAGTGATAAGTGTTATGAAAAGATGTAGCAGGCTAAGCAGGATCGCCAGTGTGAACGGCGGGGGGTGTAACAGAGCTGCAATTTTTGTAAAGGACAGTGGAAATATTACTCAATGAAAAGTGACATTTGAACAAAATTTAAAGAAAATAAGGGAGGTAGCCTGTTAGGTATGTAGAGTAAGAGTTCAGGCTTAAAGAACAGCCGGTGCAAAGGGAGCTGCCTCCTGTGAACAAGGAGCCACCAGAGGGTGTGTGGGGGCGAGAATCGGGAAGGGAGAGGAGGCAGCAAAGACCAGATCTGTCAGGGCTTTGACTTTTACCTCGAGTGAAATGAGAAGCTACTGCAGCATTCTGAGTAGAGAAATGAGGTTATCCGACAACTTTTTTTTTTTTTTGAGGCGGAGTCTCGCTCTGTCGCCCAGGCTGGAGTGCAGTGGCGCGATCTCGGCTCACTGCAAGCTCCGCCTCCCGGGTTCACGCCATTCTCCTGCCTCAGCCTCCCAAGTAGCTGGGACTACAGGCGCCTGCTACCACGCCCGGCTAATTTTCTGTATTTTTAGTAGAGACGGGGTTTCACCGTGTTATCCAGGATGGGCTCGATCTCCTGACCTCGTGATCCGCCCGCCTCGACCTCCCAAAGTGCTGGGATTACAGGCGTGAGCCACCGCGCCCGGCCGACAACATTTTTAAAGGATCTGAATTTATTCAGAATTTCTTAAACGTTGATTGGCTTTCTAGTCTTATGCCAGCCACTGGGCTTGGAGCCAGGTAGACAAAGATGAACTCTACAGTGTCCTTGCCCTCAGAGCGCTCAGAGTCTCTAGGCCTCTGGTACAGATCATTGCAGGTCAAAATTTGAACATTTAAATATCCATTTCCCTTGCCACTTAGATAACCAGACCTCAGATAACTGCCCAGTGTTTACTTCAGATACTCAGCATCTACACATCTCCCTGTCCTGGGACTAGAGCAAGAAGTCCTCGGGTCAGTAAGGATGTTCAGGTGCCCAGCTCTGCCCTAAACATACCATGTGGCCCTTGATGAGACATTAGTTCCTTATTTTTCTTGGCTTTTCCGTCTGTTTACACAATTTTCCGCCAAAGTATGTTTTTTAAGTCTGATGAGATAACCAGCACTGAGAGCTTGAGGGTGTAATGGAAAACTGACAATTTTAATTTTCCCTCAAATTATCATACTCTAAAATAAATAGAGTTGAGTAACTTCTCCAGTTATTCATTCTGGCAGCACTGCTTCAGCTGAAGACAGTCTACAAGTTGGCAGGCCAGAAGTGATGAGAAAATGATCTTAGTTCTTAGAGATAAAACCTGCTAGTTATCAACAACTGAAATTCTGAGAGAGGGTCTTCTGGGGAAAAGCCATTTGCAGCAATAATCTCCTTTTAGAATTTTAACATGCTTGCCTCCTGCTAAATCCTTTGTGTTGAGGAAGGATGTGAAAAGTCACATTTACTTTCAGCCCTAAATGCAATTCTAAATGATCACACCTGGCTTGCTCACCTCATCTGTCAGTCATCAATATTTGAGAGAAGAAACCTCTGTTCTGAAGAAATGGAAAATAAAATGACAGAGCTTAATCCAGAATTACTATCAGGGCTGTGTTTGCCTTCAGTGTGCATATGCAGCCTTTATGAAGAGCAACATTATTTTTTATCAAATGTTTATGATGTAACCTCACAGAAATCAGGGAAAATGGGGAATTTGGCAGGCAATTGGGAAAAGAGAAATGCAATACAATGCTATTTCAGCCTGAGGTCTACTTTGGAGCTAAGCTACTCCAGGTGTTTTTCTTTTGTCTTCATTTAATGGCTCTTCTAAACACAATGACTTAGTATCAGCCAAGGCAGCAAAATTTACAACGTACTAATTAATAGCAAGATGCTTAGCTAAGTGATTCTGTCTCTGAGTATGTAATTACATTTTCAGAGGTTTAATTTTTTTCTCTTACCTTCCTTCTGCCAGATTTTACCAGAAGAATAAGGGAGTATTAGGAACATAAAAAAAAACTCATGTGGCTGAAGCATGATTAATTTTACTTAAGCAATAAGAAATAAGCTACACTACTTATCCTTAGCCATAGTTATAGTAGTTGCATCAGTTATGAACTCCAGGGAGCAAGAATAGCAACTCACAAAGGATAACTACAGGTTATAGCTATATATACAGCTTATTCTCACCATTATCACCATTATTTACCAACTTATCTTTTAAAATTGGAGGCAAAATTAGCTCTTTTGCCTGTTCAGACTCTTGAACTTCAAATTATAAGTAAAACATGTTGCTGCACCTGCCCTGCCAATCCCCAGCCCTGCATCCATCCAACTGTTAACTTTCTCAGCTCCCGCTTCCAGGCAGCTGAGCATGGGCAGAGAAAAATCACATAACTCCATTTACTGGCACTCTGACAAATCTATGTTCTCCAGTATCAGCTGGGCCCTCTGTGCTACTGGCGGTCCTTTTATTTCTCCCCAGTCAGCTCAGTTTCAGATTTCCCTTACAGCTGTTCCAAACTATTAACATGCTCTACAATCCCCTCATTCTAAGCAGATGACCTTGCTCATTTATCACAAACAAAATAGAGCTCCTCTTCTTCCCCTCCATCAGCAAACTGACCCATGAGGACACCTAGCTTTTCCCTCCTTTTTTTGCAAGTCAAAGAAGAGTAATCTCTTCAAATCCCTGAAGTTATAGAATATTGGACACCATCTCCTCAGGCATCTTCAGGGACCTCATTACATCAGGCATGTCCCCTCACACTTTGGTGTCTTTAATCTATCACTCTCTGAACTCTGCCTTCTACATTTCAGTCTACACATTGGCTCAGCTTTTTCCTTGTCACCATGTGTGAGCATGCATGTGTGCAAACACACACACACACAGAAGCACAATTCTTTAATCATTTCAGCCTCTCACTCATGCTGCAAATTGTCTTGTATAGTAATTATCTGTTTACATGGCAGTTTTCAACTGGTCCAGTGGTTTTTAATCGTTGTCATGTCACAGATCCCTTGAAAATCTGATTAAAGAAATGGATCTTCTCCCCAGAGACACGCACATACCGACACAGACACACACACACACAAATGTACATACAATTCCAGGTTGCTCACAGACCCCCTCTAGGAGATGTTACTGTCGCTCATTCGTATTTCCGGTTCTACTCCTCTTCCGGGCACACTGGAGAATTACACTTCCTTGCTGACTTGAGATAAGTCACAGCTTTGGCCAATGAAGTGTGAATGGAAGTTTTCAGAACCTTTAAGAGCCTGTACGCAATTTGCCATGCTTTCTCTTTTTGCTTTGTCACCAAAACCTCTGTGTTCCAGATAGTGACTACTCTGTCTGCGTGGGTCCTGGAGAGAGGAGGATGCAGAGCACAGCACTTAGCCAACCTGCAATGGACACGTAGAGTGAGTGAGAAATGAACCTAGTGGTTTAGAGCATCTGGAATTGGGGGATGGTCGATTACTGTTGCAGGACCTAGGCTGTCCTGCTGCATAGCAGAGCACTCTCCACCTGATACGAAATAATCTATGTCGGAAAGATCCTATTCAGGGGAGTTTAAGATTTCCTCCTTCCTTTTCTTAATGAAGTTCCTTTCACCTCATATTGCTACATTTTTTTCTCTTTACCTGCAAGAATCTTTCCCTGGTTCTTCCCAGGGCTCATCCTTCAAATCTCAGCTCATATGTTACCTCCTCACAGAGGTCCTTCTTGACCTCTTTCCCACCCCTACCCCAACCCCAGCCACTATGATTCACACCAACCATTTCGCTTTTTCACAAACTGCATCACAGTCTGTAACAATCTTATTTTCTCTTACTCTTCAGTTCTGAATTCACAATACAGAATTTTTGCTATCAAAAATGATTCATAGATAACTAATGTCATGCTACTTGTATTTGTGAACATATGAAAATTAAATGCTTTCAAAATATGGAACTTTTTCATTTGTTTAATATGACAAAAATAGACCATGAATGTTCTATAGCAAGTCACATATTTTACATTTTTCAAAACTACGTTAGTAAAAGAAAAAACTAGCTAGAAATATTGGACAGATGTCCAAATGTTTGGATGTGCATCAAGAACAAACCACTGAACCTTGGTATTTACCCAGTCACCATTAAGAGGTCAACTTGACATTTTGGTTTCTTTTCAGATAGTTGGGGCCAACAGCTCTTACAACCTTTGACCCAACCCAGTTAAATAGTAGTTTTTGTTACTCATTGATATACAGTTTTTGTTTTATGTGCTTTTTAAAATTTTACTCAGTTCAGTTTAAAATTTTACTCCCCAAATGGTCTTCCTTTATAATGACAGCCAGAATTAATCCTGACATTTCAGAAACTATTGAATGGCTAACCCTTTGTTCTGTGTCCAGGGATATAGGTATAATATCTTGTCACAGAGTAAATAATCAATTCATACTTGTTAAATTAATGAATGAAATCAGTATTATAAAATTACCAAATAGCTCTTTCATTTGACTTTAATATATATAACTAATGACAATAAAAGATATAAGTGTTCTAATTTTAAAAATCAAAGTTTTAGCCTTGTTAGTTTACCTGTCTACAAACATGTTTATTGCTTAAGAATTTCAGATATGTAGAACTTAAAATCAGCATATAAGTTTTCTATTTTCATTGCCTTTGTAAATGTGTTAAACAATACTGACATTTGAGAAGAAATTCAGAAGCTATGATACTGTTCTTCCAGCCTATAATAGATTTGGAAAATATTCTCTAGAAATCTATCTCTTCAAATATTAAATTACAAAAGTAGAAAGCTTTAGGATTCTCTTAGTTATTAGAATAGGATAGAAAGTCTTGATGAGAACAACCAAATAAAATGTTTTAAAACTGCTATAGAAATAAGCTTGATTTGGAAACAAAATTAAGTTTATTTTTGTTTTTTTTCTTAAACTTTTTTTGTTTTCTTTAAATTTTCTGTGTGGTAGTGCGTATTGCCAAATAGCGTCCCTTAAAATGTTGCCTTATCTCTGACATTAAATGTGTAAGCAGCAGGTAATAGGTACATTTTTCAACCTATCTTTTACAAAAATTCTCATATGCAATTTAAAAATAACATGAACTTTCAGAATGGGGTTAGGTGTTTTTTTCTGTCTTTTTAGATTGTCTTCTTTCAATTAACTAATTTTTAAAAAGTGATTACCTATGAACTGCTACCCTGTTTTAAGAGAATGTGAGTAATTAGATGGTACTTAGTATCTATAACACTGGACATGCAGATGTGTGTGCACACACGTGTATGTGTAGGGTAGAGGGCTTTTAAAAATAATTTTGCATACAATGAAGGACATCTCTCAATTCCTCATCACTGCAACACAACCTTCAAATAAAAATTACAAATGATTCTTTTCTGCTCTAGAAAATTTCAACCAAACACATAACTTTCACAGAAATAGTTGCTATAGAAATGCAAAGGGGACAAATACTGAATTATGCTGTCAAAAAATTGCAACTAAAGTAGGGCAGTATCAAGGTTTATGTTTAATAATGCTGACTGTATGTATTCTTGACTTTATGTATACTCTAAATTGAATGTTCTGAGTCCCAAATTGGAAGGTACTTCGCTACCAAAATGAAAATATTTTAGCATGCATTCTAGATTAGAAAATCAGTACATGCCAAGAAAGGTTCATTTGTACAAAAATGGTAAAATTTAATAAATAATGGATTCAAATAATGCCAATTACTTTTCTTCATTTCATACAAAATTTCATTTTTTAATAATATACCAAGGTAATAAATGCTGTTTATGACTTATTAAATTTACATAGTACTGCAGCTTATCAATACCCTGTGAACTGCAAAAAAACAAATACCTTTACAGTAATATTGGTCATGAAAATAGTGGGGAAACCTTACAATTGTGAGAATGTGCAAATGTTCTCACTAAGGCAGTAATGACCCAGACAACTACTGAGTATGTGTCCCCTCAAATGCCTCAAAATTCTGTAATGCTCATTGTGAAACACGTCAGTGCACAGTATTTCAAAATTTCAGCACATACAAAATGTCATTGTATGAAATGAAGAAAAGTTACATTTCCTGCACAAGATTTGTAGACACCTTGGCTCACAAGAATAAATGCTGCTTCAGGTTTTGACATGTCTTTCATTTAATTTGCTAATGCGCTTATTTTGAAATAGTGTCCTATGATAACATTTAGGGTAACATTAACCTTTATGTTTATTAATGAAAAGAAGATCATAGGATAAATCTCCTAAAAATGTTTGGCTCTGTTTTTAGCTTGTTTGGAAATTATACTTTAAATACTGAATTGCCACCAAAGCCTCTGGTAAATGTGAAGGTAGCGCTCAAACTCTTGCAGCCTTTGATCTTGTCAATTCGTTTTATAAGAGAGAAAAATTTCATCAGTCAACTGCAACCTTATAATTTTAGGAAGAAGTGATTTTAGAAGATTCATACATCCTATGTTCTAAAACCAAAATAGCCCTATTGTTAAAAATAAGATAGCTGTGGCCAACAGCTCTTACCACCTTTGTCCCCAAGCCAGTTAAATAGTCGTAAATAGTTGATTTTTATATTCATGTTATGAATATAAAAATCATATTCATAATATAACATTTAACCTATTCATGTTACAAAACTTAACTGCTGGTTACCAATATTATCAATAGAATCTGCTGAAGAGAATAAAAAGAGGGAGGGGAGAGAGAAAAAGAAACCTCTCAGAAATACGATAGAACATTAGTCACCTCTCTACACCTTCCTCTCTGAAAATATCAATCCTATGAATTCAATACCTTTCTATTTTACCCAGCTTTAGCAAGATTATAATCAAAATTTTATCTGAATCCATCTTATACTTAAGTGAGTTTTTCAGATTCAGTTTGGAAGAATGGAAGAGCATGGGTTATGGTGTTGAATACGCAAGAGTTCAAAGTAAAGCTCCAACATGTGCTGTCAATCTTGGTCAAGATGTAACACTTCTGTTTTTTCATCTATAAAATCAAAAGACACTTGTCACATAATGATCTGAATTTTGTATCAATGCTCCATTGAAATTATCTTCATGAAGATCACCCATACTCTTTTAATTCTAAAATTTCATAAATATTTAGCTCTGATTATATTTCACCTTTTTGACATATTTGATTGTTTATCATTTCACAGTTCTTAAAAGTGTTCTTTTAATTTAAAGTGTTTAAAGTGTTTTTAAAGTGCTCTTTAATTCTATTTTGGTTTCTGTGACCTATCCTTTTCTGCCTTTTTTTTTTCCTTTCTAGGGGTCCATTTTTCACTCTTTTGCAGACTGCTCTCTCTGCTGTTCATTAAGCGACCTCTGTGCTCTTCTCCCTCTGAACTGTCTTCCCAAAATATTTTATCCACTATTCCTCCTGCCTCATGGCTTCAACCATCACCTATAAGCTGATGATTGCCCTATATGTGCCTGCTTTCCACATCTCTGTCCCAAGCTCCTGCCTATTGGATAAATTCACTGGGTTGTTCTGAGTGCCATCCAAAACTCCACCCACTTTAACCCAAGATAGAAAGCTGGAACACATCCCAGACTCCTTACTCTACCTCATTCTGCTCTGCTATCCCACTAGTGATAGCTTATTGGTTCTACCTCTAAAATATGTATTTCTTCTTATTTCTGCCACTGCCATAGTTCAGTTCCTCCGGGCAGATCAATGGAATAGCCTCCATATTATTCAGAGTCTTCTCAGTGTTGTGATAAAGAATGTTTGTGGCAAATGCTGGAACCAAAATCTCAGTGGTTTAGCACAATAAACATGTATTTCTTGTTCATGTCACAATCCAGCACAGGTTGGTGGACAGGATCTGCTTCATTCAGGTGACCAGGCTTCTTCCTTCTAGTAGTTATACCACCCCCTAGTAGCTTAAAATTTCCCCCAAACCCTTGTATCTGGCAGGCAGGTGAGGGAAGGGAGAGTGGAGTTTGGTTATGGGCTTGCTGTATATACAGTGGTGGAGCAGGGACAGCGTAACTACAATTAAAATTCCCATTCAAAAAAGGGAATCAGAGGATGTACATGTTCACTAGGCCACTACAATTCTACAATCCTGTTTGGCAGGCCTCGAGATGTCCCCTAGCCTGGGGAGAGGATAAATTTGTGGATTAGATTTTAATTCTGCTCTCTGGAAATAAGTCTTTTGTCTTTTTCTTGTTTGACCCTCAGCCTTTCCCTTTAGAAGTTCTTATTGTTTATTTATTCCTTTTGGACACAGCTGAAATGAGTGTAGCCAAAGTAAAAAGGTGATTTTAAAGGTCAGACAAAGCTGTTTTAATCAGATATTTTGGATTTCTTGACAATACAAGTTCTTCAAAATCTTGGTAGGCTTCTGTTGTATTTGCTTCTATGTACAATTCTCAGGTCTTTTCTCCTTTTTTTTTTTTCTCTCTCTCTCTCTCCAGCTCTCTTTGGCCATTAATCTGATCTGTATCTAAGTCATAGTGTTCAGCTAAAAAGTCTTTCTGGGCCTTGTGGTTCTGTGTGGGATCTAGAAGCAGATGGATTTCCACCATCGTTCACTCAAGTCTGGATACTTTCTATTGTTTTCCATCTGGCTTGGAAACTAGCCATTTCTGTCTGAGTTCATCTCTTTCTTGAAACACCTTACCAAAGGAAGCCAATAAGAGCTATGACACAGTAACACTGTGGTTCTTTTAAAACCAGTCCCCACAAGCAGCAGTTTTCAAAGCATAATCTGCACAATTCTGGAAATCCCAAAGACTCTTTTAGTGGATCCATGAGGTCAAAATTATTTTCATAATAATATTAAGATGTATTTGCTTTTTCTACTGTATTGACATTTGCACCAATGGTGCCAAAGCAATGGTGAGTAAAACTGTTGGTGCTTGTATTCATCTGTTATCATGTTGTTAATAAAGACATACCTGAGACCGGGTAATTTATAAAGAAATGAGGTTTAATAGACTCACAGTTCCACATGACTGGGGAGGCCTCACAAATCACGGTAGACGGCAAGGAGGAGCAAGTCATGTCTTACATGGATGGCAACAGTCAAGAAAAAGAGAGCTTCTGCAGGGGACCTCCTCTTTATAAAACCATCAGATCTCATAAGACTTATTCACTGTCATGAGAAAGACTCACCCCCATCATTCAATTACCTCTCACTAGGTCCCTCCCATGACATGTGGGCATTGTGGGAGCTACAATTCAAGATGAGATTTGGGTTGTGACACAGCAAAACCATATCAGTTCTTTAGCATAAATCAAGGCAAAATTACCAAATTGTATCATATCATTTTATTATGTCATTGCATCACTTTCATCACCATGATCTCACAGGTTTAAAAAGTTTTGCTTAAGAATACCCTAATGAAACAGTTAAAATTTATGCATTTTCTTAAAGCTCAACACTTGAGTTACAAATCTTTTAAGTATTCTGTGGGACTACAAGGAAAGAACACATAAAGCACTTCTGCTGCATACCCAAGTACAATGGTTGTCTTGAGGAAAAGCAATGTGTGATTGTTTGAGTTGCAAACTGAACTTGTCTCTTTTTCGTGGAATACCACTTTTGCTTGAAAGAACAAGTGATAAACAAAATATGGTTATTCATACTTGGATATTTGGCAGTCATTTTCTTGAAAATAAGTGAAGTGAGCCTGTCACTTGAAGGCAAACAACCTGACGGTATTTGGTGCCAATGATAAAATCTGAGCTTTCAACTGAAAATTAGAATTTTGGAAAACTTGTATCCACTACTGTGAGCTTGACAGCTTCTGAATACTTAAAGAATTTTTATGAGATCCATGGTGATATTAACAAATGTTATTTTAAAAAATATTATATAAGGAAATGTGCCTATTACATAACTCAGTGAAATAATATTTTCCAATCAATACAAGATATTATAAAATCATGCATAGGTAAAGGATCCATTTAAAGTGGATTTAATGTACTAGAGTGTGAAAAGTTTATTGATACGGTTTCAGATTCCACGTTGCAATATACTTTTATAAAATTTTCACTTTTGAGTCATGATATAATATAAAAGAATGTCAACAATTATGTGAAAAGACTATTAAAATATTCCTTCAAAAGAAGGAGTATTGTTCTTCCAACAAGAAATACCTACACATCTATATGGGACTAGATTTTCTTCACTTATTTCAATTAAGACAACATATCACAACAGAATGGATGAAGAAGCAAGTAAGAATCTAAATGTCCTCTATTAACTAGACAATATAGAGTTTTGCAAAAATGTAAAACAATGCCGTTCTTTTTACTATTTATTTTGCAAATATAATTATCCTAAAAATACATTTTTACAGAGAAAATAAAATTCTTATACACTTTTGGTGAGAATATAAACTAGTCCAACCACTATGAAGAAGAGTATGGCGGTTCCTCCAAAAACTAAAATAGAACTACCATATGATCCAGCAATCCCACTACTGGGCATTTATCCAAAGGAAAGGAAGTCAGTGTATCAAAAAGACATCTGTACCTCCATGTTTATTACAACACTATTTACAAGAGCCAAGATACAGAATCAGCCTAGGTGTCCAACAACAGATGAATGGATAAAGAAAATGTGGTATGTATATGTATGTGTATATACATACATATATACACACACAATGGACTACTATTCAGCCATGAAAGAGAATGAAATCCTGTCACTCTCAGCAACATCGATGCAACTGGAATTCATTATGTTAAGTGAAATAAACCATTTTCTGGTGCTGACCAGAAAGTTGAACACCACATGTTCTCACTTACATGTTGAAAGTAAAAAAATAAGTTGATCTCACAGAAGTAATTGGCTAGAAGAGGAGGGGGAGAGGGGATAGATATTTATTATATAAAAGATATAAAATTGTATATAAAATTATATAAAGATATAAAATTATAGCCAGGTAGGATAAGTAGGTTCTTTGTGTTCTATACCACTGTAGAATGACTATAGTTAACAATAATATATAGTTTCAAATAGCTAAGAAGAGGATATTGAATGTTTCCAACACAAATAAATGATAAACGTTTGAGATGATGGATATGATAATTACCCTGATCTGATCACTTTACATGTAGCAAAACATCACTATGCACACCACAAATATATCCATTATGACAATTTTAATTTTCTTTAATGTTATTTATGTTAACATGATACTTACTATTTTCAATTCATTATTTTTTAAATGTTTATTTCAATTTTAAATGGTAATTTTTGCTAGATATAACTTATAAACAAAAGATTTTTATGGTCCTCAATAGTTTGTAAAAGGGTAAAACAGCTCTGAGAATAAAAAGTTTGAGAATCACTGTCCTAGATATGAATCAGCAAAATATGGCCTGCATATAAAAACCAGCTCATTGCCTGTTTTATAAAGTTTTTTTTTTTAGAACACAGCCACAACCATTTGCTTACCTGTTGTCATGTTGCTTTCATGTTGTAATAGCAGAGTTAAATAATTGCAACAGAGATAGTATTACTCCCAAGGCCAACTCCTAAAATTCTTACTATCTGGCCTTTTACGGAAAGAGTTTGCTGATCCTTGCCCTACAGCTTTGGTTCTCAATCCTAGCTGTTAAATAATACTAACGCCGCCTTCCCCTCAACACATACACAGAAACCATTTAATTAAATCAGAATCTCTGGGAGTGGTCTTTGAGTAGGAATAAGTTTTTTAAATTCCTCAGGTGATTTTGAAATGCAGCCAAGGTTAAGAATCACTGTGTTAAACTGTAGAGATCTTTAGGCATAATGTCTGCCTTCCAAGTTATTCCAGACAACAACTTATAAAAATTGCTCCCCTTTATAACATAGTTTATTTCCAGCCCCTAATAGAAGGGTCCTGCCCATGGGCCAAACACTAAGTCAATGCCACCTGCACTGATTTGTATTTTTGTTATATCATCAACACCCTACCACCACATTGAAATTCAAAGGTCATGTTAGAGTGTTTGCTCTGGCAAATACTTTGCAAATTTCAGTGGCTTAACACAAGAAAAGCTTTATTTCTCATGCAAACGGAGTGCAATGTGCTTGGTAGGGATCTCTGCTCCTCTTAGGGTTCTAGCTGCTTCTGGCTAGAGACCCTGCCATCCCGCAGTGCCTCCAAGTACTGTGCCAGATCCCTCTACATTCAACCAGTAGAAGAGAGAAAAGAAAAAGCATGGAGGATTACATGAGAAGTGTTTTAGGGGCCCGGATAAGGCACGCATTAACTCCTACTGCACAGAGCTTGGTCATATTAGCCACAACAATACAAAGAAGGGGCCGGGTGCAGTGGCTCACACATGTAATACCAGCACTTTGGGAGGCCGAGGCAGGCATATTGCCTGAGGTCAGAAGTTCGAGACCAGTCTGGCTAACATGGTGAAACCCTGTCTCTATTAAAAATACAAAAAAATTAGCTGGGCGAGGTGGCACACACCTGTAGTCCCAGCTACTCAAGAGGCTGAGGCAGGAGAATCGCTTGAACCCAAGAGGCGGAGGTTGCAGTGAGCTGAGATCACGCTACTGTGCTCCAGCCTGAGTGACAGAGCAAGACTCTGTCTCAAAAAAAAAAAAGGAACAAAATTCAGTCTACCTCTCTAACAAAGAGGAAAGCAAAACGGTTTGGTGAACCGGGAACTGGCTTTATCCCTTCATACACTCTTTCGTTACTAGTCTCCTATATGGAGCACCCCTCAGGCCCCTTGAGGTAGGTAGAATAACAGCCTACCAGAAATGTCCACATCCTAGTCCCCAGAACCGGTGAATATGTTTTATGGAAAAAAATGAACTTTTGCAGATGTGATTAAAGTTAAGGACCTTGATATGAGGAGATTTTCCTGGATTACTCAGGTAGCCTCAATCTAATCACATGAGCCTTTAAAATCAAAGAACATTTCTGGTCTGTGGTTAGAGACATGTGAAGATGGAAGACTGGTCAGAGAGCGCAATGTGGCTGGAGAAAGATGGAGGAAGAGAGCCGTGAGCCAAGAAAAATGGGCAGCCTCTAGAGGCTGGGAAAGGCAAAGAAAGGGATTTTGTCGCTTCCAGCCTCCAGAAAGGAATACGGCGCTGCCCATACCTTGACTTTAGTATAGTGAGACCTGTGCTGGATGTCAGTCCTAAAGAACTATAAGATAAATTGGTGTTTTAAGTCACTAACTTTGTGGCAATTTGTTATAGCAGCCATTGAAACCATACACCTTTCTCTTCCATGTTTGTACTGCTGTCAGTGACAGTCCTAAATTTCAAATCTTAATGGGTTATTCCTTTTCTCAAATTCCTTCAATCGCTTCTAACTCATTCACTTAATAAAAACACACTAAGCAACTACAATGTGTCAGACACTCTCCCAGCCCTCTGGATTGCCACTTGAGTGAGGCAGGCATGGTTGCTGCTGTACTGGAGCTTAGCGGATAGCAACTGCAAGACGCAACTTAAAACTCTTTAGCATGCCTTTAGTGCCTGCATGAGCTAACTCCAAACCACCTGCATAACACCATCTCTTGGCTCTTCTCTGTCAGAAAAAAAAAAAGCCATAAGACTTCTAACATAACGAACTCATTAAACTTCTAAGATTCCACAGTATTCCATGGCACTTTTTAGGACATTCCTGGCCACAGTATGAAACTTTGTTCTGCCCTCCCAACTCCTTGTCTACCTAGAAAACAATGACTTCTCTCTCAAGAGTTATCTCAGACATCACTCCAGAGAAATAAGTCCACTCCTAGATTCCCTCCTGTATTTCTCATTGCAGAGTTTATATATCCAATTTTGTATTTATTTTACTGAATTACAATTGTCCCTTTCCCCACCTTCATTATGGCTTTTAACAGATTTAGAGAGAAGTTCCTAGTAAATTTATTTTTAAATAAAGGTTGAGAGTTCTCATTCATTCATTCATTCTCTCAAAATAAGTTAATTAAAACATATACTTTGCCAGAACTTAATCTGCAGGAAGATAGATCGTATCATTAAAAAAATCCCAAAATAGGAAAACCTGGATAAGCTTGTAACGACCCCCCTTTTTTCCAATAGATCTTCCAACATATATCTACCATCCATTTCAAAGAGCATGCTTTCTAGAGAAACAAAATGGTGAGGAACTCTGAGAAGGCTATGTAATAAACATCACACTCAATATGGCTATAAAACTATGATTCTGCATGTTCCTCATTTACCAAACCCCTGAAATTTACTAAAACTATGTGAAGGTGTATAGTAACTGTAATTTCAACATAGACCTACAACCAATACCCCACCAGTGGATTAAGTTTATATGGATCACATCATTTAGATAGATTTATTCCATATGCCTACAAGAACTGGCAGAAAAAGCAGACTTTTTGTAAGCATTTGAAGTGTAAGACATGAAAATTATATTGTGAAACTATTTTGTTGTAATTTACTATTAAGTTTTTCTTGAAAAATAAGATCCTGGTCTCTCTCAAACAGTGACAAGTTTTCATGGAACGGTCAAGCACTTTATGCAAAATTCACATCCTACTTAGTTAAGTGGACAAGAATCATCCCCATAAATTATTAAATTCCCTCCCATCTGGATATTTTATGTTAACCACAGTGAACATTAATATATTTTATTCAGTAATATATCTGTTATATATGAATGGTGATCTGCTAAATAATTTACTATTTATGGAGAACATTTTGATAAATTATTACTGTCATTATTGCAGAAATTAAACTATTCTTTAGAGTCCAATTTTAATATATTTTCAAGCATTTCTTGAACAGTAATTATTTTGTATCTATTATGTGTAAGGTGCAGAAGGAGATTTTTTAAAAAAATAAAAAACTATCACTTGTAAAATAATTACCAGTTGGTGGGTAGAGAAAAAATTTATTTTGACCAGAGTAAAATTTATTCTGACCACAGGCACAAGATTTTTAATGTACAAATCCCAGCTGTCAATACATGAAGTTTCCCTGAACCTTTTCACTTTTCTTTTGTTAAGAACTCTCATCCAGCATCTAGCAGGCGCTGGATTCCTACCGGCCCTGCAGTTTAGTTTTCCTACACAGTTAATAGTAATTAGCTATTGTCCTCATCATCACTTCCAAACATGCTATTAGTTTTCCAGTGGGCATTGATTCTGTAATATGCAATCTAACCTTCTAACCACTATAGCACAGAATAACCAGGGAATTATCCCCTAGGAAAACAGGAGTTCTTTTCACCTCTAAGTCAATGATCATTAAAAACAACCAATACACTGTGAAGCTTGACAAATCACAATGGGAATAGGGACCCAACAAATTGCAGTGGTGAAGTCACAATTATCTAGCAATTAGGTTTATAGCTGTATCCACCCTTTAAATAATCAAGTCTACAAATGTACCCACACTTCTTCCTGCAGAACTTAATCTGGAAGGTTTCTAAAGCTTTCTTTCTTATTCAGGTTTCTGAAAGCAATTGCATCTGAGTGAAGTAATAATGACAAACCTTATGAAGCAGAAAGAACAGTAATTCATTTACTTAAGACTAATTTTTAAAAGGGGAGAATAATTGCCAAGCTCTATTTCCAAATGGAATATGTTCTGAGTCATCATAAAAATTTGGCTGCCAGAAGAGTATCTAGTTTAGTAAATAATGAAGGTGAATGCCCAATGTTTTTGGAATGCTTTCAGCAACAGGTAACAAACAGGAAGCCTGACTACAGTGGCTTGAAAAAAATGAGAAGTATTTTTCTCCCATAATGAGAAATCCAGAGTTTAGCAGTGCTGGGCTGGTTCAGCAGATCAATGATGCCAAAGACTCTGAGATCACTTTACTTTGTCCTCACAATTACAAAAAAGCTGTTGTGGCTTCTACAATTATATCCCCTTTCCAACAAGAAGAAAGAGGATGTAGCAAGGAGAATGGGTGGTACCAATATTTGAAAGTAAAAGTTTTATTAGGAAGCTCCCAGGAAACTTCTGTGTATGTTTCTTTGGCTATAATTTTGCCCCGGAGCCAGTCCTTGCAGAAAGGTGGCTGGAGAGAAAAGAGATGCAGAGAGAAAAAGAAGAGCAGCTTTTGACATTTCAGAAACTGCAGCTATATAGCTAGGCCTTGATGTTGTGAAAAGCTAGCTATGTTCATAAATAGGCCTTGATGATATCCTGTTGAACATAAACAAGCTTCCAAATCACCAACATCAGTGACCATGATGAACTGAAAAAAAAAAAAGACCACTCTATAACCTTGTCTAAGCACATAAACAAGATCATTGTGCAAACCACAAAAATACCAAGCACCTTCATAGCCTGGCTAATATCAGTAGCTGCTGCTTCTTTCCCAGTTTGATTCTTTAGCCTCACTTTATTTTTCCCATATTATAGATAAGATTTTTAAAATAAGCAATCATATATTTACCCCCAATTCCTGATAGCATCCAATTCAGAGCAAAGCCACTTTCTTAAGCCCTCCCCAAAAATCACCTGAGACCAGATCCTGTAATAATCCTTCCAAACACCCTCTTACTGAAATGCCCCACATTTCCCATGGTGTGTGGTCTCCTTTCTTGCATCTATTAATAAGTCAGACTTGCTCGATTACAGGTATGTTCCTGGTGGTCTTTAGCTGGATGACATTAACAACAGATTGGATCAACCAAACCACAGTATTTGTCACACCTTTGTTTCATTCTAGTCTATTTATAATTAAAATGATGTGCCTTAATATGGCATGCTTCAAAATCCTTAGCTAGAAAAGTAGCCATGGTATACTGAACAGAGCATATGATGAACCATCAGGGGATAAACACTCTAGTCCACTCTGCCTAATTAGTTAAGTGACCCTGGGAAAGTCATTTAAAATGAGAGGAACTGACCTCACAATAATCCAAAGAACCCACTAACACTCACATGTCTGAGAAATGGCGTAAAAATAAAGCTCCAAGAAATTAAGTACATTTTCCTTCTATTTACATTTTGTAAGTGGCAGAACCAGGATTTGAACCCGGGCAGAGTCTAAAAGCTTTCCATTGTACCATGTTGCCTCAACAGGCCCCAGCTTCCTCTATGAACTGACTAGGTTGGTAAACCAGAACCAGAATCTAGTAATGGCCCTTTTCATTCACCAAAGATTCTGAATGACAATTAATAATATTTATATTTATTCTTTTTTAGTCCCACCAGGTCTGTAGATGAAAGGTGCAAGACTAATTCGAGGTAATGTGCGTTTATGGAGTTTTGATTTTTAGCAAGCGCTTTTCTACATAGCATAAATCATAGATTTGATCTATCATTTGAACATCCAAGTCAAATCAATTTTCAGTTCCCTGTAATTTAAAATATGACGACTTTACTTAAGGAATTGTATGAGATGCTATACCAAGAAGGACTGAAGAAGTAAAGCCTTAACTTAAGTAAGGAAAGCAAGTGACATATCCTTTATCTCTACTCAATGCTAAACTTTAATACTTTTGCACACCTGTTTGGGATCCTTTACAAATAATAGACAAATACATACAAGAAATGAATTTATCCAATCACACAAATAATAAGGACAAATATAAAATTGTATCCATTCTACCAACAATTTAGTAAATATTTTTTAAAGAAATAAGCCGTGTAGAGGATTTGTGGAAATATGCACTGAAGGACCAGAGAAAGAAATGTTATTCTTTAACTTTCTTTTGGAAGGCAATATAGAACACGTATAAAACACTAAGATTTTTGCATATCATATTTGACCCACAAATTCATCCTATACAAAATCATAGTGGTGTAGAGAGTGAGCCACAAAATTGTTTGTAGAAATATTCATAGTGGATGAAAATTAGTAAAAAGGTAAAATGTTAGAAATTTATTTTTACCAGAGTAAAATGTATTTACTACTAATAATTATTTATTATTCTAAGAAGAATGGTTTAATAAACTATGGTTTATTTATACAATGAAAATCTGTGCAAGTATTAAAAATGAAATGAAAAAGCACTAAGCAACATAGGCAAATGTTCAAAATATATTACTAGGTTAAAAAATGTAAATTACAAATATGTGATTGTGTTTTTGTTTTATACATGTGTGTATATAGGAGTAAATGAATTTTTAAAAGGAGAAATATGCTGAGTAGTTATCTTTGGCAGGATCATAGATGGTTTTATTTTCTTCTTTTTATTTATCTACATTTTCCAAATTCTCTACCAGGAAAATATATTACCTTTATAATAATAAAAATATACTAAGTGAAATTTTAAAACAAATGCTAATACATCTCAGTCAATAAAAAATATACTATTCGGTATTTCAATACTAAATTCACTTGTCCTTTAAAATAAACAAACAACTCTGGATAAAAGACAAACATTCTCCATGAAGTAAACCTAGCTCACAGATGCCACGCCAAGGGCCATCTTTGTTCTGTCAACCATGAATGTCCTTTTCTTTAGAGGTTTGTTTTTCAAATAATTGTTTTAATTATCTTCTCTACTTTATAATTTGGAAATCTAGCTTAAAAGGAATAGTGTATGTGTAAACAAATTCTAAAAAACAAAATGATCAAAATAAGTATCGTTTATGTTATAAAAATTTTTCTTGTGGTATTACCCACATGAACTTCTGAGTGTTGTAAAGACAGTTTGTTTACTTAACATGTTGTACTTTTATAGTGTTATTTTTTGTAAGCCAATGCAATGTTGCCAATCAACAATTGTGCAAATGATCTTTGGAGAATGATGTTGTCAAAGGAGGAGGTTGTTTTTGGGTCTTCTGTTTTCTTTAGGCATTTTTCTCTTAAACATAGGAAGGATTTTCAAAAATCACCATCAAAAAAAGCCTGTGCCTTATTTAACTGCCACATTAATGATAGAAATTTAAGCATCACTGAAAAGAGAAGTTGAATAATTTACCAGCACAGAACACATTACAATAGCTACCTTGTATTGGTTGCCTATTGTTACTTATGTTCTTTAAGGTTTATTACTTTATTTAAACCCCACAGGCATCCTGCAAAGCAAATATGATTACCACTGTTTTGCAGATGAAGAAAATGAAGCTCAGGAAGTTTAAATAATTTGAAAACTTTGAAAGTTTAAATAATTTAATAAAATAGCCATAAAAATAATCAGGATTTGAACACAGGTCTCAGACTCCAGTGCTATGTTCTGTTCACTATGTACACTATGGGACTGGATTCTGATATGTCTGTTTTTCTCATTTGTTCCATATTGAGCACCTTAGAAAATGTGTCTTCTCACATCTATAATATGAACTAATGTGAAGTTATTCAAATGCATGATTCTGAAAAACCTTGAATGATTTAGGAAATCACCCACAATATAGTTTTGTATGTGACAGTGAGTATCAGCATGTCACTGGTATCTTCTTCTTCCACAGCTTGAGATACAGTGTTACTCTGCAGAAAAATTTCAAAGTACAATTTCAAGTTTTCCAGTATTTTTTTTAATTCTTTGCCCCAGTATATCCAATTATCCCCATAGTGTTTCTTCTGTACAAAGGATCAACACTGTTTGATTTCATCTTGCTAATAGATCCAAAACTAAATGTCCCTTCTTAGGCTGGAGGTCTACATGACTGCTCTCAATTCTGGTTGTTCCAGATCCTCCTTACTGTCTTGTGTTCAATGCTGAAGACCTGGTGTCCATGCCTAACATAACCTGAAGGTGCCTCTTGAATGGATCACATTTGGCTTTCCTTATGTCCTTGCTCACTATCATGGCTACCACGAGAGCCAAGGCAACCCACAGAGATGGACTTGAAGTGAGAAATCTACTCTGACCTTTGCCAGAACATCCAGCTCAGATTTTGGCCTAGGTAAGGAGTTCTTAACTGTGTCAAATTTGGCTTGAACTCCCAAAGTTGCAACTCTTTGCATTCACGGATACATCCACTTCTATTAGGCAAATGGGTTACCAAAATAATACGGTTTAGACAGATTCCAAGTAAAGCTATCTGTAGAACCAGAACCAAATTTTCCTTGATGCATTTTTCCATTCACTGGTTGGCTTAGTCACATCCTCTTAATGTATTCTTTATCATATCAGCATTTTTTTTGCACTTTATTGACATCTTGACTAGGTCAGCATTACCCAGTCTATCCCGTAGGTTTTAATAACTTTTAAACTAAAAAGAAAAAATATCTTAAAGTCGGGGTTTCTTTCTTAAAAGTCTTTCCTGTATAGTATCTCCTATATAACATCCATGTAAATAGGCTGCCCAACTTTCCTCTGCCAAAAATCTAAGCTCCATGTACCAAAGATATGCCAGGGGGTGTCATTTGGTTGCCTCTGTCTTGGATCCCTGAGCCCAGGGAAATTGCATAATAATATCCTGTTCCAAAGTTATATTGTCTTAGTCAGTTTGATCTGCTTTTTAAACAAAAATACGTTACACTGGGTGGCTTAAGCAATTGAACCCACAAAACCCAGTTCCATGTCCATAAACATAACTTACTCTACAGCTTTCCTTGAGGGAAAAAATTACATAATCTTAATAAGTACTACTATAATAAATTATATTAGATAGATATTAACTTATATATAATCTAGTTTAAGAATAAAATAGAATAAACTATTGGTTTAAAGGAGGGGTATCCAATCTTTTGGCTTCCCTGAGCTGTATTGTAAGAATAAGAATTATCTTGGGCCACACATAAAATACACTAGCATTAGCGATAACTGATGAGCTAAAAAAATAAAAAAAAAATCTCATAATGTTTTAAGAAAATTTACGAATTTGTGTTGGGAAACATTCATAGCCATCCTGGGCCACGAAGGTTAGATAAGCTTGGTTTAAAAAAGGAAGCACATTAATACTTTCAGGCTAAAAAGATATCATACAGAAAATTTTATTTGTGCTAGAAGAGATCAGAAGCTACAAGAGCATATGAAAAAATGATAGGCAGGAACCGCTCAAAACAAAGACCGCATGAGGACCTCCTGGCCCTGATACTGTTATACATTTTCTCATCTTCTACAGGAAAGATTTAGGCAGAAAGACTGTAAATATTATATTTCTGTTTGATTAAAAAAACTGGTCCTGCTTAAAGTATTTCTGAAGATTTCCTCCTGAAAAAAAATCAATAATAACAACAACAATAACAACCTCTCTCTTCTTTTCTTGGGTCAGTCTGGAGATACATTTCATTTATATTTGTGCCAGAGAAAGTTTCTTCGTCCTTTTTCTTTTGTTTTAATTAGGGGGAAAATGTTCTTATCAACTTTACATTATATCATCTTATCTTGGTTGGCCAGAATCCCAGAGAAACTTGTATAGGTTTTAAATTTCTTTACTTTTGCTCCCTGTAGAGAAGCCATATTTTGCTACACTCAGAAAAATTTATTGCCAAAGATTGATGACTCCTTACATGGGAAATTTAAATACACACAGTGTCTGCACTTTTAGACTGTTTCAAATAGTATATTTAATTTTACATTGACTTCCCTAAAATCATCTAATGATTTATTTTAACCTCTTTTATGCAGAAGACATTCTGATAACAAAATGTGTAAATTATTCAAGAGAAGGAAAACATGTTACTATCATTAAAGAAAAACCTTATTTCTAAACAAAGCATGATTAAAATTTAGTCCTTACTTCTTTACTTATATTTTAATTGTTTTTTTAAAAATCCTTTTGTTTATAAACTAACACACTGTAGGAAAATAGAGAAAAATAACCTAGCCCTTATTATTACAATGAATATTTTTTAAGACCTGTAAACTGCTAGTCATTCCTAAATCCCAGTGGCAGGGAGCAGGGGTGGTGGTAGAGAGACTTAAAAACAGCAAAAACAAACACTTCAGCCACACTAAAATCAGAATTGCTTGAAGGACCCTCATTTCTTTTTTAAATTTAAGTTCTTCTACCCCATCTATTCCCATTGTGGTGATAGAAATAATAAAGCTTTAATTTAAAGTCGAAAATTAATATATTACAACAGATTTGAGAGCAAAGCGCTGGAACTAGACAACTTTCTGTAATCGAAACCCACAACAAAGATAAATTAAACTTCCTATAATTTTATAAATTACAGAAGGAATACCTGTAATTACCCACATAAATGATGATGAAAATATTTGCCCGTAGGAATTGGAATACATTTGAAGGGAGGCTGCCTTGTTTGCCATGCTGAAAAAAGAAGGCATGTTGACACGCAGGAAAATAGTAGTGCATTTTGGATAGCAATGAGAAAAAGGACTTTAAAGAAACCTGATAAACAGGACATGGATGTTTTCTATGAGGAGATTCAACAAGCCCAACTAAACAAGAAATGACCTGTGACAAGCAAAACTACCCCTCCACACACACACACACACACACACACACACACACACACACACTCCACCTTTTCAACCAGCTCCTAAAGCGCACTAGCTAGCAGATAATCACCTAGAGCAAACCAGGTGTGATGTGCATTTTCATGTAGATCAAGCCTGAACCATCCCACCCGCCTCCCATCCCCAGTAGAAGACAGTTCTACAGGCTCTACAAACCACAGAATGCCAGCATCTAGAAAACTGGCAGAGTTTCCAAATGTTAATCCCATCATAAAAGATGAACATCATTTCAGTCCAGCTAAATTAGAAATATAAGATGATGGAAATGGCATGCATTACTCCTATAACCAGTCATCCAAAATAAATGGGCTCATTTATATATAGCTTTGCTATTTAAGAGATATTTGAAGGCAGTCAAGCTTAAAGTATAAGTTAGAACATGTCATGTCAAGCAACTTAGAGAATCTCATAACTAATGTTATTTTTACCCTGAATGTACAGTTCACATTCATTATTCCAGGTAGAAGCTTCATCAGCATCCCCTAGCACATTATGAATTCCTAATCCAAGACTCTCTCGTCTATAAGCAATGTGTTTCTTCTTTTTGCTGTAAATGATATATGGACTCCAGAGAGCAAAGTTTCTCTGTAACACATCATTCCAAAAAGGCTCTTCCCACCTCCATCCCCAGTAGTAAGCAGATTCTTTGCAGAGTTTCCATTTACCTACTTGAACACAACGGTGATTTAAAAATCTTTATGTTTATTATACAATCATAATGGGATGAACACCTTTCATAAAGAATCCAGTGCTCTTCAAACAGAAGTAACTTACTTTGTACAGCTACAAATATCTTAGTATCTTTTTAAGGGAAAGTATCATCAAATAGAACTATTCTCAGGGTAGACCCATTAAACCAGTCACAAGATAAAGAACATAGGTAAATACTGTTCTTAATTGCCTGGACAACATTCTGTAACTCAATCGAATACTTTCTAAAACTATATATGTCCGTAAAGTAGTGTATCATTTTATTTTGTCACCTAGTACTTAAAAGCAGTGTTAGAAAGTGCATTGAGTCAAAAGTGAGCAATTCAAATTCTACAGCTATGAGCCTCTCCATCTTTATTTTTTTCTTTTGTCAAATATTGTATGATTCTAGAGGCTAAAACAGTTCCTACAAATGCCTACCCAGAAAGGAGAAGCAAGCAAAGGAAAGAAGGGAGGGAGGAAGGAAGCATGGAGGTAGGGAGAAAGACACCATCTACTTGGTCCTGCTCTGTAATACTTGAAGGTTCTCCCTGTGATTTTATTCTGTCTTTGGATCTCTAACAACCCAACAGCCACCATTAGTCACAAAAACACA
This sequence comes from Homo sapiens, assembly GCF_000001405.40. Taxonomy (NCBI): domain Eukaryota; kingdom Metazoa; phylum Chordata; class Mammalia; order Primates; family Hominidae; genus Homo; species Homo sapiens. Next base: position 104,927,657 of record NC_000004.12, read on the forward strand.
TCTGTGTTTAAAAAACTGTCCACAGAAAATTGAAGTGAGTGATCTATACATCACAGAAACAAAAGGAGAGAGAGATGTATATATATATATATATATCCTTTTTCTACACTATTATATATAATAGTAGAGAAAAGCCTCAACACAAGAAATAAGGTTATTACACACAAAACTTAGATATCCCGGCCAGGCATGGTAGCTCATGCCTGTAATCCCAGTACTTTAGGAGACCAAGGCTGGATGATCACTTGAAGCCAGGACTTCAAGACCATCCTGGGTAACATAGTAAGATCTTATCTCTACAAAAAATACAAAAATTAGCTGGGCATGGTGGCACGCACCTGTAGTCCTAGTTACTCAGGAAGCTGAGGCAGGAAAACCACTTGAGCATAGGAGTTTGAAGCTGCAGCAAGCTATGTTCATGCCACTGTACTCCTGCTTAGGTGACAGAGTTAGACTCTGTGGAGAGAAAGGAAAGGAAAGAGGAAAGAGAAAAAGAAAGAGAAAGGAAAGGAAGAGAGAGAGAGAAAGAGAGAAAGAAAAGAAAAAAATAAAGTTAGATATGCAGAGATTTTGAGATGACCTACAGAATTCATATGGATCCACAATCCTTATAGCTAGATCCTTATATGATTGCTCCAAAAATGTACATTCTGGACCTAGCACATTAGCTAGCCCCCCAACAATTCTTAATTTCTAGTAGATATGGCAGAATAATGTTACATGAAATGGTGGTATCAAGTTGTTATATGAGAATGACAACATAGGAATCCTAATAAAATGCTTGTAGATGGTCTTTGAGGTCAGTTAAAAATCACCAAATATTTTTGACGGCAATATCTCTAGTACTTGTACCTCTGTTTATCTGTCATTATCTCAAGTCTTAGTTCCTATTGATTAAATCTATTTAGCAACAGTTATAAAATTTTTCTTCTAGATGTGAAATGGCCATAGGGACTCTACTTCCTGGTTAACATGTCTTAATGAATCACCACATTTTCATGTTTTCCCACAGGAAAGGAACATGGTAAAATAGAAATAGGTTAAGATGTAATGATCTCCCCCTTTCCTGAATATGCCTCTGAATCGCTCTGTGTATACCTCTGCATTCTTTCATTTGCATATAAGGAAACCACTATGGCTTATAGCTTTTACAAACTGATGCCAATAATGGTCACATATCTTACAAAGATCTAGAATTTATTACAAAGTAATTAAAATCAATAACAACAACAAGAAAACAAACTTCCAAAAGGTCAAAACTTTAACCAATCTACATAATCACTAAAATTTAGCACCAAGTATTAAAAGCAAAGACATAAAAGCAATCCTGTGATGAATTTCCATACACATAAATATTCACTAAGTAGGAAAATACCTGATTAAAGAGTTAAAGAAATTTTATTTGTAACACTTTCCTTAAAGGGATTTTTCTTTTCCAAAATAGTATAAATCATTGTATTTTAGACCTCCTACTATCTACTTTATTGGTCTAAAGATTATTGGTACTTTAATGATAAGTTAAATACATTTTAACAGAAAGATAATTAAATGAACACTTGAAGTATTAACATAATTACATATAGTCAGGCAAATTCTGTGTATGAGATGAAATGTCATTCCAAAAGTATCTCATTGCTGTTTTTGTGTCACATTTAGACATGAGACACTGAGTATATACTTGTCGGCTAAGTGTTCACAAATCCTACTAAGGGCATGTATTGGGGGACTTGGCATTGCCAGGTTGTAGAGAGTACTTGCATCTCCTTGCATCAAATTTGGATGAAATTCTAAAACCATATAGGCTGCTCCAGAATACATCCGGCTTCTGGTGGATAAATAGGTCCACCATTTCTGGTTATTTTTCTAAGTAAGTTGTAAAAACCCTCCCTATGTAAGGCCTATTTGACAAGTATTTTTTCTAGTACATAAAACTAGAATATGATAAAAAATTTTTATAAACATAACTCAACCTAAAACTCTTGAAATATCTTATGGTTTATGACAACACACACATTCAATTACTGGAGACACATACTAAATACTACATATTTGTTGATAAAGCTGAAACTCCTAAACCTACCAAAAAGGCCTTCAAGACTGCCACCAATTCCATTTTCTTCCTCCACAGTGGAAGACTAAAAACTGCCAATCAATGACTAATCTCCCCTGTTTCTGCTATCAGAACTTGTCTGTATACAAGAGCAATGTGCTCATCTCTAGGAGGTGATGAACAACCATTCTAAGGTGATAATCACAATGTTCTTTCCCTTTGCCATATAGTCATTTTTTCACTCTCCTTTGCAACTAGGAGGGATATTTTCTAATAAAAGAGACCAATGGAGCTGGACTCTCCCCTTCCCTCTTTCTTCTTCTTCCTGCATGGATATGATGCCTGGTGTTGTGGTAGCCATATTAAAAACCGTGGGGCCTTCAGCCAAAGGGGAAAAAGCCAGCAAATGAAGGAAGGAGAATGCAAGGTAGAAAGAGCCTATATCCTTGACAGCATCATGAACAATGGGAGCAATGCCAGCAATTTTCTATATTCTTACTTCTTGCTCTGTAGGAAAAAATAATTCCTTATTTACTAAAGCCACTGTTGGATTGTGGCTGGCAAGATGTCTGAATAGGAACAGCTCCGGTCTGTAGCTCCCAGCGAGATCAACGCAGAAGGTGGGTGATTTCTGCATTTCCAACTGAGGTGCACAGCTCATCTCACTGGAACTGGTTAGACAGCGGGTGCAGCCCATGGAGAGTGAGCTGAAGCAGGGTGGGATGTCACCTCACACAGGAAGCACAAGGGGTCAGGGAACTCCCTCCTCTACCCAAGGAAAGCCCTGAGGGACTGTGCTGTAAGGAACAGTGCACCCTGGCCAAGATAATATGCTTTTCCCACGGTCTTCGCAACCTGCAGACCAGGAGATTCCCTCCGGTACCTACATCACCAGGGCCCTGGGTTTCAAGCACAAAACTGGGCAGTCATTTGGGCAGACATCGAGCTAGCTGCAGGAAATTTTTTCATACTCCAGTGGTGCCTGGAACACCAGCAAGACAGAAAAAGTTAGACCCCTGGAAAGGGGGCTGAAGTCAGGGAGCCAAGTGGTCTAGCTTAGAGGATCCCACCCCAAGGGAGCCCAGCAAGCTAAGATCCACTGGCTTGAAATTCTCACTGCCAGCAGAGCAGTCTGAAGTCAATCTGGCATGCTGGAGCTTGGTGGGAGGAGGGGCGTCTGCCATTACTGAGGCTTGAGTAGGTGGTTTTCCCCTCACAGTGTAAACAAAGCGGCCAGGAAGTTTGAACTGGGCGGAGCCCACCACAGCTTGGCTAAGCCACTGTAGCCAGACTGTCTCTCTAGATTCCTTTTCTCTGGGCAGGGCATCTCTGAAAGAAAGGTGGCAGCCCCAGTCAGGGGCTTATAGATCAAACTCCCATCTCCCTGGGACAGAGCACCTGGGGGAAGGGGTGGCTGTGGGCACAGGTTCAGCAGACTTAAATGTTCCTGCCTGCTGGCTCTGAAAAGAGCAGCAGATCTCCCAGCACAGCCCTTGAGATCTGCTAAGGGACAGACTGCCTCCTCAAGTGGGTCCCTGAACCCCGTGACTTCTGACAGGGAGAAACCTCCCAGCAGGGGTCAGCAGACACCTCATATAGGAAAGCTCCAGCTGGCATCTGGCAGGAGCCCCTCTAAGATGAAGCTTCCAGAGGAAGGAACAGCAGCAATCTTTGCTGTTCTGCAGCCTCTGCTGGTGATACCCAGGCACACAGGGTCTGGAGTGGACCTCCAGCAAACTGCAGCAGACCTGCAGCAGAGAGGCCTGTTAGAAAGAAAACTAACAAACACAAAGGAATAGGATCAATGTCAACAAAAAGGACGTCCACACAGGAACCCCATCTGAAGGTCACCAACATCAAAGACCAAAGGTAGATAAATCCAGGAAGATGAGGAAAAACCAGCACAAAAAAAGGCTGAAAATTCCAAAAACCAAAATGCCTCTTCTCCTCCAAAGGATCACAACTCCTTGCCAGCAAGGGAACAAAACTGGATGGAGAATGAGTTTGACCAATTGAAGGAAGTAGGCTTCAGGAGGTGGGTAATAACAAACTCTGCCGAGCTAAAGGAGCATGTTCTAACCCAATGCAAGGAAGCTAAGAACCTTGGAAAAAAGTTAGAGGAATTGCTAACTAGAATAACCAGTTTAAAGAGGAACATAAATGACCTGATGGAGCTGAAAAACACAGCACAAGAACTTTGTGAAGCATACACAAATATCAATAGCCAAATTGATCAAGCAGAAGAAAGGATTTCAGAGATTGAAGATCACCTTAATAAAATAAAGCATGAAGACAAGATTAGAGAATAAAGAATGAAAAGGAATGAACAAAGCCTCCAAGAAAATATGGACTATGTGAAAAGACCAAACCTATATTTGATTGGTGTACATGAAAGTGATGGGGAGAATGAAACCAAGTTGGAAAATACTCTTCAGGATATCATCCAGGAGAACTTCCCCAACCTAGCAAGGCAGGCCAACATTCAAATTCAGGAAATACAGAGAACACCACTAAGATATTACTCAATAAGAGCAACCCCAAGACACACAATCATCAGATTCACCAAGGTTGAAATGAAGGGAAAAATGTTAAGGGCAGCCAGAGAGAAAGGTCAGGTTACCCACAAAGGGAAGCCCATCAGACTAACAGTGGATCTCTCTGCAGAAACCCTACAAGCCAGAAGTAAGTAGGGGCCAATATTCAACACTCTTAAAGAAAAGAATTTTCAACCCAGAATTTCATATCCAGCCAAACTAAGCTTCATAAGTGAAGGAGAAATAAAATCCTTTACAGACAAGCAAATGCTGAGAGATTTTGTCACCACCAGGCCTGCCTTACAGGAGATCCTGAAGAAAGCACTAAACATGGAAAGGAGCAACCGGTACCAGCCACTGCAAAAACATAACAAATTGTAAAGACCATTGACATTGTGAAGAAACTGCAGCAACTAATGGGCAAAATAGCCAGCTAGCATCATAATGATAGGATCCAATTCACACATAACAATATTAACCTTAAATGTAAACGGGCTAAATGCCCCAAGACACAGACTGGCAAACTGGATAAAGAGTCAAGAACCATCAGTGTGTTGTATTCAGGAGACCCATCTCACATGCAAATAAAGGAATGGAGGAATATTTAGCAAGTAAATGGAAAGAAAAAAAAAGCAGGGGTTGCCATCCTAGTCTCTGATAAAACAGACTTTAAACCAACAAAGATAAAAAATGACAAAAAAGGAGCACCCAGACTCATATAATAAGATCTTAGAGACCTACAAAGAGACTTAGACTCCCACACAATAATAATGAGAAACTTTAACACCCCACTGTCAATATTAGACAAATCAATGAGACAAAAAAGTAACAAGGATATTCAGGACTTCAATTCAGCTCTAGACCAAATGGACCTAATAGACATCTACAGAACTCTCCACCCCAAATCAAAAGAATATACATTCTTCTCAGCACCACATCACACTTATTCTAAAATTGACCACATAATTGGAAGTAAAACACTCTTCAGCAAACGCAAAAGAATGGAAATCATAACAGTCTCTCAGACCACAGTGAAATCAAATTAGAACTCATGATTAAGAAACTCACTCAAACCACATGACTACATGGAAGCTGAACAACCTGTTTCTGAATGACTACTGAGTAAATAACAAAATTAAGGCTTAAATAATTGAGCTCTTTGAAACCAATGAGAACAAACATACAATGTACCAGAATCTCTGGGACAGAGCTAAAGCAGTGTTTAGTGGGAAATGTATAGCACTAAATGCCCACAGGAGAAAACAGAAAAGATCTAAAATTGGCACCCTAACATCACAATTAAAAGAACTAGAGAAGCAAGAGCAAGCAAACTAAAAAACTAGCAGAAGACAAGAAATAACTAAGATTAGAGCAGAACTGAAGGAGATAGAGACATAAAAAGCCCTTCAAAAAATCAATGAATACAGGAGCTGGTTTTTTCAAAAGATCAACAAAATAGACCAGTTGCCAGACTAGTAAAGAAGAAAGGAGAGAAGAATCAAATAGACACGATAAAAATGATAAAGGGGATATCACCACTGATCCCACAAAAATGCAAACTACCATCAGAGAATACTATAAAAACCTCCACGCAAATAGACTAGAAAATCTAGAAGAAATGGATAAATTCCTGGATACATACACCCTACCAAGACTAAACAAGGAAGAAGTCCAATCCCTGAATAGACCAATAACAAGTTCTGAAATGGAAGCAGTAATTAATAGCCTACCAACCAAAAAAAGTCCAGGACCAGACAGATTCACAGCCGAATTCTACCAGAGGTACACAGAAGAGCTGGTACTATTCCTTCTGAAACTATTCCAGTCAACAGAAAAAGAGGGACTCCTCCCTAACTCATTTTATGATGCCAGCATCATCCTGATACCAAAACCTGGCAGAGACACAACAACAACAAAAAAGAAAATTTCAGGCCAATATTCCTGAAGAATGTCAATGTAAAAATCCTCAATAAAATACTGGCAAACTGAATCCAGCAGCCCATCACAAAGCTTATCCACCATGATCAAGTTGGCTTCATCCCTGGGATGCAAGGCTGGTTCAACATCTGCAAATCAATAAACATAATCCATCACATAAACAGAACCAATGACAAAAAACACATGATTATCTCAATGGATGCAGAAAAGGTCTTCAACAAAATACAACACCCCTTCATGCTAAAAACTCTCAATAAACTAGGTATTGATGGAACATACATCAAAATAATAAGAGCTATTTATGACTAACCCACAGCCAATATCATATTGAATGGGCAAAAACTGGAAGCCCTCTCTCCCCACTCCTATTCAACACAGTATTGGAAGTTCTGGCTACGCAATCAGGCAAGAGAAAGAAATAAAGTGTATTCAAATAGGAAGAGAGGAAGTCAAATTGCCTCTGTTTACAGATGACATGATTGTATATTTAGAAAACCCCATCATCTCAGCCCAAAATCTCCTTAAGCTGATAAGCAACTTCAGTAAAGTTTCAGATACAAAATCAATGTACAAAAATTACAAGCATTCCTTTATACCAATAATAGACAAAAATAGAGCCAAATTATGAATGAACTTCATTCACAATTACTACAAAGAGAATAAAATACCTAGGAATACAACTTACAAGGGACGTGAAGGACCTCTTCAAGGAGAACTACAAACCACTCCTCAAGGAAATAAGAGAGGACACAAACAAATGGAAAAACATTCCATGCTCATGGATAGGAAAAATCAACATTGTGAAAATTGCCATACTCACCAAAGTAATTTATAGATTCTATGCTATCCCTGTCAACCTACCATTGACTTTCTTCAAAGAATTAGAAAAAACTACTTTAAATTTCATATAGAACAAAAAACAGCCCATATAGCCGAGACAATCCTAAGCAAAAAGAACAAAGCAGGAGGCATCACGCTACCTGACTTCAAACTATACTACAAAGCTACAGTAACCAAAACAGCATGGTACTGGTACCAAAACAGATATATAGACCAATAGGACAGGATAGAGGCCTCAGAAATAATGCCACACATGTACAACCATCTGATCTTCAACATTCCTGACAAAAACAAGCAATGGGGAAAGGATTTCCTATCTAATAAATGGTGTTGGGAAAACTGGCTAGCCATATGCAGAAAACTGAAAAATGGATTAAAGACTTAAATGTAAGACCTAAAACCATAAAAACCCTAGAAGAAAAACTAGGCAATACCATTCAGGACATAGGCATGGGCAAAGGCTTCATGACTAAAACACCAAAAGCAATGGCAACAAAAGCCAAAAGTGACAAATGGGATCTAATTAAACTAAACAGCTTCTGCACAGCAAAAGAAACTAGCATCGGAGTGTACAGGCAACCTACGCAATGGGAGAAAATGTTTGCAATCTACCCGTCTGACAAAGGGCTAATATCCAGAATCTACAAAGAATTTAAATAAATTTACAAGAAATAAACAACCCCATCAAAAAATGGGCGAAGGATATGAACATAAATGTCTTCTCAAAAGAAAACATTTATGTGGCCAACAAACATATGAAGAAAAGCTCATCATCACTGGTCATTAGAGAAATGCAAATTAAAACCACAATGAGATACCATCTTACACCAGTTAGAATGGCAATCATTAAAAAGTCAGTAAACAACAGATGCTGGAGAGGATGTGGAGAAATAGGAACGCATTTACACTGTTGGTGGGTGTGTAAATTAGTTCAACCATTGTGGAAGACAGTGTGGCAACTCCTCAAGGATCTAGAACCAGAAATGCCATTTGACCCAACAATCCCATTACTGGGTATATACTCAAAGGATTATAAATCATTCTACTATAAAGACATGCACACGTATGTTTATTGCAGCACTATTTACAATAGCAAAAACTTGCAACCAACCCAAATGCCCATCAATGATAGACTGGATTAAGAAAATGTGGCACATATACACCATGGAATACTATGCAGCCATAAAAAAGAATGAGTTCATGTCCTTTGCAGGGACATGGATGAAACTGGAAACCATCATTCTCAGGAAACTAATACAAGAACAGAAAACCAAACATGGCATGTTCTCACTCATAAGTGGCAGTTGAACAATGAGAACACATGGACACAGGGAGGGGAATATCACAAACTGGGGCCTGTCAGTGGGTAGAGGGGTAGGGGAGGGATAGCATTAGCAGAAATACCTAATGTAGATGATGGGTTGATGGGTGCACAAACCACCAAGGCACGTGTATACCTATGTAACAAACCTGCACGTTCTGCACATGTATCCCACAACTTAAAGTATAATTTTTAAAAGGTTGCCTGCATTAGATAAATAATTTAAAATGAAAATGCCACTGTTAGTCATGTTCTTTATTACCTGCAGCCAACGCAGCCTATTCAATAACTTCTGCTTCATGCCTGCAATGCAGTCCCATTGGACATTCATCATTGCCCCAAACATCATACACTTCCCTATCTTCATATCTTTTTTCTACCTAGCTTTGCATATAGTATTTATTACACTTTATAAAATGAAAGATATGAACTGGCTGATAAAATGTTAAGTTTAAATAAGTGGTCCATAATCAGATAAATCAGTCAAAAATTAATCGCTTTCTACTTATATGTAAGGCACAATGCTACAGTTGATTTAAATGTTGAGTTTTTACTTAATGATTCTATATGTTCCCAAATGACAATTTCTTGTGCTTTGTTTTTATACATAAACAAAAGACTTCAATACTAGTTTGATATACAAGATGGTTGTCTAAAGGACAGGAACCAGCTCTCCTGCTGTGTTTTATAAAATGTCTACTTATTGCTGATGCTCAACCAATATTAAATTATAATAATACTGCTGTGGGTATCATTTAGGTTCCCTGACATTGTTACAACTTGCTATTCTGTTTTTGAAGCGTATGAGATCCTATAATAAAATTGTTTTATGGAAGTGGATGCAAACTACATACGGTTTGTCAGTCAGCTTACCTGGGTCTCTTTAGGAATGTGTTCTGCTCAAATAAAGACGTGTTTTAAAATTCTGTATTGGTATGATTCAACTGCAGGAAAGTAAGACTCATAATTTACTATAATAAATTACTTCTCAAAAACATTTATTATCAGACTGCAATGATTCTCAATCCTAAAATAAAAAATCATTCTTTCCTACAAGTAAACCAAAGGAGGGCAAAATGATTTTTTAAATATAAAACTAAGTTTAAATCATAGCTCTACCTAAAAGTATTCCTAGGAGATTTTTTTTATCATTTTTTAAATTATTGCACTTAGAAGAAGCATATAATAAAAAGAATTTCGAACTCATTCACATAGCTATTACTTTAAAGGGTATCATCGAAAGTTCTGAGATGGTCCAGCTGGCATTTGTCAAACCTCAAAGCTTCCAAGGAAGTCTTTATGTTTCATGGAATTTTGCTTGAAATTGCTTTAGCATATCAACTTAAGGAATGATTAAGGGAATTAAAGCTAGGGATTATCCATTCAACTGTTTGCTCATCCACACTATTTCAGAAACTCTACAAATACTTTTTCTTTGGTTGCTTAACTCTATCTTTGTAATCAGCCCTTCAGCTAAAGTCAAAGGGGAATTATCTTTATTGAAGAAGTCTAAAAAATTTTTGGAGAAGTTCTTTGTGATGGAATAACCGTCACTTAAATCCACTTTTATTTTACTCTTTGACATTTATCCCAGAGAAATGAAAATGTATGCTTATACAGAAGACTGTATACCAATGATTATAGTAGCTTTATGAGTAATAGCCAAAAAATGGAAGCAACCCAGATGTTTTGCAGCAGGTAAATAGTTAAACTGCAGTACATCTATACCATAGAATACCACTCAACAATAAAAAGAACAAACTATTGGTACACTCAGCAACCTAGATGACTCTCCAAAGAATCATACTGAATTTAAAAAGCCATTTCCCAAATGACAATTACAAACTGTGTGATTCTATTTATATAATAATACTTTCGTAATGACAAAATTTTGAAACTGTAGAACAGATTAGTGGCTTCCAGAGGTTTAGGATGGCATAAGGATAGAAAGGAAGTGGATATGGCTTTAAAAGGGCAACATAAAGAATCTTGTGATTAGGAAACTGTTTGTATCTTAACTGTATCAATGTCAATATCTTGGTTGTGATATGGTACTATCATTTTATAAGATTTTATCATTGGGGAAAAATTAGGTAAAAGGATCACTCTGTATTATTTCTTATAACTGCATACAAGTCTACAATTATCTGAAAATCAAAAACCTTCTGCCCAGCATTGATTTCCTCTTTTTATAACAACACCCTAATGTTTCTTGCAGCCACTTTTCCTTATTTTCAGTCCATGTGGTTCAGATGTTCAAAGCCAACCTTGGACTTAGTAGGTGGACCTGTAATTCAGACCCGATCAATGAGCATAGTCTATCTTTTTGACCATAGTGATTGGTTCATGAATAGTCATATGATTTAAGTTGGTGCAGTATACTCAAACCTATGGGTTTTACTAAACTATAAGAAAGGATAAGCCCTTTTTGCTGAAGTTGCTAAGTATTGTTAAGTAAAAGCTCCAACCAACAGGCCCACCACATCAAATGTGCCAGTCAGAGAATGTAGTACAAAGGAAAGCAAAACCAAAAGATGCAAAGACTTTAGTCTTAATGACAAAGTTTGTGACCCTGGATTCAATTGTGTCTGAAAGTAGTATATTCTCTGGACTTTTCAGTTATATGAACTAAAAATGCCCTGTTTGTCAGTTAAAAAAAAAGTTTAATTTTAAAAGATCTTTAGTGAAGATTAGAATCACATTCAGTATCTAACACAGGTATTTCTGTAAACAATGTAGCAAAGTTTGAAACACTTTTCACCATAACAAAAATATTTCATTATTCCACTACCAACAATTCTGATTTATATTTTATCTCTTAAGTGCAATATTAGTTCTCCTCCTCTTCAGGTCTTGGTGTCTCATTAATTATCTTGAACAAAGCGCTTTTGGTGTATGCTGTATTTTTGCTGTACATTTTTTATTGAGATGTAAACTCTTATTGATTTGTAAGAGATTTTTGTATATTAAGAATAATAGGCCTCTTTGTATCACATACATGAAAAATGCTTTTTTCTACTGGTCATCTGTCATTCAACCTCACTTGGACTGTTTATCTGATATAGAAGTACATTTTATTTTATTTTATTTTATTTTATTTATTTTATTTTATTTTATTTTTTGAGACAGGAGTCTTACTCTGTCACCAGGCTGGAGTGCAGTTGCACATCTCAGCTCACTGCAACCTCCGCCTCCCGGGTTCAAGCAATTCCCCTGCCTCAGCCTCCAGAGTAGCTGGGACTACAGGCATGCACCACCACGCCCGGCTAATTTTATGTATTTTAGTAGACACAGGGCTTCACCATTTTGGCCAGGATGGTCTCGAGCCCCTGACCTTGTGAATAGATGTAATTTTTATATTTACGTTTGTCAATCTTGTTTTTTATTGTTTCAGTTTTTTTGTGTTATGCTTACAAAGGCCTTCCCACCCTAATATTACATTTAAAATCTAATTATATTTTCTGCTGTTAGTTTTACAGGCTTTTAAAACAAGTACAAATTATGTAAAGAACACTGTAGGAATGATGTGTTTCCCCAAATTATTACATATTGGATAAGCATTTATTCATTAATGCATTTTTCCCTACTGATTCAAAATGCTAACTTTATTATATACTAAATATCCCTATACATAGTTGGATCTGAGGTTAGATGTTTTGTTTCTCAACCATCTATTTCCTAGCCAGTTCCACATTGTTTTAACTTCAGTGTTTTTGTGGTACATCTTAACACCTGACAAGGCAAGGCTCATTCTTCATATTTTTGTTTTTCAGAATTCTTCTAGCTGTTCTTGCATGTTTATTCTTCAAAGTAAAATTTGAAATCATTTTATCAAGCTCCTCACCACCTTCCCACAGCAAATGAGAATTTTGATTGATATTACAATGCAAATAGAATAAATTCAAACAGAATTGACCTCTTTTAAAAAATAAAGCCTACTTTTTCTAAATTGTGTCTCCCCACTTAATCAAATGTTTTGTAATGTTCTCAAATCTTTTATTATCATATAAAATGTTATAATTTTACATATCTTGTTCATTTTACATTTCTTAAGACTATTTCTAGATATTAAATGTTGCTTAGTTATAAATGTAAATGGGATAATTTCCGTTTGTGTTTTCTATTCAAGAACGTGTTAGAAATCTACTGATTTTATTTATTTTACACCATCTACCTTAAGGAATACTCTTATTTTCTTAAGTCTGCAAGATCTATTTTTTAAAAAAATATTTTCAAAGAAAACTTGTTGATTTAAAATAGTTCAGGAAACAACTAAGTGATTGTATAATTTAAAATGGGAAAAGTGACTGCTGGTTTAAAATATAAATTTAAAATTTAGACACACACACACACACACACACACACACACACACCAACACAAATATATCACAAGAATCCTTGGATTGGGACATGTTTTCTTTTAAAATTTGAGTATTAGCAAAAGCAAGGAATTCAGTAGCTCTATGAACCACTCACTGTTTCCAGAGCTCTTCCACTGGAGCACCATTTTGTTTCCTTACAAAGAGAATGGACTTCCCTTAGATGGCTGCTCCAAGCAATCACTCTTTTTTAATGGTTCTCAAAAATAAAATGTTACCATTTAAAAATCAGAAAAGAAAAAACATCTCATCTGATGCTTGTATTACATTTTCTTTTACCGGATTCACAGCATATGATTAACAATGCACATAAACTTGGCTCTGTGATTTTGTGTTTAGATAATGATTGAAATCCATTAAACTATCCTTTTATGGTTGATATTCTGTCAGCTGAACATCCAGCAGATTCTTTTTATAGAAATATGATTTGATCTGCAATGTCCTGGAACATGTTTTCCCAGCTATTTGGCTTCAAGTTTATGGTAATTACCAGGCATTATCTCACAATTTCTACTGCTCCCAGGAACATTAAAATCCCACCACCCCTAGAAGCTTTTCTTGAGGATGAACCGTGGAAATCCTATGCCATTCCCTACAGGCTCTACTCAAGTGATAGGGTTTGTTTTTGTTTTCTTTTAACTGTTTCTTGTATTAAGCCTTATTTTTCATATGTCTTATCCCTCCAAATCACTTAAAATTTCCTCAGGAGGAATAAGGAAGAATTAACGTTTTGGGGCTCTCAGTACCAGCCTGGTCTCATTGCTTTGAATACATTTTTTCATGGCAAATATTAGTTATTATTGACATTTTATCTCCTGAGATACCTACTTCAGTGCCCAATGAATAGATGCTTGTTAGTTATATAACTGAACAGTCATCAGAGTATTTTTTTCTTAAATAATTTCCATCTAAGTGAAACAATAGCTCTTTTATTTTTACTTTAAGTTGCCAATGTAACAATAAAAGTTCATTGTGAATCAAGATATGTAAGGAATTTGGTGGCATTTTTTTTTTAGAATTACAAAACGTCAATAGCTTTTTATTAGTGGTATAGTTTCTCTATGAAACACCCTGAACTATAGTAGAGGCTTGCTGAAGATATAGAAGATTCATTTGTCCTTTCATAGCAGTTCCTTTGACCAATAGTTTCTGCTTAACATTAGTCACTCATTCTGCTTATTTTCTCACTGATTCTGCTAATGAGTCATAGATTATTTTGCATCTAAATCTCAGAAGTGTAGATCAAAGTCCTTCATGTGTAATGAAATGAAACTAATAACAGCAACCATTTATTGAGTGATTGTTATGTGTCAGGAACTGAGTGTCCTACTTGTGTAACTGCATTTAATTATCGTAACTACCCATTAGGTTGATGCTATTATCATCATCATTTTAAGGATGAGTAAACTAACTCTTAGAGAAGTAAAGTCAGACAATGCAAAGCCTAAACTTTTATCCATTTACATATACAATGAAACAACATAAGAATTGCAAGAGTGAAATATCTACTTTCCTAGTGAAGTTTATATGAAATTTGGGATACCTGTGGGGCAGCCATTATGATAGAAACAGAACTAGGAGAGTGGAAATGAGCTCTCTCTGGAAATACTTTCATAAACATCTCCTGAAACCCTACCACCAGGTTGGCAAATCATTGTTGTCTCCATCTTACATAGGGAATGGCTCAAAGTCACATAGTTAAGAAGTGGCAAAGACAGATCCATACTCAGGTCTTATAGATTCCAGGCCAAAACCCATCCATTCCCCACCACCACCATTTAACCCAGTTTCACAGGCGTGGTGGCAGCGATGGCAAAATTTGTCCTTCATAGTGTCACATCCATGGCTTCCTAAAGGCTCACATTACCCTCCTACAGACAGCATGGCTGTCTCCAACATGTCTCAACCAAAGTAACTACTGATCTCTATTGTGATGTAAAATAAAACATCCCTTATTAGTGCATTTTCTTTTGTGCCCTGTTTTTCATCCTGGATATCAACAAAAGGCCAATCAAACCAGTAAAAATGTTTAAAATTCTGTATATAACTTTTAGTCCATTTGATGCTCTATATACTTACAAGCACATTTTATAAAATTAGCTGCTTGAAAATCATGTAGATATATATATTGTTTCAACTTAATTATTCTGTGCAATATAGCACTCACCACAGCCAATTGTTTAAAGTATCCCAATGGCCTTCCAAACTCTCCTATATGCTCTACAAAGCATAGTTGTTCTGAGCCCCATCTGCACAGCACAGATAGCCGTGTTCCTCAAGTATTCTATGTGCTCCTCTCTATGCCCCAACCTCTCATGCAGTTAGACTGGGGACATGCAACCAGTCTGGGTCATTCAACTATGTATGTGTTAAATCATTAAACCTCACAATAAGGTAGGTATGCTGTGATTTCTTGGATTCTGTATTCGTCTGTGAGGCATCCATTCAAAACAGGGCCAGCTTTATTAAACTACATTTTCTTAATTTCTATAGTTCTTGATGCTCTAGAATCTGGTGGCCTTACAGACCCAGAAAGAGACTATCTTCCCTAGAGCTGGCTAATTCTGAGAGTCGGCGAAGGTCTTAGCTGAGAGCACAGCTCTCACGTACAAACCAACCAATCCTGAATCTACAGCCCCAAACTCCTTATCTAACTCTCACACAACAAACCAATATTTCCCTTGCCCTAAATCTTCCCAGTTACCAGGCAACTAGAGATCACCCTTATAGCCCAAAGTCCTCTGGAATCATTCAAACTGGCCAATCCTAAACTGTTTACTCTGCTCTGCCTTCCTTTTCGCACAGAAACCTCAAGAAAGGCTCTGGCCTAGACTTGCCCCTTGTTCCTGTCTTCTGGCTCTTGACTGACACTGGTGCTTTCCCCCTGTGGTCCTGCATGGTGTGTGGTGACTACCTCATTGGGCCCTGTGAGTAGAATAAATTCCTTTCTAAGCTTTGTTCTTGTTTTCTCTTGCGGCTGCACTAACTTTACCATACCCCAGCCAAAATATACATTCTTAGAAGAGTAGGTACTATTTTTAACCTCATTTTAGAGATGATGAAACTAAAACACAGATATAATACTTTAAACAATTTATCCAAGATAACATGAGAAGCCAAGATTCTAACCCAGGCAAGCCAGCTCAAGATTGTAATAAAAACAGGGCTTTGTCTTCTCCATCCTCCACACATCTGGAATAGCACTTAGCTTTACGGTTTTTCTTTGCATTTAATTGATGCACTGCAAGACTACTTGTGTAGATTTTCAGTGTCGTCAAAAAGTAACAGCCACAGATTTTGGTAATTGAATTCGTGGTCAGCTCTGCTTTGCTAGCACAAATCCTAGTTTTATTTTAGATTTTACCTTATTTCTAGCCTTTAGATTTCTAGATACCTTTCTATTTCATTGTCTTCCTGGTCTTCTAGTCACCAACATCCCTTAGTATTCTTGCCCAGCTCTGACACAATTCTAATCCTATCTTTTCTGATGTATATAGAAGGAGAATGAGGGAGATTATTTATAAAGTATATTCACAAAGACAGGTAAAGGGACATTTGGGAGGATGAGAGCTGTCCTTTTTCTCTAGGCTACACCATATTTACACAATTGCTACACCAAGGCATCTGTATTTTTGCCATCATCATCAAAGCTCCCAGGATTTCTTCTACATGCAAGAAAGCTAATCTAGCATGATCTAATATAAAACCAAATATGACAGTCCAAAACTTTTGTAAAGGAGAAACTAGGGCAACAGTGATTAGCAGTGTATTAGGTTAGTTCCCCCAGAGAAACAAATCTCACTATGATCTGAAGATTTCTAAACAGCCCTTTGAGCTTCATGAGCAAACCTTATACTAACTCATTCTTACAAGGACCTTTTAGAAGACCAGAACACTTCTATAGAATCCTTAAACAAGAATTAATATGTTTTCCCCAGATTAACACCCAAGAGTCAGAAAAAAAATTTCTGGCTAACTGATGCATAATTGTTTATGGACATCAGCTTGCCTTGAGTATATTCAGCTTTAATGTTAATAGGAAAAAATGTATTTCTAATAAATATTTGCTGCCACAAGCAGAAAGATAAGAAAGTCTGTTAGGGAAAACTGCCAATGTCCTAGTATCATGTTTCCAAGAAGGGGCTTCTGGAATAACACTTCCTCTAGAGTCCTCACATATCTTCTGTGTTTTTTAAATGAGGAGGAGAGACACAGGTAATTGGGGAGATTAAAACAAGACACTGGAAGTATGGCTCAGCCCCTTTATAGTCACTAAGATATGTAGAGAATAGGGGTCTTTTATGAGGGCAACAGGCCCTGGTGACAAATATTTTGAGGCCTCCAAGAAAGGGTGAACTAACAATATCTTTACAGAGGTCTGTATTCAGATCCACACTTCTTCCAGACCACAAATCCCAATTGTTTGTAGTGAATTCCCCTCTTCTCTCATTGCCGCTGGCCTTCTCTTCTAGATCCTAAACTTAATGTAGTAAATATACGTGGGTCAAGGCTCAAACTTCCTTCTTGGAGCACCTTATCCCCCTGTCTCCTCTACTAGGGTTCAGTAGAGATGAGGCAGTAACGATCTAAGTTGGCCTTCTTTACGTTGTTCTGATGGATTATCCCAAAGCATAAGCTTAAGGAAAAACAGAAACAATTCAATTTTCCACTACTTAGGAAGCATCTAAGCTCACACACAAATCCAATGTTAATAGCTGATCATTTAATCCTGAACTATCTGACTCTTGACAATTTCTCAACCAGTTCCAAACTCAGAGAGGATTTACGGGGTCAGGGTAATGATCCTACACCTGTTCAAACCTCAACAAAGTCATGTCAAAAGTAATCTAGAAAGCTATGTATGTAGTTTTTAACACCTACCTAACAAGGTAGATGCTAAGGAAAAAAACAAAATTCATCACACCCAAGGTTCCCTACATCTTCCTACGTCCAAAGTTTATTTCCTAATAATATCAGGTAGAGTTATATGCCTTTACGCTGAATTTTACTTCATGGTTGAGCCCACAGAATCTTAGAACTGAAAATAACTTTATGGAAGACTGAATAGGTCACAAAGCTAGCTATTGACAGAGCTAAAACTGGAACTCTAGTCTTCACATTCCCAGCTGGGTTCTCCTTCCATTATAGGAGACTCCCTCCTAATGCTTTTTGGTAAGCTAATTCTCTGTGTGTCTTCATTCCTTTTTAACATATGAAAGGGATATTTTGTGGTAAAAATAAATAGTTTCATAACTATAAAGCATCAGAATTTGAAGGAAATTTAGAGAAAAGATGTCAGCCCTTCTGTCATTTTATTGATGAGGCTGTGGAGGGTCATAGATAACTCAGCTAGACTATAATACTCCTGGATCTTAGCTCATTACACTTTCCTTCACAAAAGAAAAAAATGCCCATTCTAATCATTGCAAGCCAAAACTAATGTTGTATTTCTTTCTGATTGACAAGTTGCAGAGAAAATAATAGGTATTTAACCTCCTAAATAAAAGCATAAGCAGTAGATTTCTATAAGTATCATGCAACTCTCTACAGAGACCATTTTATTGACTGATTTAAATTAGCTTCTTCCTAAAACTTACCCATCTACCTTTTTGGTAATATAATTGCCCATTCTAACATAGACAACATTTAAAACACCAACCCAATTTCTTCGGTGGAAAACAATTCAATGATGAATGCTGATGAAAACCATTAGTTGTGCAAAACCATACTAAGTTGTTTCAGTAACAAGACAGGGACTGTTTAATGAAGCATGTCTCAACAATAAATAACAACAATAAAGAGAAATTTACTGCTTTGTGCTATATTGGACATTCATCATATACCCCAGAGCACTGGAAATTAAAATGGAAAATATCTGTTAATATATAAGTAAAAAGATAGAAAATATTTAAATAAGGTCAAACTACATTTTGATTATAATTTTTTAAAACAGGCTTATTTCTAATACATATATGTAAACTGAATAAGTGCTACATTTATTATACATTCGTTTGGTGTTTCTGCTGAATAATAATGTGAACACTGAGACTCCTACATAGTTGTAACACTTTAGAAAGGATTTACTCCAGAGACCATGATTTATTATTTTCACAGAAAATGCTGGGATATATGAAGTACTGACCTCCCTAAGAACTGCATCAGTGTGTGTGTTCTAGGCTTGAGGGCTCTGATATGGTCTGAATGTTTGTCTCCCCACAAAATTTGTATGGCAAAATCCTAATCCCCAAGGTGATGACATTAGGAGGTGGGGCCTTTGGGAGGTAATTAGGTCATGGGGGCATTAGGAGGTGGGGCCTTTGGGAGGTAATTAGGTCATGGGGGCAAAGTCCTCATGAATGGGATGAATGCCTTTATTGATGGGACCTCGGAAAGCTAGCTAGCTCCTTTTCCACCATGGGAGGATACAGTGAGACGGTGCCTTCTATGAACGTGGAAATTGGCACTCACCAGACACCAATCTACCAATACTTTGATCTTGCCCTTCCCAGCCTCCAGGACATGAGAAATAAGATTCTGTTATTTATAATCTATACAATTTATGACATTTTTGTTACAGCAGCTCTAATAGACTAAGACTCCATCTTTAGAAGAAAACACTGTAAGAACTCATAATTTATAGTAAGACTGCCACAGAGGAACACGGGTCAATTTCTAAGAGAAGAATCCCAGATGGGACCAATCATTAATGCTCCTTCTTCCCCTCTAAAGTATAAGCCACTCACCTAGACAGAAAGTTCCTTGTGAGCAAGGATAGCATAGAGTTAACCATTGTGCACCCACCACAACCAGGACAAAGCTTTTCCTTTATATCTGCACCCTCTCTTCCCGCCCTCTGATCTTGTTTTTCTCTGATCAGCTTTCTGCTGACTCCCTTTTTCCACTTCTATTTTCTAGCTCTTCCAAATTTTCTCTTAAAATAAGCTCTGGAAAGCAAGGGTCTGTGTCTTTTTGTTCTTTGTGTTTACCCACAGTGTTCAACACTAAAAAAGTTCTCAAATATTTGCTGAATTACTTATTGAATATATTCTCTTGACCTGCAAAGTAAAAGGCAATAGGCCCCTTGAACTGTGGTTAATGATATCTAAGACTTTGGTGTTAGGCAGAACTGGGTGTGAATCCTGGCCCTACGGCTTGTTTATTTATTTATTTGTCTTTTTTGTTTACAATTTTATTTCTGATACTTATTGCAGTGCCTGACACATAGTTTTTCAATGTATTTAGTTAAGAAATGAATAAATTATTTCACTTTGCACAATTAATAAGCAGTAAGAGTTCATGTCTTCTAGCACAGTGGTTTCTGGCACATTCCTCACTTCCCATCTCAGATGTGTGATACCACACTTCTGGAATCTTTGTAGGATATCCTAGAAATTCATTTCCAAGCCCCAAACAACCCATCCTCAAGACATTAGGACATTTGATGCTTCCACTCATCCCATGTATTCAACCTGACTATGCACTACACTGGCCCTATGGCTTATTAAATGTGTGATCTAGCTAAGTTGCTTAACCTTTCTATAGAGATATAGGGTGTCTATTTATCTAAACTGAAAATGTGTTTCCAAGAATTCTTCCCCTGGTATGGTCTAGATTAGTGTCAGTTAAGGGGAAATTTTTACAAGATTTGAATGCAGAATCAAAGTGGTAGTCACTTTTATGCTGTAAACTTTGATACAGGGCAAATACTGCTGCAGCCCATGAACACTGTTACTGACCTGCTGGTTCATCTTTTGGTGCAGGACAGCAGCCAGGTCTCCAAGTCATCAGGCTCCTACTTCAGCAAGTCAAACCTGAGTTAGGTGCACATGCAGCTATGTAGTGAAGGATGCCTGCTTCTACTGCAGATTACCTGCATCACAGAGGTTCAGGGCAGACAGATATTGATTCCAGTCTGTCCCCATGGTCTCCAGTGTGTCCTCAAAGTCAAGTCTGTCCTTGCCAATCACCACTTTATGTCCATCTTTCCTATCTTATTGCCTTCTCTGCTGACAGCAGGCCCAACATCAAATACAAAAGCAACAGCCTTACACGGACTGTTTTACTGGCTCCCATAAATGGGTAAGGTCTAACCCCTGTAATAAGTCCACGAGTCTCTATCACTCTGATTCTCCTTCTCTGAGCTAATCTAAATGATTCCCTTTCCAAATGTCAATTTTATAATATAATATATATTTTAAAAATAGTACATACCATTATTTTCTCAAAGTTATGATGATGAGTTAATTCATGTGCATCATTTGTGTGGTGCCTGGCACATAACTTTTCAATAAATAATAATTTATTACATTAAAACTTATTTTATTAAAAAAATAAAAACTGTCTCCTGGGATCGATAAATTCATCTGATATATGTATACATAATAGGAACTGCCCATATATTCATCATTCATTAAGAGTTTACCTCATCATTACTATTTTGTTATCCAAAGTGCATAATGGGAAGACTGTTTATTTGATTTATAACCTGTTCATTATTCAAAGAAAACCTGGATTTAGCTTTCCTATGTATGTTGTATGAGTATTTGCTTTGTTTTGTGTGTGTGTTTGAGGGGTACATAACTAAAATTAAACAATATCTAAAGAACTATATGTTCCGATGAAAATTAGTATAAATAAATTCCATACCCCAAATTCTCTAAGAATAATCTCCTGCAAATGCTACCATATTGAATATTTTCTGCTACTTGCAGCAGTTCAGTTGGACTGATATGATAGCTATCAATCCAAATGTTTGATAAAAATAGTATAAGAGGAGTAGAAGCAATAAGGATAATTAATATCTTGATGCTCCCAACAGGATAAAGTTCTTAAATAAGTGACATACCTTCCTAGAGAAACACAATGCTTTAGACAACTAGACAGGCCTAAAATAGAGTACATTTTGGCTAAGCTGTATCTTTTGTGAACTCAATATACAAATACAGCATGATAATGGCTGATGGATACTTTTTGTGGGATATAAAAAGTATAAAAGACTTGTAGTGTCCAGAGACCACAATCATGTCTTCTCTTGTCCTTTGCTGCAAGACGGTAGGCACAATATGAATATTTATTTACAAGGTTAATAAGAATTCGAGGAATAAACATGAACATCCACACATAAGATTATAAAGCTGCCTAAATGGCCCTTTTGTTGTAATGCTGGAAAATCTTTGGCATATTTAATCCACCTTTATAAAATTGCATTTTTAAGACATATTCAAGTGTCTGTCTATTTCCACCTAGGACTTAGATTAGTTGTCTTTAGAATTACCGTGGAGTTTTGGTTGTAGTGTTATTTAAGAGATTGTAGTCTTGCAGTCATACTTAATTGAAATATGCACTCTACCCTTAGTTTGATAGAACTGTCAAGTATTTTTATTTATAAAATTTTTCATGTTACAAAAGTCAAATGTGAAAATACATCAAAATGACATAATATAATTTAATAGAAAAAGGGACTTCATATTTTATTTATTCTTTTTTCTAAGAATTCCACAAACTTATAAATACTGCCTAACTTTCATAAATATTTTATACTTTCAGATGTCACATTTTAAGATAAAACCCCAATGAAACCTATTATTTTGTTACCAATTTAGTAGAGTAATCAGCCATGACCTATGTGGTAAAAAATTACATTAGGACACAGAGAAACTCTGGTGCACACATATTCCATCTCCTCTGAGGCTATATATTCTCCTTAATATGAAACATTCTGTCTTATCGTGATCCATTATATTGACCCATAGTACCAAGGTACCAAGCTCTTTACCTTACTGAGTACATGTCTATGTGTCTATTGTTTGATTACCGTATTTGTTCACTGGTTATCAGAAGCAGGAAAATGTCTTCAAGTGCTCAAAAACTCAGTCTCACTGCTTAGTAAGAGGTTCCAAAACATCAAATCAGAAGGCACAGCATTTAGAAAGGTGAAGAATGTATAATCAAAGATTGTGTCTTTCCCAACAAGACACAAAATTAGTGTTCTCTCCCTAACATCATCTTCCCTTGTCCAACTTTCCTCAATTAGCAGACTTAAGCTTGTCTGTCAGAGTAGAAAAATGAGGCCACAGCCATCCATTTTTTTCTGTTTTCTTTATTTATCCTTCTAGCATCTCCCTGAGCATTCTGTCCTCCAGTATATTTGGGGGGCAGTTTAACACTTATGCTCCAGTTTTAGGTCAAACTTGGTAACTTGTTTCCATCAAGTCTCCTCAAGATAGCTTCTGACTATTTTGAGAATTGCCTTCCTCATTATATAGACTTCTTTCAAAGCCAATCAGAAATTCAATGTGTAAAAATTAAACTAAGGAAATGCTTCAACATTTCAAAAGAAATACTTGGTTAACACTTGTTCTAAAAATAACAAAAGAGATCCAATTTGGATAGTCGCTTATAAAGTTTGTTGGTTTGTTATCCATCCAGCAGATATGCATGGCTGTAAATGGTCAGAATTTTATGAGTGTCTTTTGAATCAGCCTTGTTGTTTAATCACTTGCAAATGTGCTAAGAGGCTGGTGTCATTCTACAGGTAGCCAGTGACATAAAGTCATGTGGGTTTAAAGAAAGAATACAAACATCCTTCTGATTGCACTTCATTACTAGCCTTTTTCTGATTTTAAAAAGAGACTATTAAAAAAGTTTATTCTCACAAATGCCTTGGGACGTGAAAACATTTGAAAGAACTTCAAATCTCATATTATAGTGTGATCAATATGTACTAAAAACCCACAACAGAAGAAAATAAGTTTGTTATCAACTTCTTTTGTTTTCAACTTCTTACTGAAAGTATGGCCTAGATAGTTCCCTGAATAATGCACCACTGAAAGTCTTCTTTAGCCGGAACTCTTAGATAATTTAGGAGACAAAAATGGGACAAGGAATAAAAAAGAGGTTTGATTATTCTGACTGGCTATATGTTTTGTACAATACAATTGTATATTTACAATAAATAACCATTAGCTATGTCAGCCTGGAGAGCTGCTTATCATACTGCTTCATAAACATTCCACTGCTTCACAAAGGTTTGGTACACATCGGAAAAAAATGGATATTACTTAGAAAGTTATAGATAGCACAGTAAGATTTTATAGGACATAAATACAGAAACTTTTTTTTTTTTGAGATGGAGTCTCACTCTGTCACTCAGGCTGGTGTTCAGTGGCATGATCTCAGCTCACTGCAACCTTCACCTCCCGGGTTCAAGTGATTCTCCTGCCTCAGCCTCTCTAGTAGCTGGTACTACAGGTGCATGCCACCATGCCCAGCTAATTTTTGTATTTTTAGTAGAGACAGGGTTTCACCATGTTGGCCAGGCTTGTCTCGAACTCCTGACTTTGTGATCCACCTGTCTCAGCCTCCCAAAGTGTTGGGATTACAAGGGTGAGCCACGGCACCCAGCTCAGAAACCATTTTTTTTTTAACTATTATTGTTTTAAAACACGCTCTATATCCTTACTTTCATAGAATCTAAGGTCTATTTATCCAAACCTCTAAATCTAATATTTTCTATAACATTATTTGCAATTAGTCTGGCGTCTATTTAAACACTTTTAGAGAAAAAGTTGTCTGCGATGATCCTATCCAGTCATCTTATGACAATTACAATTAATAAGTCCTTCTTCGGAAAACTTATATGTGGGCATCTTATGGATGGGGTGAAAATGAGTATAGAATTCTGCTTCCTAGAAGTATATTTTCCTCTATATCATTATATGCAAGCAAAAATACACTCACCATTTTTCTTCCCTTTGGAATTACGCAAGAAGAACTATAAGCCCCAAAATTTAGTTAACTGAAGATAAGTAACATGTTCTCAACTCAATATACCTCAGACTAAATATGGCCAGTTCTTCTTACTGCCCTTCACACTAACTTCTACTCATTTGTTGTCTCAGTCTGTTTGTGTTTCTTTAACAAAATACGTGAGACTGGGCAGTATTTTCTACAGTTCTAGAAGTTGGGAAGTCCAAAATTATGGTGTTGGCATTTGGTGTCTGGTGAGGTCCTTCTTGCCATGTCCTCACCTAAGGCAGAAGAGCAAAAAGTGAGGGTGACAGTTCCCTGGTACCTCTTTTATAAAGGCACTCATCCCATCCCTAAGGGCTCCACCATGGCAAGTTAAGTTTCAACATACAAATCTTGGGAGATACGTTCAGACCATAGCATCTGCCTGATCACCTTTCCCTTTCCCATCAATATTCACTTCCACCTCTTCAGAAAATCCCTCTTACTTACTAATGACACTAGGCAGGTTACTTAACCACTCCAATCATCAGTCTTTTCAGTTGCAAAATGGGGATAATGCTACTTAACTCAGAATTGAAGATTAAAACGCAGTGACCAGTCTATAGCACTCAATAAATGGTGGTTATTACATAAATCCAGCACATAAAATAGGCAATGTATTTTAAATCCAATCATATTTTTAAAAATGTATCTCATAGACAGGCCACTAGCTACCATTTTGGAGTGAAGATGATTATTAGAGGAAGAGCTAGAAAACTGAGAAAGAGTTCACTCATTGCTAATTTATCTTAAAGAGGAAATGAATATCTGTGAGTTTGAAACAATATCTCTAAATGAGAATAATTAGGAAAATATCAATTTTATCCATTTGTAAACCCTTTAAGGGGATGATTCTTGGAAGAAATCAGTATTATTGATACCATGGTCTGTTTCTACCCATATTTCTGACATCAAATGCATAGTTTTGTTTTGTTTTGTTTTTCCCATACCAACAACTAATTCTCTAACTCTCCAGACACCAACTGGGTATCCAATGATTCCATTTATTTTTAGCACTAACTAACCAGAGTTAATACAGACCCTACTCAGTCCCACAAGACTACCCTCACTTCAGATACCAATGCAAGTCCTGAGTCTCCTATAGTTCTGTTCAATGGACTATAAATCAAGAGTTTCCATGACCCCCTCCTCAGGCTCAATAATTTACTTGAACAGCTCTAAGCCAGAATCTCCTTAAATACCATTGTTTAGGAGTTTTATGGAGATTCCCCTATGAATACATGAGATTCCCCTATGAATACATGAGATTGACTGAGTTATTAACCATTTGTGATTAATTCAATCTCCAGCCTTTCTCCTCTCTCCAGGGGTCAGGGGCTGGGCTCAAAGTTCCAACCCTTTAATCATATGGTTGTTTCGTCTGGCAACCAGCTCCCATCCTGAAGCTATCTAGGGACCCACCACAGGTCGTCTTATTAGCATAAACTCAGGTATGTGACAGGAGCTTATTATGAATAAGAAACTACTCTTACTCCCATCACTAGGGAAATTCCAAGGCTTTTAGAAGTTCTATGCCAGAAACTAGGGATAAAACCCAAATATATATTTCTTAATATATCAAAATATCACAGTTGAATCAAGTTCCACATGCTATTCTAATCTTCTTTGACAAAGTGAAAAATCAGATAAAAGTAATGATGAACACACCTTTAATTCTGATCACAGAGCATACTTATCCACAAAAGGTAAAATCTACCTATCAAACAACAATTATAGGGATATAAACTTCACTAAAACTACATCCAGAGGGTGGTTGATACTTAACCAGGAGACACATAACCATGTTCCATAGATTCTAGTCATGTAGGAGTTAGAATTGGTTCTAGTGTAATTTTATGATTTTATCCATGTGTCTTGCATATGCATTTTTGGAATCATACCTGATTTCATATTCCCTTCTGCACACTAGCACCTTATATATTAGAATGAAGAATGTGGTAAAAAGCAAGGATGCATTTTATTTATACTAAGGGGTCTCAAGTTAAAAATATATGATACCTTTCCAAATTGGAAGGAAAAAAAACAGCAATGCTTGTTTTTTCCAATCATCAAAACTTCAGGCCACATGTATCTAAAGAGCACAAGAAGTGCAATTGAAGGTATGTAACATAAAATTCCTTTTTGTGTTTTTCCATATTGGAATTAATAAGTAAATCAAAAGTCAAAATTTCCATTCCTAAAACTAAAGGAACATTCTTGTTTGCCAAGGTTTCATTTTGTAATTATCTATTCACAAACAGATCTGCTGTTGCTAAGATGGCAAGCTATTCCTATGGGTCAGAAATATTCTTGCCTTCCAAGATGCTGGTTTTAAGGGTGCAGTGCAAATACAGAGCTGCATTAGCAAAGCTCGATCTTATAGAAGGGACTTCATAAAAAAGAAAAGCAAATACTCATTATTGTCAAATCTGCAAGAAATATGTTCACCAAAACAAACAGCAAAAAGATAATACATAATATTAAATTAGAAACATTAACCCAAAAACTCTTCCCCATGTACCATATTCGTATAGAAAAAAATCTTCATTGCTCCTATGAGTGAAAGTAAATAGGACAGTCATGGACTCAAAATAAACAGAAGCATTCATGAATGAAACAAAATGTGTTAAAAAGCTGAGTAATATGCCAACGGCAAAGAATACATAAATGTGTAGAATTACCAATCATTCAAGCTGTTCAAAAATGGAAAGTTCTACCTAAAGTAGTGCATATCTATCACTATATGAGCTCAAGTAGTTCTCCTAGTGGATGTGGCAAAGGGAATCCTTACACTTGAAAATTTGATGAGGGGATTAAAAGGCCCTTCCAATACTGAAGAGGTGATCCTACTAGAACCTAAATTACTACTCCAAACCTAACCACTGCTTTTCAAATCACGAATGGATGTATTTTGTGGCTTATTCTAATTGCATGCTAAATAAATTCCATAGGTCATTTCTAATAATAGCTTGAAAGCATATTTTTTGTTAAGCCATTGAAAAATCATTTTAAAATGGAAAAATAGTACTTCTTTAAAATCCCATGTAGTATAAGAAAAGATATATAACCTTTGTAGAGAGGGAGGCCAGCTCTTATTAGCTACATGACCTTGGGCAGGAAGCTTAACCTCTCTGTGTCCTAGTTTCGTCATCTGAAAAACAAGAATCACAATTCTGTGGACTTGTTGGAAGTCTACATGGATGAATAATGCCAAAATTCCCAGTGCTCAGTGGCTGCCCAATAAGTGGCATCCACTCTTTTGCTGCTGTCCTCATAAACAGAAAATAAAACAAAATCCTATGTCGTTAATTTGTTTTCATGTTGAGCAAGCACTAAATACCTTAAAAAGAATTATAACTCTGAACTTGTGACAAGATTCTTTTTCTCCTGAAGTATTCTTTTTTTCAGATTTACTCTTTAGTTGAGAAATAAATGTTGTATACATTTATCATGCATGACATGATACCTTGAAATATGTATATTTCATATTTCATTTTGGAAAGGCCAAATTGAGCTAATAAACATATACATCACCTCACATACTTATTTGTGGTGAGAACACTTAAAATGTATCCTCTTAGCAATTTTCAAGAATATAACACATTTTTATTAATTAGAGTCACCATGTTGTACAATAGATCTCTTGAATTTACTCCTGAAATTTTCTTTCCTTTTACCAATATCTCCCCAGCCCCACTCCCTGCCCCAGCCTGGTAACTACCATCCTACTCTCTATTGCTATGAATTCAACGTTTTTAGATTTTAATATAACTGAAACCATATGATATTTGTCTTCCTGTGCCTTGCTTATTTCACTTAACATAATGTCCTCTAGGTTCATCCACTTGTTGCAAATAAAATTTAAAATTTTGACAAAAATTTCCTTTTTTAAGGCTATTAGTCGTCTATCAGGTGAGTTTTGACAAAATCTTGACAAAATTTTGTTTTTTAAGGCTGAATAATACTCCATTGTGTAAATATACCACATTATCTTAATTCATTCATCTATTGATTAACACTTAGGTTGCTTCCATATATTGGCTATTGTGAACAATGCTGCAGTGAACATGGGAGCGCAGATATCTCTTCCACATGCTGATTGTATTTCCTTTGGATATATAGCCAGTAGTAGGATTACTGGATCATACGGTAGTTCTATTTTAATTTTTTTTTACTTGTGCGAATGTATAGGGGTATGTTAGAAGTTTGTTACATGGACAAAATGTATAGTGATCAAGTCAGGGTATTTAAGGTGTGCATCACCCAAGTACAGTATATATTTTTGTTAAGTATAGTCATCCTACCGTGCCATCAAATGCTACATTTATTCCTTCTCTTACTATATGTTTGTACCCTTCAACTCACTTCTCCTCATCCTTACACCTCCCCATTTCCATATCTCCCAGTCTCTGTTATCTATCTTTCGACTCTCTACATCCATGTGATCAGATTTTTTAGGTCCCACAAAAATATGAGAAATGCACTGTTTGTCTTTTTGTGCCTGGCTTATATCACTTAACATAATAACCTCCAGTTCCATCCATGTTGCCTCAAATAACATGATTTTATTCTTTTATGGCTGAAAAGTATGCCATTTTATATATATATATATATATATATATATATATACACACACACGTATATATATATACATATATATATACACACACGTATATATATATACATATATATATACACACGTATATATATACATATATATACATATATATACACATATATATACATATATACATATATATACACATATATACGTATATATGTATATATATACGTATATATATACGTATATATATGTATATATATGTATATATATGTATATATATACGTATATATGTATATATGTATATATATGTGTATATATGTATATATATGTATATATATGTGTATATATGTATATATATACACACATATATATATACATATATATATATATATATATATATATATATATATATATATACATGTGTGTATATATATATACCACATTTTCTGTAGCCATTCATCCACTAATGGACATTTAGGTTGGTTTCATCTCTTTGCTATTGTGAATAGTGCTGCAAGAAAGATTCAGTGCAGGTATCTCTTTCATGTACTGATTTCTTTTTCTTTAGGTAAATACTCAGTAGTAGAATTACTGAATTGAACAGTAGTTCTATTTTTAGTTTTTGGGAAATCTGCATACTGTTTTTCATTGCAGCTGTACTAGTTTATATTCTCACAGTATATAAGAGTTACCTTTTCTTTGTATCTTTGCAAACATGTGTTAAATTTTGACTTTTTCATAATAGCCATTCTGATTGGCATAAGATAATATCTCATTGTGGATTTGATTTGCATTTCTTTGATGATTCATGATGTTCAGCATGTTTTCATAAACCTATTGGCCATTTGTGTGTCTTATTTTAAGAAATTTGTATTAATGACTTTTGCCTTTTTATTTGGAGTATTTGTTTTAAATCCTGTTGTTTGAGCTCCTTCCACATTCTGGGTATTAGTTGTCTATCACGTGAATAGTTTGGAAATATTTTCTCCCATACAACAGGTTGGCTCTTCACTCTGCTGATTGTTTTCCTTTGCTAGGCAGAGGAGTTTAACATAGTCCCATTTGTCTATTTTTGGTGGTGTTATCTGTGCTTTTGAGGACTTAAATTTTTTGCCTAGACCAATGTCCAGGAGTGTTTTCCCCAGGTTATCTTCTAGCATTTTTTTTAGTTTGGGGTCTTATATTTAAGGCTTTAATCCATTTTGAGTTGTACTTTTGTATATGGTGAGAGACAGGTGTACAGTTTCATCTTTTGGCATGTAAGTATTAAATTTTCCCAACACCATTTATTGAAGAGGGTGCTTTTCCCCAACATAAGTTCTCGTAGGCTTTGTCAAAGATCAATTGGCTGTAAATATGTGGGTTTATTTCTGGGTGTTCTATTCTGTTCCATTGGTCTATATGTCTATTTTTATACCAGTAGCATATGTTTTTGGTTACTATAGTCTTGCAACATATTTTGAAGTCAGATAATGTGATACCTCCAACTTCATTCTTATTGCTTAGGATTGCTTTGGCTATGTGGGCTTTATTGTGGTTTCATAAGAATTTTAGGATTGTTTTTTCAATGTTGTGAAGAATAACATGTCTAGTTTGATTGGAATAGCATTGAATCTGTAGATTGCTTTTGGCAATATGGTTATTTTAACAATATTGATTCCTCAGATCCACAAACATAAGATGTTTTCCCGTTTGTTGATGTATATTTCAACTTCTTCTAATAGTGATTTTTGTAGTTTTTCTTGTAGAAAGTTTTACCTCCTTGGTTAAATTTATACTAGGTATTTTATTTTTTGTAGCTGTCTTAAATGAAATTGTTTTCTTGATACCTTTCTTAACTAGATCACCACTTGTGCATAGAAATTCTACTGTTTTTTATATATTAATTTTGTATCTTGCAAGCTCACTAAACTCATTTATCAAATCTGAAAGTTTTTTGGTGGTCTTTAGATTTTTCTAGATATATGATCATATTATCAGCAAAGAGGGAGAATTTGACTTTCTCTTTTTCCATTTTGATACCTTTTGGTTCTTTTCCTTAACTGATTGCTCAGCCTAAAACTTCCAGTACCATGTTGAATAGGAGTGGTTAAAGTATGCATCCTTATCTTGTTCCAGTTCTAAGAGGAAAGGCTTTCGCCTTTTTCTCATTCAGTGTTATGTTAGTGGAAGATGTGTTGTACGTGGCCTTTTTCATTTGGAGTAAAGTTCCTTCCAGTTTGTTGAGAGGTTTTACATGAAAAGATGTTAAATTTTATCAAATGCTCTGCCTCTGTTGAGATGATCATACAGTATTTGTTTCATTCTGTTTTATCACATTTTTTGATTTGCATATGTTGAACCATCCTTGCATCCCTGGTATAAATTCCACTTGACCATGGCATATTATCTTTTTTATATGCTGTTGGATTTTGTTTGCTAGCATTTTGATGAAGATTTTTGCATCTAGGTTCATTAGGAATATTGGTTGGTAGTGGGCTTTTTTTTTATTTTGGGTTTTTTTTTTTTCTGTGTATCTTCGTCTGGCTTTGGTTATCAGATAATGCTGGTCTCATGGAATGAGTTATAAAGAATTCCCTCATTTTCAATATTTTTGGAATAATTTCAGGATTGGTATTAGTTATTCTGTGTAAATTTGGTAGAATTTAGCTGTGACTCCATCTGGTCCTGGGCTTTTCTTTGTTGGGAGACTTTTTATTACTGATTCAATATTGCTACTCATTTTTCTATTTCTTTCTTATTCAGTCTTGGTAGATTCTATGTTTCCAGGAATGTATCTATTTCCTCTAGGTTTTCCAGTTTGTTAGCATATAATTGTTCATAATTATCTGTTGATTTTTTTTTTAATTTCTATAGTATTGGTTGTAATGTCTCCTTTTTCTTCTCTGATTTAATTTTTGGGTCTCCTCTCTTCTTGGTTAGTATAGGTATTTATTAATCAATTTTGTTTACCTTTTTAAAGAACCAATTTTTTGTTTTGTTGATCCTTTGCATTTTTTAAGTCTATTTCATTTAGAACTCCTCTGATTTTTATTATTTCTTCTGCTAATTTGGAGTTTGATTTGTTCTTGATTTTCTAGTAGCTTGAAGTACATTGTTAGGTTGTTAATTGCTAATCTTTTTGATGTAGGCCTTTATTGCTATGAATTTCCCTCTTAGCACTGTTTTTGCTGTATCCCATGGGTTTTAGTTTATTTTGTTTGTTGTTTTTTTTATTATTATTATTTTATTATACTTTAAGCTCTGGGCAAGCTCTAGGCCTTACTAGGTTGGGGATGTTCTCCTGGATAATATCCTGAAGAGTGTTTTCCAACTTGGTTCCATTCTCCCCATCACTTTCAGGTACACCAATCTAACATAGATTTGGTCTTTTCACATAGTCCCATATTTCTTGGAGGCTTTGTTCATTTCTTTTTACTCTTTTTTCTCTAAACTTCTCTTCTTGCTTCATTTCATTCATTTGATCTTCAATCACTGATACCCTTTCTTCCACTTGATCAAATCAGCTACTGGAGCTTGTGCACATGTCACATAGTTCTCATGCCATGGTTTTCAGTTCCATCAGGTCATTTAAGGTCTTTTCTACGCTGTTTATTCTAGTTAGCCATTCGTCCAATCTTTTTCCAAGGTTTTTAGCTTCCTTACGATGGGTTCAAACATCCTCCTTTAGCTCAGAGAAGTTTGTTATTACCGATCTTCTGAAGCCTACTTCTGTCAACCCATCAAAGTCATTCTCCATCCAACTTTGTTCCGTTGCTGGCAAGGAGCTGCAATCCTTTGGAGGAGAAGAGGTACTCTGGTTTTTAGAATTTTCAGCTTTTCTTCTCTGGTTTCTCCCCATCTTTGTGGTTTTATCTACCTTTGGTCTTTGATGTTGGTGACCTACAGATGGGGTTTTGGTGTGGATGTCCTTTTTGTTGATGTTGATGCTATTCCTTTCTGTTAGTTTTCCTTCTAACAATCAGGACCCTCAGCTGCAGGTCTGTTGGAGTTTGCTGGACGTCCACTCCAGACCCTGTTTGCCTGGGTATCACCAGCGGAGGCTGCAGAACAGCAAATATTGCAGAACAGCAAATGTTGATGCCTGATCCTTCCTCTGGAAGCTTTGTCTCAGAGGGGCATCTGGCTGTATGAGGGGTCAGTTGGCCCCTACTGGGAGTTGTCTCCCAGTGAGGTTACTCAAGGGTCAGGGACTACTTGAGGAGGCAGTGTGTCCATTCTCAGATCTCAAACTCCATGCTGGGAGAACCAATGCTCTCTTCAAAGCTGTCAGACAGGGACGTTTAAGTCTGTAGAAGTTTTTACTGCCTTTTGTTCAGCTAGGCCCTGCCCTCAGAGGTGGAGTCTACAGGGGCATGCAGGCCTTGTTCCCAGCTGCTTTGTTTACCTAGTCAAGCCTCAGCAATGGTGGACGCCCCTCCCCTAGCCTCACTGTCACCTTGCAGTTGGATCTCAGACTGCTGTGCTAGCAGTGAGCAAGGCTCCATGGGTGTGGGACCCACCGAGCCAGGCACAGGATATAATCTCCTGGTGTACCGTTTGCTAAGAGTGTTGGAAAAGAACAGTATTAGGGTGGGAGTGTCCTGATTTTCCAGGTACTGTCTGTCACAGCTTCCCTTGGCTAGGAAAGGGAATTCCCTGAACCCTTGCACTTCCCGGGTGAGGTGATGCCCCACCCTGCTTCAGCTCACACTCTGTGGGCTGCACCCACTGTCCAACCAGTCCCAATGAGATGAACCCAGTACCTCAGTTGGAAATGCAGAAATCACCTGTCTTCTACATCACTCACAGTGGGAGCTTTAGACTGGGGCTGTTCCTCTTCGGCCATCTTGGAACAATCCCCCCCATGGGTTTTGATATGTTGTGTTTCCACTTTCATTTGTTGCAAGGAACTTTTTTATTTCCATCTTAATTTCTTCATTGACCCAAGTTCACTTAGGAGCATGTTTGCTAATTTCCATGTATTTGTATAATTTCCAAAGTTCCTCTTGGTATTGATTTCTAGTTTTATTCCATTGTAATCTGAAAAAATACTTGATATAATTTAAATTTTTGTGTTTGTGGAGACTTGTTTTATAGTCTTATATGTGATCTATCCTGAAGAATGTTCCATGTGCTGATGTGAAGAAGGTATTTCTATAGTTGTTGAATAGAATATTTGTTATACATTAGACCCATTTGGTTTGAAGTTCAGTTTAAATCCAATGTTTCTTAATTTCCTGTTTCAATGATCTGTCTAGTGTTGACAGATGGGTGTTGAAGTCTCCTACTACTGTATTACAATCTAACTCTCTTTAAATCTAGTAATATTTGCCTTATGAATCAGGTTGTTCCAGGGTGGGGTGCATATATATTTAGTATTATTATACCCTCTTGCTGAATTGATCCCTTTATTATATAATGATCTTCTTTATCTTTTATTGTTTTTGACTTAAAGTATGTTTTATCTGGTGTAAGTATAGCTACTCCTGCTCACTTCTATTTACATGAAATACCTTTTCCCGTCCATTTACTCGCCAAATATATATGCCTTTACTGGTGAATTTTTTTGTAAACAACATAAAATTAGAATTTTTTGTCCATTCAGCCATTCTATATCTTAAGTGGATAATTTATGTTCAAGGTTATAATTGGTATATGAGGCTTTGTTCATGTCATATTGTTAATGATTTTCTGGTTGTTTTATATATTCTTTGTTCCTTTTTCTCTTATTGTCATTTGATAGAATTCTGCAGTGGTACCATTTGAGTGCTTTCTTTTCATCCTCTGAATAATTGCTTTACTAGTAAGTTTTATACTTTTGTGGGTTTTCATCTCTTTGGTAAATTTCTCATTCATATCCTGATTTTTTTCCTGGTTGTTTTTTGTATTGTTTTTCAGAATTCTCTTGTATCTCACTGAGCTTCTTTAAAATCAATCATTTGTATTCTTTGTCTTGATTTCCAAAACTACTTTTTGATTAAGATGTATTGCTAAAGAATTATTGTTCCTTTGGGGCATCGCATTTTCTTGCTTTTTCATGTTTTCTGTGTCTTTAACATTGATTTCTGCACATCTAGTGTAACTGTTACTTTTTCTTATTTTTCAATATCCTCTTTTAGGGAAGGGCTCAGATACTCAAGCTTTGATTTTGGTGTACTCAGTAGTCTCTATATGATTTCTTTAGCTGGAAACAGCCTTGTTGATATATGTTGTTTCCTTGGTAGGTTAGGTATGGTTATTATTGGAGGCTGTGGTGAAGTTGTGCTGAGAACTAGGATGCTGGGTACTTCAGTCTTCAGCCCCAATTGGTGGCAGCAATAAGCTGAGCATGCCTATCTTTATGCCCCAGGGCAGCATAAGTTGGCACCTATGCTGGTAGTTACTGGCAAGCTGATTCTTGGACCCCTAATGGCATGCTCAGATACTGGAAATGGCAGCAGTGGATGGGATGGGCAGGTGGGTTCTTATGCCTGGGAGGCTGGCATGGCATGGGCAACAACAGTTGCAGTGGTGAGACAATTCTCTAGATCCCAAGTTGTATGTGTTGACACTGATGGTGGTGGTGATGGGCTGGGTGGGCCAGTCTCCAAGCCCACAGTTATCACTTGCAGGAAAGTGCCAGCTGAGATGTTAGCAGCCAGGAGGTTAGGCCCAAACTCAGGCTCCCAGGAGGAGTGCTCAGGTGCCTGTCGTGGTGAATTGATTTGATTTGAAGATCTATGTGCTCTGTCTTTGAGGAGGAGCAAAGCTGGGCCAAGTGGTCTTGTGCTTAAGCCCGCCAGCTGTGAGAACAGCTACCAGCTGCAGTTGGTTAAGACACGGCAACCCTCAGGTCCGAGGCAGAGTGCTTGGGTGAAGGGCCATACATAGCAGCCGTGCTTAGGTCTTATCCTTGGAGAGTGTAAAGCCATCCTTAATGCCCACAGACTGGTCTGGCAAGTAGGGAACCCACATTCCTTTCACACCCCAGACCCAGCAGGGCTTGTCCCCCATGCCTTGGTGGCAGTAGTTGGCACACCTAGCTCATACCCCACTTTGGCTGCAGGAGCACCCACCCAGCTTGTGACTAAGTTCTAGCAGCAGCTTGCACCCCACTTGCATCTCCATCTCAGATCCCAGCATCACTTGCTTGCTGAAATTGGCCACTGCAGCTCATGCCTCACTTGCTTCTTAGCCCTGGCTGACTGCAGGAGGGCTCTCAGCTTGCTCTCCTGTCCCAGCAGTAACAGCCCAAGTTTCCATAATTCCTCAGTCCTGGTACCACTGAGCCCCAGGAGAGCATGCAGTTTGCTAGGTTTGGAAATGGAGTCTTAAATGTAGCAGCTTGGGTCTCAGAAAGGGTATGGGACCCAGTGCGAGCTCCCTCCCTGAAGCAGTTCTGTCCCATCATCTTCCAGAAGCTCCGTATGTTAGTCCCAGGATTTGGGTGGGTCAAGGGGTTCTCCCATGGCCAGAACTGCACGATTCCATGGTGGGGATGTAGGCCACTGAAAATCTCTCACTCACCCATTCCCCAGGTTGTGAAGTCACTTCTGGCTCCCAGCCAATGCCAGCCAGGCAGGCTGCCACTTTTCCTTCCTCTTTCCTGCTTTTCATGTTTTCTGTCCTTTCCCTGTTGCATGCCAGCATTCTCTCTTGGATAGTATATTCAAATTATGACCGTCTATGCACTATTCTGGTTCTTCTAAGTAGAGGAGGCAGGCATGAAATCCTTCTAGTCAGCCATTTTAAACCTCCTCCCCTATTTTTAAACTTTGAGGAACCTCCATACTGTTTTCCATAATGGCTATACTAATTTACTTTCCCACCAACAATGTACAAAGTTTCCTTTCTCTCCATATCTTCACCAACAACTATCTTTTGTCTTTTTGGTAATAGCCACTCTAGCAGGTGTGAGGTGATATCTCATTGTGGTTTTAATTTGCATTTCCCTGATGATAAGTGATACTGAACATTTTTCATATACCTTTTGGCCATCTGTATGTCTTCTCTTGAGAAGTGTCTGTTTAGGTCCTCTACTTATTAATTAGGTTATTTGTTTTTAGGCAATTTTTTAATGCTTTTTGTGTTGAGTTTCTTACATATTCTGGATATTAATCCCTTATAAAATGTATTACTTGCAAATATTTTCTCCTATTTCACTGATTGTCTCTTCCCTCTGTTGTTTCCTTAGCTATGCAGAAGCTTTTTAGTTTGGTATAATCCCATTTGTCTATTATTGCTTTCCTTGCCTATGCTTTTGGGTCATATTAAAAAAATCATTACCCAGGCCAATGTCATAGAGTTTTCCCCTATGTTTTCTGCTAGTATTATTACATGTTCATATCTTACATCTAAATCTTTAATCCATTTTGAGTTGACTTTTGTATATGGTGAGAAAAGGGACCATTTTTATTCTGCACGTAGATACACAGTTTTGTCAACACTATCTATTGAAGAGACTGACCTTTTCCCACTGTGTTTTCTTGGCATCTTTGTCAAAAATCAAACGGCCATATATATGTGGATTTATTTCTGGGCTCTCTACTCTGTTCCATTGGTTTATGTGTCTGTTTTTATGCCAGTATCATGCTGTTTTGATTACTATACTATTTTGAAGGCAAGTAGTACAATGCCTCCAGCTTTGTTCTTTTTGCTGCCAAAGTGTTTTTCATTAAAAATTTTCCTCGCAAGTGGAAAACATGATATAGGAAGAGAAAACACTTCTACGGCCAGAATGTTAGACAATGTTACTTATTCTTGAAATTAATTCTTTTGAGCCATGTTCCTCAGAATGATGTGATCTTAACATGAACACAGGAATAGCCTCACGGTAAAGAAGTCTGCTATGAATGATTGTTTTAGAGCTCTTGAAACTTCCAGGTTCCTGGAGACAAGGGCTTATCATAAAATAGCTCATATCAAGGTTGAAAATATGAGAAATAATTAGTAGTAATATATTGTAATCTCGCAGTCTGTTTCTAACCTGTCAGATGCACAAGTAGAATGATCATTCAGAGTATCCTTTAGTTGAATGTTAATCTTCCCCTAAAAAAGAAAATAGAGTGACTATCTTTTCCCATCATACACACATGAGTATTGTATATAATCAAAGTGCTTTTCCACTCTCTGGAAAACACAGTACCCATGTAAAGTGTATCAACACTGGAAACAAAACAGTTGGACTTATAATATTGTGAGCTCTCTGAAACCAGAAGCATTCGGCAGGAGCTGGAGTTTCAAATGCTAAAACAGAAATATAAAATCTTCCTGAGACAGAAGGATAAACTTCCAGATTTCTTCAAATCTCAGCTTGAAATTTTTAATTGCTATGTTTAGATTTTCTGAAAACCATTCTGTGAATTATTATTGTTTGATAACTGAAGGTTGATGTCCTTGCTTAGGTACACAGCAGCCCACCTTTATTTTTTAACAAATCTCCTTTCTTTCTTCTAGTCCCAACTCCTCAAAACACTGACTACTACTTACTCAAACCAGGGGCTGATAAAACTAGTTAACTTTCCCCTCAATACCTAGCATGCTGTAAGCAACTGGATAAAACCTAATTACCTACCTCATAAGTGAAACTTTTAAATCTATTTGTGCACTTCCAGTGTATCAGGCAGTTCATCCACGGAAGGTTAAAGAAATACTGAGAAACACTAATAAAACTTAAGAAGAAAGCATTCTTTGCTTTCATTGAGCTGGGAGGAAACTAGAAGTCTTCTAGTCCCACCCCTCCATGCTAGTAATAAGGAAACTAAGTTGCACAACACCACCCAGCTTGTTAAAGGCAGAGCTGAAACAAGAACCTGACATCCAATCCGGAGTTCAGTTTTCACTAACATATGCACCTTGACTTCGCTTGAATTTCCTCCTTTTGATTGACAAAGAGTGAAAGTACTGGTGGCCTAATTTTATAAGAAACCACTGAAAATTCTTGAGAAAACTGGTTTACTGGTTCACAATTGACAGATTTAATTCAAGGGGGAGAAGAAAAGATGCTTTAAAGCACAGCAATTACTGGACTAACACACAGCTGGGCACATTCATGGGGACACACGAGTGCAGGAGATCACTGAGGGAGAAAGTACAGGAAAAAATTAATAAACAGCCTCTGCTTAACCATGGGAAAAGCCCATATTTACAGAGTGGGAGGAGGGTGAATAACATTAATTGCCACTCTGGGCTTCTTCCCCAAAGTACTCTAGGACTGGTTTTTCAAGAGTAAAGAAAGGGACTAGACAAGTTAAAACTGCCTGCGGCACATTTTCTTGTTATACAGATATAAACACACACGTGATTTGTGCCTTGGCCTCACACCCTGCTCACTGCAGACTAGTTCCTGGTCCCTGGTCTCCATTCAAAGAACACAGACCACGCAGGATGTCAGTGGAAGAGGAAACTTTGTACACTGTTGGTGGGAATGTAAATTAGTATAGCCATTATGGAAAACGGTTCCTCAAAGTTAAAAAGTACAAGTTTACCTAGGTAACAAACCTGCACATGTACCCCTGAACTTAAAATAAATGTTAAAAAAATAAATAAAAATAGGCCAGGTGAGGTTGCTCACACCTGTAATCCTAGCACTTTGGAAGGCCGAGGCAGGTGGATCACCTGAGGTCAGGAGTCTGAGACCAGCCTGGGCAACATGGCAAAAACCTCGTCTCTACTAAAGATATAAAAATTAGCTGGGCGTGGTGGCAGGTGCCTATAATCCCAGCTACTCAGGAGGCTGAGGTAGGAGAATCACTTGAACCTGGGGGGCAGAGGTTGCAGTGAGCCAAAATCCTGCCACTGCACTCCAGCCTGGGCAAAAGAGGGAAACTCCGTCTCAAAAAAAAAAAAAAAATTAAAAATTAAAAATATTTACCCATTTGCAAATTTTAAAAATCAAATATATATTTAAAAAGAGTTTAAACATTTTTTTCAGATTTTTTAAAAGTTTTATTCTGATTAATTCACACTGGATAGAAAACGAATAAACTTCCAAGAGAAGAGGCCCCCTTAAATTCATTTTTTCCATCAAGATGAATAAGTGTGCTTCTGTCCAATTGCCCTGAATAATATCTGATATTAATCTGAAATATTTTCTCAGCTGTGAATTTGGGTAGACATAATCCAATAAAATTATCATATGTACAGATAAAGTTATGATATTGGAAAATCAATGAACCTAGTCATTCTCCTGCCTTCCCTAAACAACTTACCTTAGTTAAAATCATTCTTTTTCCCCCCTTAAACTCAGTACATGTAAAATATTCAACACTTTTTTTTATGTTCTGCTGGACAATGATTACATTTACATAGGGAATAGTATGTAATAAGATGAGGAAACTAAGTCCAAGAAAATTTCAATAATATAAGATTATAGAACTTGTTCTATAGAATAAATTAAGTCAACTTATTAAATTATAAATTAAATGGAAGAGACAACCCACTGAGAAATTAACATGTAGGAACATGTTATAAATCCTAGAATATCAGAAATAAGTTTTCTCAAAAATCAAAAATTTTGTATCATGAATTTGGGAGTTTCTCCATCCTTATAAACATACCCTATGTCCCAATCCTCTCCCTCATTAGTATTTACAGAACAAGTTGTGTGCACCTTCCACATAACAGCCTCTCAAATATTTGAAAATGGTGACTGGATACTCTAGTTAATTCACTCTTGCAGGCCAATGCCTCATTCATTTAACTATTCCTCACGCAGATCTCCTTACCCTCCTGGTTTCTCCCCACTGAATTCCTGAGATGTCTATGTCTTTTTCTAAACTCATGCTCTGCAGAGTAAAAATGATACTTTAAATGAAGTTCAACCAACACTAAGGAGAAAAGAACAATTGTCGCTTCATTTTTGATATTTTATCTTTATAAATGCTGATTTTCTATTGTGTTTTTTCATATCCAAGTCCTATTCTTCACTGATTGCTGATGTTCTCTATTAACCTCAAGACCTTCTTACAGGTACTATAGCTAAGCCAATGGCCCAGCCCTATGCTTATAAATTGATTTTGTTTGTTTTTACATGATGTTAGTACCGTTCAACTCATTGTCAGAGTGGCTTAGATATGGCAAAAGAAAAGCCCATAGAACCAAACCCTACGCAAAATTCACTGAAGAAAATGTAATACAGTTGTACAGGAAGTTCATATGATTATTTAAATATCGAAGGGATATTTACAAAATGACTCTTTTGTCTTCACAGAAAACTTCTAAAATCATCAGGAGATATCACTGAAAAGGTTTCAAAACAAAGCCATAATCTCTAGAAATGTGTCCTTGATGGGTTGGTCTTCATTTGCCTGAAGGTGAGTAACTGGTGTTTTTAGCATGCCAAAACTTCAGGATCCATGGGTACCTTTTTCTACTTTTCATCAGGAGGCAAAATTCATACTGCATTTCACATGTAGAAAGGAATTTGGCCAGATGAATAGAAGAATGGAAGTTTCTCCAAGCAGGGCCAAGCTTTCATGACCTCAGACAGCATCTCAAATTGTTTGAATGAATAGGCAGAACCAGCCTGTGAAATCATGGGGGAACAGGGTTGCTTAACCAACTATCCAAGTAGAAAGAGAGGCCAAAAGTAAAGTACGGTAAGAAAAAGGGGAAGTAGCAATTTCAGGTGAGAAAAATAATAGCTGCAGAATGATAAAGTTACAGAGTCAAGAGATTTAGGAAGAGATAGTAGTAGGAAGAAGAGAGGATGATTTACAAAAGGGGTGGGGTAAATCACAGAAAATTGCTAGAGAAGAATAGAACAATCAAGGTCATAGTACCTAAGAATGCCTGTTTCCTAGGTGAAGAGTTTTTAACACAGAGCTATTGCCCCATATGTACTATTGACTTAATACGAAATTAAGAAATGTTTTACTTTCAGAAATTGAGGCTAAGTGAGCCAAGGAAAAAGTCATCCATCAAGAACAAAGCAAGATTTCTCAACCATGGCAGGACGTTAGGATCATCTGTAGAACTTTAAAATATTGTTTAATTTTTTTCATTTGGTTTCCTTTATAGTTGATTTTGTTTAACTTTGCCAGTGAAATTTAAAAAACAAAAAACAAAAAACAGCAATGCTTTTTTTTTTTTTTTTTTTTTTTTTTTTTTTAGTTAAAAGCTTAACTCAGAGTCATTACTAGACCTGTGGAAAATCACTGCTAGTTTTAGTAAATTTTTCTGGAGGGTTTGAACTTCAAGACATCTTTTTTTTTTTTTGGCAACCTCCTTATAATTTTCATTTTGAAATTTTTATGTCATCGCAGAGCAAAATGTTGCTTCAGTATTTCTATCCTGAATCAACACTAATTCCCAGTTCAAATGCTCTCTGCCATTGAGAAAGACATACTGATTTCAAGATCTACATGGCTAAACAGTGTTTCAAGTTTCCCACCACTATCAACAGACTGTAGAAAATAGAAAAATACTGACTTAAAATACTGAAAGAAAATTAATGGTTTCTGGGAAAAGCCTGATATTCAGAAAAAAATAAGATGCTTTGCATGCAAATATTCTTGCTAAAAAATATAATTTTTCAGAAAAATTATAACTTTGCTGCCACATATCTGATGATGTAGAATTCATATTAAGCATTAAAAAGACACTTAAATTTAAATATCAAGGATTTCCATTTGCAATTCTAAGGTACAGGTAAAATTGTTTTTAGAATACTCCCATTCTCAAAAGAAAGGACCCAAAACAGCAAGATATTTTCTTATATCAAAAATTTTTAAATTTATTTTTTTATACTTGTAAACATACCCTTCACGTATAAAATTGAAGAAATTCCTGATTAGTTGATGCTGAATGTTAACCTATAGATAAAAATAAATACATTTCAGCATTTTAGTACAGTGAGAAGGGGAACTGGTATAGAGTTTGAATATAAAAATAGAACACAAAATTCAACCTAATGAATAAATGTGAAACAGGTCACTGTTTTCTGAATCACTTAATTTTGCCATCATTCACAAGCTAAACTGGCCATCCTTTACTTGATACTATGTAGACTGTGAATCCCCAGTGACTTTTAAATAAAGAGCTAGTTAGATTAATTTAGTTGAGCATCTTCTTGTCCTCACTGAGAATGAACTCCCTCTGCTCACAGGCATCTCATCATCATACAGCTCAACTTTTGTTCCTGTTTCTCTATTTGACCTGATTATTGTCTTACTTCACTAAACCTAGCTATCTTTCTTTCAAGTATCACATCTTCCATGCAGCTCTTCCAAACCGCCAAACTCTCTTTTCCTCTCTCTTGATCTTAGTAGCATCACAAAGCCACACCCAATGGGAAAGGAAGGTGGAAAAGCAGCTCCACTGGTGGGTTAGATATGTTTGTTTTTTTATGTTCATCCTGGCAATCACACCTGATGACAACACGAACATCATCTGGTGCCTGATAGCTATTCTCCTGCAGAGAAAATAAAGAGAAATATTTCCTATGTGCT
Organism: Homo sapiens; assembly: GCF_000001405.40. Taxonomy (NCBI): domain Eukaryota; kingdom Metazoa; phylum Chordata; class Mammalia; order Primates; family Hominidae; genus Homo; species Homo sapiens. The sequence goes on from NC_000004.12 coordinate 104,971,484, forward strand.
GACTATATACAGATACTTCCTACATGTCATAATTAATGCACACAAAACCTGTTGGCTAGGGGCCATCCCTTAGATGATGTCTTTATGTTGTATCTTACTAAGTCCCCCATTACAAATCAGAAGGAGCATCAAGATGTCTCAATCTCCTACAGAAAAGAAAGGGTCAACATGCCATAAAATCATTGTCATTGGCAAACTTTCTCAAAATTCAATTAGTCACCATAAGATCATACCACATCACAAACCGGTTATGTGAGAATGCATATTATGGAATAGGCATGTCCAGACAGCATGATACTTAGAATCAGACTTTCCCAGGCGCCCTACAGAAATTTGTTTTTCTATGTCAAGAATGAATAAAACACATCTGCTTTAAAATTCTTCCAGACCAAAATAGTATTAACATAGCACCTATCAAATCTGAGAAAAATAACTGACAACAGTTGACAGACATATTAACCATTTATGTTCTAGCAATCTATTTATTCACGTTCCTGACTCTTACATTCTAGAAAGCAGTATACTCAGTCCTTATAGTCTCTAACATTAAATTTACATTTTATTGTTTGGTCCTCAACTTCTCAAAACACACTCCCAAGAAATCACTTTTGAAGTCGACTACCACAATTGCTATAAATTAGTAAGCTGGTTTACTCACTGCTCCAACAGCAACTCTGAGGTAAGTTTGGAGCTGAATAAAAGAAACTATAACAACACTCATTTTTGCAGACATATTTTCTTTGGCCTTGATTTTCTGTTTACATTTAGCTCAGTTGTTTAAAGTTACTTGTAATTATAAGTTCCCTTATTGCCTATGATAGTCATTATATACATAAATTTAATAAATAAATGCTCAGCACTATTATGTTTGTGTAACTGAAGTAATTATTTGTTTATTCTCTGCAATTCTATAAAAGGAAACATTCTAACACGCAAATCTTACTGTATCACTCCCTGGCTAAAAATCCTCCCGTGACTGCGACTAGATCCAGAATTAAGTCCAAGTTTATAAGTGTAATTTACCACTGCGTTTATAAAAGTACACAAAGCTCCTGTCTTTCTTTCCTGCTGTCTCAAGAAAGTTCCATCTCTAGACCTATTCTGGATCTTTTAGGATGTAGTCATCAGGAGGTTAGACAAAGAAAAGACCAGAGAATGAGAAAGACTTGGAGACATTAAGTAAACTTAATAAAGAGATAAGTGAAAAGGAAAGAGAGGGAGAAGGGAAAAGATGAGAGCTGAATGTCGCGAAAATACTGAAGGATTAAGAATTTACAGAGGTAGTTTTTAGGTGTTAGAAAATAGGAGGAATAGAAAATAGAAATTGGATAGAGGAAAGTGAGGATTTTTATATTTTTTGAGAAGTACAATTTTTAAGATTAGAGTTGCTTGATGATTTTTTGATTACTTAGACTGGGCTTTTTTAGAGGCCCCCCCCATAAAGAAACTGGGCTACGTGGGACTGTGGGATCTATTAGGATTATAGAAGTAAAATGCCCTAATCTTTTTCTCATTTGGCCACCATGAAAGCACTAATCCTTTTTTCACTGGGCCTCCTTAGCCCATCACACTCGCTCTGGCTCCAATACTTGCTGACAGTTTATAGAGGCCACCATGATTATTCTCACATCCAAGTCACTGCACTTGTCAAATATTGCTCTGTCTACCTAGAGCACTCACAGTCACTCCCTCTTTTAACACTAAAGTCTACAGTTTCTTCAACAATCAGCTTAGTTATTCTACAGGAAGCCTTTACTCCCACCTCTCTTACATTCTCAGTTAAGATCTGGTAGATACACATACAGGGAACACAGAGAAAGCACATGTCAGCTTTATCAGTCTGTTTACTTCAGACTCTCTCATTACCCTGAGCTTTATGAGAGCAAGATGGTAAAGAACAATAAAACAACAAACAAACAACAACAACAAAAACCAATAGAAAATGATTCATAAAGAAGCTAGTATCTGGTTTATAGTAAAATGATTGGAATTTATATTACCAACAAGTCTTTGAAAATGGTAGGGTGTCTATAAAATCTCCAAGAAACCAATCTTCTTAAAAGCAAACTCCCAAAACAATAATGAAAGGAAAACAAAGCTTTGTTTACACAAATATCCGAAATTTCATTACCTGAAATTTATTATAAACAGACTTCCAGAAAAGATGGTGGTATGGTAGCAGATATCCAAAATCCTTCCTAGAAACTAAGCCAAATCCCAGAGGAAAAATAAGAATAGAGAAAATTCTGCAAAGTTCACATTGGTTGAAGTCCAGTGGTAAATAATGTATCTACTCTAGGTAAGCAAAAACTTTTTTTTTACATTAGATAACTACCAGAGTCATTAGGAAGCTGAATAAACAAATGCCAAACTAAGTTTTCAGATATGACTGAAAACCACACTGAGCTATGAATAAAACTGCTGCTCTATAATCGGAAACCTATCTGCAAAACTTGACAGCCACCACCCCATGATCAGGAAACAACCACCAAATTGGGTATTCAGGATAGCATTTGCCAGCAGAACCAGAAGAATGACCTGTACCTCACTTCTTTCGTTCAAATCTTATGCAAGTGCATTTGAATGGTGAACATGAATCATATTTAGTCCCCTAACTTAGAGATTCAAGGAATTAGTGTTCTGTTTTCCAGCTCTTCCATGCAGAAAGACACACTAGAAATAAATTAAAAAATAATAAAACATCAGTACATCAGATCATTCACACCATGTGGATGCCTCCTCAACAAGGCATAGTAAAAGCCAGAGGGGATTTTCACCTAGGAATAATGCAGATGACATTAGTTGGGAGGATCTAGTCAGGAGCATACCCATGATACTCCTTCCCCAAGAGTAGTAAAGGAATATGGGAAAGAACAAGAACAAAACACACACACCCCTCTAAAGTAGAAGGGACCAGGGGTAGAGATGAGGTTTGTACCATTCAACTTGGTATTCTATCACCAGAACATACAAGGGCTATGCTACCTTATTAAGAATCCTGGCCATACCAAATGGAAAACCTGCAGTAAAATGTTTTCTGATCTGGCTTATAATTTATGTGGCAAACTTGTCCCTACTGGAAGTACACTCTCCTAGAGTATAAAAGCATTCTACATTCCTACCAACAATGTAGGTCTGGCCCTGGTGACATTATATACCTGGAATATAATAAATATGAATGCTAATACATATTAGCGTAGCACATACACTAAAATTAGAATGACACAGAGATTAGCATGGCTCTTCTGCAAGGATGACGCACAAATTCGTGAAGTGCCCTATGAAGAGGGTAGGAGAGACAGTCTTGAGTCCCTGAGGCCATACATGTCCCATTTCCTGTCAGCAGTTCTATAGTATGGAGAGATAATCTTTGCACTTTGAGGAGGGACAGTGCAGCAACGGGGTGACTTTACATTTAACTCAATGCTGCATGATCACAGTGGAGAGTAAAGTCATGCTGGGTTTAGCCAGTGTCTGCACATGGAGGGAGCATGTGGATCATACCGAGCCAGAGGGGAATTGCCTATACTAACAGTTAAAACTTGAGTTATTTGGCAAGCCTCACCACTGTGGGCCAAAGTGCTCCGGGATTTTAGGTAAGCTTGCAAGAAGGTCTAAGACCCAAGGACTGCAATTCCTAGGCAACTCTTGGTGCTAGGCTGGGATCAGAGCTACCTCCAACATGGTAACATCTGAGACACAAGGGCACCTGCCTGAGCTTTGGCAGAGCCCAGAGATAGAAGAGGAAGCAGAGCATGAAGTCAGGGTCCCCTTCTAGAGCTTTTGAGAGAGATTGATGGACCAAGACAGACATCAAAAGAGGGCTGGCTTCAGCCAAAACGATGAAGCCAGAAGACAAAAATATCCAATGTCTGGAGATGTTTTCCAGGGTAGAAAGTGGGAAGGGGTCTAACAATACTCACTTCAGGGCCCTAGGGCATCAAGATAGGGATGTAAAATCTTTGGGAAGAATTGTGGAAAGAGAATCCCAGTAGCTGCTCCCTCCAGAGAGATCCCACTCCAGCTCAGTGTGGACAATGAGGAGACATCAAAAGAGCCACAGAGGAGCTGGGGGCATCTGAATCCCAGAGACCATGTTGTGAGCCCCTCTATACTTGTCTCCTGGCCCAGAAGGATAGCAGCTGCAATAAGGGGCTCTCTCTGCTTTACAGTGTGTTTGCCCCTAGGCAAAAGGGGTTGGGGCCTCCTGCAGCCTCTGCTCTTCCTCCAGGAAGTAGGAACCTTGGAGGTGGGCTGGCAGCATCCCTCCAGAGCTAAGCTGCTTCTGCACAAAGCAGTCCCCAGTGACTGCAGTCCCGGCCTTACACCCTGGGCATAGAGAAGCACCTTCATATCTCTCACCTGGAAGCACCACTGTTGCCAGGCAATGAAGTCCCAACCTTCTGTATCTCCTGCTGCAGCTGGACCAGCTCCTTGTCATGGTCATGGTCCTTGATGCTGATGCTGGTGTCTGTAGCCTGGCCTAGGAAAGGCCAGTGGGAGTTCATGTGAGGATGTAGAGTTCATATGAGGGGGGTTTCAAGCCTCCAGGCCCCAGGGCTATGTGTTTTGTAAGAAAGGCACTGGTCCCAGCTCTTACCCACACAGGGAACCGTCTGAGTCTCCAAGTACTCCTATTTCCTTCTTGAGGCAACTCTAGTGCTTCCACAAGACACCACAGTCCACAGATTTGGCCCCCTGGGCTCTCTGGTTGGTAAAAGAGGAGGGAAAATTGGGCCTGCTCTCAATAAAGAAAATTCATCAAGCCTGCAGTTTTGGAGGACCGAAGTAGACAACCTTTAGAATGTAGATTGTTACCTAGCTGTCTCCTGCTAAGCAGGGTAAGTTCCTGGAGAAAAGAAAACATCACCAGCTACTCTCATGAAGAGTTGAAAAAGACCTGTTTGTGTGGCAGGAGCCTGGCCTGAGGTTTAATCCTGTTTCAACCACATAACAATTCACAGTAGGTCTGTTGAAGGGCGGCTCAAGAGTTCAGCTGCAACCCTGTTTAGCTGTTTAGCATAATCAACAACTTCTTGAGTTCCTCATTTTCCTTGGAAGCTGCTGCTATCTGCTTCTCAAAGTTTCTCACCACTGTCTAGAACAACTCACTTCTTTTCTACCAAATGGAAGACAGGTGAGAGAAGAAAATAGTTAAAAAACTAACCCAAGCATGCTAACTCCGTTTTTCCATGCTTTTACTCTCTGGTCTCTCTCCTTCCTACACACGAGCATCCCCATATTACCTGCTTTGAGTTTTGCCAATTTTACCTGTGGGCTGGCTCCTACGTGACACTTCAGGTTGTTGAGAATGTCAGCCTGTAGGTGGGAAAAGAGGAGAGGGAAGATGAATGGTGAGGCGCTTGCTCCTGGAAAAGCCTCCCTCAACCCTCCTGATACTCACTTCCCTGGCAACTCCTGCATCATCTGCTGTTTCCCGCATTTGCTGCCCCCACTCCTCGAGCTTCTGCAGCTCCCTGTCCTTCTTCTTCGGCTCATAGTCACACTGCACCTTCTGGCTGATTAACTAGTCTTGCAAACACTTCACCTGGTGGAGTAGAGGGGAGCATTAAACAGGAAAGGCACATGCAGGACCCACAGAGCCGCCAGCAAGGGGAAATAAATCAGACCCTATGCATGGAAAAAAAGAACAAGACCTTCCACAAACAAGTGAGGCAGTCACAGCCATGGGAGGCAGGCCATCCATCCCTGCCCTTTAAAGCCAAGGCCTGCTACTCTAACTGTTGCCAAGCTGGGCCCAGGCCACACCACAGCCCCTTGGTCTGTTCCTGGGCCTGTACAGCAGCAATCATTGCTCACATGTTTGCATCTGGGCCTGGAGTAGGGCGGGAAAGGAAAGCCATTCTCCCAAGATAGTGGTTCTTAAACATTATTGGGCATCAGTATCACCTGGAGGGCTTGTTAAATCACACATTACAGAGCTCACAGTTTCCGATTCAGCAGGTCTGAAGCAGGCCCTGGAATCTCCATTTCTAACAAGTACCCAGGTGATGCTGATGTGCTGATGCAGAGACCACAATTTGAGAACTGCTGCTCTAAGCCTTACCCTGGCTACTTTTAGCCTTCCCAACCTCACTCTTCTAGAGTTTGAGCACCCTTTAATGGCAGGAAATGACTCTGGGCACTTACCTTCTTTACATGCCCATTTTATCATCCTAAACTTTCGGGGAGTGATAAGACAGATGCCCACCACCCGCAGAGACCCCTCTGTAGCATGGTTAAGAATGCATAGGATCTGTAACAGAGAGCTGGGTTCAAGTCTTGACTCTTCTACTTACAGGTTAACACCACAGCAAGTTACTAACTGCTGAACCTCTGCTACCTCATCCATGAGATGGGGATAAAATCCTGCCTCCTAGGTAATACATACCAAGTGCTTTATCTAGTGCCAAGCATCAGTGTATGCCTAATCATTGTGAGTTTATTGTTAGAAGAATCTTTTCAGGCAGATTTATTTGCCTCAGTCTTCTCTTTATTTAATCTATCCAACAGTCCCATCATGTGTGTCTCAGCCCTCAAGCCCTACCTTTAATACTTGACTCCTTCTGCTTTCATTGCTCAAATTATAGTCCCCATAATCTCTCTCCTAAACTATTGCAAGTCTCCTAAATTTTTTTTAAACCCCCTCTTTGCCAAATTCACTTACCACTCTAGCATCCCAAGCCTCTTCCTAAAGCACAGCTAGCATCATGACATAACTCTGCTCTGAAAACCTTCAAGGACTTCTCAATATGGTCAGTCTTTCCTTACTATGAGCAAATAAGTGGGGAAGCACTGGTTAGAGGGAGTGTCTCTCTGCCCTCTCCAGCCAGATCTGCTGATAATCCTACTTTGTTTTAGGAGCAGATGTTAAAAGGCCCTTTCCTCCTTCTGATGCCCTAATATGCATTTTCTCTCCTTCCCTAAATTTTCATAGTACTTTGTATTGTATCAGTATTATAACAGTGTTCCTTAAATTATAGAGCTGCATGTCATTCTTTAGCCTGGGAGGTCTCTAAAGCCAGGAACCTGGTTGCATTCCTCTTTATATCCCCTAGAACTCAAACACCATGATATTAATTCACTTATTTAATAAACAGTGATTCTAAAACTACTTCAGAAAATATTTTAACATATTTGAGATTCAGAGTGTTTTCTCCTTGTCGTAAAAACCATCCTCCAGCTTGTTTTTTATGCTCCCTTGTTTTCATTTGGTGCTTTTCATGTTCTGCAGTCACCTTCTAGAAGTCTGAACAAAATCGCAAAGAATGGGCATTCTGGTTCCTGTGCAGCTCTCAAAATAGAGTTCATTTTACCAGCCCTGGACCACAGGGGAGCCTGCCTCCCTGAAGAACGAGTCCCAGGCCTGGCAACATTCACCACAAACTGACCGAAGAGCCTTTGGGCCTTGAGTGAATATCAGTGGTAGCCTGGCAGTACGTTCCATGAACCTGTGGTAGTGGTGGCCACAGGGTAAGGCTCTTCTGCCTGTGAAAAGGGGAGGAAAGAGTAGGAAGGACTGTCTTGTGGTTTGAGGGCCAGCTCAACCACAGTAGAATAGAACACTGGGCAGATTTCTAAGGTTGTTTTACTCCAGTCCCTGGCTCTCACATGGCATCTCTGGATCTACTTGGACCCTGGGGGAACTCACCACCCTGAACGGAAGGGCTCAAGCCTGACTAGCTTTGCCCCCTGCTGATTGTAGAGCTCTAGGGCCTTGAGTGAACATAGGCAGTAGCCTGGGAGTGGTTACAGTGAACCTTGAGCGAGTCGAGTCCCTGCACAGTCCCAGTGGTGGTGGCCATAGGGTATTGCATCATCCCACCTGCAGCTCCAAATGTCTCAGCACAGAGAGACTCCATCTGAGAGAAAATAAGGGAAAAGAACAAGAGTCTCTGCCTGGTACTCAGATAATTCTTCCAGATCTTATCCAAGACCATCAAAGCGGTACCTCTATGAGTCTGCAGGAACTACAGTGTTACTGGGCCTGAGGTACCCATTAATGCAGATCTGGCTTAGATCACAACACTCAAGACCTTTTAAATACCTGGAAATCCTTCCCAAGATGGACAAGTGCAAACAAGCCCAGACTGTGAAGACTACAATAAATACCTCACTCTCCAATGCCCAGACACAGAAGAACATTCCCAAGTATCAGGACTACCCAAGAAAACATGACCTCACCAAATGAACCAAATAGGGTACTAGGGAGCAATCCTGGAGAAACAGAGATATGTGACCTTCAAAGAATTCAAAACAGAGGTAGGTCACCTTCAGAGAATTCAAAATAGCCATCTTGAGGAGACTCAAAGAAATTCAAGATAACATAGAGAAGGAATTCAGAATTCTATCAGATAAATTTAATGAAGAGACTGAAATAATTAAAAATAATCAAGCAGAAATTCTGGAGCTGAAAAATACAAGTGGCTTACTGGAGAATACATCAGAGTCTTTTAATAGCAGAACTGATAAAGCAGAAGAAAGAATCAGAGAGCTTGAAAACAGGCTACTTGAAAATACACAGTCGGGGAGACAAACAAAACAAATAAAAAAACAATGATGCCTACCTACAGGATCCAGAAAATAGACTCAAAAGGACAAAATCTACGAGTTATTGGCTTTAGAGAGGATATAGAGAAAGAGACAGGTATAGAATATTTATTCAAAAGTATAACAGAGAACCTCCCAAACCTAAAAATACCAATATCCAAGTATAAGAAGATCATAGAACACCAAGCAGATTTAACCCAAAGAAGATTCATTCAAGGCATTTAATAATCAAACTCCCAAAGGTCAAGGATAAAGAAATAATCCTAACAGAAGCAAGAGAAAGTAAACAAATAATATAAAATGTAGCTCCAATACATCTGGCAGCAGACTTTTCCATGGAAATCTCATAGGCCAGCAGAAAGTAGTGTGTCATATTTAAAATTATTAAGAAAAAAAAATTTTACCATAGAATAGTATATATGGTGAAAATATTCTTTAAACATGAAGAATAAATAAAATCCTTCCCAAACAAAAATTGAGGGATTTCATGACCACCAGGCCTGTCCTACACAAAATGCTAAAGGGAGTTTTTCAATCAGAAAGAAAAGGATGTTAATGAGCAATAGGAAATCAGCTGAAGATACAAAACTCACTGGTAATGGTAAATGCACAGAAAAATACAGAATATTATAACACGTAACTGTGGTGTGTGAAGTACTTTTATCTTAAGTAGAAAGACGAAATGATGAGCCAAACAAAATAACTACAACAACCTCAAAGGACATAGATGTATTAAAAAAATTAAACAGAAACAAGAAAAGTTAAAAAGTGGAAGGATGAAGTTAAAGCATATAGTTATTAGTTGTCCTTTTGCTTCTTAGTTTGTTTATGCAAGCAGTTTTGGGTTGTAAGATAGTATTTGCAAGTCTCATGGTAATCTCAAATCAAAAAACATACCACATATCCACAAAAAATAAAGAGCAAGAAATTAAATCATACCACCAAAGAAAATCACCTTGACTAAAAGGAAGACAGGAGAGAAGAAAAAAAGGAAGAGAAGAACACAAAACAAGAAACGACACATTGGCAAAAGTAGGTCAGTCCTTATTTATCAATTATAACAATGAATGTAAATTAACTAAAGTCTCCAATCAAAAGACACCAAATGGTTGAATAGAGAGAAAAATAAGAGCCATTGATCTGTTTCCTACAATAATCACACCTTCGCCTAAAAAGACACACATAAGCTGAAAATAAAGCAACTGAAAAAGCTACTCCATGCCAATGGAAACCAAAGAAGATCAAGAATTGCTATACTTATATCAGAAAAAAATAGATTTCAAGACAAAACTGTAAGAAGGGAACAAGCAGTCCTTTGTAAAATGATAAAGAGTTCAATCCAGCAAGAGGATATTGTAACTATATTGTAATATATAACTGTAAATATATATAATTGTAAATATGTATGCACCCAACACTGCAGTACCCAGATATACAAAGTATATTAGAACGAATGAGAGCGATAGATCTCAATACAATAATAGCTGGAGACTTCAATACCACTCTTTGAGCACTGGGCAGATCTTCCAGATGAAAATCAACAAAGAAACATTGGACCGAATCTGCACTATACACCAAATGGACCTAATAGAGATTTACAGAACATTTCATCCAATGGCTGCAGAATACACATTCTTTTCCTCAGCACATGGACCATTCTCAAGGACAAGTCGTATGTTAGGTCACAAAACAAGTCTTAAAACATTCAAAAAAATTGAAATTATATCAAGCATCTTCTCTGACCACAGTGGAATAAAACTAGAAGTCACTAACAAGAGGAATTTGGGAAACTATAAAAACACATGGAAATTAAACAATATGCTCCTGAATAACCCAGGGGGTCAATGAAGGAAATTGAAAAATTTATTCAAACAAATGACAACAGAAACACAACATACTAAAACGTACGGGATACAGCAAAAGCAGTACTAAGCAGGAAGTTTATAATTATAAGCACTTAGATCAAAAACAAAGAAAAACTTGAAATAAAAAACCTAACAATGTGTCTTAAATAACTAGAAAAGCAAGAGCAAACCAACCAAAAATTAGTACCAAAGAAGTAATAAAGATCAGAACAGAAGTAAATAAAATTGAAATAAAGAAAACAATACAAAAGATCAACAAAACAAAAAGTTGGTTTTTGAAAAGTTAAATAAAATTGACAAACCTTTAGCCAGACTAAGTAAAAAAAGAGAAAATACCCAAGTAAAATCAGAGATGAAAAAGACAACATTGCAACCAATACAACAGAAATTCAAAGGGTCATTACTTACCACTATGAGCAACTATATGTGAAACTGGAAAATCTAAAAGAAATGGATAAATTCCTAAACACATACAACCTATGAAGATTAAACAATGAGGAAATCCAAAGCTGGAATGAACCAATAACAAGTAATGAGATTGAAGCCATACTAAAAATTATCCCAGCAAAGAAAAGCCTGGAACCCCAATGGCTTCACTGCCATCCATTTGAAGAAGAATGAATACTAATCCTACTCAAACTATTCTGAAAAATAGAAGAAGAACACTTCCCAACTCATTCCATAAGGCCAGCATTACCCTGATTGATACCAAAATCAGTCAAAGACATATCAAGAAAAGAAAACCACAGGCCAGTATCCCCAATGAACACTGAGGTAGAAATCTTCAACAAAATACTAGCAAACCAAATTCAACAATACGTTAAAAAGACCATGCGTCATGATGAAGTGGTATTTATCCCAGGGATGCAAGGATAGTTTAACATAGGCAAATCAATCAGTGTGATACATCATATCAACAGAATGAATGACAAAAAATAAATAATCCTTTGAATTGATGTTGTAAAAGGATTTGATAAAATTCAACATCCCTTCATGATAAAAAGTATAAACAAACTGGGTATAAAAGGAACACACCTCGACATAATAAAAGCCATATCTGACAGACTCCACAGCTAATATACAAAATGGGGGAAAACTGTAAACTTTTCCTCAAAGATGTGGAACATGACAAGGATGCTCACTCTTGCCACTATTATTTAACATACTACTAGAAGTCCTCGCTGGAGCAATCAGACAAGAGAAAGAAATAAGGGGCCTCCAAATTGGAAAGGAAGAAATCAAATTATCCTTCTTTGTGGATGATATAATCTTATATTTGGAAAAAACTAAAGACTTAAGAAGAGAATTATTGGAATTGATAACCAAATTCAATAAGGTAGCAGGAGAAAAAAATCTACATACAAAAATTAGTAGTATTTCTATATACCAACAGCAAACAGTTTGAAAAAGTAATCAGGAAGGTAATCCCATTTATGATAGTCACAAATAAAATTAAATACCTAGGAATTAACCAAAGAAATGAAAGGTCTCTACAATGAAAACTATAAAACATTGATGCAAGAAATTGAAGAGGACACACCCACAAAAAAAGATATTCGTGTTTATGGATTGGAAAAATCAATGTTATAAAAATGTTCATACTTCCCAAAGCAATCTACAGATTCAATGCAATCCTTATCAAAATACCAATGACATTCTTCACAGAAATAGAAAAAACAATCCTAAAGTTTATATAGAACCACAAAAGACCCAGTATAGCCACAGCTATCCTAAGCAAAAAGAACAAAATTAAACAAATTTACAAGGAAAAGACAGCCCCATTAAAAAGTAGGCAAAGGACATGAACAGACACTTCCCAACAGAAGACACTCATGCAGCCAACAAACATAAAAAGAAGCTCAACGTCACTGATCCTTAGAGTAATGCAAGTCAAAACCACAATGAGATATCATCTCATGCCAGTCAGAATGGCAATTAAAAAGTCAAGAAACAACAGATGCTGACAGGGTTGTGGAGAAAAGGGAACACTTTTACACTGTTGATGGCAATGTAAATCAGCTCAATATTGTGGAAGAGAGTGTGGTGATTCCTCAAGGATCTAGAAGAAGAAATGCCATTTGACTCAGCAATCCCATTACTGGGTATATACCCAAAGGAATATAAGTCATCCTATTATAAAGATACATGCATGAGCATGTTCATTGCAGCATTATTCACAATAGCAAAGACATGGAAACAACCCAAATGCCCATCAAAGATAGACTGGATAAAGAAAATGTGGTATATATACACCATGAAATACTATGCACTCATAAAAAGGAATGAGATCATGTCCTTTGCAGGGACATGGATGGAGCTGGAAGCTGTTATCCTCAGCAAACTAACACAGGAACAGAAAACTAAACACTGCATGTTCTCCCTTATAAGTGGAAGCTGAACGATGAGAATATATGGACACATAGTAGGGGGAAACAACACTAACTGGGACCTATGTAGGGGGCCAGGGGGAGGAAGAGCATCAGGAAAAATAGCTAATGGGTGCTTGGCTTAATACCTAGGTGATGGGTTGATTTGTGCAGCAAATCACATGGCACACGTTTACCTATGTAAAAAACCCTGCACATCCTGCACATGTACCCCAGAACTTAAAATAAAAGTTGAAGAAAAAAAAGAGAGAATCCAACAGAAAAAAAAAGATGCTGTCCAGGATGTGAAGAAAAGGGAACCCTCATACAGAGTTGGTGTGAATGTAAATTGGTGCCACCGCTATGGAGAACAATTTGGAAGTTCCTCAAAACACTAAAAATTAAGCTATCATATGATCCAGCAATCCCACTGATAGGTATTCTATTAGTCCATTCTCACACTGCTATAAAGAACTTCCTGAGACTGGGTAATTTATAAAGGAAAGAGGTTTAATTAATTCACAGATCCTTATGGCTGGGGAGGCCTCAGGAAACTTACAATTATCATGGAAAATGAAGGGGAGGCAGGAACCTTCTTCACAAGGTGGCAGGAGAGAGAATGTGTGCAGGAGGAACTACCGAACAGTTGTAAAACCATCAGATCTCATGAGAACTGCTGAGTAGCATTTTACATTTCTATAATATATGCTATCTTTCTATATTACGCTACAAGTCACAGATCAATTCTTCCGAAAGTTTGCTCACATTAGAACCATCTTGAGAGCTTTTGAACCTCCCCATCACTATCACCAATACCGTGTTCCAGTTGCCCCCCACATTAATTAAATCAGAATATGTGGAGGATTAGGAGTCAGGCAAGTGTAGTTTATAGAGATTCCCAGGTGATTCCAACACACAAGCAGGTTTCAGAACCAGTAGATAGATTGTAATCATTTCCCACCTCCATGCAGTGAAGAAAATCGCTGCCCTTCTCTCTCTCAATCTCTGAAATGCTTCTTCTGCTCTTATGCTGCACTATGATTCCAGAGGGGCTCAAAGTGGAGTCAGTACCCCAGAGCAATCCTCTCCCAATCGAGTGCAGAAAGCCTGGAAGAAGGGGCTTCATTATTAAAGAAGGGGATTCATAGGGCCACCTAAGGCCCCATCAGAGATAAGATCACCAAGTCTCATAAATATAGCATCACTGCCCTCTCAACCCCAATGCATCCATCTCACCTCAAAGGGGCAAAACTATTTTTTGGATTCAGGGCAAAGCATCTCAGTGAGATCAACTGGACCTGAGAACCAGAAATGGCTGAGCAGGAAAATGTAAGTGTCCAGAAGTGGGAATTAAAATAGAGAAAAGCCAAGGAAAGGGATCCTATGAGGGGATAGGTTATCACAGAGGTAAAGCAATTGTACCCACAGAGCAGAAAATTCACGGGCCTGGACAAACTCAGAGTCAAGGAAATGTAAACTAAGTAATGGAAAAGCCCCAGTTACTACCTGGGATCAGAAACCTTTCTTTCCTCATGAGGTTCCATGGTGCCTACTAAAGCTAGGAAAGTGTTAGGAGAAGAAAGATTTCCCCCAGCTTTCTGCAAACCAGCCTTAAGTCCAAAAATGAGTGGAGCCTACCCCAGCATTGCTTACTTCAAACTCAATTACATTTCCTGCCTGTTTCCTCTAATAATAAAGTTTAAAAAAATACTTCAGGGATCAAATAATCAGATTTTCTTATTCTACTCATAAAAAGAGAAACTCTTGTCACACAGTAAATGGCAAAGCCAGAAACAAATCCAAGTATTTTAATTACAAATTAAATTTTGCACTGTGCCATGTTTCCTCAATCTCTAATTCATCTTCCACCATCTCTAATCTACTCATTTCCCAGCCAGCCAAGTCAGAGAATGAATTGTTACCTAGTTTAGCCAGTCTCAGAAAGCCCCTTTTCCTAAAACAACTCTTTTTAGATGCCGCCTTGCTTTCTCGTTGGATGGTCTCTAAAGAGAGAAAGAAGAAAGAAAAAGAAAAACTGTGAAGAAATGATGTAAGATGAAAGTGACAAGAGTGGCTGTTCAATGTCATTTCACCTTATGAATTCTGAAGATTTTCAACGTGAAAACCAGGCTCCCAAGGCCTTCGTAGTTGTTCACTATTTCTCAACCTTGGTTACACGTTAGAAATGCTTGGGGAGGTTTTAAAATTCTCCATGCCCAGACCAATTAAATCAGAATCTCTGAACAGGAAACCCAGACAGCAGAATTTTTAAGGCTTCCCGGGTGATTCCAATGTGTAGAATCGCTGCTCTAACAAGACATGTTAGCTCCACCCTCAGACTCTAAAGCTGATCAGCTGGGGTATAAGCTTTTCTGAGTAGGAAACAGCTGAGTATAAGCAAGGGCATTTCTTTGGGTGCAGCAAGGTACAAAATAAGGTTAAGCAGCCACCCAGCAGCGAATAAAGTTACACTTTAATTTCGAAATAAAGCCTCTAATTTTATTGAGTCAAGCTTCATTTTATCTTCTAGCTTTTTTCTCTTTTTCTGTCCCATAAAATTATAGTGATAAAACAGTAATGTTAATGGGATCAATACCGTTTATTATTAAAGGTGGATGTCATACCTTTTCTTGACAGTCCTCAATGAACAACCACAGCTAAAATAAACAATGCATGTCCTACTACCTGTCTGCTAAGCTGGCTGTTGGTTCTTGCTTTCCACACCCCAAGAGCAACACTTCCATCTATCAGGCTTAACTAAGGAGTCACCTGCATGGATGAAATCTGGGAAGGCTTTATAAGCGAAGTATCCATCTGGTTAGCATTGATCTACTACCACCTGAAACAAGTACAGCTTGGATGTTATTAGTTGGCTAGGATTTGGATAGTGGAAAATAATTAAGAAGGTAGTTCGCCGGGTGGAGAAAACACAGAGGCAGAAAACCATATGTATATTTGGAAGTCCATAGTATCACACTGGAACCCCTTAAATTCATGGCTGAGCATTTCTCTCTGATTCCAGGTAAGTACACTGGACTATATTTCAGATGTGTCTTTATAAATGAGTTGGGAGAGGCCTTGTGGTCTCATGAAAGACAACAGGATTTGAACGAAGATTCAAATATGACTGCTGACACTAACTAGTCCTATGTCCATGGGGGAAGTTTTTAACCTCCCTTAGCTTCAGCTTGCTAACCTGTAAAACAGGGATAATAGTATCTACCTTATAGGGTTGTTTTAAAGATTAGCATTCTTCTATGCAAGTACCTAGTATGGTGAATGAAAATGAGTGCTCAATAAATAATTGACAAGATGAATAATAATAGCATTTGTATTCACAGCAGAAGTTGTTTTTGGAGCGGTTAGACAGAAATAGCTTACATCCCAAACTTAGAACTTCCACTTTATTCAGTTTTTATTGTTTTTGAAAGCTTGACATGAGCAATATCCATAGTTATGCAATTGAAGTTATTATAAAGTCCTTTTAATTTTTAGTTTTAAGATACTGAAATGATATGAGAAGGCTTAACTCAGTGAGACCAATTTAATCAAATGGTCTGATTTTTACAGCAATGGGAAAAAAGATTCTATAATGAATATGGTAGGCAGAATTGGAGAAATGAGTATAAAATGAACAAATTTGATACTGAGAGATTTCTTGCTAAATATGTGGAGAAATAACTCACTTTTTGCAGAGTATTTAGTAGCAAAATAATCCAACACAACCTAGCAAAAAGGTGTATAGAAACTTCTTTCTGCTGGTTGTGTTTCAGACAAGTTACCAACAAATGAATAAAGCGTTTTATTGATCAAAGAAAGAATTAAGTAGCTGTGTGGCCTTAGGATGTTTCTTAACTTCTCTGGGCATCCAGTTCCTCATCAGTAAGGTTAGAATAATAGTTATGATAGGTTGTTGTTATGTGTGTGGAACTAATGAGTTGGTGGTGCATGTAAAGCACTTACTATAGTGTCTATTGCTTTCAGTTGTTGGCTATCATTTTTATGTTGCTAGGATTAAAACAATTTAATAGAAAGATTTAAAGGTATATCAGAGAACAGTGATGTGCTGATTTTTCAATACCTGATTCTGCCACAAGATTAAAGGTTTAGGTATGGTACAAGCTCTTGGGGTCCTTGCTTATTTCATTTGTCAGCTAGGAACTACTGAACTTACAAAAGCACTAACAGGAGTTCTGTGTTTTAATCAAGCAGATTAGTTATGCTAAGAGATAACACTTCTGTTAACCCCTTCTATGACTTTTTCTACAAAGTTTGCTTCAGAAAGTTTTGTTTAAAAAGTTTTTAATTTCTAACAATGAGAAATCCTTTATAGTCATAACTAACCTTGTCGTAACCCTGAACAATACTTGAGGAATAAGCATGAAGTTAAGGTAAAGAAGCAAACAAGAATCTGCTAGCATAGTCTGCCTATCAGGGCATTCATCCTTAAGCAGTGATCCCAGTGGACCTTAGAAAAGCCATGGCAAGTCTTTCTACTTTATTTGCTTATTATCAAATATTCCTTAAGCACTTAGGGTTGGCCAACTTGCTATGACAAGCAGTCCCCAAGTTTCACTGGTTTCGCACTCCAAGATTTCGTTCTTATACAGAAAATCCAATCGGATATTCCTAATCAGCAGCTTTTGTCCTGCTGATGACTAAATTTGAGATACTTCCACTAGCAACTCCACTATGTCCTAGGATCTCTTCAGAGCCCTCTACTAGATGCTCCGCACTAACCCAGACAACAGGCAAAATGAAGATTATTTCAGAAAATTGAGTGCCTAATACTTAACCCCCTTATCGCAAAATACACACACAACCACTTCTGCTCACAGTGCGTTGGCAAGAACCAGTTATATAGTCCCACCTAGATGCAAGAAAAGTTGGGAAAAGTAGTCAGGTAACCACTTTCCAGAAAGAACTCTACACTATGGAAGAGGAGTGTGATTCTATGTCTCTCTGCTAGCCATGCCTGCCATAAGCACCTGGGTGATGGAGGTAGATCAAGTTTTAAAATAGAAATAAAAAGTCCCCTCTTTATGGTGTCTACAGACTAGTTCATTCTTACTCTAATAAGGAACCCCCTCCTAATGGCTCCATGTGCTGAATTTCCTTTCATCATCTTGATATTAGCCTCGTCCCTATCTATACTGTAGAACTACATTTTCCAGAATTCCTTTCCAGTATCATTTACGGTTAGATTCTGCCAATGAGGCATTCACTAATAGAAGAAACCATTTTTCTCAGCAGCAGCTGTTTACAGGCAGATGAGATCATTGTTGGCAGCCTCCTTGACTTTCAATGCTTCTCCCAGGAATCACCTGCTATAAGCAGTCAGCTGAGATCATCAGCAGAAGTTTCCAGTGGCTCCAGCCTTCCTCCTGAGAATTACCCACTTCAGTGTTCCATGGAATAAAGATCATTGATAGTGGCTCGACTGCAATCTTGCACTTTAAAATTTGCTGAAAATTAATATGCCGGACCTTGCTCCCATAGCCCTTCCAATGTTCTGAACTAACTTCTTCCCACCATTTTTGTCAGAAAATGACAAAACCTGAACATACTCAGTATGAAAAAGTTCAGCAAACTTATTCTGTAATTCCAAAAAATATTTTCTGGTACCTGATATATGCCAGGTTCTATGCAAGATGCTAGGCAATACAGTAGCAGCCAAAGAGATAAACTTCTGCCTTTAATGTGCCTATTTATAAACTACTCAGTGAGAAGCACATTATAAAACATAATAAATTAGTAAGCTCATACTCTGACAAGAGCTTTGAAGCAAAATTGTAGGATGCTATGAGAGAGAACAGTTCTCATAGCATAGTCATAGTGATGACTTTTTTCAAATAGAGTAAAATATGATTTGGAATGCATAGATTCCCACTATCATGATCAAGTTAGAGAAGAAGAAAATCAACAGTAATTCAATGCTACATTACTAGTCAAAATAAATTTGGCAAAATCATTGGAAACAAATGGTCTTAATGTCTCTGTAATGACATGACAACATGTCACAATGTAATATTACATGTGATGGCACATCCTATGTAATAGGACAAAAAATTAATCTGGCGCAAAGATTTGAGTCATCAGGAAAATGGAAAAGTAGGTGGCTACAAGTACAGTTTTTATACACTGAAATATTAGAATTTCCACATATAATACATTGGAGAGGAGGGACCAAGTAACGCAGAGTAGGGGACTGCTCTGAGTAATTCTGGTGAAGAAAAGATAGTGTTCATATTGTTCATATGCATTAATTCCATTTATCAGTCAATAGCTAAAATGCTTATTCATTTTATATTTTATAAACTAATCTAGATTGGAGGAGATAATATTTATTATTGGAATGTGAGCATAGTTAATATTCCATTAGTAACTTGGAAAGACAAGAAATAATAAATCAGCAACTTTCAGGCTCTATCCAAATAACAACTAGAACATATAAAATGTTCATTAAAATCTATGTGGCTCTTTATATCTTTGTAGCCTTCAGAGCTGAGCCTCTTAATTCACCTGTTCTAATCTCTGAATATAACCAAGCAGATATCTTGTTAATTTTTGGCCAGAGTTCAAAGCTTAGCATCTGGCCAGTCTAGCTGCTTGTCCTATATTATCATTGCCTGGTACCTGAGACTAAACTTGTTCTTTATAGCCAAGCTTCCATCATACATTTATTCACTCAATAAATATTTATTGAACATTTTGTGTATGTTAAGCCCTGGAGGGTGTAACTGAGGAAGATACATATGGTCCCTATCCTGAAAGAGTTTGCTTGTGGTTTGGGGTGGAGGGAGGATGGGAGAATGTGGGGGAAGTGAGAAGTACCGGAGAGGAACTAATCCCATGGGAGGAACTAGTACAAAGGCTATTAATCCAAACTCAGCAAATTTAAAAGGGTTTCCCAGAAGACATCCCTTCTAACCAAGACTTAAGGATGCTAAAGAAGTTATCCTGGCAGAGAAAATAAGTGAAATAATCCAGCAGAAGGAACAGTATTGAGAAACCATAGGTAAGAGGGACCACAACAGATGTCCTACTGAAGCAACTAAAAAAAGTTCCATGTGGATGGGCTATGAAGTACAATGTTAAGCAATGTAATGGAAGAGGACAGGTAATTAAGTAGTAGTAGATTTTACAGGACCTGATAGACAATATTAGGGAGTTTGAACTTTAAAAGCAATTTGAAGCCATTAAAAGTTATAAATTAGAACAGAATCAAATTTATATTTGAGAAATTTCAATCTGGGTGCCAAATGGACAATGAAAAGGAAGGGGAGACTGGAGGAGAAGCCATATAGAAGATTATTGCCATAATTCAAGCAAGAAATTGTCACAGTTAAATCTACGACAATGAGCCCTTCTCTGGATTTACTGGCTACTATTACATTTCATTTATTTTTGTTTTTATTTTTTTGATATAGGAGTCTCACTCTGTTGCCCAAACTGGAGTATAGTGGTGTAATCACAGTTCACAGTAGCCTCGACCTCCAGGCTCAGCCTGTTGCATTTCATTTAGAACTGGGCTTCTGACTTACCCCTTAAAGTACTTTCTGTAACATCTTACTCCAATTTAGTTTCAATAGCTGAATTTCTCCTATATGATACCAAATGTCCCTTAATTGATTGCTAGGTTGTCCCTCTGTCATGTACATTAACCATGTGTTTCCTAACCATGCCATGCTATACTTAGCTACTGGGACAAGTATTTCTTGCTTACCAGACCTTTTACTAAACAACTCCTATGTAATTAATTCCTATTTTCTGATAGCAGGAACTCTCAATTTACTGACATTCCTAAGTGAAACTGCCTGCTTTCCAAGTTTATACCATGTTTTCCTCTTTTCCCCATAACTAAGCTCCAATTAGAACAATAGCAATAGCAAGGACTCTAAGATACATGAATATATGTCTCAGAATTTTGAACTACCCCAACTTTATAGTTCTCTTTTTAATTTCCACTTTTATTTTAGATACTAGGGGTACATGTGTAGGTTTGTTCCATGGGTATATTGCACCAGGGTAGTGAGCACAGTATCCAATAGCAGTTTTTCAACCCATACCCCTCTTCCTTCCTTTCCTCTTTAGTAGTTTGCAGCGTCTATTGTTCCCATTTTTATGGTCATGTGTACTCAATAATTAGCTCCCACTTATAAGTTAGAATATGTGGTATTTAGTTTTCTCTTCTGGAATTAGTTCACTTAGGATAATGGTCTCCGGCTCCATCCGTGTTGCTGCAAAGGACGTGGTTTTATTCATTTATGTAGCTGCATAGCATTCCATGGTACATATGTGCCACATTTTCTTTATCCAGTCCACCATTGATGGGCACCTAAGTTGGTTCTGTGTCTTTGCTATTGTGAATAGTACAGTGATGAACATAGGAGAACATGTCTTTTTGGTATAATGATCCATTTTCCGTTGGTTATATATATCCAGTAATGGAACCGCTGAGCCAAATGGTTGCTCTGTTTTAAGGTCTTTTGAGAAATTGCCAAACTGCTTTCCACAGTGGCTGAACTAATTTACATTCTAACCAACAGTGTATAAGTGTTCCCTTTTCTCTGCAGCCTCACCAACATCTGTTGTTTTTTCTCTTTTTTGTAATAGCTATTCTGACTGGTGTGAGATGATATGACAATGTGGTTTTGATTTGCACTTCTCTGATTAGTAATGCTGAGCATTTTTTCATATGTTTTTGGCCACTTGTATGTTTTCTTTTAAGAAGTGTCTGTTCATGTCCTTTGCCCATTTTTTTTACATTATAAACCAGCCAGTTTATTATTTTCTAGTAAGATGCAGAACTTTTACCATGCAGACTAAAATACCTATGTCAGCAGGAACAGTACATTTTCTTCCTAGAGGAAGTTACATGGAAAACCAGGTTATTATCAGGTTATTTAGTGAGTGTAAAATCCAAACAAGAGGAGACTAATCTTAAGACCTAAACACATCCATGAAGGCTTGGAGCATACTTTCCCACCACTGGAACACCTCAGCCTCCAGAAATCTTGTTTGACTCTTCCTTCCCTGTCTTGGTCTAGCTGAGCACTGCCACTGGTCAGTCACCTCCTGCAGCCATATAGTCAGGCCAGTTTAGCCTAAGAGCTGTATCTCTGCTAACTGGTTTGCGTTGTTACCGCCACTGTTACTAACAGTTAAGGTTCTGAAAGGGGCACGTCAATTGCTCCCATGTACCCACTACAAGACACAATAATCCTGTTAGGTTGTTCTCTCAAACCCACTCCACTCAAGTTTTTCAGGTAATATGCTCTGTAAGGTTCTTTCCAACTCCATTAGCACATACATAGATTACTTATAAATTTACCTAATGTAACCTACTTCTACTGAGGATTGAAGTTTTAAAACTTTTTTTTTTCCTACCTTCTTGATCAGTGATTCCCAACCATGTGGGAGTTAGTGAAACCAATTCTGTATCACCACTGCAACCAATACAGAGATACCAACTGATATGTATTTTTCAAATTAATATTTTTAATTGATTTTTTATTTCAATAGGTTTTTGGGGAACAGGTGGTATTTTGTTACATGAATAAGTTCTTTAGTGATAATTTCTGAGATTTTGGTGCACCCATCACCCAAGCAGTGTACACTGTACCCAGTGGGTAGTCTTTTATCCCTCACCCACCTCCCACCCTTTCCCCTAAGTCCCCAAAGTCCATTGTATCATTCATAGGCCTTTGCGTCCCCATGCTTAGCTCCCAATTATGAGTGACAGCATATGATGTTTGGTTTTCCATTCCTGAGTTCCTTCACTTAGAATAGTAGTCTCCAATTCCATCCAGGTTGCTGTGAATGCCATTGTTTCATTCCTTTTTATGGCTGAGTAGCATTCCATAGTGTATATATGCCACATTTTCTCTACCACTCGTTGATGGATGGGCATTTGGGCTGATTCCATATTTTTGCAATTGCAAATTGTGCTGGTATAAACATGCGTGTGAAAGCATCTTTTTCACATAATGACTTCTTTTCCTCTGGGTAGATACCTAGTAGTGGGATTGCTGAATCAAAAGGTAGATCAACTTTTAGTTCTTTAAGGAATCTCCATACTGTTTTCCACAGTGGTTGTACTAGTTTACATTCCCACTAGCAGTGTAAAAGTGTTCACTTTCACCACATCCATGCCAACATCTATTATTTTTAGATTTTTTGATTATGGCCATTCTTGCAGGAGTGAGGTAGTATAAAATTGTGGTTTTGATTTGCATTTTCCTATTCATTAGTAATGTTGAGGATTTTTTCCATATGCTTGTTGGCCATTTGTATATCTTTTTTGAGGATTGTCTATTCATATCCTTAGCCCACTTTTTGATGGGATTGTTTGGTTTTTTTCTTGCTGATTTGTTTCAGTTCTTTGTAGATTCTGGATGTTAGTCCTGTGTCCGATGTATAGATTGTGAAGATTTTCTCCCATTTTGTGGGTTGTCTGTTTGCTGATTATTTTGCTGTGCAGAAGCTATTTAGTTTAATTAAGTCCCACCTATTTATCTTTGTTCTTGTTGCATTTGCTTTTGGGTTCTTGGTCATGAAATCTTTGACTTAGAGTCCATATTTTTGAAATTGCAAATCTAAGAAGCAAATGTCTAGAAGGGTTTTTCTGATGTTATCTTCTAGAATTTTTATGATTTCATGTCTTAGATTTAAGTTTTTGACCCATCTTGAGTTGATTTTTTAATAAAGTGAGAGATGAGGATCCACTTTCTTCTACGTGTGGCTTGCCAATTATTCCAGCACCATTTGTTTAATAGGGTATCCTTTTCTCACCTTATGTTTTTGTTTGCTTTGTCAAAGATCAGTTGGCCATAAATATTTGACTTTATTTCTGGGCACTCTATTCTGTTCCACAGGTGTATGTGCCTATTTTTTATACAAGTACCATGCTGTTTTGATGACTATGGCCTCATAGTATAGTTTGTAGTCAGGTAATGTGATGCCTCCAGATTTGTTCTTTTTGCTTAGTCTTGCTTTGGCTATATGGACTCTTTTTTGGTTTCATATGTATTTTCAGTTTTTTTTTCTAGTTCTGTGAAGAATGATGGTGGTATTTTGATGGGAATTGCATTGAATCTGTAGATTGCATTTGGCAGTATGGTTATTTTCACAATATTGATTCTACCCATCCATGAGCATGAGATGTGTTTCCATTTGTTTGTGTCATCTATGATTTCTTTCAGCAGTGTTTGGTAGTTTTCCTTGTAGAGGTCTTTCACCTCCTTGGTTAGGCATATTCCTAAGTTACTTTTTTGTGTGTGCATCTGTTGTAAAAGGGGTTGCGTTCTTTGTTTGATTCTCAGCTTGCTTACTGTTGGTCTATAGCAGAGCTACTGATTTGTGTACATTAATTTTGCATCCTGAAATTTTGCTGAATTCATTTACCAGTTCTAGGAGCTTTTTGATGAGTCTTTAGGATTTTCTAGGTATACAATCATATGATCAGCAAACAGTGACAATGTGACTTCCTCTTTACCAGTTAGGATGCCTTTGATTTCTTTCTCTTGTCTGATTGCTCTGGCCTAATTTGGCTAGGACTCAAATTAATGTTATTTTGTTCCCTATGTAAAAATGTAAAAAACAAAATTATGCAGTCCTCAACTTAGTAGTCAATAATAGTAAGGGTCAAGTTGTCAAAAAAATGTCTTTCAACAGTAGAAAAGTTTGCTTGCTTTTTTTTTTTATTTTACTTTAAGTTCTGGGATACATGTGCAGAACATGCAGGTTTGTTACATAAGTATACATGTGCCATGGTGGTTTGCTGCACCTATCAACTCATCATCTAGGTTTTAAGTCCTGCATGCATTAGGTATTTGTCCTAATGCTCTCCCTCCCCAAAGTTTGCTTTCAAATAAAAATTTTAAAAAAGCATTTATTGCAAACATCATGTAATAATGATAAAATTACAGAAGAAAATATATTCAGACTGACCCACGACATTCATATCACACCAGAATTTTGATTTACTGTTTTTGTAATAAAACAGTAAATTGGATCCCAAAAAGTAGGTTAGGTCCATACTGGCTAAAAACTCCAGTCCAAGACTCAATAAATGAGGATGAAATATATAGTGCGTGCTTAACAGACATTCCATATACATCAACCATTTTTAACATCCCTCACTAGGGTATTGAGGGAAGAAGGGATGAAATGTGGACATGTGAACTCACAAAGGCAGAATATTGTTTCAATTATAAGAAGTCACACATGTGACACTTTACTATGTCTTGGAAAATAGCTAAGATTTTATCTGTGGGAATCCACCTTTGAAAATCACAATGAAAATCAAAAGGAAATGATTTAATATAAAATATTCAAATTTCTCAGTATAGGACTTTCACAGAAAACAAAGAAAGGGACAACAATGAAAATGAATTTTCTTAAAAAACAACATTTCCTTTATTTTGTGCCTGCTACTCAAACCTCAAAAACAAATCTGTACATAACTAGGAACACAGAAAAGGACCAGAGAGAATGTGATACTGCAAAGTCTTAGGACTAAACTTCCACCCTCATCAAGACCTTCACTACAGAGTTGAGGGTTCCCAGGTCAACTGAACAAAGTGAGCGGTCTCTGATCATCACCCCTGCTTCACCAAAGATGGCCCAGGTCACTCACTGTGAAACTTATCAGAATAGACCTGGGCAGAGATTGAGCTTCCCTGGTAGCTGCCCCACTTCTTCTTTGTTTTCTCATGCCAGAAGGACTTGGTGAACTTCAAAACCTGATTGGCTCACTCACTCCAGTCTCAAGCTGCACCTCACTTCTTTGCCCGTTTTTTAATTTTTTTTCTTTTTTTTTCCTTTTTTTTTTTTTTTTGCTTGCTGATTTATTTCCTTATATATTCTGGATATTAGAACTTTGTCAGATATATAGTTTGCAAATATTTTCTCTCATTCTGTAGGTTGTCTGTTTACTCTGTCGATAGTTTCTTTTGCTGTGCAGAAGCTCTTTAGTTTAATTAGGTCCCATTTATCATTTTGTGTTTTTGTTGCAATTGCTTTTGGGGACTTAGCCAAAAGTTCTTCGCCAAGGCTGATGTTGAGAAGAGTGTTTTCTAGGTTTTCCCCTAGGATCTTTAGAGTTTGAGGTCCTACATTTAAATCTTTAATACATCCTGAGTTTATTTTTGTATAGGATGAAAAGTAAGGGTCCAGTTTTATTCTTCTGCACGTGACTAGCCAATTATCCCAACACCATTTATTGAATAGGCAGTCCTTTCTCCATCGCTTGTTTTTTGTCAGCTTTGAGGAAGACCAGATGGTTGTAGGTGCATGGCTTTATTTCTGAGTTTTCTATTATATTCCATCAGTCTCTATATCTGTTTCTGTAACAGTATCATGCTGTTTTGGTTACTGTAGCCTTGTAGTATATGGCTTAAATTTGGATAGTGTGATGCCTCTGGCTTTGTTCTTTTAGCTTAGGATTGCTTAGGCTATTCAGGCTCCTTTCTGATATATATGAATTTTGAAATAGATTTTTCTAATTCTGTGAAGAGTGACATTGGTAGTTTGATATGAATAGTATTGAATCTGTAAATTGCTCTGGGCAGTATGGCCATTTTAATGATATTGATTCTTCCTATGCACAAGCATGGAATGTTTCTCCATTTATTTGAGTCATCTCTGATTTCTTTCAGCAGTGTCTTGTAGTTCTACTTTTAGAGATCTTTTATCTCCTTCTTTAACTGCATTCCTAGGTATTTCATTTTGTGGCTATTTTAAATAGCATCATGTTCTTGACTTGATACTCAGCCTGGACATTATTGGTGTATAGAAATGCTACTGATTTTTATACATTGATTTTTATATCCTGAAACCTTGCTAAAATCATGTATCAGTTCTAGTAGCATTTTGGCAGAGTCCAGGGTTTTGTAAATATAGACTTCTCAACAAAGAGAAAGAGTTTGATTTCTTCCTTTCCTATATGGATGCCTTTTATTTCTTTCTCTTGCCTGATTGCTCTGGCTGGGACTTCAAGTACTGTGTTGAGTAGGCATGGTAAGAGTTGGCATCCTTGCCTTGTTCCAGTTCTCAAGAGGATTG
Source organism: Homo sapiens (assembly GCF_000001405.40). Classification (NCBI taxonomy): domain Eukaryota; kingdom Metazoa; phylum Chordata; class Mammalia; order Primates; family Hominidae; genus Homo; species Homo sapiens. The sequence goes on from NC_000004.12 coordinate 104,998,332, forward strand.
CTACTGGCTTTTGCCCATTCAGTATAATGTTGGCTGTGGGTTTGTCATAGATAGCTCTTACTATTTTGAGGTATGTTCCTTTGATGCCTAGTCTGTTGAGGGTTTTTATCATGAAGGAATGTTGGATTTTATTGAAAGCTTTTTCTGCATCTGTTGAGATGATCATATGGTTTTTGAACCAGCCTTGCATCCCAGGAAAAAAGTGTACTTGATCTTGGTGGATTAACTTTTGATGTGCTGTTGGATTCAATTTGCTGGTATTTCGTTGAAGGTTTTTATGTCTATGTTCATTAGGGATATTGGCCTGAAGGTTTATTTTCTTGTTGTGTCTCTACCAGATTTTGGTATTAGGCCGATAATGGCTTCATAGAATGAGTTAGGAAGGGGTCCCTCCTCCTCTATTTTTTTGGGAATAGTTTCAGTAGGATTGGTACCAGTTTCTCTTTACATGTCTGGTAGAATTCAGCTGTGAATCCATCTGATACAGGGTGATTTTTTGGTTGGTAGTTTTTTTTTATTATTATTACTGATTCCATTTCAGATCTTAATACTCTGACCTTATAGTTCTTAGCAGAGGTCTGGCTTCATAGAAATGTGTTCAGCCTGTATTTAATAGCTATTTTAACCTAGATAGGCAAATTCATCTTTTAAATAGTATTATGAGAGCAATTATAAGGCTACAGATGCATTTATTCATTCAGTAGTAGTCATTAAAGGTCAGTCCTATGGTAGAATTTTAGTAACCTCTAGAAAGGATTAAAAAATGTAATATGGCATGTAATTCTTTCTTCCAAAAAGTTAACGAGCTACTTGGGCAGCCAAATAATATATATACTGAACAGAAAGCTAATAATATATTTAATTATCTCAAAATGATAGATACTGATTTAATTTAATGCTTTCTTTGTACAAGTTTCTGTGCCAAATGCATGGTATGTCCTATATTTTTAAACTATAATAACCTGCAGAGCATGTGTTATTCCAATTTTTAAAATGAGGAAATAAGACTCAGGGAAGTTAGGTGACCTACCCAAGATCATATAGATGGTAAGCAGCAAAAGCAGATTCAAACACAATCTGTTCTTCCACAGAAGATTTGCTTTTTACTCCTTGCTATGGGTGTTGTCTCTTGTTACCCACAAATCACTTTTATTTCCAAGCCTAAAACTCACTATGTGCACTCAAAATAAGTTCTGAGAAAGAACATGGTGGTACGAACAAAGACAAGGATAGCAGATTGCTCTCAACTTTCATGGTAACTCCGATTAATTTATTATAGCCAACTGAACACTATCTTATGAGGAATTATATGACTTGAAACAACTATAAATGTATTCTGATGCTGCATTTAGGCTCAGTGGGAAAGAATGAGAACTCGACATGGTTACTGGAAATATTTAAATATGTTTAGAATAACTTGGGTATGTGATTCTACTGCTTAACTAAATTTTGTAAAATTTAACAGATCAAGAAAATTCAATGAAAATTATAATTCACACTGAAATATATTCAAAATATACAACACTCACTTGATTTTGAAGATTAGCACATATGAAAAATAATATATCTCAATAATTATGTTGATTACATGTTGAATATCTTGGACATTGAATTAAGTCAAATATATTATTCAGATTAATTTCAACTCTTTCTTTTTATACTTTATTAATGCAGTTGGTAGAAAATTTTAGATTGAGTCTACATTTCCATTCCTTTGAGTCTACATTTAGATTAAGTCTACATTTCCATTCCTGTAGCCATCAGACTAAACAATACAGAAGAGCAGAGGGACAGGGGAATCTAGGGTAAGAGTGAAGTCAGTATTGATATAATTGAACATCCATATGCTTATTCTTCTAGGTCGGTGTTTGGTAGTCTTTTTTATCATCACCCGTAAAATGCCTTTTTAGACATTTTTTTCTCTAATCACTCCCGCCATGAAACTTTAACACCAAACATACACTATATACCTACTTGGGCACTTATTCTACTATCTAAGATGTTTTTACGCATCTGAGTATTGAACAGCTTGCCCTTTGGGGATGATATTTTTACCACTGGGAATACATGTTTTGGGTGAATTGGGAAGGGTTAAGTGACGAGGCCCAGTGGGGTAAGAATGTACCTTCAGATACCATAAGACTATGGAAAATAAAGGGTTATGAATTAAGAGGAAGAGAAGTAAGTTGAAAAATAAAGAGGTAGAGGTACCATAATGAGAATTTGATTTAGGGTATGAATCTATGATTAGTACCTACAATTATCCAATATATTTTGTCCATATGTTTGAACTATGCATTTTTCTAGACAAATGTTGGGGCAGCACCTAATTTACATTAATGTCAATTATAGAATGACTACATATCATAAATGCAAGAGGTGTTTTGTATATCACTATTCTCTCATAGCAATATGTGCTGCTATATTTGAGATAAAATGAGGAAGTGAACAAATAAAGCTTCCATCCTTATGGACCCCTCTGTGATTTTTGCCTTCCTCTTCTTTCCACTACTTGCGCACCTATACTAAAAGGTAAGAGGGTAATTGACCCTAAAGAAAAATGTATAGCAAGAAAAAGGTCAATAAGTATTTTCTATAAATGGGCATTTATGTAAATACAGTGTATTTCCAGTAATCCATTTCACAATGTAATTTAATATAATCTCTTTTATGGGACAAAAATGCCACCCCTTAGATATTGTCAGGTAGTAACTTTCTTAAAACATGTAGAGTAAGTTTGTGACTTGAAACATGTTATGAGATAATGATGTAATGACAAGAGAGGAAAATCTGCACTGAGTCTTGGAGATAAAGAGGGATGATAATTAATTTCCAGGTTTTTGCTATTACTGTCCAAGGGAACAGGTACTCCAGCCAGCAGACAAAATAATCAAGTTTTCTTGACAGATCTATCCTTCTAGTGTAGATGAGTATCACAGCTTTATAACAATTAACTGGCATCATTTAAACTTATTTTATTCTGACTCAAGCAAATTTCTGATTTAAGTTTAGCTTCACAAATAGGCCCTTCTAACGCACAATACGCACTAACTGACCAGCTGTTTTCAGTTTTCCTACTAATTGGTCGTGATTATTTTTCACTGAAGACTTATTAGCTGGCATACTAAATTTTAAATAAGTCCACTGCATGTACTTATAGTATGTTATAAATCTAAACCTATAAATTCCTCTCACTCGTCACCTGCTTCTTTATTTCCTATCTACACGAATAGCCTCATTATCGTTCCATATAACCTAAACCCAAAGCTGGGAAGTTATCTGAAAATTCTTACTCTCCTTGATCCTTCCATTACACCCATCATTATAGCCTGTCAGTTCTTCTATGTAACATTTTTTTCATCACTGTTGCTAGTATCTTAGTCCCTCATAAATTCTCCCCAACTTCTAAAAAATTCTCTCTACCACTCATTGTTCTTTCAAATCAATTATTGCCCTGAACAGGACTGTTTCTGTCATGACTGACATGGCTAAAATAGCTAAACCAAAAAAGGAAATTTATTGGCTCAAAAAAACTAAGGATGGTAAGTGCTGTTCTAGTCTTAGGTGCAACTAGATCTACAGACTCAAAGCCACTATTAGGTTTCTCTTTCCATTCCTCACTTCTGGCTTCTCAGTGTATTGGCCCTATTCTCAAAGAATTTCTTTTTTTTTTTTTTTTTTTTTGAGATGGAGTCTCTCTCCATCACCCAGGCTGGAGTGCAGTGGCATGATCTCGGCTCACTGCAACCTCTGCCGCCCGGGTTCAAGCAATTCTCCTGCCTCAGCCTCCCAAGAACCTGGGGTTACAGGCATGTGCCACCACGCCCAGCTAATTTTCTTGTATTTTTAGTAGAGACAGGGTTTCACTTTGTTGGTCAGGCTGATCTCAAACTACTGACCTCAAGTGATTTACCCGCCTCGGCATCCCAAAGTGCTGGAATTACAGACGTGAGCCACCGCGCCCGGCCTCTCACAGAATTTCTATATGCAATACTGGATGTGATAGATAAAGAGATGCACTGAGAACATTCCTTTTCTATAAAATACTTATACTGCCCAGGAGAGGGGAATTCAGCCACCCAATAGCCTCCAGCTGTGAGCTCCTTTAGAGTCTGGCTCAGCTTCAGGGACTCTGCGCCCCCGCCCCACCACCACTTGAGGTCACAGTTTTCCCAGAGTAGCATGCATACAGTGACTAACTGCAGTGGCCCAGCCACTTTAGGTACATGCAGGACACTCATGGGCTCTGTTCACTCCAGAACTCCCTGCCAGGTTGTCTGAGGCTTTGTTAGACCTGTATCACAATTCAGCTTCCCCCTCTGCCCAATCATGCATATTTATTCATTTTATAGGGGTTGATCCCTAATAAATATCTATACCCCAATCTCCAACTCAGTGTCTGCTTCCAGGAAACCCAGTGAGTTATATGTCCAAAGTGGCTAGGGCTTCACAGAACTCCAGCTCCACAATCCCAGAATCAATGGTCAGCCTTCCTCTTCTAGCTCTGACTAAAACATGGGTTCTGATTGACCCTATTTGACTCACATTTAATTCCCTGAACTCATTCCTTGGGCCATGCAGTCAGGCTGTGTTTGATAGCCCCACCAGGACCACATGGAGTGAAGGAAAAAAGTTCTCCAAAGGAGAGAAAAGATGGTCCCCTATAATCTTCCATGCAGCCAACTGAGGGCTCCTTCTAAAATATAAATCTGAATATGTATGTTTGCTTAAACATCAACTTTCCCCATTGCTTATGACAGAATTTTACTGTAAAACATTTGTCATAACATAAGACATTTTAAAAGGCACAGATTCAGCACAACATCCCTCATTTTTGTGGAATGTATTAGGAAGGCTTTTTGCCTCAAATGAGGGATTGGTTTTTGCCTAAAAAGATATCTACAGGAATGCAGTTGTTGCCTTTGGGTCTCCTGCCTCAGTGTGGTAGGGCCAGTGAACATTTTAGTATTTGTCATGGCTTTTGATTCATGGTTGCAACATTGCTGCCAGGGCTCTAGCCATCATGACCTCATTGAAGGTAGGACCAAGCAAGCAGGTAGGGGTCATATCAAAGCTTTTCTAAAACCACCCTCACCAGCTTTCCACCAACAGGTTAAGAACTGGAAATGAGTCCCATGAAAATTGCTAGCTGCAAGGGAATTGAGAAAGTAAGACTGTCACAGGAGTCATCAAAGGAGAAGTGGTTGGAATTTAATCTAGATAAGAGACAACATGATGATATTAGGGTATTAAGGACAATGAAAATAATTGTAGAATTGTAGTTTCTAGGAGGCTAAGGATTCTCTGGAGTCAGGGTAACAGATGGAGGAAAGTAGAATGATAGGAGTTGGTGAGCAGAGAGTGGAAAACTTAAAATTGTGACTGACTGGAGTTAGTGGAAGTCATTGATAATAACAGGATATAGGATAGAAACATAAGTTTCAGGGGCTAAGTGGAGGGGTAAATAGAGTCAAAAATCAATGGAGGAAAGGATGACAAGAAACAGACAAGGACATATGCCTGTCTTAACAGTTTTTACAAGTGCCTATCACAGAGTAGACACTGGACAAATGAATGATAAACTGAATTATTTCCCAGGCAATATTTACCTACAATTTTGATGTCTCTCCTGACAACCAGACCCTCTTGTCAAATAGCTTTCTCCTCTCCAATGTCCTGCACGTGCCTAATCTCAACATGCTCAAGGTCGAATCACAATCCCTCAGTTTTGAGTACCTTTTCAGGGTCTAGTTTCAAAATTTTTAGACAAATGCATGGATAGTTAAAATAGCAATACAAAATGTGTCACTAAAACAAGAGACAAAATTTATTGATAATACACTATGGGCCAGTACTGTGAGAACGTACCATTTGCTTGCATAGATTATCTCTTTTACTAATCAGAACCTATGAAGTAGGTACTGTTACCACACCCAGTTTGTGTATGAGAAAATTAAAACTTACAGAAATTAAGTCATTTACTCAAGGATCACAGCTAGTAAGTGAAGAACCCAGGACATTAACTGTGTCTGTCTGACTCCATACTCTTAATGACTGTGGAGCTAACAAATTAATTGCCTTTTTCAAAGTTTGGGGGCTGGGTGCGGTGGCACATGCCAGTAATCCCCACACTTTAGGAGGCTGAGGTGGGCAGATCACTTGAGCCCAGGAGTTCAAGACCAGCCTGGGCAACATAGCAAAACCCTATATCTACAAAAAATACAAAAATTAGCTGGGCATGATGGCAAGCTTGTAGTCCCAGCTACATGGGAGGCTGAGGTGGGAGGATCACTTGAGCGTGGGAGAGCAAGGCTGCAGTGAGTCAAGATCGTGCCACTGCACTCCAGCCTGGGTGACACAGTGAGACCCTATCTCAAAAAAAAAAAAAAGTTTGAGCCTATTTCAAAATATTGCTAAAATATGCATTCTTATTTTCTTGCAAATTATTAGACCTTCTTTAATAAGGAATTTTAATTAATCAAGGGGTGGAGTAATAGAGGGCAGTTCAGTATTTCTCATTCCTGCAGCCTCTGTTCTCTGCTGTGACCGAAAGGCCTTTACTACAGGCCTTTACTGGTAAACTCATAATAGTTATGTACATTAATCATATGAATTATCTATTTTGAGACAGAGTTTTAAATAATTGGACAATTTTAAAATCTGGTCCATGGATCAAGCAAATAGCGTTAGTAGTTTTTTATGTAGTAAACACTTTTCAAGAACAAGTTTATTCCATATTAAATATGTTTTCCTCTAAGGTTGAAGCAACTGTGACAGGGTGCACAAAAGGTTTCTTAAATATTATACAAATGAAAACACTTCTTTTGTTCCTGTATGAAATACAGGGAGAAAAGTTTGTTTTCTTGGCAGTTGGGAATGAGGGGTAGAAGGTGCTGAATTTCTTGGCAGCATTCCTTATAAACAATCAATGGTCCCTGAACTGCTTTCTGAAGAAATGGGTATGCTGAGCTGTGTAGTGCTGGACTCTACAGACTTTTTGTTGGTTTTGAAAAAAAAAAAAAAGATGAGAAGCAAGGAACTTGGGCAGAGGATTGAGAATTTTAAAAACAAAGATTGTGTTTTTTTATGTGATGTATTACATAAATTCCCTCTGCAGAAAAGAGTTAACATAGCAGGCCTGGCTTCCAACCTTTAAAAGCGCTGCTTACAAGACTGGTCCTTGGTCTTTGTCTGGGAACTTGGATTTCAGGAGGACTCCCACCATTCCCAGAACTGACAGAAGTGTCTCACTATGACTAGCCTGTGCAAACACTATGGTTTACGCTTAAAACCCTCTTTCCTTCTGGGATTCCAGAATTCAGGTGCCAGGCAGAGGGCACCTGCATGATCAGCCCCAATAAAATGCCCTGCGCACTGAGTTTTTTGTTTATTTGTTTGTTTGTTTGTTTGTTTGTTTTTGAGACAGAGTCTCGCTCTGTCACCCAGGCTGGAGTTCAGTGGTGTGATCTCAGCTCACTGCAACCTCCAATCCCCCGGGTTCAAGCAATTTTTCTGCCTCAGCCTCCCGAGTAGAGTAGCTGGGACTACAGGTGTGTGCCACCATGCCTGGCTAATGTTTGTATTTTTAGTAGAGACCGGGTTTCACCACATTGGCCAGGCTGGTCTGGAACTCCTGACCTCGTGATCTGCCCTCCTAGGCCTCCCAAAGTGCTGGGATTACAGGCGTGAGCCACTGCGACTGACTGGCACTGAGTTTCTAATAAGCTTCCTTGGTTGGCAATAGCCAGAAATGTGTCCTCAGAACTTGCTGGAGGAATTTAGTGCATCCTGTGACTCCTCTGGGAGAGGATTCTTGGAAGCTTATGCCTAATTTCCCTAAGACTTCACTCCGTGTGCATTTTCTCTTTGCTGATTGTGCTTTTTTGCCCTTTGTGTAATGAACTAGAGCCACAAATACAATTATATGCTAAATTCTATGTCCTAGCATATCCCCAAACCTCGGAATGATCTTTGGGACCTTCAATACAACACCTTACTATTACAAAAAATATTCACTTTATCACACATCTATTGAGTTTTTACTGTGCCTAAGTATTTTTTAAGCATTGAGAGTATAATAACAAATAAGGTACAGCCCCTATTAAGAAGCCTAGTGCCTAGCGGAATGGTTCTCATTCAAGGCTGATTTTTAGGAACAATTGGCAGTGTCTGGAGACATTTTTGATTGTCACCACTGGGGCAATGCTACTAGCATCAAGTGGGTAGAAGTCTGGGATGTTGCTTAACATCCTACCATATAAACTGTCTCTCCTTTTTATTGGGAGAGAGTTTTGAGAACACCTCTCTCGAAGTAAAGTATTATTTAGCCTAAAGTTAATAGTGCTCAGGTTGAGAAACCTTGATCTAGTGGAAGAAACATAGATATAAACAAACAATGTTAATACAATGTAGAAACTATTCATTATCTATTTCCCCTTCAGTGATCATGCTTTCTGTCCTACCTTTACCACACACTTCACAAAATTAAGGCCCCCGCAACCTGTGCCTTTTCACTTGCCTTTACCATCATGACTGCATATTTTCCATGATGAGGTTAAATTCCATAGTCAATTACTATAATCATTACATCATGCAGGGATTCACAATGTTTCAGCATATGCAAATCAATCAATGTGATATATATTATATCAACATAATGAAGGACAGAAACCACATGGTGATTTCAATTGATGCTGAAAAACCATTTGATAAAATTCAACATCCTTCATGATAAAAGCCATAAAAATGGGTATAGAATAAACATACCTCAGCGTAATAAATGCTATTTTTGACAGACCCACAGCTAGTATCATGCTGAATGGGGAAAAACTGAAAGCCTTTCCTCTAAGATCTGAAATACAACAAGGATGCCCACTCTCATGACCATTATTCAACATAGTACTAACAGTGATCAACAGTGTTGATTAACACTGTTAACCAACATACCAAAATCAGTAGCATTTCTATATGTCAACAATGAACAATCTGAATAAGAAATCAAAAAGGTAATCCCATTTACAATAGACACACACAAATACGTAGGTATTCACCAAAGAAGTGAAAGATCTCTTTCATGAAACTATAAAACACACATGAATGAAATTGAAGAAAACACCACAAAATGAAAAGGTATTCCATGTTCAAGGATTGGAAGAATCAATATTGATTGATTTGCATTTCTCTAGTGATCAGTGTTGTTGAGCTTTTTTTCATGTTTGTTGGCCACTTGTATGTATTCTTTTGAGAAGTGTCTATTCTTGTCCTTTGCCAACTTTTTAATGGGGCTATTTGTTTTTTCCCTGTTGTTTAAGTTCCTTGTAGACTCTGGATATTAGACCTTTGTCAAATGGATAGATGCTAAAATTTTCTCCTATTTTGTAGGTTGTTCACTCTGATTATTGTTTCTTTTTCTGTGTAGAGCTTTTTAGTTTAATTAGATCTCATCTGTCAAATTTTGCTTTTGTTGCAGTTGCTTTTGGCATTTTCATCATCAAATCTTTGTCTATGCCTACATCCTGAATGGTATTGCCTCAATTTTCTTCTAGAGTTTTTATAGTTTTGAATTTTATGTTTAAGTATTTTATTCATCTTGAGTTGATTTTTGTAAGGAAGGGGTCCAGTTTCAATTTTCTGCATATGGCTAGCCAGCACTCCCAGCACCATTTATTAAACAGAGTCACTTCCTCATTGCTTGTTTTTGTCAAGTTTGTCAAAGACCAGATGGTTGTAGGTGTGCAGTCTTATTTCTGAGTTCTCTATTCTGTTCTGTTGGTCTATGTATCTGTTCTAGTACCATACCATGCTTTTTTAGTTACTGTAAATTTGCAGTATAGTTTGAAGTCAGGTAGCGTGATGCCTCCAGCTTTGTTCTCTTTGCTTAGGATTGTCTTGGCTATTCAGGCTCTTTTTTAGTTCCATATCGATTTTTACATAGTTTTTTTTTTAATTCTGTGAAGAATGTCAATGGTAGTTTAATGGGAATAGCACTGAATGTATAAATTGCTTAGGGTAGTATGGCCATTTTCACAATGTTGTTTCTTCCTATCCATGAGCATGGAATGTTTCTCTATTTGTTTGTGTCTGTTCTGATTTCTTTGAGCAGTGCTTTGTAGTTCTCCTTGAAGAGGTCCTTCACTTCCCTTGTTAGCTGTATTAATACCTAGGTATTCTTTTTGTGGCAATTGTGAATGAGAGTTCATTCATGGTTTGGCTCTTGGCTTGCTTGTTGTTGGTGTATAGGAATACTAGCTATTTTTGCACATTGATTTTATATTCTGAGATTTAGGCTTATCAGCTTAAGAAGCTTTTGGGGTAAGACAATGGGGTTTTCTAGATATAGGATCATGTCATCTGCAAATAAAGACAATTTGACTTCTTCTCTTTTTTTTTTTTTTTTTTTTTTTTTGAGACGAAGTCTCACTCTGTCACCCAGGCTGTAGTGTAGTGGCGCGATCTCAGCTCATTGCAAGCTCTGCCTCCTGGGTTCATGCCTTCTCCTGCCTCAGCCTCCCAAGTAGCTGGGACTACAGGTGCCTGCCACCATGCCCGGCTAATTTTTTTTTTTTTTTGTATTTTTATTAGAGATGGAGTTTCGCTGTGTTAGCCAGGATGGTCTCGATCTCCTGACCTCATGATCCACCTGCCTTGGCCTCCCAAAGTGCTGGGATTACAGGCTTCAGTCATGGCGCCCGACCGACTTCTCTTTCTCTCTGAATATGCTGAATATGCTTTATTTCTTTCTCTTGCCTGATTGCCCTGGCCAGAATTTCCAACACTGTGTTGAATAGGAGTAGTGAGAGTGGGCAACCTTGCCGTATGCCAGTTTTCAAGGGAATGCTTCCAGCTTTTGCCCATTCAGTATGATATTGGCTGTGGGTTTGTCATAGATGGCTCTTATTATTTTGAGGTGTGTTCCTTCAATACCTAGCTTATTGAGAATTTTTAACGTGAAGGATGTTGAATTTTATTGAAGGCCTTTTCTGCCTCTACTGAGATAATCATGTGGTTTTTGTCTTTAGTTCTTTTATGTGAAGAATCGCATTTATTGATTTGCATATGTTGAACCAACTTGGCATCCCAGGAATGAAGTCAACTTGGTAGTGGTGAATAAGCTTTTGATGTGCTGCTGGATTTAGTTTCCCAGTATTTTATTGAGGATTTTTGCATCAATGTTCATCAAGGATATTGCCCTGAATGTTTTGTTGTTGTTGTTGTATCTCTGCCAGGTTTTGGTATCAGGATGATGCTGGCCTTATTTAATGAGTTAGGGAGAAGTCACTCCTTTTCTGTTTTTATGGAATAGTTTCAATAGAAATGGTACCAACTTTGTACCTCTGGTAGAATTCAGCTGCGAATTCACCTGCTTCTGGGCTTTTTTCGGTTGGTAGGCTATTTGTTACTGCCTCAGTTTCAGAACTCATTATTGGTCTATTCAGGGAATCAGTTTCTTCCAAGTTCAGTCTTGGGACAATGTATGTGTTCAGGAATTTATTTATTTCTTCTAAGATTTTCTAGTTTATGTGCATAGAAGCGTTTATAGTATTCTCTGAAGGTTGTTTGTATTTCTGTGGGGTCAGTGGTAATATCCGCCTTATCATTTCTTGTTGTGTTTATTTGATTCTTCTCTCTTTTCTTCTTTATCAGTCTAGATAGTGGACTATTGATTTTATCAATTTTTTCAAAAGCCAGCTCCTGAATTTATTGATTTTCTTTTCAGAAGGGTTTTTTTTTTTTTTTTTTTTTTTTTGGATTTCTATCTCCTTCAGTTCAACTCTGATCTTAGTTATTTCTTGTCTTCTGCTAGCTTTGGTATTTGTTTGCTCTTGGTTCTCTAGTTCTTTTAGTTGAGATACTAGGTTGTTAATTTGAGATTTTTCTGGCTTTTTGATGTGGGCATTTAGTGCTATAAATTTCCCTCTTAACACTGCTTTAGCTGTATCCCAGAAATTCTTGTACATTCTATCTTTGTTCTCATTAGTTTCAAAGAACTTCTTGATTTCTGCCTTAATTTCATTCTTTACCCAAGAGTCATGCAGGAACAGGTTGTTCAATTTCCACATAGTTGTATGGTTTGAGTGAGTTTCTTAATCTTGAGTTCTAATTTAATTGTTCTGTGATCTGAGAGACTGTTACGATTTCGATTCTTTCACATTGGCTGAGGAGTGTTTTACTTCGATTATGTGATCAATTTTAGAGTAAGTGCTGTGTGGCAATGAGAAGAATGTATATACTGTTGAATTTGGGTGGAGAGTTCTATAGATATCTATCAGGCCCACTTGATCCAGAGCTGATTTCAGGTCCTGTATAATTCACATCTATTAACTGAGTTGTTTCCTTATAACTCTGCTAGTCTAAAAAGAAAAAGAAAAAAAAGGTGACAAGGGAAAAACTGGTAGAAGGGGTAAGAAGCTAAAAGCAGTGCTTAGAAATGAAGTGTGGGAACTGACCTATGGATGGATTTTAATAGGAATATCCCTTTTTCCATCAAAATGGGTCCTTGGAAGCCAGCCAAATTATTCCCTATGTGGTAAACCAGTTTATCAGACTAAGGGGAGCACAGACCCTCAGCATGGAATATTTCATATGTGTAAGAGAGTCTGGACTTGGAGCAGTGGTTGATGGGGTGGTAATAAGGGAAATGTGGTGGAAATGAGCCAGAAGAGTGAATTAACATGCGTATTTGAGTTGAAGCTGCTCCTGGCAAACTATAAATTATGAGAGTCATTTATAAGAGAGTCCATAATTGCTAGAGGAATTTCTGTGTTAATCATCAGAAGACAGATCCAGTAAGAATAAACAAAACAGTGCCAGCTTAAGAAAGGTTCCCCCTCCCTTCCCAAATCAATTATTGGCTATTCTGTTATGATTAAGGAATGATAGAAACTTAATTAGCTATTTTTCCATTTAAGAAAATCATATTGCTTTGATTCAAGCACACCTATGCGAGCTATCCAGAAAGTCTGTAGCTACAATGCAGATTTTAAATAATTCCAAAGCTGGTCCCTGTGGTTTAAATAAAATGATAATATAAAATGTAATTTTAGCTTATTTAAGAACTTTAATTCTGCTTTAATACAAAATATCTCTTTTGCTCCACAGTTGCTATATTAGACTAAACATTTTCATAGAAGAATATCAGTGAAGATTAGTTGTATTTATAAGAAGCATGGGCTTACCTGAATCATACCAGTATAAAGAATGACAAACATCATCCAGATGGAAAAACTAATCATAAATTCTAAAGTGTAATCAGTTGTTAGACATGTTGATTTTCTCTTCTTCCTAGTGCAGTAAACTATTTTGTCAGTCTTATTTGCTGTAACTTGAAAGTTTAAAATATTTATTTTAAAAATTTTTGCTTATCGAATAGTATCTCAAAGAGCAGAGAAAACCATGGTAAGTCATAGCAGTCTGAGATGATATTTATTTTGAATATTCACACAGCAAAAGTAAGCCTGAGTTTGGGTTTTCTTTTTTTCCTGTTTGCTATCCATTGCAATTTAATTGCCTAGGTTAGCTACTAGCCTTTCAATAATTTTATTGGCCCCTTTTATTATTCTTAACCTTTCTATTTTCCTGAGTTTAAATTTCAAATTTCTATATTTCTCTTCCATCTAGCTTAATGCTGTTTTTACACATTCAGGTCAGTAATTCCATTTTAGTAAGCACCATGGGGAAATTCTGAGTTTAATGAGCATCTTGCCCCAGTAATTTCATATTCTAAAAGAAATAAGTCATGGCTACTTAAATGACTAGAAAGCAAAGATAGGCATAGATGATTGTGGGGAGAAGTGGTATACATAAACAGCCATGAGAATTTAGAAAATAGAAATGTTAATCCTGGATAAAGTAGGCATCACAGAGAAATTAGTGTTCGGGATGAATCTTGAAGGATAGGTAAGGTTTGTATATGCTGGGATAGCAAAATGGGCAGATATAATTACATGTAACCAAGTTTAGTAACTGAGAGCAATTTGTATTTTTCCTCTGTTTCAAGCTACAGCTATCTCCTACACATGGTGTGGTTTATTCAATATTGAGTTTTATATCCAGGAATGCCTTATGGCTGATGGCACATGCAGCAATGAACTACCAGGAGCTGTTACAGCAATACTGACACAGATATATGTCTTCATCTTGGTTGACCTCTCGGATGGGGACAAATTAATATATGACAATAAATGACCTGTGCAGCATGACTTCTCCAGAAACAAAAGGGACATACCTTGTATTTTATTTTAAAAAGTTATTGAAAAATGAGAAGTTACTCTCTTTTGGTCATAGAAATATCTTCTAACCTTTTCTTAGCCTTCTCAGTAGCATGCAGTAGTGGCTGGAGACAGCAGCGTTAGAAAGATAGACAGGAAATGATAAACAGAAAGAAAAGATAAAATCGCTATTTTTAATGATGTTAAGGTAGCAAACAGGTTATGTCAACCCATAGCTATGTAAAATAGTCCTACGAATCTTAGAATCTCAGTTTTTTTTTTGTTCCCATTATTCACCAATAAAATGTAGATGAAAATATTTCTATAATTCTTCCTAACCATGATATGAAACCCAGAAGCCCTAAAAAATGATTAACACACTTGACTATATGAAACTATATAACTTTATATAAGAATACATTATGGAGAAAGTTAAAAGACCCTGTGAGCTGCCAGAAAATATTTTCAACGTATATATGGCAAAGATAAGTATCACTTTATGTAGAAAACTCTTACAAATTGATTTAAAAAAACATCATTAAAAATATGAAACTAGGGCTGGGAGTGGTGGCTCTCGCCTGTAATCCCAGCACTTTGGGAGGCTGAGGCAGGCGGATCACAGGGTCAAGATGGAGACCATTCTGGCCAACAAGGTGAAACCCCATCTCTACTAAAAATACAAAAAATTAGCTGGGTGTGGTGGCACATGCCTGTAGTCCCAGCTACTCGGGATACTGAGGCAGGATAATCACTTGAACCCGGGAGGCGGAGGTTGTAGTGAGCCGAGATCATACCACTGCACTTCAGGCTGGGCAACAGAGAGAGATTCCATCGCAAAAAAAAAAAAAAAAAAAAAAAAAAAGAATATGAAACTATTCCCAACGTCTCTAATAATTCTAACTAAAAAAAAAAGAAATTAATTTTACCTATAAGACATACTAAGATTAAGAAGAGTAATAATATCCGAGTTAGTGAGTATGAGGATATCAGCAAAGTCATGCATTCTTATGAAAATGTAAATTGCTACATTTCAGTAAGCTATTTAGCAGTATTTCTCAAAATAAATTTGCATATTACAATAGAGTGACTATAGTTAACAATAATCTATTGTATATTTTTAAGCAAAAGAGTGGAATTGGAATGTTTCTAACACAAATAAATGGTAAATGCTTAAGGTGATAGATGCCCTTTTATGCATCTATATGCATCAATTATGAATATATGTATGCAACTACAATGTACCCATAATTAAAAATAAAAATTAATAATGAGTGCACATTCACTTTTAGCCAGTTATTCTACTTCTATGAATTTGTTATATGGTGATGCAGAAACATATGAAACACACATGCATAATCACCTTAATAGTGTTTGTCATTGCAAAAAAATTAGAAACAACCCAGACATTTGTCTCTAGGAATTAAGTAAACTGCCACATATTTTTACAAGCATGTATTAATTTTGTAACCTCAGAAAAAACTTCAAGTAGGGGAAAGAAAAGGAAGAGGAGAATTGCTTAAAAAAAAACTTTAAAAATTTGTCCTTATCATAAACTACAAAAACTTGCGAAGTAAAAGTTTAAAACATTGTTCATTCCCAACCCAATGTGACTCCCAGATTGCTACTGTTAACTGGTATGTATCCTTTTAGAAATATATGTGTATATTTTTTAAGCATGGCCAGCTCTGCTCTTACTAAACCAAGATACAGTTAAATGTTAGTTTTTAAATCTTATAATACAAAAGTAAGTAGTTGGCAAATAATGACATGTCCCAAATCTACAGTGTCCAAAATATACTTGTAAAAAAGAAGAGTTTAATTTCTGTGCTGTTGTGACATAGTGAAGGTCACAGACAACACAGAGTGCAGCTTCTCTGAGCTTTAGCATTTTCCTTCCATACTTCCTGGTTTTCACTTCATTTATTACAACTGATTTGCTTCCTTGTTTTAGGCCAATAATGTTTTTTCATTGCTATCATCTCTTCTTACAGCTCTTGTTTATTCTCCACAGCCCTACCCTTCCTCTCTTTGTAAACCCAAAAGTTGAAGTTGTTTTAATTCAACAAATATTTAACAGTGATTGAAGCAATTGTTATAAGGAGTGGTTAGACTCCTGGCTTCCCCACAATTCCCACTTAAATCGATCAGTAACTGGAATGAATTTAATTTTTTCTTTTCCTTTGAGTTGATCTACTTTCATTGCCTTATATGATTCTCCTTACTTCCTCTACCCCTTTCTTCACTGCTGCCTCGTAGACTTTCCCTCGCTTCCTCTCCCCTTCTCTCCCTTGTTACTGCTCCTGCCTCTCCTACCATCACCAGCAAACCTACTTCCTCTTTCCATAATGTTTCAGCTAAACTATGTGTTAAAACACAACTTGAAGATTGCTCTGGAACCAAAACACAATGTATGTATCATGGTTTCTAGAAAATGTGTTTAGACTTCGTCAAGAAAAGATCATAAATGTAATTATGCCTCATTATCTTGGCTACAGCCTGGCACAGGAAAAGGAAGAACAGTTACTGGAGGGAAAAAAGAAAATTTTTCACTTGTAGAGTTTAGGCCTGTGGATATTGCCTTCTGAATATGACGGCCTCTTTGCTTTGTTCATTATCTTCCATTAAATTATTTGAGACATTCTGTTGCTTTCCATTATACCATCGCTATCTCATTATCTGCAACTCTTTGTCCATATGCACATTTCGCCTCTTTAGTAATTTACATCTAATTGTTACCCTCATCTCACATCTCCCTTCAGCCATTCCTTTGGCAATGAAATAGCAGTAATCACAGTCAAGATACTGACTCTTCAATTTGTTGAGAAATGCTTCAAAGTTGTTTTTTCCATGTTTACTCATGTGGTGATTTTTTATTGCTTTCCAACAACATGTGAAGGAGTGAGATAAAATTAAAATGTCACAACAAATGTATTTCAGATTATGAAATATTTTAAAAACTTACCTGTTAGCTCTTAATATTTGAAAGTTGAAAAACACAGGTTTTTAATGCTATCAAAATCAGGCCAATATGAAGAGAGACACAATTACAGACCTTTAAAATATGAAATTAACTAAGAAACACCACAATCCTAACTGGTTTATTTGATCCTTGCCTCATTTTCCTCTCCTCTCTCCTCTCCAGAAATATCTTTCTAGTAATATTTGACTCTCTTTTCCAAATCCTAAATCCTTTAGTGTGGTATCCATCTACATATTCAGAATGCCCTCCTGCCATTTTCCCACCATGTATGTATTCCATAAACTTAGTGACTTTCCCGTATTACCTGAGAAGGGAAGTACAGGCCTCGATTCCCCTCTGTATAGAATCCCTCCCCAGTCCTTTGCATGGCTATTTACTTCTGCCAGCTATCTCTCCTCAGCACCAGTCACCACCCTGTAAACTGCGCCTGACTGCCTAGGCAAGCATAGGCACTCCTTTCTCTGTGCCTCTTTTCCTTATATACCTCCACAGTGGCTCTTTTACAAATTTTATACAGCCATATATACTATTGTAAACTTTTTGTTCTGTGTATCTAGCTCTTTACTGTATTATACTTTTCTGTAATCAGAAACCATATGTTTTAATCTCTATGCCCTCATCATCCAGAATGGCATCTGGCATTTAGAAGTGCCCATATCAGGGAAAGTTCTAGCTTTTGGGCCACTAAAGCCAGCTACAGCTAAGTTAATCAGAAAAGAAATGTATTAATAAAAATATTGGTAAGATTATAAAATGAAGGAGAAAAAAAGTTGAAATGAAGGAAAAAATGTTAAGGGCAGCCAGAGAGAAAGGTCGGGTTACCCACAAAGGGAAGCCCATCAGACTAATGGCAGACCTCTCAGCAGAAACTCTACAAGCCAGAAGAGAGTGGGGGCCAATATGCAACATTCATAAAGAAAAGAATTTTCAACCCAGAATTTCATATCCAGCCAAACTAAGCTTCATAAGTAAAGGAGAAATAAAATCCTTTACAGACAAGCAAATGCTGAGAGATTTTGTCACCACCAGGCCTGCCCTACGAGAGCTCCTGAAGGAAGCACTAAACATGGAAAGTAACAACCGGTACCAGCCACTACAAAAACATGCCAAATTTTAAAGATCATCAATGCTAGGAAGAAACTGCATCAACTAACGAGCAAAATAACCAGCTAACATCATAACGACAGGATCAAATTCACACATAAAACTATTAACCTTAAATGTAAATGGGCTAAATGCTCCAATTAAAAGACACAGACTGGCAAATTGGATAAAGAGTCAAGACCCGTCAGTGTGCTGTATTCAGGAGACCCATCTCACATGCAGAGACACATATAGGCTCAAAATAAAGGGATGGAGGAAGATCTACCAAGCAAATGGAAAACAAAAAAAAGCAGGGGTTGCATTCCTAGTCTCTGATAAAACAGACTTTAAACCAACAAAGATCAAAGGAGACAAAGAAAGCCATTACATAATGGTAAAGGGATCAATTCAACAAGAAGAGCTAACTATCCTAAATATATATGCACCCAATACAGGAGCACCCAGATTCATAAAGCAAGTCCTTAGAGACCTACAAAGAGACTTAGACTCCCACACAATAATAATGGGAGACTTTAACACCCCACTGTCAACATTAGACAGATCAATGAGACAAGAAGTTAACAAGGGTATCCAGGACTTGAACTCAGCTCTGCACCAAGCGGACCTAATAGACATCTACAGAACTCTCCACCCCAAATCAACAGAATATACACTCTTCTCAGCACCACATTGCACTTATTCCAAAATTGACCACATAGTTGGAAGTGAAGCACTCCTCAGCAAATGTAAAAGAACAGAAATCATAACAAACTGTCTCTCAGACCACAGAGCAATCAAACTAGAACTCAGGGTTAAGAAACTCACTCAAAACTGCTCAACTACATGGAAACTGAACAACCTGCTCCTGAATGTCTACTGGGTAAATAACAAAATGAAGGCAGAAATAAAGATGTTCTTTGAAACCAATGAGAACAAAGACACAACATACCAGAATCTCTGGGACACATTCAAAGCAGTGTGTAGAAGGAAATTTATAGCACTAAAAGCCCACAAGAGAAAGAAGGAAATATCTAAAATTGATACCCTAACATCACAATTAAAAGAACTAGAGAAGCAAGAGCAAACACATTCAAAAGCTAGCAGAAGACAAGAAATAACTAAGATCAGAGCAGAACCGAAGGAGATAGAGACACAAAAAACCCTTCAAAAAAATCAATGAATCTAGGAGCTGGTTTTTTGAAAAGATTAAAAAAATAGACCTCTAGCAAGACTGATAAAGAAGAAAAGAGAGAAGAATCAAATAGATGCAATAAAAAATTATAAAGGGGATATCACCACCGATCCCACAGAAATACAAACTACCATCAGAGAATACTATAAACACCTCTATGCAAATAAACTAGAAAATTTAGAAGAAATGGATAAATTCCTGGACACATACACCCTCCCAAGACTGAACCAGGAAGAAGTTGAATCCCTGAATAGACCAATAACAGGCTCTGAAATTGAGGCAATAATTAATAGCCTACCAACAAAAAAAGTCCAGGACCAGATGGATTCACAAACAAATTCTACCAGAGGTACAAAATGAGCTGGTACCATTCCTTCTGAAACTATTCCCATCAATAGAAAAAGAGGGAATCCTCCCTAATTCATTTTATGAGGCCAGCATCATCCTGATACCAAAGTCTGGCAGAGATGCAACAGAAAAAGAGAATTTTAGACAAATACCCCTGATGAACATCGATGCAAAAATCCTCAATAAAATACTGGCGAACTGAATCCAGCAGCACATCACAAAGCTTATCCACCATGATCAAGTGGGCTTCATCCCTGGGATGCAAGGCTGGTTCAACATACACAAATCAATACACGTAATCCATCATATAAACAGAACCAAAGACAAAAACCACATGATTATCTCAATAGATGCAGAAAAGGCCTTTGACAAAATTCAACAGTCCTTCATGCTAAAAAACTCTCAATAAACTAGGTATTGATGGGACGTATCTCAAAATAATAAGAGCTATTTATGACAAACCGACAACCAATATCATACTGAATGGACAAAAACTGGAAGCAGTCCCTTTGAAAACTGCCACAAGACAGGGATGCCCTCTCTCACCACTCCTATTCAACATAGTGTTGGAAGTTCTGGTCAGGGCAATCAAGCAGGAGAAAGAAATAAAAAGTATTCAATTATGAAAAGAGAAAGTCAAATTGTCTCTGTTCACAGATGACATGATTGTATATTTAGAAAACCCCATCATCTCAGCCCAAAATCTCCTTATGCTGATAAGCAACTTCAGCAAAGTCTCAGGATACAAAATCAATGTGCAAAAATCACAAGCATTCCTATACACCAATAACAGACAAACAGAGAGCCAAATCATGAGTGAACTCCCATTCACAATTGCTACAAAGAGAGTAAAATACCTAGGAATCCAACTTACAAGGGATGTGAAGGACCTCTTCAAGGGGAGCTACAAACCACTTCTCAATGAAATAAAAGAGGACACAAACAAATGGAAGAGCATTCCATGCTCATGGATAGGAAGAATCAATCTCATGAAAATGGCCATACTGCCCATGGTAATTTATAGATTCAATGCCATCCCCATCAAGCTACCAATGACTTTCTTCACAGAATTTGGAAAAACTACTTTAAAATTCATATGGAACCAAAAAAGAGCCTGCATTGCCAAGACAATCCTAAGCAAAAAGAACAAAGCTGTAGGCATCACGCTACCTGACTTCAAACTGCACTACAAGGCTACGGTAACCAAAACGGCATGGTACTGGTACCAAAACAGAGATATAGACCAATGGAGCAGAGCAGAGGCCTCAGAAATAACACCACACATCTACAACCAACTGATCTTTGACAAACCTGACAAAAACAAGAAATGAGGAAAGGATTCCCTATTTAATAAATGGTGCTGGGAAAACTGGCTAGCCATATGTAGAATGCTGAAACTGGATCCCTTCCTTACATCTTGTACAAAAATTAATTCAAGATGGATTAAAGACTTAGACCTAAAAGCATAAAAACCCTAGAAGAAAACCTGGGTAATACCATTCAGGACATAGGCATGGGCAAGGATTTCATGACTAAAACATCAAAAGCAACGGCAACAAAAGCCAAAATAAACAAATGGGATCTAATTAAACTAAAGAGCTTCTGCACAGCAAAAGAAACTACCATCAGAGTGAACAGGCAACCTACAGAATGGGAGAAAATTTTTGCAACCTACTCATCTGACAAAGGCTAATATCCAGAATCTACAAAGAACTTAAAGTTACAAGAAAAAATCCACCCCATCAAAAAGTGGGCGAAGGATATGAAGAGACACTTCTTGAAAGAAGACATTTATGCAGCCAACAGACACATGAAAAAATGCTCATCATCACTGGCCATCAGAAAAATGCAAATCAAAACCACAATGAGATATACCATCTCACACCAGCTAGAATGGCGATCATTAAAAAGTCAGGAAACAGGGCCGGGCGCGGTGGCTCACACCTGTGATCCCAGCACTTTGGGAGGCCGAGGCGGGCGGATCACGAGGTCAGGAGATCGAGACCATCCCGGCTAAAACGGTGAAACCCCGTCTCTACTAAAAATACAAAAAATTAGCCGGGCGTAGTGGCGGGCGCCTGTAGTCCCGGCTGCTTGGGAGGCTGAGGCAGGAGAATGGTGTGAACCCGGGAGGCGGAGCTTGCAGTGAGCCGAGATCCCGCCACTGCACTCCAGCCTGGGTGACAGAGCGAGACTCCGTCTCAAAAAAAAAAAAAAAAAAAAAAAAAAGGTCAGGAAACAACAGGTGCTAGAGAGGATGTGGAGAAATAGGAACACTTTTACACTGTCGGTGGGAGTGTAAACTAGTTCAACCATTGTGGAAGACAGTGTGGCGATTCCACAAGGATCTAGAACTAGAAATACCATTTGACCCAGTGATCCCATTACTGGGTATATACCCAAAGGATTTTAAATCATGCTGCTACAAAGACACATGCAAACGTAAGTTTATTGTGGCACTATTCACAATAGCAAAGACTTGGAACCAACCCAAATATCCATCTATGATAGACTGGATTAAGAAAATGTGGCACATATTCACCATGGAATACTATGCAGCCATAAAAAAGGATGAGTTCATGTCCTTTGTAGGGACAAGGATGAGTTCATGTCCTTTGTAGGGACATGGATGAAGCTGGAAACCATCATTCTGAGCAAACTACCACAAGGACAGAAAACCAAACACCACATGTTCTCACTCATAGGTGGGAACTGAACAATAACAACACTTGGACACAGGTTGGGGAACATCACACACCAGGGCCTGTCATGGGGTGGGGGGCTGTGAGAGGGATAGCGTTAGGAGAAATACCTAATGTAAACGATGAGTTAATGGGTGCAGCACACCAACATGGCACATGTATACATATGTAACAAACCTGCATGTTGTGCACATGTACCCTAGAACTTAAAGTATAATAAAAATAAATCAATAATAATAAAAAAATAAAATTCTAAAGAGAGAAGCTCCCTGATGGCTAAACCTAGTTTATGAACCTATAACTTGATTTACTTGTAGTGATGATAGACAAGATAAAGAGAAGACATAAAATCTCACCAATCTATACAATGGACTATCCTCCCAAATAGGTTGGGAAATTATACATGGAGCAGCCAAAACTTCAATGCTTGTGAGAATTACCCAAATATTATCATTTTGTCACTATAATCTACAATAATAAACAGGATACATTTAAGGTGTACTTAATAGTTTTGAGTCTAGCTTTAAGGCTAATGGAATCATTCTTACTACCTTTGTCTACTTCTAAGACATGTAAGAGAAAAAGTTTCATCTAACAAATTGCTTTACACAGCTTTTTAAAATAACCTAAACTATCAAAGTTTTCTCAAAAGTGAGAAAGCAAATGTAATTAGTGTAACAGGCAAAGACTATTAAGTACTGATTAGGTCAAAGAGAGTAAAAATTAGGTTGCCTATAGCAGAAATGACCATGTCCTTTATGGGAGTACAAATTATCTGTTTACATGTCTACTGATGTTTTATTCAAGATGTCTGACATACATAAAAAATTATGACACATGAAAAAAGCAGGAAAGTGATCCATAACCAAGAAAAAAAAAAGTGCCATCCTCAAAAAGGACAAAAATATCTCTCAACCTAGAATTGTACGTACAATAAGTTTCTTCTTCAAAAATTAAGGTAAAATAAAAATATTTTTAGACAGACTGAAGCTGATAAAATGTGTTGCCAGCACCACTGCACTATGAGAAATAACTAAATAAAGTTATTCAAACTGACGGGAAATTATCCTAGATGAAAGAGTGGATATTGAGAAACTAATAAAAAGCACAGAAAAGAGTAAATGTGTGAGATAACATTAAACAGCATTTATCAAAATTTATTTAAAAGATGATTGAAGGTTTTAAGTAAAATGATGATGATTATGTATTGCTGGCTTTTAAACACGGAGAATTGAAACACATGGTCGAGCCCCATATCCAAGCCCTATAGCTCCCGGTCAACATTTTTAAACATATCCTGGGCCAGAGGGGAGCCCACTGCCTTGAAGGGAAGGACCCACTGCTGGCAGAATTCATCATCTGCTAACTGAAGAGCTTTGGGGCCCTAAATAGCCAGTAGCTATACCCATGTAGTACATCGTGAGCCTTGGGTGAGATTCTGACACTTGCTGGCTTCAGGTACCAGCTCAGCCACAAACAAGTAAAGCACCAAGCAAGCCCTTAGGGTCCCCAATTCCAGGCCTTGGCACTTGGGTGACATTTCTGGACTTACCCTGGGCGCCAGAGGGAAGTATACTCCCCTAAGGGTGAGGGGTTTTTTGTTGTTGTGGTTTTTTTTTTGTTTGTTTGTTTGTTTGTTTGTTTTTGAGATAGAGTCTCACTTTGTCGCCCAGGCTGGAGTACAGTGGGGCAATCTCGGCTCACCAGAAGCTTTGCCTCCTGGATTAGAGCAATCCTCCTGTCTCAACCTCCTAAGTAGCTGGGATTACAGGCATCTGCCACCGTGCCCAACTAATTTTTGTATTTTTTTAGTAGAGATGAGATTTCACCATGTTGGTCAGGTTGGTCTCGAACTCCTGACCTCAAGCAATCCACCAGCTTCGGCCTCCCAAAGTGCTGGGATTACAGGTGTGAGCCACCATGCCTAGCCCCCTGAAGGGTGAGTTTCAGACCAGGCAGCACTCACCACAAGCTGAATGAGAGCCCCTGGGCTTTAAGGAAACATTGGCAGTAGCCTGGCAGTGTGCCCCATGGACCTGCGGTTGCATGGAGTGAGCTTCCTGTGCCTTTGGATAAGGGGACGGAAGAGTGGGAAGAACTGCATCTTGTGGTTTGAGTGCTGACTCATCCACAGTAAAATAGAGCACCAAGTAGACGTCTAAGGTTTTGACTCTGGTCCCTGGATCCCAGATAGCACCTCGGGACCCACCAGGAGCCTGGGGGAAGTCACCACCCTGAAGGGAAGGACACAGGTGAGACTGGCTTAACCACCTGATAGCAGAGCTCCAGGACATTGAGTGAACATAGGCTGTAGCCAGGGAATGGTTACAGCAAGCCTTGGGCGAGACCTGGTGCTGTGCTGGCTGCAGGTCTGACGCAACACAGTCCTTGTGGTGGTGCTTATAGGGGTGCTTATCTCATTCTACTCCCAGCCCAGGAGGCTCAGAGCAGTGATAAACTCCATTTGTCAGGGAGAAAGTAAGGGAAGAGAACAAGAGTCTCTGCCAGGGAATTCTTCCAGATATTGTCCAAAACTATCAAGGTGGTACCTCTACAAGTCTGCAAGAACCAAAGTGTTACTAGGCTTGGGGTGCCTCAGATACAGCTTAGATCACAACACCCAAATACTTTCAAATATCTGGTAAGCCATCCCAAGAAGGACATGTGTAAACAAGCCCAGACTGTCAAGACTACAATAAATGCCTAACTTTTCAATGCCCAGACACAGATGAACATTCACAAATATCAAAACCATTGAGAAAAACAGGAATTCACCAAATTAATTAAATAAGGCAGAAGGGACCAATCCTGAAGTAATAGAGCTATGTGACCTTTTAGACAGATAATTCAAAGTACTTGTTTTAAGGAAACTCAAAGATATTCAAGATAACACAGAGAAGGAATTCAGAACTGTATCAGATAAATTTAACAAAGGAATTGAAATCATTAAAAAGCAGCAGAAATTCTGTAGTTGAAAAATGCAGTTAACATACTAAAGAATGCATCTGCCTTCTAACAGCAGAATTGATCAAGCAGAAGAGAGAATACTTAGCTTGAAGACAAGCTACTTAAAAATAAACAATCAGAGGAGACAAAAGAAAAAAACAATGAAGCACACCTACAGGATCTAGAACAGAGCTTCAAAAGGGCAAATCTAAGAGTTATTGTCATTAAAGAGAAGGCAGAGAAAGACATAGGAGTAGAAAGTGTATTTAAAGGGATAATATCGAAGAATGTTCCAAACCTAGAGAAAGATAACAATATGTAAGTACAAGAAGATTATAAAACAGCAAGCATATTTAACCCAAAGAAGATTACTTCAAGGCTTCTAGTAATCAAACTCCTAAAGGTAAAGGATAAAGAAAGATCCTAAAAACAACAAGAAAAAAGAAACAAATCACATAAAATGAAGCACCAGCACATCTGGCAGCAGACTTTTCAGTGGAAACCTTACAGGCCAAGAGAGATTTGTGTGACGTATTTAGAGTGCTGAAGGAAAAAAACTTCTACCCTAGGGTAGTATATATAGCAAAAATAGTATAGTATTTTTGCTACATATATAGTTTTAACTTCATATCACTGAAAGAAGCACTGGAGAGAGAAAAAACAGCGTGGAATTGCTAACACCAACCCTCCCTGACTGGGGCAGCAGTGGTGTGGTGTGGCAGCATCTCTGGACCCTGGGGGAGGGAGAACACAGAAATTGTGAGTGCTGTTCTGTTAGAGCAGGAAGGAAAACCAGAACAAACACAGCTGACACCTGCCCACAGAGGGAACATTTAAATCACCCCTAGCCAGAGACGAACCCACAATCCCAGTAGTCCAAACTTCAGTGCTAGCAAACTTCGCCACTAAGGTCTTAAGTATTCTCAGTCTCCAGATAAACTTGAAAGGCAGTCTAGGCCATAAGGACGGCAACTCTGAGCTAGACTCAGAGACAATGGCCTGAGGGGTCACACAACATACTGAGACACTAGCTGAGGCAGCCAAAGGAGTGCTGGCATCACCCCTTCTCTAACCCCAGGCTGCACAGCTCATGGCTCCAAAAGAGACCCCTTCCTTTTGCTTGAGGAGAGGAGCAGGAAGAGTGGGGAGGATTTTGTCTTCCATCTTGGAATACCAGTTCAGCCATAGCAGGATAACGTGCCAATTAGAGTCATGAGGCCCCTGTTCGAGGCCCTAGCTCCCAGATGATATTTCTAGACACATCCTGGGCCAGAAGGGAACCCACTGCCTTGAAGGAAAGAACTCAGTTCTGCCAGCACTCATCACTTGCTAACTGAAGGCACTTGGGCCCTGAATAACTAGCAGCTATATCCAGGTACCACATCATGGGGGCTGTAGTGGGCCTCTGAGACTTATGGGTTTAAGGTGAGACTCAAGCACATTACCAGTTTGGTTACAGGGTAAAACTCTTTCTGCTTGGGAAAAGTAAAGGGGACTTTGTCTTACACCTCAGGTAACAACACTGCCTCAGGAGAATAAAGCACCAGTGGACTCTTGAGGTCCTCAATTCCAGGACTTGACTCTTGGATGACATTTCTGGACCTGCCCTGGGCCAGAAGGGAGACCACTGCCCTGAAGGGGGAGTCCCAAACCAGGCAACATTCACCGCAAGCTGACTTAAGAGACCTTGGCCTTAAGGGCACATTGGTGATTGTCTGGCAGTACTCCTCATGGCCAGGGGTAGCAGTGACTATGGTGTGGGGCTCCTCTGCCTTTTGAAAGGGAAGGGAAAAGTGGGAAGGACTGGATATTGTGGCTTGAGTGCCAGTTCAACCTCAATACAATAGAATACCAGGTAGACTTCTGAGGTTTTTGACTCAGTACGAGTCCCAGACACCACTTCTGGACCCATTTGGGGCCTGAGGGACCTCACAGCCCTTAAGGGAAGGAAGCAGGCCTGGCTGGTTTTGCTATCTGGTGATTATAGGGCACCAAGGCCTTAAGTTAACAGAGGTAGTAGTCAGAGTGGTTACAACAGACCATGGGTGAGACCCAGTGATGTGCTGGCTTCAGGTCTGATTCAGCACAGTCATAGTGGTGAAGGCCACAGGGGTGCTTGTGTCACTCCATCCCCAGCTTTAGGTGGCTCCAAACAAAGAGTGAGACTCTAAATATTTGGGAGAAAGTAAGGAAAGAGAACAAGAGTTTCTGCCTGGTAATCCAAAGCATTCTCCTAGATCTTGTCCAAGACCATCAAGGCAGTACCTTTAAGAGCCTGCAATAACCACAGCATTACTGGGATTTGGAGTGCCCCTTAAGGCAGAAATAGCTTAGATTACAACACCCAACTTCTTGCATATATCTGAAGAACCTTCCAAAGAAGGATGGCTACTAATAAGCCCAGAGAGTGGAGACAACAATAAATACCTAACTCCTCAAAGCCTAGACACCAACGAACACCTACTAGCATCAACACCATCCAAGAAAATATGACCTCACCAAATAAGGGTCTAAATAAGGCATGAGGGCCCAATCCTGGAGAAACAGGGATATGTGACCTGTCAGACAAAGAATTCAAAATCACTGTTGAGGAAACTCAAAGATACTCAAGATAACACAGAGAAGGAATTCAGAATTCTATCAAATACATTTAACAAACATTGAAATAATTAAAAAGAATCAAGCAGAAATTCTGGAGCTGAAAAATGCAATTTGTATAATGAAGAATGCATCAGAGTCCTTTAATAGCAGAATGGACCAAGCAGAGGAAAGAATAGTGAGCTTGAAGATAGGCAATTTGAAAATAGACAGTCAGAGGAGACAAAATAAAAAAGAATATAAGACAGTGAAGCATTCCTGCAGGACTTAGAAAATAGCTTCAAAGGGACAAATCTAAGTGTTATTGCTATTAACAGGAGGTAGAGAGAGAGATAAGGGTAGAAAGGATATTCAATGGGATAATAAAGAAAACATCCCAAACCTAGAGAAAGATATCAATATACAAGTACAAGAAGGTTATAGAACACCAAGCAGATTCAACCCAAAGAGACTACCTCAAGGCATTTAATAATCGAACTCCCAAATTTCAACAACAAAGAATGGATCCTGTAAGCAGCAAGAGAAACAAATAAATTACATACAATGGAGCTCCAATACATCTGGTAGCAGTCTTTTCACTGGAAACCTTGCATGCCAGGAAAGAGAGGCATGACATATTTAAAGTGCTGAAGGAGAAAAACCTTCATCCTAAAATACCTTTATGAGCCTGCAAAAAGACAAAAAAGACAAAAAGAATCCTCCAAATATGAAGGAGAAAAAAAAAGGCTTTCATACACAAACAAAAGCTGAGAGATTTCATCAATACTAGTCCTATCCTTTGATTTTTTCAATCAGAAAAAAAAACATTAATGAGAAATAATCATCTGAAGGTATAAAACTTACTGGTAATAGTAAGTATATAGAAAAATGCAGAATGTTATAATACTAACTGTGGTGTGTAAACTACTTTTATCTTAAATAGAAAGACTAAACAATGAGTTAATCAAAAATAATAACTATAACTTTTCAAGATATAGTACAATAAAATATAAATAGAAACAACAAAACTTTAAAAAGCAGGAAGACAAAGTTAAGACAAGTTTTCATTAGTTTTTTGTTGTTGTTTATTTAGGCAAATAGTGTTAAATTGTCAGCAGGTTAAAATAATGGGTTGTAAGATACTATTTGCAAGCCTCATGGTAACCTCAAACCAAACAGCATACAATGAATGCACAAAAAATATAAAGCAAGAAACTAAATCATGTTACCAGAGAAAACCATGTTACTAGAGGAAAGGAGGAATGAAAGAAAAGAGAAGACCACAAAACAATGAGAAAACAAATAACAAAATGGCAAAAGTAAGTCCTTACTTATCAACAATAAGATCAAAATTAATGGACTAAACTCTCCATTCAAAAGACACAGATCAGCTGAATGGATGAAAACACAAGAACAATTGATCCGTTGCCTGTAAGAAATACACTTTACCTATAAAGACACAAATAGACTGAAAATAAAGGGATGGAAAAAGACACTCCAAGCCAATGGAAACTAAAAAAAAAAAAAAAAAAGGAAGCCAGGCACAGTGGCTCACACCTGTAATCCCAACACTTTGGGTGGCTGAGGCAGGTGGTTCACGAGGTCAGGAGTTGAAGACCAGCCTGGCCAATATGGTGAAACCCCATCTCTACTAAAAACACAAAAAGTAGCCTGTAATCCCAGCTACTCAGGAGGCTGAGGCAGGAGAATCACTTGAACCCAGGAGGCAGAGGTTGCAGTGAGCTGAAATCGCACCACTGCACTCCAGTGAGTGCACTCGCTCACCGAGTGAGGCTTCATCTCAAAAATAAAATAAAATAAAAGGAGTCACTATGTTTATATCAGACAAAAGACATTTCAAGATAAAAACTATAAGAAGAAACAAAGGAGGTCACTATGCAATGAAAAAGGGGTCATTTCAGCAAAAGAACATAAAAATTTTAAATATATATGCACCCAACACTGGAGCAAATATTAAAATATTTATTTTATATTATAAAACGAATAAAATACTTAAATAAGGCAAATATTATTAGAGCTAAAGAAAGAGATGGGCCCCAATAAAATAACTGAGGACTTCAACATCCCACTTTCAGATTTAGACAGATCTTCCAGACAAAAAATTAACAAAGTAACATTAGACTTAATCTGAACTGTAGACCAAATGGAGCTAATAAATACTTACAGAACATTTCATCTAGCAGCTGGAGAATATACATTTTTTTCCTCAGCATATGGATCGTTCTCAAGGATAGAACGTATGTTAGGTGACAAAACAAGTCTTGAAGCATTCAAAAAAGTTGAAATATTATCAAGAATCTTCTCTGACCACAATGGAATAAAACTAGAAATTAATAATGAGAAATTTTGGAAACTACACAAATGCATGAAAATTAAACACTATGCTCCTGAATGACCAGTTGGTTAATGAAGAAATTAAGAAGGAAATTGAAAAATTTCTTGAAACAAATGATACTGGAAACACAACATAACAAAACCTACATGATGCAGCAAAAAGAGTACCAAGATGGAAGTTTATAGCTATAACCACCAACATCAAAAAAGAGAAAAAGCTTCAAATAAACAATCTAATGATGCATCTTAAAGAAGTAGAAAAGCAAGAGCAAACCAAACCAAAAATTAGTAGAAGAGATATAATAAAGATCAAAGAAAAAAAAATGAAGTTAAAGAAAACAATACAAAAGATCCATGAAAAAAGAGCTGGCTTTTTGAAAAGTTAACAAAACTGACAAACCTTTAGCCAGACTAAGGAAAAAAGAGAGAAGATCCAAATAATTAAAATTAGAAATAAAAAAGGAGACATTACAACTGGTACTGCAGAATTTCAAAGAATCATTAATGGCTACTATGAGCAACTATTAGCCAATAAATTGGAAAATCTGGAAGAAAAGGATAAATTTCTAGATACCCCAAGATTCACAACAGGAAGAAATCCAATACCTGAACAGACCAATAAAAAGTAACAAGAACAAAGCCATAATAAAAAGTCTCCCAGTAAACAAAAGCCTGGGACCTGATGGCTTCACTGCCAAATTCTATGGAACACTTAAAGAAGAACTAATACCAATTCTGCTCAAGCTATACTGAAAAATAGAGGAGGTGGGATTACCTACAAAATCTTTCTATGAGGCCAGTATTACCCTAATATCAAAACCAGACAAAGATACACCAAATAATAATAACTACATGCCAGTATCACTGATGAATATTGGTGCAAAAATCCTCAACAAAATACTAGCAAACTAAATTCAATAGTCCCTTAGAAAGATCATTCATCAGCTCCTGAAGGAAGCCCTAATTATGGAAAGGAAAAACTGACTGGTACCAGCCACTGCAAAATCATACCAAATTGTAAAGACCATCAACACTATAAAGAAACTGCATCAACTAATGGGCAAAATAACCAGTTAGCAGCATAATGACAGGATCAATTTCACCCATAACAATATTAGCATTAAATGTAAACATACCTCAATTAAAAGACACAGACTGCCAAATTGGATAAAGAGTCAAGACTCATCAGTGTGCTGTATTCAGGAGAACCATCTCGTGCGCAAAGACACACATAGGCTCAAAATAAAGGGATGGGGGAACATTTACCAAGCAAATGGAAAACAAAGAAAAGCAGAGGTTGCAATACTATTCTCTGATAAAACAGAGTTTAAACCAACAAAGATCAAAAAAAGACAAAGGGCATTACATAATGATAAAGGGATCAATGCAACAAGAAGAGCTAACTATCCTAGATATATATGCACCCAATACAGGAGCACCCAGATTCATAAAGCAAGTTCTTAGAGATTTACAAAGAGACGTAGACTCCCACACAATAATAGTGGGAGATTTTAACACCCCACTGTCAATATTAGACAGATCAACAAGACAGAAAATTAACAATGATATTCAGGACTTGAACTCAGCTCCAGACCAAGCACACCTAATAGACATCTACAGAACTCTCCACCCCAAATCCTCAGAATATACATTCTTCTCAGCACCACATCGCACTTATTCTAAAATTGACCACATAATTGGAAGTAAAACAGTCTTAACAAATGCAAAAGAACAGAAATCATAACAAACAGTCTCTCAGACCACAGTGCAATCAAATTAGAACTCAGGATTAAAAACTGAAAACCATACAACTACATGGAAACTAAACAACCTGCTCCTGAATGACTACTGGGTAGATAACGAAATTAAGGCAGAAATAAATAAGTTCCTTGAAACCAGTGAGAACAAAGACACAATGTACCAGAATCTCTGGGACACAGCTAAAACAGTGTTTAGAGGGAAATTGATAGCACTAAATGTCCACAGGAGAAAGATCTAAAATCGACACCCTGACATCACAATGAAAAGAACTAGAGAAGGAAGAGCAAACAAATTCAAAAGCTAGCAGAAGACAAGAAATAACTAAGATCAGAGGAGAACTGAAGGAGATAGAGACATGGAAAACCCTTCAAAAAATCAATGAATCCAGGAGAGGGTTTTTTGAAAAGATTAACAAAATAGACCACTAGTCAGACGAATAAAGAAGAAAAGAGAGAAGAATCAAATAGACACAATAAAAAACAATAAATGGAATATCACCACCAATCCCACAGAAATACAAACTACCATCAGAGAATACTATAAACACCTCTACACAAATAAACTAGAAAATCTAGAAGAACTGGATAAATTCCTGGACACATACACCCTTCCAAGAATAAAAAAGAAGTTGAATCCCTGAATAGAACAATAACAAGTTCTGAAATGGAGGCAGTAATTAATAGCCTTCCAACAAAAAAAAAAGCCGAGGACCACGTGGATTCACAGCCGAATTCTACCAGATGTACAAAGAAGAGCTGGTACCATTCCTTCTGAAACTATGCCAAACAATAGAAAAAGAGGGACTCCTCCCAAACTCATTTTATGAGGCTAGCATCATCCTGATACCAAAACCTGGCAGAAACACAACAAAAAAAAAGAAAATTTCAGGCCACTATCCCTGATGAATATTGATGTAAAAATCCTCAATAAACTACTGGCAACCCAAATCCAGCAGCACATCAGGAAGCTTATCCACACGATCAAGTCAGCTTCATCCCTGGGATGCAAGGCTGATTCAACATATGCAAATCAATAAATGTGATTCATCACATAAAGAGGACTAAACACAAAAACCACACGATTATCTCAATAGAGGTAGAAAAGGCCTTCAATAAAATTCAACATCCTTCATGTTAAAAACTCTCAGTAAACTAGGTATTGAAGGAACACACCTCAAAATAATGAGAGTGATCTATGACAAACCCACAGCCAATATCATACTGAATGGAAAAGCTGGAAGCATTCCCTTTGAAAACCAGCACAAGACAAGGATGTCTCTCTCACCACTCCTGTTCAATATAGTGTTGGAAGTTCTGGCCAGGGCAATTAGGCAAGAGAAAGAAATAAAGGTATTCAAATAGAAGGAGAGAAAGTCAAATTGGCTCTGTTTGCAGATGACATGATTGTATACTTAGAAAACCCTATCGTCTCAGCCCAAAATCTCCTTAAGCTGATAAGCAACTTCACCAAACTCTCAGGATACAAAATCAATGTGCAAAAATCACAAGCATTCCTATACACCAATAATAGTCAAACAGAGAGCCAAATCATGAGTGAACTCCCATTCACAATTGCTACAAAGAGAATAAAATATCTAGGAATCCAACTTACAAGGGAAGTGAAGGACCTCTTCAAGGATAACTACAAAGCACTGCTCAAGGAAATAAGAGAGGACACAAACAAATGGAAAAACATTCCATGCTCATGAATAGGAAGAATCAATATCATGAAAATGGCTATACTGTACAAAGTAATTTATAGATTCAATGCTATCCCCATCAAGCTACCATTGACTTTCTTTGCAGAATTAGAAAAAAACTACTTGAAATTTCATATGGAACCAAAAAGAGCCCATATAGCCAAGACAATCCTAAGCAAAAAGAACAAAGCTGGAGGCATCATGCTACCCAATTTCAAACTATACTGCAAGGCTACAGTAACCAAAACAGCATGGTACTGCTACCAAAGCATATATACAGACAAATGGAACAGAACAGAGCCCTCAGAAATAATACCACACATGTACAACTATCTGATCTTTGACAAACCTGACAAAACAAGAAATGGGGAAAGGATTCCCTATTTAATAAATGGTGTTGAGAAAACTGGCTAACCAGCTAGCCATATGTAGAAAACTGAAACTGGAATTCTTCTTTCTACCTTATACAAAAATTAACTCAAGATGGATTAAAGACTTAAAAGTAAGACCTAACACCATAAAAACCCTAGGAGAAAACTTAGGCAATACCATTCAGGACGTAGGCATGGGCAAAGACTTCATGATTAAAACGCCAAAAGCAATGGCAACAAAAATGACAAATGAGATCTAATTAAACTAAAGAGTTTCTGCACAGCAAAAGAAACAATCATCGAAGTGAATAGGCCACCTACAGAATGGGAGAAAATGTTTGCAATCTGTCCATCTGACAAAGGGCTAATATCCAGAATCTACAAAGAACTTAAACAAATTTACAAAAAAAAAAAATCAAAAAATGGGCAAAGGATATGAACAGACACTTCTCAAAAGAAAAAATTTATGTGTCCAACAAATATATGAAAAAAGCTCATCATCACTGGTCATTAGAGAAGTGCAAATCAAAACCACAATGAGATACCATCTCACACCAGTTAGAATGGTGATCATTACAAAGTCAGGAAACAACAGATGCTGGAGAGGATGTGGAGAAATAGGAATGCTTTTACATTGTTGGTTGGAGTGTAAATTAGTTCAACTATTGTGAAAGACAGTGTGGTGATTCCTCAAGGATCTGGAACCAGAAATACCATTTGACCCAGCAATCCCATTACTGCGTATATACCCAAAAGAATATAAATCATTCTACTATAAAGACATATGCACACGTATGTTTACTGTGGCACTATTCACAATAGCAAAGACTTGGAACCAACCCAAATGCCCATCAATGAAAATGTGGCACATATACACCATGGAATACTATTTAGCCATAAAAAAAATTTTATATCCTTTGTAGAGACATGTATGAAGCTGGAATCATCATTCTCAGCAAACTAACACAAGGACAGAAAACCAAACACTGCATGTTCTCACACATAAGTGTGACTTGAACAATGAGAACATATGGACACAAGGAGGTGAACATCACACACCGGAGCCTGTTGGGAGGTAGGGGACTAGGGAAGGGATAGCATTAGGATAAATTCCTAATGTAGATTATGGGTTGATGGGTATGGCAAACCACCATGGCACGTGTATACCTATGTAACAAACTGTACGTTCTGCATGTGTATCACAGAACTTAAAGCATAAATAATTTAAAAAAAGAAACATTCATCATGAATGAGCGGGATTTATTTCTGGTATGCAAAGATGGTTCAATGCACACAAATTAATCAATGTGACACATCAACTGAATAAATGATTAAAACATATCATTTAAATTAATGTTGAAAAGTATTTGAAAAATTTGACATCTCTCCATGATTAAAAAAAACCCTCAAAAAACTGGGGATAGAAGGAACATACCTCAACATAATAAAAACCATTTTTGAAAGACCTCCAGCTAGTATACTGAATGTGGAAAAACTAAAAATCTTTCCTTTAAGAGTTGAAACACAATAAGGATGCCCACTCTTATGACTGTTACTCGACATAGTACTAGAAGTCCTAGCTAGAGCAATTAGAAAAGAGAAAGATATTAAGATACCTAATTAAGATAATTAGAAAAGAGAAAGTAATAAATAATAAAGATACTTATTACTTTCCATTTTGGATTTATTACATCCAAAATGGAAAGTAATAAATCAAATTATGTTTGCCTGCAGATGACATGATTTTATATCTGGAAAAACCTAAAGACTCCACAAGAAAGCTACTAGAATTGATGATTCAGTTAAGTTGCAAGATACAAAATCAACATATGAAAACCAGCAGCATTTCTATATGCCAAGAGTAAACAATCTAAAAAAGAAATTTTTAAAAAATCCCATTTACAATAGCCACATATAATACCTAGGAATTAACTTAACCAAAGAAGCAAAAAATCACTATAATGAAAATTATAAAACATTCATCAAAGAAATTGAATAGGAAACCACAAAATGGAAAAAGATTCCATCTTCATAGATTGGAAGAATCAATACTGTTAAAATGTCCATACTAACCAAAGCAATCTACAGATTATGTCCATTCTACCCAAAGCAATTCTATAGATGTAATCCTTATCAAAATATCAATGACATCATTGACAAAAATAGAAAAAACAATCCTAAAGTTTACATGGGACCACTAAACACCCAGAAAACCCACAGCTATCCTAAGCAAGAAGAAGAAAACTGGAGAAATCACACTACCTCATTTCAAATTATACTATAGAGCTTTAGTATGCCAGTACCAAAATGATATGGTACTGGCATAGAAACAGATACATAGGCCAGTGGAACAGAATAGACAACCAAGAAATAAATTCATGCATCTACAGTGAACTAATTTTTGGCAAAGCTGCCAAGAACATATACTGGGGAAAAGATAGTTTCTTGAATTAATTATGCTAGGAAGACTGGATATCCATATGCAAAAGAATAAAACTAAACCTCAATCTCTCCCCATATACAAAAAAACAAATCAAAATGAATTAAAGACTTAAATCTAAGACTTCAAACTATGAAACTACTACAACAAAACATTAGGGAAAATCTCCAGGGTATTGGTTTGGGCAAGAATTTCTCGAGCAATACTCCACGCAGACAACCAAAGCAAACATGGACAAATGGGATCACATCAGGTTAAAAAGCTTCTGCACAGCAAAGGATACAGTCAACAAAATGAAGAGACAACTGACAGAATGGGAGGAAATATTTGCAAACTACTCATCTGACAAGGAATTCATAACCAAAGTATATAAGGAGCACAAACAACTCTTTAGCAAAAACTCTAATCATTCAATTGAAAAATGAGCAAAAGATTTGAATAGACATCTCTCACAAGAAGATATATAAATGGTAAACAAGCATATGAAAAGGTGTTTGAAATTATTGATCATCAGATAAGTGCAAATCAAAACTACACTGAGATATCATCTCACCTGAGTTAAAATGGCTTTTATACAAAAGACAGTAACAAAGGTAGGTGAGGATGTGGAAAAAAGGCAACCCTTGTACACTGTTGATGGTAATGTAAATTAGTACAATCATTATGGAGAACAGTTTGAGGTTCCTCACAAAACTAAAAATTGAGCTACCATATGATCCAGAAATCCCACTGCTAGGTATATACCAAAAAGCAAGGAAATTAGAATATCGAAGAGATAATGGCACTCCTATGTTTATCACAATACTGTTGACAATAGCTAAGATTTGGAAGTAACATAAGTGTCCATCAGTAGATGGATTAATAAATTAAATGTGGTACATATACACAATGGAGTACTATTCATTCACAGAAAAGAATAAGATCTAGTCATTTGCAACAACATGAGTAGAACTGGAGATCATTATGTTAAGTGAAATAAGCCAAGCATAGAAAGACAAACACATGTTCTCACTTATTTGTGGGATCTAAAAATCAGAACAATTGAACTCATGGATATAGGGAGTAAAGGGTTGGTTACCAGTGACGGAGAAAGGGTAGTAAGGACCTGGGAGGGATATGAGGAAGGTTAATGGGTGCAAAAAAATAGAAATAATGAATAAGACCTACTATTTGATAGCACAGTAGGGTGACTATAGTCAATAATGACTACATATTTTTAAATAACTTAGAGTGAAATTGAATTGTTTGCAACACAATGGATAAATATTTGAGAGGATGGATACCCCATTCTTCTTCATGATGTGCTTATTTCACATTGCATGCCTGTATCAAAATGTCTCATGTACCCCATAAATATATATACCTACTATGTACCCACAAATATTAAAATTTTAAAAAATAACGATGATAACTTTTCAAGACATAGACAATATAATAAGATATAAATAAAAACAACAAAAAGTTAAAAAGCGGGAAGATAAAGTTAAGGTGTAAAGTTTTTATTAGTTTTTTTTCTTATTCGTTTGTTTTTGCAAACAGTATTGAGTTATCAGCTTGAAATAACAGGTTCCAAAATACTATTTGCTAGTCTGATGGTAACCTCAAACCAAGAAACATACAATGGATACACAAAACATAAAAAGCAATAAATTAAATCATATCACAGAAAATCAACTTCACTAAAAGGAAGACAGAAAAAAAAGAAAGAAGGAAGAATAAATTAAAATACAACCAAAAAACAAATAACAAAACGGCAGAAGTAAGTCTTTACCTATTAATAATATTTAATGTAAATGGACTGCACTCTCTAATTAAAAGACGGTGTCTGAATGGATGAAAAAACAAGACTGAATGATCTGTTGCTTACAAGTATCACAGCTTTGTCTATAAAGACACATACACACTGAAAATAAAGGGATGGAAAAAGATATTCCATGCCAATGGAAACCAAAAAATGTGCAGAAGTAGCTTTTATTTACTTATCAGACAAATTAGATTTCAAGACCAAAACTATAAGAAAGGACAAACAAGATGAAAAAAGAGTCAATTTAGCAAGAGGATGTAACAATTTTAAATATATATGCACCCAACACTGGGACACCCAGACATATAAAGCAAATATTATTAGAGCTAAAGAGAGAGGGAGACTCCAACACAATAATAACTGGACACTTCAACACCTCACTTTCAGCACTGGACAGATCTTTGAGGCAGAACATCAACAAAGAAACATCAAGCTTAATCTGCACTATAGACCAAATAAACCGAATAATTGTTTAGAGAACATTTTATTCAAGAGCTGCAGAATATACATTCTTTTTGTCAGCATATTAATTATTCTCAAGAATAGACCATATGTTAGGTCACAAAACAAGTCTTAAAACATTCAAAATAAATTAAAATAATATCCAACAGCAGAAGACCTGACCACACTGAAATAAAACTGGAAACCAGTAACAAGAGGAATTTTTTAAACTATACAAATACATAGAAATTAAACAATATATTCCTAAATGACCTATGGGTCAATGAAGAAATTAAGAAGATAATTGACAGTTTTCTTTGATAATGGCAACACAACATACCAAAGTGTATGGGATACAGCAAAAGCAGTACTAAGAGGGAAGTGTATAGCTACAATTCTCTACATCAAGAAAGAAGGAAAACTTCAAATAAACAACCTAGTGATGCATCTTAAAGAATTAGAAAAGCAAGAGAAAAACCCCAAATTAGTAGAAGCACAGAAATAATAAAGATCAAAGAAATAAATAAAATCGAAATGAAGAAAGCAATACAAAAAAATCAATGAACCAAGAGTTGGCTTTTTGAAAATTTAAACAAAATTGCCAATGTTTAGCCAGATGAACAAAGAAAAAAGGGAGAAGATGCAAATAAATAAAATCAGAGATGAAAAAGGAGACATTATAACTGATACCACAGAATTTCAAAGGATCATTAGTGGCAAAAATGCACAACTACATGCCAATAAATTGGCAAATCTAGTAGAAATGATCAAATTTCTAGAAACATACTACCTGCCAAGATTGAACCATGAAGAAATCTAAAGCCTGAACAGACCAACAACAATTAACTAGAGCAAAGCCATACTAAACAGTCTCCCAGGCCGGGCGTGGTGGTTCACGCCTGTAATTCCAGCACTTTGGGAGGCTGAGGAAGGTGGATCACGAGGTCAGGAGATCGACACCATCCTGGCTAACACGGTGAAACCCTGTCTCTACTAAAAATACAAAAAAATTAGCCGGGCATGGTGGCAGGTGCCTGTAGTCCCAGCTACTCGAGAGGGTGATGCAGAAGAATGGCGTGAACCCGGGAGGTGGAGTTTGCAGTGAGCCGAGATCGCGCCACTGCACTCCAGCCTGGGCAATAGAGTGAGATTCCGTCTCAAAAAAAAAAAAAAAAAAAGAGTCTCCCAGCAAATAAAAGCCTGGGACTCACTGGCTTCATTGATGAATTGTACCAAACATTTAAAAAATAACTAATACCAATGCCACTCAAACTCTTCTGAAAAATAGACGAGGAGGGGATACTTCCAAACTCATTCTACAAAGCCGATATTACTCTGATACCGAAACCAGACAAGGACACATCAAAAAAGAAAACTACAAGCCAATATCCCTGATGAACGTTGATGCAGAAATCATCAAGAAAATATTCACAAACTGCATTCAACAATGTGTTACAAAGATCATGGTTCATGACCAGGTGGAATTTATCTCAGGGATGCAAGAATAGTTCAACATTTGTGAGCCATTAATGTGATATATCATATCAATACAATGAAGGACAAAAGCCATGTGATCATTTAAATTGATGCTGAAAAAGTATCTGACAAAATTCAACATCTCTTCATGACAAAATCCCTCAAAAAACTGGGTATAGAAGGAATACACCTCAGCATAATAAAAGCCATATCTCAGAAACTCCATAGCTAGTATCATACTGGATACTAGCTTAGAGGAAAAACTGTAAGTTTTTCCAGTATCCAGTATGATAAGATCTGGAACACGACAAGAATACTCACTTTCACCACTGTTATTCAACATAGTACTGGAAGTCCAAGCTAGAGCAATCAGACAAGAAAAAAACATAAAGGGCATCCAAATTGGAAAGGAAGAAGTCTAATTATCCTTCTTTGCAGATGATATGATCTTATATTTGGAGAAACCTAAGACTCCACCGAAAACTATTAGAACTGATAACTAAACTCAGCAAAGTTGCAGGATACAAAATCAACACATGAAAATCTGTAGCATTTTTATATGCCAACAGCAAACAATCTAAAGAAAAAATTTTTAAAAGTAATCCCATTTACAATAGCCACACATAAAATTAAATACCTAGGAATTAACCAAAGAAGTGAAAGATCTCTACAATGAAAACTGTAAAACATTGATGCAAGAAATTGAAGTGGGCACCAAAAATGGAAAAACATTCCATATTTATGGATTGGAAAAATCAATGTTGTAAAAATGTCCATACTAACCAAAGCAATCTAAAGATTCAATACAATACTAATCAAAATACCAATGACATTCTTCACAGAAATGGTAAAAGCAATCCTAAAATTTATATAGAACCATAAAAGACCCAAAATAGCCAAAGCTGTCCTTACCAAAAAGAACAAAACTGGAGGAATCACATTGCATGACTTCAAATTATACTACAGAGCTAGAGTAGCCAAAGAGCATGATACCAGCATAAAAACAGGCATATAGACCAGTGAAACAGAATTTAAAAACCAGAAGTAAATCCATGCATCTACAGTGAACTCATTTTTGACAAAGTTTCCAAGAACATATATTGGGGAAAAGATAGCCTCCTTAATAAATGGTGCTGGGAAACTGAATATCCATATGCAGAAGAATGAAACTAGACCCCTGTCTTTTACCATTTACAAAGATCAAATCAAAACAGATTAAAGACTTAAATCTAAGACCTCAAACTTGGAAACTACTGCAAGAAAACATTGGGGAAAATCTCCAGGACATGGGACTGGACAAAGATTTCTTGAGCAAAACCCCAAAGGCACAGGCAACCAAAGTAAAAATGGACAAATGGGATCACATCGAGTTAAAAAGCT
The DNA here is from genome assembly GCF_000001405.40 of Homo sapiens. Lineage (NCBI taxonomy): Eukaryota > Metazoa > Chordata > Mammalia > Primates > Hominidae > Homo > Homo sapiens. Next base: position 105,040,094 of record NC_000004.12, read on the forward strand.
TCTGCAAAGCAAAGGAAACAATCAACAAAATGGAGAGAAAACACAGAATGGGAGAAAATATTTGCAAATTCCCCATCTGACAAGGAATTTATAACCAGAATATATAAGGAGCTCAAGCAACTCTATAGGAAAAAATCTAATCATCCAATTGAAAAATGGGCAAAAGATTTGAGCACACATGTCTCAAAAGAGGACATACAAATGGCAAACAGGCAAATGAAAAAGTGCTCAACATTATTGATTATCAGATAAATGCAAATCAAAACTACAATGAGATATCATCTCACCTGAGTTAAAATGGCTTTTATCTAAAAGACAGACAATAAGGAATGGTAGCAACAATGTAGAGAAAAGGGAGCCCTTGTACACTTTTGTTGGAAATGTAAATTAATACAATCACTATGGAGAGCAGTTTGGAGTTTCCTCACAAAATCAAAAATTTAACTACCATATAATCCAGACATCCCACTGCCATGTATATACCCAAAAGAAAGAAAATCAGTCTATCGAGGAGATATCTGTACTCCCGTGTTTATTGCAGCACTATTCACTAGCCAAGATTTGGAAGCAACCTAAGTGTCCATCAATAGATGAATGAATAAAGAAAATGTGGTATTTATTCACAATGTAGTACTATTCATTCGTTAAAAAAAAGAAAGAAATCCAGTCATTTGCAACAACATGGATGGAACTGGAGATCTTTTATGTTAAGTGAAATAAGCTAGGCCCAATAAGACAAACATCACATGTTCTTACTTTATCTGTAGGAGCTAAAAATTAAAATTGAGCCCATGGAGATAGAGAATAGAAGGATGGTTACCAGAGGCTGGGAAGAGTAGTTATGGGAGTGGGGAGTAAGGGGGGATTGTTAATGGGTATAAAAATAGAATAAATAAGACCTAGTGTTTGCTAGCAAAAGAGGGTAACTATGGTCAAAAATAATTTAATTGTTCATTTAAAAATAACTAAAAGCATATATAATTGTTTGGAACACAAAGGATAAATTCTTGAGTTTATGGATACTCTATTTACCTTAATGTGATTATTATGCATTGCATGCCTGTATCAAAATATCTCATGTAACACATAAATATATATGCTTTTTGTGTACCCATGAAAAGGAAAACTTTTTCAAGAAACACTTAACCAAAAAGCATGAAGAATAGGAGATAGATGACATGATTCTATATAAAGTTATTGCATTATTAGTGAAGTAGCATAATATTAATTCAAGGTTGATTGTGATAAATTAATGATCTATATTGTAAATATCTATACTAACTTCTCAAAATAATCCAGAAGTAGAGCTTTTAAAAATCCAATAGAAAAATATACAGTAAAAATATACTCAATCTAAAATGGAAAGGAAATAAGGAACAAAGTGGGTAGTAAAACAACTCAGAAGGAACAAATAGAAAACAAAATAGAAAAATGATATACTTAAACAACCATATTGAATAATTGCATTAAGTATAAACAGTTTTATTAAAATGTTGTCGAAATGAATAAAGAAACAAGACCCAATCATAAGCTGTTTACAGAAGACAAAATTTAGATGAAATGTAACAGAAAGAATAAAATTACAGAATGGAAAGAGATGTACCATGCAAACACTAATAGTGGCAGGGCATACTGTTATTATATTAGTGTCAAATGGGCTTCAAACTAAAGAAACTTACCAGATATAAAGGAGTATTCTATGATGATAAAATGTTAATTCATCAGGAAGACCTTTATATGTTGATTTATTACATATATCATTTTTCTCAAAAAGTAATTTCCAGAATTCCTTTCCCCATCCTGGTTTTAAACATGATGCTTTCAACATCTAATTTTCTTTTTCATGTCTTTTTTCATTTTTAAGATGATTTTGACACATTTTATTTTTTATAGTAGTTTCCAGAGTATGTAAACCTTTTTAAATCAACTCATTAATTTAATATATAACAAAAGACACTCATAAGATTTCCTAATTTAGATATGAAAAATATGCTGTCCCTAATTTGACTGTATTATGTCTAAAATATAAATTAGTTATCTACTTAATATACATATATAGTATACTAAGACTTTCTGTTCCTACAGTCAGCATTTTCTCTTTGGTTTTCTCCTCTTTAATGTCATAACAATAATAAATAACATTTTGGAGCACTCTATCAAGCACTGGGATTTACAGAATACCATAAAGCAAAAAAGTGTTGCCACTATGAGAATTTCAGAGGGAAAAGACATGGAGAGATTCATAGAAACTATATTTAATATGATAAATGCAAAAAAATCCCAAGATTTTGGAGAGATATTAACATTTGGATCCATGAAACTCAAAGTTATCCAAACAGGCTTACCCCACAGAGGTCCTCACTGAGTCAAATTATGATCAAAATTTCAAAAGCCAAAGAAAAAGAATTTTTAAAGGAATAAGAGAAAAAACATCAAGTGACATACAAAATCCTCATGAGACCATTAGCAGATTTCTCAACAGAAACCTTGCAAGCCAGGAGAGAATGGTATAATATATTTAAATTGCTGAAAGATAAAACACCTGTCAACCAATAGTACTATACCCAGCAAAGCTGTCCTTCAGAAATGAAGGGAAAATAGTCTTTCCCAGACAAGCTGAAGCTAAGGTAATTAATTATTATTAGACAAGCCAAATGAAAAATGCTTAAGGGAGTGATTCAACCAGAAGCAAAAGGGTGATAATTACCATTATGAAAACATGAAACTGGTAGAGGCAAATTTGTAATCAAACTCAGAATACTCCAATACTGTAATGATAGTATGTAAATCTTTCAAATCTCTAGTGTGAAGTTTAAAAGTCAAAATAGTCAAAAGTGAACATAGCTACAATAAGTCACTAAGGAATATACAATATACCCTAACAAGCTGCAATTTGGTAAGTTGGTCTCCTCAAGGAATAGTACCATTTCAGGGGCTTGGTGTTGGTATAAGTTGCTAACAGGGAAGAAATTTGATATTGGGAGTAGTAAGATTAATTTTACTAAATGGGAATCCATGCTTAAGGCTTTATGCAGAATCTCTATTCCTATCACCATAACCACTTTGCTCATGTGCCTATTGCTTTAGCACTGGAGTAGCTAATAACAAAATCGGTTGATAACAACCAGCCAAGTTATTTGGTCTACTTCATTTTTTGGTGCCTTTCCTATGGTGGTTGCTCTTTGATGGGTGTTAATATGAAGGTTGTTTGTTTGTTTGCTTGTTTTGAGACAGAGTCTCACTCTGACGCCCAGGCTGGAGTGCAGTGGCACGATCTCGGCTCACTGCAAGCTCTGCCTCCCAGGTTCACGCCATTCTCCTGCCTCAGCCTCCCGAGTAGCTGGGACCCCAGGCGCCCGCCACCATGCCCAGCTAATTTTTTGTATTTTTAGTAGAGACAGGGTTTCACCGTGTTAGCCAGGATGGTCTCGATCTCCTGACCTTGTGATCCGCCCGCCTCGGCCTCCCAAAGTGCTGGGATTACAGGCGTGAGCCACCGTGCCCGGCCAATATGAAGGTTTTAAACTTTATGTCCACTCCTTTAAGTCTGTCTGTATACCTCTGCCACATACCTTTTCGTCCCTGGCCGTGAAATCTTTTTCCTTAAAAGCCACTGACTAGCCACCTCAGCCATTCACCACTGTTCATAGGTCCATATACTGATCTATGCAAAGTAGATGACTAAATGCATCACCAAAGTTCTGCCTACTGTGGGGGTGATTTTTTCTAATCACTGTCTTTCAAAGCCACTGCGTAAGATTTGTAATGAATTTGCTATCTGTTTTGGGCAGGCACCAATATACCAAACTGTTCCATTCATAAGCCAAGTTTGGACTTTTGTTTTTCTCACTTTTCTTATTGTAAGGAATATCTCAAGTAGACAAAACTGTGAACTGAGTAGTTTCTGGTACAATAATTGCAAATAAAATGGGAGCCTGGGCTACTTGCTCATGCAGTTGGCTTTTGCCCTCTGCTCATAATTCCAGATGGTATCACTGCTATTTCACAGTGGATTGTTGCTGGACCCACCTGATTATACAATTCCATGAATCTGACAGACCCCAGCACATTGCAGGCAGTTTCAGATGCATGATTATTCACTTCATCTCTGTCATGGTACAGTAGCATGCCAACCGTTGTTTTTCAAAATACATGTAATTCCCTGGCTAACATTGATGTTCTTCATTTTTGCTATCATGCTTCCAGATACACATTTTTTTATTTCCCTGCTTGAAATTTGTTGGATTTGGATTTTTTGTTTGTTTTTTAATTTTACTTTAAGTTCTGGGATACATGTGCTGAACATGCAGGTTTGTTACATAGGTATACATGTACCATGGTGGCTTGCTGTGCCTACCAACCCATCATCTAGGTTTTAAGCCCTGCATGCATTAGGTATTTGTCCTAATGGATTTGTTGAATGATACTGCTATCATTCATCATTTATGTAAAATTCTCAGCAATAATATCTTCAAATATTTCCTTTTTGTCATTCTCTTTCTTCTCATACTGAAACTTCAGCTAAATACATAGACATACACATATGTTTGGCTTTTTATGTTTATTATTCTCTCTATATTTTGACCTATTTTTATATTTTCCACCTCTGCCTTTCTGGGGGGCTTCTTAGATAATTATTTTCCATTGTTTATTTTCTAGTTTACTGATTCTTATTTCAGATGTGCGTAATATGCTGCTTTGTGGCTTTTCAAATTTGTTCAGATTTTATTTTACTTATTGAAATATATTAATGTACATTTATATGGTGTCCTATAATTTCAAAATGTGAGGTTTGAGTATCTGTTTTCTCTCTCACATAGGATAGTTTACTTCCTTGTGTTTAGTAATTTTTTTAAATTATAAACTGCTCTGTTACCTTGGAACTTTATATATGCAAATGTGTTGATGCCTGGTTTGAAAGTAGGTTATTCCAGAAATAATTTGTCTTTGCTCTATTCAGTCATCTAGAGGCACTTTATGTTCTCCACGTGGACGCTTGGCTATCCAGATAGCATCAATTTAAGAATTTTTTTCTGCTAAATACCGAAGTTTGAAACTGGTTATTTTTTTTACAGTTTCCCAAAGAGAAAGGGGAGGCAGATTCACTTATAGTCAATAGTATACATACTCTGAGTGTGGAGTCCTTTGTGACCCCTGCTTATGTAACAGATTTTTTATTAGCCTTTGACATCATCATCTGTCCATGGGGCTTGCTCTCTTTCCATGTATCTACAGCTAACAGCTATTACAGTGTGTACCTTCCTTCTGAGTATTAATGACTTGATAATTTGTTATTCTTTCCATCTCCCAATCCAGAATAGAAGCTCCTCTAAAGTAGGTATCATGTCTTAGGTCACCTAGCATAGTGCCTTGGACATATATTATATGCTAAATCGGTCAGTGTTAATTGTTTACTAGCAAACTAATTGACTGCTTCATTATTTATGCTCTTCATAACTCCTGCTTAATGACAACATACTGACATTTGTCCTAGACCCTAATTCCATGACCCTATTTTATGCCTTAATCTCATTGATCTCTCTGTTTTTAGACTCTGTCAACCACTCTCACATAGAAACCCTGTTCCTCCTCACCCCTTACTACTGTAATGATTTGTTACAGGTTACCATCTCTTCTGTTGGTTTATGTGATTCTATAATATTCTAGTTATCCTCCTATGTTTCCAATTATCTATATTCTGCCCCTTTTCCTGCTTCCTCATTCTATCTTATTCCTCCTGGGGGTTTTTGTTGTTGTTGCCACTGTGGCTGTCTCTCATGCACCCCCTCACAAACTTCAGTTATGTGGTTTGTGAAATTTGAAGATGAAAAGAGTTTGCTTGAAACCACTTAGCTAACTGGGGATTTGTTCATCTTTACATGATTCTAGTTTTATCTTTAAAAGAGAGCAATTCTGTCTGAATATTGGCCTTTGGGGGGACCTTTATGCAGATGTCAGGCCACTTAACATGGTGAAGATTTCTTTTTTATTATGTTCGAGTTGAATGCCTCCTACAAAGTAAGTAATCTGGACTAATTTTGTCATTCTAAAGGAGCGCATACTATGTTTTTTCGTTTTTTTGAAGACCCTTTACTGAAAAAAAAACAGATTTGGTTTTAAAGAATTAGATTTGTTTGATCTTATTTTCTTTCCCCATAGAGCAGAGATATTTTGAAAATGTTTCACTTTGTTTTTTACTTAGACTAGTCCCTTGTTAAAAGTGCACAATGTCTGCATGCTAAAACAAATGTGCATTTGAATGCACAATTGATTAACCAATTTTCTAATAATTAAGTTTTTAGATTTTGCATGTGCATTTGTTGCTCATTTGACCACATAATAATTAATTAGCCTTAATTATAATGGATTACACCTTCAAATCCTGCATGCATATTATAATAGAATGACAGTATTTTACATCACTTTTCATATTTTAGTCAAACAGTAAAGGAAGTGAATTTTTAAGATGGGGGAAATTTTATATCTGTGGAAGTTGACATTTTGATTAATGAAGTGTTACAGTTATTCTTAATGTATTTATTTGATGGTGCATTCAGCAAAATTAATTCTGATAGATGAAATGTGTTTAAAACACTGCTTACAAAATGAATGGTGTCTCTAAGCTAATAGAGTTACAAATGCACAGAAGAAAAAAAATGAAGACTTTATAAATGAGTCAAGTGAAAATAAATGCCAGATTAAAAAACAATTTACTGTGTGTGTCTAGAGAGCCAAAGGGAGCTCAACTGCAAAGAATTTGACTTACGTACAAAGTGAGCAGCTGAAATATTTAAACTCCATCCTAATGCTCTTCAGCCATAATGGTAAAAGGCTGCATAGTTGGGCTTCTTACCTGAACTTGTGATATGTAAAGCTGAAAGGCAAAAACAAAAATTACTTCCTAAAAGATATATCGAGTCAAGGAGTGCAGCCTTGTCACTCATTAGTGGTTACTGGGGGCTGTGGTGTAGCTTGAGAATCAGGAAAAATAGGAGCCAGAAACAATTACTTGGCTCAGACATCTAATAAGCAATGGGGATGAGTACTGCAACCTGAGGCCAGCTCCTCTGCAGGAACTTTTACCCATCTCACCTTTTGGGTTTTTGTTGTTGTTGTTGTTGTTGTTGTTGTTTTTGAGATGGAGATTCACTCTTGTTGCCCAGGCTGGAGTGCAGTGGCACAGTCTCAGCTCACTATAAGCTCTGCCTCCGAGTTCAAGCAATTCTCCTGCCTCAGCCTCCTGAGTAGCTAGAATTACAGGTGCACGCCACCACACCCAGCTAATTTTTGTATTTTTTTAGTAGAGACGGGGTTTCACCATGTTGGCCAGCCTGGTCTCGAACTCCTGACCTCAGATGATCCACCCGCCTCAGCCTCCCAAAGTGCTGGGATTACAGGCATGAGCCACTGTGCCCAGCCGTCAGCAGAATAGGTCCATTTAAAGTGACCATCAGAGAGCAGATATTAGTCTACAATATTCTTTTAAAGGACGGCTCCCATTTCAGGTATAATACCTTGAGTCCATATTAAAAGTTCTCCCAAGATTTTCAAAATATATAAATAGCCAAGTTTTCCCTCTTGGGAAAGGTGAAATAAATATAAATATCATTCATACAGTAAAGTACATGGCTTCAGAGAGAGCTACACGGGTATAAACTCTGATTACATCACTCACCACTTATTTGGCCCACCTATTTGGGTAAGTTAAAAAAAAACAAAAAAAAAAAACTCTCTCTGTGTCTGTTTTCTCACCTGTAAATGAAAATAAATAATTTGTTTTATCTTTAATCTTACCAGAATTTAAGATCTATGAGGCAGTCATTTTGATGTTGTTGTTCATTGATGTAGCTCAGGTACTCAAAAAGGGCATAGGGAATATATGAAACACTTCAAGATGTTCTAAATGACATATCAGTAGAGTCTCATAAGAAGGAAAAGAGAAAGAATATGATAGAAGCAATATTTTAAGAGACACTGGTCATCCTAAAGGAGGGTTCATACTATGTTTTTTCTTTCTTTTGAAGACCTTTTACTGAAAAAAAGAATTTTCTAAAACTAAGTTCAAGAATTTTCTAAAACTAATGAAAGAAATCAATCCACAGATTTGTGGAAAGTTTTATGAACTGAACAGGATAAATATAAATTTAAAGTTTTCTAAGCATATTAGAGTAAAAAATGCTAAAAGCCAAAGATGATGAGGGAACAGTTGTGGTGGCTCACACCTGTAATTTCAACACTTTGGGAGACCAAGGCAGGTGGATCACTTGAGCTCAGGAATTCGAGACCAGACTGGACAACATGGCAAAACCCTGCCTCTACAAAAAAAATTAGCTGGGTATGGTGGTGCCTGCCTGTAGTCCTAGCTACTTGGGAGGCTGAGGCAAGAGGATCATTTGAGCCTGGGAGGTGGAGGTTACAGTGAGCTATGATCTCACCACTGTATTCCAGACCGGGTGACAGAGTAAGAGCCTGACACAAGTAAAAGCAAAACAAAGCAAAAAGATAATGAGAAAATCTTAAAAACAGCCAAATGAAAAAAAAAAAAACACTTTTTTAAAAAGAAAGAATAATAAGAATGATATCTAAATTCTTGATAAAAACTGTGGAAGCCCAGAAGCAACGCAATATTTTCAAAGTACTGAAAGAAAATAACTGCCAAACTAAAAGTCTATGCACTGTGAAAATATACTTCAAAGGTGAAAATACATTTCAATTGAGAAAAGAAACAAAAAAAATCCAAAAAGTTTGTTCCCAGCAGACTCACACTATAATAACTATTAAAGAAATTTTTCAGGCAGGAACAAAAAATAAATAAATATAAAATAAAAACATGGAAATGCAGAGAAGAATGAAAAGCAATAGAAAGGTGGAAATGTGGATAAATCTAAATGAATGTTGACATACAAAGTATAATATTAATAGTTTCTTGGGCTATAAATACTTGTAATATTAAAATAAATGATAATGATTACACAAGAGAAGATGGGTGCAGTGGCTCATGCCTATAATCCTAGCACTTTGGGAGGCCAAGGCAGGCAGATCACTTGAGCTCAGGAGTGTGAGACCAGTCTAGGCAACATGGTGAAACCTCGTCTCAAAAAAAAAAAAAAAACATTATACAAGAGGGCAGAGTGTAATACAAGATGGTCAGTTAGAAGTAGCTATGATGCATGCTACTACCAGAGAGGAATTAAAGGGGCGAGTAAATATAGCACATTCAACAGAAATATCCAGATGTTCACACTGGGACTGATCAGGGGAACAACTCAACCCACAGAAAATGAAAAGCAGGGCAGGGCGACAGTGCACCTGGGAGCGACTCAGAGCCTAGAGAAACCCCTCCCCTAACCAAGGGAAGGGGTAAGGAAATGTAAGACTCCAGGAAACCATGCTTCTCCCATGGATCTTTGCAACCATTGGATCAGGAGATCCCCTCGTGAGCCCACTCCACGAGGGCCTTGGGTCCGATGCATGGAGCTGTGTGGAGTCTCAGCAGAGCAGCTACTCAGGCATGCAGAGAGACCCAGGAGCTTTACATACTCTGGCGCTGGATCCCTGACAAAGGTGAATACAACTCAGCCAAGGCAAGAGGTCCATACATACCCCTGGGAAAGGGGCTGAATCCAGGGGGCCAAGTAACATCCGTCTGCAGGTTCCACTTCCATGGCCCCTCACAAGAAAAGATCTACTGGCTTGGAGTTCCAGCCAACCACTGGCAACAGGGTAAATCCTGCCTGAGATGGGACAGAACCCCCAAGGGGAAGGGTGGGCCACCATTTTTGCTGTTTGGACAACTCAGCCACTCTAGCCTGTGGGTTTTGGAGAGTCCAAATGGCTGGGATGAGGAAGCACCCCCTGTACTGCAGCACAGCTGCTTTACCAAACGTGGCCTGACTACTTCTTTAAGTAGGATCCCAATCCATTTCTCCTCACTGGGCAGGACCTCCTAGCTGGGGTCTCCGGCCACCCCCACTGGTATTCTAGGACAGAGCTCTGATCTCTCTCTGGGACAGAGTTCCCAAAAGGAGGAGCAGGTTGCCACCTTTGTTGTTTGGGCAACTCAGCCATTCCAGCCTGTGGGATTTGGAGAGTCCAAACCGACAAGGGCAGAGGCAGTTTGCCAGCATCGCACCACTGTTTTGTTGAGGAGTGACCAGATTGCTTCCTTAAACAGGACCCTGATTGATTCCTCCACAGTGGGCAGTTACTCCCAGCCAAGGCCTCCGGCCACCACTGCCCAAATTCTATAAACAGAGTTCTGATTTATCCCTGGGACAGAGTGGCTGTGGGGAGATGTGGGCCACCACCTTTGTTGTTTTGGCTACTCAGCTGGTCCAGCTTATGGGCATTGGAGAGCCAAACCGATCAGGAGCCGAAGGGATCCCCAATACAGTACAGCTGCTCTACCAAAATGTAGCGAACCACTTCTTTCACTGGGTCTCTAATTCCGTTCCTCCTGACTGGGTGAGATCTCCCAACCAGGGTCCCCTGCCACCTCCTACAGATGCATTTGGGCCAGCCAACAGGTCAATACCCCTAGGACAGAGCTCCCAGAGGAAGGAGCAGGCTGCCATCTTTGCTGTTTTGAAGACTTCACTGGTGATACCTTTAGGTATTGGAAAAACTGAGGTGACTGGGGCCTAGAGTGGACCCCCAGCAAACTACAGCAGTCCTACAGAAGACAAACAAGAACAACAATGACAAAAACCCACAGAAACCCCATTCACACCCCATCAGCAACCTCAAAGAGTGAAGGTAGATAAGGCCACAAATGAGAAAGATTCAGTGAAAAAACGCCAAAAACTCAAAAAGCCAGAATTCCCCCTTTCTTCCAAATGACCACAACACCTCTCCAGCAAGGGTTTGGAACTGGGCTGGGGCTGGGATAGCTGAAATGACAGAAGTAGGCTTTAGAATGTGGGTGAAAACAAACTTGACTCAGCTAAAGGAGGACGTTGTAATCCAATTCAAGGAAGCTACGAATCATGATAAAACAATGCAGAAGCTGACAGCCAAAATAACCAGTATACAGAGGAATATAAATAGCATCATGGAGCTGAGAAACACACTACAAGAACTCCACAATGCAGTCACAAGTATTAATAACAGAATAGACCAACTGAAGGAAAAAATCTCAGATCTTGAAGCCCATATTTCTGAAAAAAAGACAAGCAGACAAGAATGGAAAAAAAAGAGTGAAAAGAAATGAACAAAACTTATAAGAAATATGGGATTATGCAAAGAGACCAAATCTATGACTGATTGGGCTACCTGAAAGAGGGAAAATGGAAGCAATTTGGAAAATATTTAAGGGTATCATCCAGGAAAACCTCCAAAACCAAGTTAGACAGGCCAACATTCAAATTCAATAAATGCAGAATACCCCAGTAAGATACTCCACAAGAAGATCATCCTCAAGAAACATAATCATCAAATTCTCTAAGGTTAAAATTAAAGTAAAAATGTTAAGGGCAGCCAGAGAGAAAGGCCAGGTCACCTACAAAGGAAGCCCTAACACTAACATTGGACCTCAGTGGAAACCCTACACCCAGAAGATATTGAGGGCCAAAATTCAAAATTCTTAGAGGAAACAAATTCCAACCCAGAACTTCATATCTGGCCAAACTAAGCTTCATAGATGAAGGAAAAATAAGATCCTTTTCAGACAAAAAAATGCTGAGGGAATTATTTACCACCAGACCTGCCTTTCAAGAGCTCCTGGAGGAAGCACTAAATATGAAAATGAAAAATCATTACCAGCCACTACAAAACACTGAAGTACACAGACCAGTGATACTCTGAAGCAACCACATAAACAAGTCTACAAAATAACCAGCTAGAATCATGATGACAGTATCAAAACCACACATAACAATACCAACCTTAAATGTACATGGGCAAAATTCCCAGTTAAAAGACATACAGTGGCAAGGTGGATAAAAAAAACAAGACCCATCAACATGTTGTCTTCAAGAGACCCATCTCACATGCAAAGACACATATAGGCTCAGATAAAATGGATGGAGGAAATTTTACCAAGCAACTGAAAAACAGAAAAAAGCAGGAATTGCAATCCTAGTTTCCAACAAAACAGATTTTAAACCTTTTTAAAAAGTCAATGAAGAGCATTACGTAATGATAAAGGGTTCAATTCAATAAAAAGAGCTAATTATCCTAAATATATATGCACCCAATACAAGAGCAACTAGATTCATAAAGTAAGCTCTTAGAGACCTTCAGAGAGACTTAGACTCCCACACAATAATAGTGGAACACTCTAACACCCCACTCATAATATTAGATAGAGAATCAAGACAGAAAATTAACAGAGATATTTAAGATCTGAATTCAGCTCTGAATCAGGTGGTCCTGATAGATATCTACAGAACTCTCCACCCAAAACAATAGAATATACCTTCACATTGCCACATGGCACTTACTCTAAAATTGATCACATATTCAGAAATAAAGCACTCCTTAGCAAATATAAAAGAACTGAAATCATAACAGACTCTTGGACCACAGCACAATCAAATTAGAACTCAAGATTTAAAAATTCACTCAAAACCATACAACTACATGGAAATTGAACAACCTGCTCCTGAATAATGAAATTAAGGCATAAATCAAGAAGTTATTTGAAACTAATGAGAACAAAAATACTATGTACCAGAATCTCTGGGATGCAGCCAAAACAGTGTTAAGAGGGAAATTTATAGCACTAAATGCCTACATCAAAAAGCCAGAAAGATCTCAAGTTAACAACCTCACATCACAACTAAAAGAACTAGAGAATCAAGAACAAACAAATCCCAAAGCTAGCAGAAGGCAAGAAATAACCAAGATCAGAGCTGAACTGAGGGAGATATAAGAGACACCCTTAAAAAGATCAACAAATCCAGGAGCTGGTTTTTTTAAAAATAATAAAATAGATAGACTACTAGCTAGACTAATAAAGATGAAAACAGAGAAGATTCAAATAAACAATCAGAAATGATAAGGGGGATATTGCCACTGATTCCACAGAAATACAAACAACCATTAGAGAATATTACAAACACCCCTATACACATAAACTAGAAAATATAGAAGACATGGATTAGTTCCTGGGCATATACACCCTCTCAACATAGAACCAGGAAGCAATTGAATCCCTGAATAGACCAATAATGGGTTCTGAAATTGAGGTAGTAATAAATAGCCTACCAACCAAAAAGAAAAAGCTGAGGAGCAGACAGATTCACAGCTGAATTCCACTAGAGGTACAAAGAAGAGCTGGTACCACTTCTACTGAAATTATTCCAAAAAATTGAAAAGGAGTGACTCCTCCCTAACTCATTCTATAAGGCCAGCATCATCCTGATACCAAAACCTGGCAGAGATACAACAACAACAAAAAATTCAGGTCAATATCCTTGATGAACACTGATGAAAAAATCTTTGACAAAATACTGGCAATCCAAATCCAGCAGCACATCAAAAAGCTTATCCACCACAATCAAGTTGGCTTCATCCCCAGGATGTAAGGCTGGTTCAACATACACAATAAATAAATGTAATTCATCACATAAACAGAACTAAAGATGAAAACCACTTGATTATCTCAATAGATGCAGACAAGACCTTCATTAAAATTTAATATCCCTTCATGTTAAAAGCTCTCAATAAACTAGGTATTGAAGGAACATACCTCAAAATAATAAGAGCCATCTACGACAAACCCACAGCCAATGTCATACTGAATGGGCAAAAGCTGGAAGCCTTCCCCTTGAAAACTGGCACAAGACATGTTTGCCCTCTCTCACCACTCCTATTCAACATAGTATTAGAAGTTCTGGCCAGGGCAATCAGGCAAGAGAAACAAATAAAACAATTGAAATAGGAAAAGAGGAAGTCAAATTATCTTTGTTTGTAGATGACATAATCTTATAACTAAGAAACTCCATCATCTCAGCCCAAAATCTTCTTAAGCTGATAAGCAATTTCAGCAAGTCTCAGGATATAAAATCAATGTGCAAAAATCGCTAGCATTCCTATACATCAATAATAGGCATGCCGAGAGCCAAATCATGAATGAACTCCCATTCACAATTGTTACAAAAAGAATAAAATACCTAGGAATACAGCTAACAAAAGACATGAAGGATCTCTTCAAGGAGAACAACAAACCACTACTCAAAAAAATCAGAGATGACACAAACAAATGAAAAAACATTCCATGTTTATGGATAGGTAGAATCAATGCCATGAAAATGGCCATACTTCTGAGAGCAATTTATAGATTCAATGCTATTCCCATCAAACTACCATTGACTTTTTTCACAGAAGTAGAAAAAAATAAAATTTATGGAACCAAAAAAGGACCTGAATAGTCAAGGCAATCGTAAGCAAAAAGAACAAAGCTGGAGGCATCACGCTACCCAACTTCAAACTACACTACAGGGCTACAGTAACCAAAAGAGCATGGTAGTGGTACAAGAACAGATGCATAGACCAATGGAACAGAATAAATAACCCAGAAATAAGACTGCATACCTACCACCATCTGATATCTAACCTTTGACAAACCTGACAAAATCCAGCAATAGGGAAAGAACTTTCTATTCAATAAATGGTGCTGGCATAATTGGCTAGGTATAGGCAGAAAATTAAAACTGGACCCCTTCCTTACACCATATACATAAATCAAGCAAAGATGAATAAAAGACTTAAATATAAAATACAAAACTATAAAAATAACCTAGAAAAAAACTCAGGCAATACCCTTCCGGAAGCAGGTTTGGGCAAAGATTTCATGATGAAGGTGCCAAAAGCAATTTCAACAAAAACAAAAATTGGCAAACAAGATCTAATTAAACTAAAGAGCTTCTGCACAGCAAAAGAAACTATCAACAGAGTAAACAGACAACCTACAAAATGGGGGAAAATTTTTGCAAACTATGCATCTGACAAAGATCTAATATCCAGCATCTGTAAGGAACTCAAATTTACAAGAAAAAAGCAAACAATGCCATTTAAAAGTGGACAAAGGATACGAACAGACACTTATGAAATTAAGATGTACATGTGACCAACACACATATGAAAAAAAGCTCAACACCACTGATCACTAGAGAAATACAAATTGAAACTACAATGAGATACCATCTCACACCACTCAATGGCTATTATTAGAAAGTCCAAAAACAATAGATGCTGGCAAAGTTGTAGAGAAAAAGAAATGATTTTTACACTGTTGGTGGGAGTATAAATCAGTTCAACCATTGTGGAAGACAGTATGAGGATTTCTCAAAGACCTAGAGGCAGAAATACCATTTGACCCAGCAATCCTTTTGCTGAGTATATACCCAAAGGAATATAGATCAGTCTACTATAAAGACACATGCATACTGTATGTTCATTGCAGCACTGTTCACAATAGCAAAGACGTGGGATCAACCTATTATATGTCCATCAATGATAGACTGGATAAGGAAAACATGGTACACATACACCATGGAATACTATGTAGCCATAAAAAGAAGCAAGATAATGTCCTTTGCGAGGACATGGATGGAGCTGGAGGCCGTTATCCTTAGCAAACTAAGAAAGAAAATCAAATACTGCATGTTCTCACTAAATGATGAGAACATGGACACATGGTGGGGAACCACAGACACTGGGGCCTGTTGGAGGGTAGGGGTTAGGAAGAGGAAGAAGGTCAGGATGAATAGCTGATGGTTTCTGGGTTTAATATCTGGGTGAGCAGATAATCTGTGCAGCAAACCACCACATTCACCTATGTAACAAGCTGCATGTTCTGCATATGTACCTCTGAACTTAAAATAAAAGTTGGAAATTTAAAAGAAGAAGAAAAGGACTAAAAAGCCATGATTCTAAGTGTTTACCTTGAAAAATAGAAAAAAAATTGAAAAAACCCCAGATAAGACTTTTTAAATTGAAAACAAATGTAAAATATAGAAAATCGACAATTGCCAAAGATAAAATTCATAAAAGTTAGCTTCTGGGCTTTGGTAATTTTTTTAAATTGCTGGTTTTGTGAGTGGGTTTACTTTGTGAAAAATCATTGGTCTCTGTACTATGTTTTATACACCTTTATGTGTAAAAAGTTTACTTAAAAAATAATAATTTTGAAACATGGTCAGGAATTCTTCTTTCCAAGCTGCATCTGCCGTTTGGTAACATCTTTCCAGCACTTTGAAAGAGAGCATAATGAGATACTCAAATTCTGTCTTTGCAGATCCTCTCCTCTTTCACCATTCTTCTTCCAAGTCTCCCATAGCCTCATATCTTCATTACCCAAGGCCAGCTTTCCTGAACTCATCCTCTAGGGACTCTGACTGAAAAATCCCTACAGCATGCCAATATGCCTCACTGCTACAGGAGTAAGACTTTCTAAGATTTGCCCATTTTTTTTCCTTCACTGAAATGTACTTATCTCATAACATTAGGCCAAAAGCAAAAAAGTTCTGTGATCAAAGAAGTTGAGGGAACACAGAATATTTTATCCCCATCCTGAGATTCATAAAACACATATAGTTTATTAAAATGCCCAATGAGTCCTGCAGTAGATAAACTTATCTTTATTTACTCCATTTTCAAAATGAACTTTACCATAGAAGTCTTTTTTTCACAGCACGGCATGGTGACTTACGCCTGTAATCCCAGCACTTTGGGAGGCCGAGGCAGGCGGATCATCTGAGGTCAGGAGTTTGAGAACAGCCTGGCCAACAAAGTGAAACCCCATCTCTATTAAAAATACAAAAATTAGCCAGGCATGGTGGCAGGCGCCTGTAGTCCCAGCTACTCGGGAGGCTGAGGCAGGAGAATCACTTGAACCCGGGAGCCAGAGGTTACAGTGAGCCTAGTTCACACCATTGCACTCCAGCCTGGGTGACCAGAGCAAGACTAAGTCTCAAAAAAAAAAAAAAGTCTTTTTTCACATCATCACATCATAAAGCCTTTTCATTTATTCAAATATTTATAGAGCGCCTAGTATGCCAAATACTAATTTCTGTGCTGGTGATAAATCCATGAGCTCTTGGAGTTTAAGCTCTCAGTAACGACGGCAGAAAGTAAAGACTAAATTCATACATGATTTCAGGTAATAATAAACATTATGAATAAAAATTAAGCAGGGTATAGTGATTAAACAATGACAACTGAGGTTGGAGTATAGGAATCCACAGAACAAAACTTTGGAAATTTTGCCTTAGTGTGTAACCATGTGCTAACTGAAGTAACAAAGTCCCTTTGGAGAAGGTTTGAGAAAACCTTCAACACTCTCTCTTCAATTAGTGTGTGTGAAAAAGTACAAGGATACTTATTACCTGATCTTGAAGACCAGTGCTATTGATAGGGACTTCTGGCCAGCTAGGAGAGAAGGTAGTGTTGTGCAAGGCGTTCAAGAGACTCGGGGCCCCTACAATTATACTTTGTAAATGGAACTTACTCAATGCACTCCTAAGGCAATTGCCCCTTCCTAGAAAATTGGAGAAGTGTAATGGTTGCGCAGTTTCCTGAACACACAGATCTCAGCTGCTTAATTTATTTTACAGTGTTTTTTATTAGCCTATAGTTGACTAGTATAATTTTTCCTTTCTACAGACATGGAAACTGGATTTCCAGGTTTCATGCTGTTCCTCACATAATAAATCAGGTCAATCTATGAATTCTTTTTTTCACTATTTCACAATACCTATTTGATATCTACTGTCTGTGTAGCTCTGTCTCAGGTATGCAAAAATAAATGTGACCCAGAGGAACTTACGAGCATATTATAGTCGGAAGGTCAGGTACTTTCCCTTTGTGTTTCCCAGCCTCTGTCTTAAGAAATCAGTAAATGCCTCACAAACAGATGTAATTCATTTGTTTATGACTTTCCCAGGCCACACAGAACACAATAAACAGAGTATATGCCTGAGATATATTTAGAGTCTTCACCCAAGAAGGCTTTGGATGGTTTTTAAATACTGAGGGTAATGATAAATACAATACTCTTTTGCCAATCAATAGAAGTACGATATTACAAAAACAGAACTTCTCCTTATTCTTCTCACTGGGAAGGATTTGCTCAGCAGCATAGCTTTTAACACTCTTACGACTTAAAATAAGATACTCAAAACTGGGCAGATAAAGCATCGATTCTAATCCACCACCTGAAGTCATATGACTCATCTGAAGCAGAAGTGGAAAAAAAAATCTAGACCAGGAATCTCAAATTATCACAGGCAGCAAAGAAAGTCAAAATGATTGTACCAATGAGTCATCCGCCATCTGCTTCTCTTCCAGAAAATGTAAGTCAAGGTACAGATAAGCAGGAGTAAACCAACATCAAGAAAATGCAAACCACAATGTTCTTCTACAATGATAGAAGGAAATATGAAGTATATTAAAAGCTAACACAAGGAGATTAGATTGACTCAGAACCTCACTGAGCAGGCTGGGAAGATAATAGGTTTTGTAAGACCCAATACCTGCAGTAAATGATATGGGAAAGGGAAGGAGGCCTATACTATGGCTAAAAAGGGAACTGAAAGCCAAGAGACTCAATAGGTGAGTTCCAGTTTACCAATTTATTCTTCCCACTCCATTTGCTGACTCAAGTTGTGATACAGAAGATAGGAAATCTCATCTTCCTAACAAGAAGACTCCATTCCTATGAGGAAAAATAAGCTGAGAGTCCACTTGAAATCTCTTCTTGATACCTCCACATCCATCATCCCTCTCTTATGATCCACTTTTGGCTACCTTACTAGAACAGAGAACTGTTCTGTGGAATTATTCATTCCATTGCTCTTGTTTTATATTGATAGTTTAGCACTCATCATACTGTATTACAGGGCATTATTTGTACTTTTTCTCTTTAATATATATAAATTCCTTCAGTCATGTGTCATAGCAATAGCTAATTAATACTCATTATTTTATCCTACCAATCTTTATTGAGCACCTACTATGGGCCAAACACTGTTCTTGGGGCTTATGATATATTAAAAAACAAACTATGATCTCTGCCTTTGTGAAGCTTACATTCAAGTGGGAGGCAGGAATAGAAAATCATCATAAGTAGATATGCTAGTATGTTTGAAGATGATAAACATCACTGAAAAGAAAAACAGTAGAATAAGAAAGATCAGGAATGCCAGAAGGTAGTGTTGGGGAAGGGGTAGTTTGCGGCATTAAAGAGGACAGTCAGAGCGGGCTTTATTGAGAAGGTGAGATTTGCCCAGACTTGAAGGAGGTGATGGAGTTAGTCAAGTGAATTTTGAGAACAGATGTATTACACTTTCTTCTTCAAGCTCCATCAAGGACTTTAAGCCAGTGCTACCTTGAGACTCAGGAGATTTGGTAAGTTCACCAAGCTGCCAGAACACTTGTTTTTGGCTCACATAATATATTCAGTGAGTAAGACTTTAGTCATTTTGTTACTATTGTGTGACATGGGAGACTGAGAACAGGAACAGAGAAAGGAGAAGCAGCACAGCACTCAAGAGTGGGGTGGGAATGGGGAGAAGAGGGACCTCCACTCTCATCTGAATCAAGAAAGATTCTGGAAATCTTGTGGGTAGAATGAAGTCAGCCCTTCCTGTTTCCTAAATGTCCTTCCTTGTGATGAGTTTTAATTATCTAAACCTGTCATAAAACTCTACAGAGTCTCTTTGTTGTCTTTAAAGACTTCTTTTTGCTGGCTCTTTTTATTCATTCTTTATTTCTGTGGTGACCAAAAGGATCAATCTCAGCTATATTTTCTGGAGAGGCCCAGGAGAGGGAATTCCAGTTTTGTTGTTCAGTTTCAGCCCTGTACTAGTTTTATAAAATTATATCTATTTTGGGGGGCTCTTTCAAAGAAAGTGTAACTAATCAAGATATATTTGAAAATGTACTCATTCAATTAAAAACGCTTATTAAGCGATTGACAGGTTTCAGGCACTGACTGTGTATTAAGCATACAAAGATAAGGAAGATATGGTTATACTAGAAGTAAAAACCTATCCTTAATAATATTCTGGGGCAGCCGGGCGCAGTGGCTCACACCTGTAATCCCAGCACTTTGGGAGGCCGAGGTGGGCGGATCATAAAGTCAGGAGTTCGAGACCAGCCTGACCAACATGGTGAAACCCCGTCTCTACTAAAAAAAATACAAAAATTAGCCGGGCATGGTGGCATGCACTGTAATCCCAGCTACTCAGGAGGCTGAGGCAGGAGAATTGCTTGAACCCAGGAGGTAGAGGTTGCAGTGAGCTGAGATCACACCACTGCATTCCAGCCTGGGCAACAGAGGAAGACTCCATCTCAAAAAAAAATAAAAATAAAAATAAAAAAAATATATATAAAATATTCTGGGGCATTGCATACCACAGGCCAGAACAAAATGACCCCAAGTTATAGGAAAACAATAAAACAGATTTGTCATACTCTAGAAATAATTCAGTCAAAAGTACTAAACATTTTTTCAATGAAACAAGAAAAGTCATGTTCTTACTGATGACTATTTTACTACTGTGATTGTCTTTTATGTAAAACTTTTAAACCCTAGCAACATTAGCCATTCCTCCTGGTTCCTGTTAATAAGTCTGTGCTTCACTGAACATCCTAATCACCCACATTTACCATCACTTTACCATGAAAGAGGAAGAGAATGGTGACTTCACAAAAGTCAATAAAGAAGAAGTGGAAACAGTGAAGTGAGGGGAAGCCTCAAGGCAGCAACTAAGAACAACCTATAAGCACAGAGAATAATAGTGGTCAGGTTTTTAAAGACCACAGGACCTCTGGGAGTGACTCATTTGGAGAACATACTATTTCTGCCTTTGACTCCACAGTGAGGTCTGCCCATACGGTGTTGGTGGTGTTATTTTATGTAAGATGTAGCTCAGTTGCCAAAGAAGTACATGTTTTCCTCAGCCCTATATGACTTAAAGATCCCTCTAAAACTCAAATTAACACATAACGTGTAAATCACATATACACAGTGTTTAGTGTCATATCATAAAATGTTTTTGCATCAATGAGTTAGTTGTTACTGCTTCTGCAGTAACATCTTCTGCAGAAGGAACTGCAGATATGTGAGTATAGGAGAAAATAAACATATCCCTCACAGTCTGCTTTCTTTGTTTAATTCATTCACTAGACTGATCATTCTAAGGAGGATTTTGTGCTGCTCTTGTTTTGCTGCTGGGCCTATCCTGTTTCCATTCCCAAATCAAGTATTCCTGGAATTTAAGGTATCACTTTACCAGCCTGACCACAAGTTCCCCATTGTTTCCTCTGCTCTGCTCATGACCTGGAATAATGCCTCTCCCTGGATACTAAATTTACTGACCCTGCCTAGGACCGAGAAGATTGATGAGTCCTCAACCCGTGCATGTCTTCAAAAAGGTAAGACAGACCAGCAAAGCAGTAAAATGACAGACCCATTGTTTGAGCCCAACGCTGGGACTTCCCCTTTTGTATAAGCTGAGTCACATTTTTCCTGTTGTCAACTTGAAGCCTGTTCGTTGATGTACGATAGGACTATCTTGCTGATATATAAAGTCAGGCAGACAGGTTTCCTTGCATTTGTTTGCCTTACCTTGGACCCTTACCAATTAGAAACTGTCCACTGGCCAAAAGAGATAAGACATGGTTTATTAAAGCTCAGATACTACATTGAATGAAATAATTTCTGACAATTTTCTTCTGTTAAAGTGCCATCCGAGGTTCCTGCCTTGTGCAATCTTACTGATTTTGACAGAGGTCTTTTGGGATGTATATGTGCATTTTATTCTTGATATCTGTTCAGTTGACACATGTTTTAAAACCACAGATATATTTGATTGGTTGGCAAATTGTGAAAACAGGAAGTCAAATAATGGAATCAACTGTGAAACAACCATAACAAGTGAAGCTTTTCTGCTTAAGTGCCAAGATGGGAATACTGTTATGAGTAACAAACAAAATGAAATGATAATGTCAATATAATTCCAACAGGAAGAGTGAGCATCTGGACTGCCCTAATTATCATATTTCCAGTGCTTTATAACCAATGAAATGGTTTTTACATTTTACTCTCCAATATTGTTGCTAGGCATGATAAAAAATCTCCAAAATTGAGAGAGGGATGTGGTGACATTTTCTAGCTAGGAAATATTTGAGATTTTTTCTTTTTTTTTTTTTTTTGGTCGGACAATCACCACTTGCATTGGACTTCAAAAAAATACCTTGCTGGGGCCAGGCGCAGTGGCTCTGCCTATAATCCCAGCACTTTGGGAGGCTGAGGTGGGTGGATCCCTTGAGGTCAGGAGTTCGAGACCAGCCTGGTCAACATGGTGAAACCCCGTCTCTACTGAAAATACAAAAATTAGCTGCGTGTGGTGGCGGGCGCCTGTCGTCCCAGCTACTTGGGAGGTTGAGACAGGAAAATCACTTGAACCTGGGAGGTGGAGGTTGCAGTGAGCCAAGATCCCGCCATTGCACTCCAGCCTGGGTGACAAGAGTGAAACTCCATCTCAAAAAAAAAAATAAAAAATCTACTGATTGCTTACTCTAGAACAGGCACTGTTGTAAACACTAGGGTTATGAAGGTCATGGCAAATCACCTTCTTGCTTATAAGCATTTGCACATTACACCGAGACTTTTCTTGTAATGCCTCAAGGTTTCCAAGTACCAGTTCTCCTGTGATAGTCATTCTTCCATGGTGAATTTTCAAAAGGTTATCAAGCAGTGTAAAGAATAAAAAAAATCCTCAAATCAATAGATATGAGGAACATATGCAAATATTAGAATAAAATGAAAGAGACGATTTTTAGACAAAGACCAGGAAATACGATCTCACTAGTATGTATTAAGTTTATAAAACTTATTACTTCAAAAATTTCAGAAACATAAACGAATTTTAAAGACACCTGAATAAACTTGAGGCAGGGCAGCTGTTAGCAGTATAATGAGGGAAGGGTGGAGCATGTACCATGCCACAGATGGGAAATCCTGTTCTTCCATCTTCCATCTTCTGAGAATTTCTATATGAAATATGTTATGGAAATGATGGCATGTGCCATCTATTCAGACAATTGAGTTTTTAAAGTATGATCAATATTTCTCAAGGTCTGCCCCTGCCAGAAAAGAATTTAAAATATTACAATGGGACATTTTAATGTCATCTTGTTGGAGGGAGAATTAATGAGGACTTGGCACAATTGATTGTTAGTTAGAAGATTAAGTCACAATGCATATATTAATCTATTTAACCTTCAAACACTGTTTTAAGAGACTGTTTTAGGAGAAAGTACTTTTGAGCCAGTTGCATATTTCAGTCAACCTTAATTATATTCAGAAATCTAACCCTAGAAATGTAAATTTAAAGGTGGAAGAACAGAAAGACAAACTACTCTAAAGCTCTCATCTTACAGATGAAGCACAAACAAATTAAATGAAATCCAGAGGTTACAGCATTTATACAGCGATGAAGCCAAGCCCAAACCTAGGTCACCTGGATACCAAGGCTTGTCTCAGGTCTCTGCATGGACAAGGAGATGAAATAAAACTGCATCCAGAATTATCCAATTAGCCTGTATCTCTTATTGTGAAATGATTCCATTTGGATACAGAATCAGTCACTAATTGAAAAAAACACTGCATTGACTTTCAACTGATGAATCTGCCCTAAGAGGTGTTACACTTGTCATTATACCCATAGAGTATTACAGCACTGCTTACCAACTCTGTACTAATCAAACAATCATCTTTATTGTTTCATAAAGGTGAAAAGTAAAGAAAAATTCTTAGTGAAAAAGCCCTCCCAAAGAGAAATCCAGGGAAAATAGCAATAATAATGCAAAACATTCAACTATATAATTTCCAAGACTTTCACTTCACTGTGTAGTCAAGTAACACTATTATTCATTTCACAGCTATAGATCAATTTGCTCATGTGTGAAACCTAGGAAATACAACCATTTTCTCTTCAGATGAGTAATCCTGGTTTGAGTTACCCATACAATTTCATAAAAATACATTATTCCAGATGGACTCCAGTTGCTGGGCAGATGGAAATGCTTAAGTAAAGGACTAAAAACTTCATTATCCTAAATTAGGTAGTCAGAGAGAAAAAGTATGAATATAACTATAACCCAAATAATTTTTAAGTTTTATGAATATTTTTAAAAATTCTACTTTCAGGAGAAAAGAACTTGAAAAATAATTACACATATTTAAGTATTTAAAAAGTATATACTTTTACAGTCAAGTTTTTAATCAATTAGTTGTAGCTACCATAATTATATTTCTCATAGTCACTTTCCATTTTTACATACTGAGCCAACCTGTCCATAAGCCAAGCTCAGGTTTATCTCATTCCTTCAGTTGATTGGACAGGATTTCCCCACAGGCACAGGTGCAATTTCTGTAAGCATCACTGCTGTGACTGTGATGGTTAATGTGGGAGTCTTGTCTACCTTCCCACATAGCTTACCTGTGCTCATTGTCATTGCATATGACATTTCTGGATGTACATTTCTATCTAATGAGAGACTGCTGCTCAGCCCATTCATATTTATGCTTTGGCCAGTCTGACAGAAGTTAGCTCATAATGGGCAGGACAATTGGTGTCCCATGGTCAAGAGCTCCGTCCCTAGCAGGATCTAATATTGTTCCAGGAGCTTCTTTGGACCTCTAAAAACTTCACTGAAATGACAGGTCTCTAAAACATCATGAGGTTTATCTCCCACACTCAGGCATTGCCACCTCTTACTGCAAAGGAATGAGCCACCTCTGTAAACTTTGAACATTCAGGGATGTATACAGAGCCAAAATCCTCTGGGGGAATCTACCCATTATGTCTTCATCCCATGTTTTAAGATCCTAGGTTTTCATCCATGGTCTGCCTTGGCTGAGCATGTAAGTATCTCTGATGCTCTGGAATTCTACTTGTCAAATCCTGGAGTCTGTTTTTCAGCTGTTCATTATTCCACTGCAGGGGAAAAGAGACCCTTCTTAAATCACCAGAGAGGTTCTCTAACTCTTGCCCTTAGCAGTAGTTTGTTAATGGTTCTCTGTTTCTCATTATCCCATTGCAGAGCATCAATATAACAGTAATGCCCAGCCAACACTCTGTCCTTGTGCTCCCCACCGCCATCTCTCTTTCAAATCCTTGAATCATTATAACTGCAAGGGCATTTTCCATTGGGATGTTTCCTCAAGTCACCCCTGATGAATTGTTCAGCGATTGGATTTTCACTTTGTGCCAGGGACTATCTAGGCCCCACATTCCTCTCATGATGCAGTCCTCCTTGCCTGTCGAGAAATGAGTGAGCCAGGCCCCAAGCTCCATCTTGCCACTTGACTTATCAGAACATGTTTGGTTTCTGCCATGTCAACTCAGGTCAACCCAGGAGGAGCTAACAAAACAGGATTACACATGTAAGATATATATTGGGGGAAACTCCTGTGAAAGATGAAGAAGGAAGGGGCAGGAGTAGAGAGGGCCTTCAGACCACAGTGAAGAATTGGCTTCTGTAAAAAGAGAAATAGAATGTTTGTAATCCTGGTCCAGACCATCTCTAACTCTGTAACTCTCCTATTTCCACATCTTTTGACCACAAAGTTGTTAGAAGAACTGGAGATCGATGTACATGGGAAGGCCCAGCTCAAGCTCTGTGCAGAGTGGGTCCTTAGCAACTGTTACGTTATGTGTTCACTGCACAGAACAGGGGAGTAATAAGCAGAGCCCTGGGTTTCCTTCAAAGAAATGCAGTGACCCTTATTTCATGTGTAGGCAGGTAGATATGGAGGCTGCCCCTCTCTGCATCTACAACAAGCCCTGTTTCTCATTAAAGTCAACGTTGAACACTATGTTTTAAATAACACAAGGAAGAAAACAGGATGCACTTATCTCCTTAGACATGACCTCAAAATGTATTCTTCTTTATAACTGTTATTACTAACTAAAATACATCCTTCCTATTCTTTCTTTGGAAAGAAGAAAAATAAGGCTTGTGATGGAAGGTAGGATAAAGCCAGCACATATTGAGTGATGATATGTGCCAGGTACTACTTTAGGTACTTTATGAATGTTTTCTTTCTTCATCCTTACACTCTTTGGAGTTAGAATTATCCACACCTTACATAAGAAAACAATCAAGGTTATAGAAATTAAATAACTTGTCCATAGTATTGCAGTTAATTATCAGAAATGACTATTGACTCTGAAACTTTGTATATTTCAGTTTTGCAAAAATCTTATCTGTGAGGTGGACTTTAATTCAAGAATTATAGAAATGTTTTGGTTGAAATAATTTTTTTAATAAAAAAGAATTTTTTCCTATGTTATGTATTTAAAATCTATAATGAATTTTGGCCCTATCTCTGTTAAAACCACATTGTTTTAAATACTTAGTTGCTCATAAATCTATTTCTCCTCATTATAAACCCTTGAGGGAGACTATTATATCTAATTCATCTCATCCTAACCAACTAAAATTAGGCCTAAATGTCATATGCACTCAATTTATGTATGCTGAGCCAAATAGGATAATTCAAACAACTCAGTTCATTTTTCTGCTAATTCTCCACTTACTCTGATACAGCAAATTAGAATGATAGAGAGGAAAACATATCCTCTTCTTTATTCCATGGGACCCATATCATAGTGGACAGCCTCTCTCAAAAAAGCCTTAAAACTCTTCCATTTTTTGAGAACCCATAGTTGTTTAACTAGCTTGTCCTGGCTGAAAGATAGATGTGGATTATAAGAATCAACAGGAAATCCTCATTGCAGGTACACATCTCCTAAATTTCCCCACTATGCAGAGAGATGGCCAATTATTATAGAAGCATAATTACTATAGAAGTTGTAGCTACCATAATTATATTCTCATAGTCACTTTCCATTTTTACATACTGAGCCAACCTGACCATAAGCCAAGTTCAGGTTTATTCCATTCCTTCAGTTGATTGTACAGGATTTCCCCACAGGTATAGGTGCAATTTCTGTGAGCATCACTGGCCAACATGGTGAAACCCTGTCTCCACTAAAAGTACAAAAATTAGTTGGGCATGGTGGCCCGTGCCTGTAATCCCAGCTACTGGGGAGGCTGAGGCAGAAGAATTGCTTGAACCCAAGAGGCAGAGGTTGCAGTGAGCCAAGATTGCGCCACTGCACTCCAGCCTGGATGACAGAGTGGCGAGACTCCATCTAAAAAAAAAAAAAAAAAAGATAAAAGATAAATGTAGAGTACTTGTGATTTGGGGAAAAGATCATGAAAGGTAACCTTACAAAACGTGACTTTTACAGCAACTTTCAAAGTTTACGTTATGGTGAAGAGCATAGGCTTTGGACACAAACCAGCCTTAGTTTGAATCCTGTCTGTGACACTGAGCTGTGTGACCTTGGACAAGTTACTTAGCCTCTCTAGTCACAGTTTCCTTGTGTGTAAAACAGAGATAATAATAGTGCTGTTTGAGAATTAAGAGGAAGACAAAATGTAAAGCACTTAGCACATGGCCAGCAGATGATAAATACTCATTAAACAGGAATTTACTGTCATTATTATTTTACTATGCATGCAACTAGCTGCTTCATGTGTCTGAGCTGAATGATAACAACATTGGAATTCACAATTTTAATAGATCTTTGCATTCCCACAGCATCTTTTATCTCAGAGGACCAAAGTTCTGGAAAATATTAATTCTCGTCTGTTATGTTTGTACTAGTAAAGGCAGGAGCACATACAACGGCCTAGTTATTAAAAAGAACTATGATATAAAGCGCTAACTCCACATGCACAAAGTTATACATAAAACCTTAACAGAATCTAGGTCTCTCATCTTGGATTCCTCATTAATTGTAGCAGATTGTTTCCAGTGGCTAAATATTATTTATTGGCAGTGTAAGTCAATGCTGCTGATATATTACTCTTTTGGGGAGTGTTTGTTTTTTGAAAACTGCTCTCAAATTTTCTAAATGTGAATTTAAAAGTCTGTCAGTCTATGTGCCGATAACACAAGACAGATTGTAAATGTAGCGGGATGCAGTCAAGTCAAACAAATCCAGTGAGAGCGCCAGAAGTCTTTATTAGGACTGCTCCTGTTCACAGGCTTTGCTAATGATGGAACAATTGTTTGTGCTGATTTGTAGCTGGCATTGATATGCCGGCAGCAACACTTTCATCTAAAATCCAGCTCCAAATTTTTTTAATACTGCCAATGAATTTGCTGTGTCTGCAAAGAGCAACTCCAAAGAACCTTTCTAAATAATAAGAAATGGGAATATTCAAGCAGTCTTTAATTCTAAATCCAGAGTGTTAGTTGAAATATACAATGATTTTTCTCTTTGTCATTGTTTTGTCATCTACTGGGATGCCTGCATCTCAACAACTTGTATGAATTAATAACTAAACACAGCTTTAAAATGCTGAAATTGGCAGATGTTGAAGGGAAGTAAATGCTGAACTGCAGAAGGATATTCCAAGATTCCAAACTTATCTAACATTTTCTTCACAAAATAAAAAAATGCAAATGCGCTCTGACTGCTGTTCACATTTACTGTGGGGACCAGTTTTTTTTTTTTTTTTTTAATCAAACAGCACCTGCCTCTCTATTCAGAGATGTCTGCGTGTGGGGATAAGTGCAAACAACAAAGGCTTCGGCTGTGGCAGAGGCTGCATCATTTTCTTGGAACTTGCCATTATGTTTCAGGTCAGAGATTGAGGTTTGGTGCAGGGAATGGAGCTTTTAATATCAGGTGAATGGATTTTTATAAGAGGTTGGGAAGCTTTGGGTCTTAAAGAGAAAAATGGTGCTTTAAAAATAGCCACATTTCTTTTGTACTGTAATTATCAGTGCATGACCAATCATTTTTTATTCTGTCTGTGTGGGCAAAAGGAAATATCCTCTACCCATCTCTGTGGGCTGGCCATTTGAATAAGTCAAAATGTTCCCATATTTAATCAGTTTATTGAGAATATATAATTTAGCTAGAAAATTGATCCTGAAACATCACTTTTAAGGGAGCATGAAAAATGATACAAATTCATCAATTTTTTAAGAAGTCATTGTCATATGTTTGCTGCTTAAACAGGTAATGTGGAGTAAATCAGTGATTTTTTCACAATTTCTATTGAGAAAAGGTTCACATTGTGTAAGTGACAAAATGTCTGAAATAGGAATAATCAGCCTTAAAAAAAATAGAATGGTAAAAATATGAAGAAACAGAACAATAACTTCAGCTGATCCCAGCTCTAACATTGATGGAGAAAGCCCAGGCAAATCACTGAATTCCTCTGAGTTTCCATTTCTGCATCTATAAAGTGTAAATGGTAAAATGTTCCCTTCCAGGACTGTTGTGGACAGGAAATGAGAAAATGTTTGTGACGTACTTTGCAAATGGTAAAACATTTTAAGAGCATCAGGAAGAAAAGGAGAAGTAAACGGGATGATAATAATAATTACAATATGTAACAATTATAATGACAATTATAATATTAAATATAATAATTGTTATTAATGAAAATACTAAATCCTGCCCAGAAGTGCTAGAAATTGGTAAATCCTCAGACCATGTCTTCATTATGTTCTTAACTGGAGGAAAAGGAGACATACATACTCTGTAATCCCACATGAAAAAGTGAAGTCTATTATAACTGAAGTGGACTGCAGACTACATTAACACCTGTTCTTTGAAAGAAACTCTTAAATTAAAGTTACATCTTTCTGAGAGCTTTTTTCAAAAGCAAGTGTAGGCTAACAGAGTATCCTATTCTTGAAATGGCTTGTTAGGGTTTCAGACAACCTTTGCCCACAAAACAGGGGAGTCACATTAACTTGCTAAGGTTGCATTTCTCTTTCGTTAGATCAGTCACTCACGGGTTATGTAGGGTTACATGAAGTCACCAATCAATGACAAGCATTCATTATCATATGTTTGCTCCAAAATACAAAGCTTTAAACTGTTCCAGGAATAAAAATTTTTAAATAGCATCCTTTAAAAGTTGCAGGAATTATGGATAGAAAACTATTGTACATTTTTGCTACTGAAACCAACATCCCAAGAAAATAAAATACACTTTTAATAGTAGATGCTCGAAATATACAACTTCCCACACTCACTTTCTGGGTAATAAGTTGTGTGCTGAGAAGGTAAGGCAGTTGGTGGTTGCTTATGAAGAATTTATGCACTACAGTTCATCTAGTTAGAGATGAGAGAAAGATGCAACTAGCATATATAGGTTGCCAATTCTTCCTCCTCCTCTAGTAGTTGTATATTATCTGCCTAGATAAGCTAGAAATATATTTCCCCAAATTTCTTTCCCTATAGTCCTGGGTTAGTGTTGGCCACAAGAGGAGTTTAGATGAAATTTGGGAGCGGAAGTGTACCAACAGCCATTATGCTCAAAAGATCATTGTTGCTCAAGGCAGGGAGGAACAGACAAAACGAGAAACTGGCAGTTTTGTTTCGTTCTGCTCATCCTGACCCATGTCCCTAGCTGAATGCCTGTCCAGCCAAACAATAGCAACATTAGGTTACCAGCAAACCCTTTGCAGCTGAACTCAGAGGCACTAGCCACAAAGATCCTGCAACCTTCATCAGACTTCTAGCCCAGTACTATTTATTATTTTTTAATTTTTGTGGGTACATAGTAGGTATATGTATTTATAGGGTACATGAGATGTTTTGATACAGGCATGTAATGTGAAATAAGCACAACGTGGAAAATGGGGTATCCCCCTCAAGCATTTATCCTTTGCGTTACAAACAATCCAAATTACATCCTTTAAGTTATTTAAAAATATACAATTACTATTGACTATCACCCTGTTGTGCTATCAAATAGTGTTTTTATTCTTTCTATTTTTTTAATCCATTAACCATTCCCACCTCGCCCCTGCACTGCTCTCACATCCCTCACCCACCTCCACCAACTATCCTTCCCTGCCTCTGGTAACCATCCTTCTTCTCTCTATGTCCATGAGTTCAATTGTTTTGATTTTTAGATCCCACAAATAAGTGAGAACATGGAATGTTTGTCTTTCTGTGCCTGGATTACTTAACATAATGATCTCCAGTTCCATCCATGTTTTTGCAAATGACTGGAACCTAGTACTATTTCTGCTTCTACTCTAGCAGTTGGACATGCATGGCTTCCTGCAAACTCTAACTCTTTAACTTGCTTACCCACTCTAGACCTGGTTGAAGTCAAGTCCACTTATCAACACAAGTCATTTGAAGGCATTTGGTATAAGGGGAAAACATGGGCTTCAAAGTCTTACAAATCTATTTATTCATCCTCTTTCCTCTTCTGTCTGTATGACTTTAACCTCCTTAGGCCATATCAACCTTCAAAATAAATGGTAAGAAATCTTGCCTTGGTCCTAAGTGAAAAAAAAAAAATTCTTTCATTAGAATCTTAATCCTAAATTAGTCTTCATGTAAATTTGAGGCTAGAATGCACTCTACCTGTATAAGCCATAAAAATCCCAAGCTCAGAATTGAAAGTGACCCATGGTGGTTAGTGCATCCGAGGCACAGGAAAAGAGAAAATACAGCAACTTTTCAAAGGAGAGCTCCTTAAACCCAGGACACAAAGTATTTCCAAATAAATTTCTAAGAAACATGAGCTTACCATAAAATTTTTTTAAATCACCCAGAGAAACTAGTCACCATTAGCAAGAGTCAGCAGAAACAATAAATAAGAGAATCTGACCTTCAGATCTGCAATTTTTGTGATATTATCTATATTTAAATTTTAAAGAATGTATTTAAATTTCTTAAAGAAGTATAAGAGATTGTCAATATTTCAGCAGATTTGATAAAGGAATAGAACATGAAGAAACAGAAATAATAATCATTGAAAACTCAATGGACAGGATAAGCTATAGGTTATAAATGACCAAAGAAAGACCTTAAGCTTTGATCCAGAATGCAGCACAAAGGGACAGAATATGAACAAGAGGTTAAAGGACATAAAGAACAGAGGGAGAAGTTCTAATATATATGTAATCAGTGCTTTAATAGGAGAAAATTGAGGCAGACAGACAGGTGACATTCCAAGAGATAATGGTTGAGATTCTTCCAGAAGTGAAAGGTAGCAATCCTTACACTCAAGAAACCCAACTAATCACATGAGCTAAAATGAGAAAATAAAAGTTTTATTTGGCAAAAAATGTAATGGCAATATATTTAATAATATTTGGTTTAGGTAACAATATACATTTTTTATTTTATTTATTTATTTTATTATATTATTATTATTATTATTATTTTGAGACGGAGTTTTGCTCTTGTTGCCCAGGCTGGAGTGCAATGGCATGATCTCAGCTCACTGCAACCTCTGCCTCCCAGGTTCAAACAGTTCTGCTTCAGCCTCCCAAGTAGCTGGGATTACAGGCATGCACCACCACGCCCAGCAAATTTTTTGTATTTTTAGTAGAGACGAGTTTTCACCATGCTGGCCAGGCTGGTCTCAAACTCTGGACCTCAGGTGATCCACCTGCCTCGGCCCCCCAAAGTGCTGGGATTACAGGCATGAGCCACCATGCCTAGCGGTAGCAATGTATATTAAAAGATGGAATGAAATTTTAACTTCTAAGAAGTCACCAAAAAAGGACGAGGCAAATGCAAATGAGGCACTCACTCTTAGAGATGTGCAAGTGCAGGGCTGGGGCTCTCAGGAACCTGACAGTGAGGGCCCGCCTTAAATTTTGCAACCTGAGTCTCTCACGTGCCTCACTCTTGTCCTGATTCTTAGAGACAAAAATCTGCGTCTGTGATCTAATACGCAGAATTGTCTAATTAAATATACTTTTAAAATATAGTGAGCTGTTGTATGAAATTTATGCCTATCTTTAATCTACTATGTTGTGATCCTATTTACATTTGGTATAATGCAACCATTGCAAATGTAGTTTGTTGAATTTAACAATGTAACCACCTCAATAACCAAGATACAGAACATCTCCATCAGCCAAAAAATGTCCCTTGTAGTATTTTGCTATTACCCGCCCCCACCCCTGATCCTTGGAAACCACTGACCTGCTTTCTGTCATTATAATTTGGATTGACTTTTGCAGTTTTATATAAATGGAATCATAGAGTATTTACATTTTGTTTTTAAATAATAAGATACTAAAAATATCTAAAACAGCAATTCTCTAAAAATGTCACATAACAGATATGGGTTATCTTTGTTGCAAGAAGCAAAAAAACTTACTTATTTGATATATTTATGGGGTTTTTCCATTCACACTATTTTTTTAAGTATTCGAGAGATTTTAGTGAGCAATATAAAAACTGTGACTCGGCAGGGCGTGATGGCTCACACCCGTAATCCCAGCACTTTGGGAGGCCGAGGCGGGTGGATCACCTGAGGTTGGGAGTTCGAGACCAGCCTGACCAACATGGAGAAACCCCACCTCTACTAAAAATACAAAATTAGCTGGGTGTGGTGGCACATGCCTGTAATCCCAGCTACTCGAGAAGCTGAGGCAGGAGAATTGCTTGAACCCCGGAGGTTGCGGTGAGCCGAGATCACGCCATTGCACACCAGCCTGGGCAACAAGAGCGAAACTCCCTCTCAAAAAAAAAAAAAAAATTGCAACTCAATACAACAATATTGCATAAGACAACTTGAAACAAATTAGCAGAATTATCATTTTTTACACTCTTAGTTAACTTGCATTTAGCATCAGCTTTTATTTTTATCAAAGGTTTCATCATGGATTTAAGTTAAATTCTAAAGATACATAAAAATAAAAAGAATCTTTCACTCTACAGTAATTAAACTCAACACCAGGGCTAGAGGTATTCAACTGAATGACCAAATCATAAATACAATTATCTTATGTCAAATGATTCCTGTGCATGGCCACTCAATACATTTTATAAGACTCAAAGTGTTCCGTGTGAAAGAAAGAAATAATCATACCATCACTTAATTTAAACATTTTTAAAACAAAAATTAAATATTCACTTAATTTTCTATGACCCTCTGTTTTTTAATGGAGATGTATTACCTTTGAAGATTTTTTTTATAACATGTTTTCATAAACATGCCATCCAAATAAAGAAGTTTTAAAGCATACTAGAAATCAAAACAGATACCATTGCTATTTTTAAAGAACCCCCTGTGACATTTTCACAAACCTTTGAGGATTTTCAAACCACAGTTTGGGAAGGAAAAATTAATGTGTGTTTACAGGCCACTCATGGGTCCCTAATTACTGTGTGTCAGCAAATAAAATAGTCTCTTTTGTTAGTTACCTTCTTTGAAGTCTCTGTATTATTTGATGCCATTTATCAGACCACTCCTTCTTCCTCATAATTTTTTATTTCAAGCCAACATTGTATTATTGCTACTCCAACCTGTCTGGCTGATCTGTCTCTGCTCCTTCAGAAGCTTCCCTCCTTTCTCCATGGCTTTTCTTACCACTTTATGCTTTCTTTCATTTGCTTAATCCTCCGTACTGATCCTGGGCATGTTGTCCCAATTCTTCTTCATCTTGCAGGCTGCATTTCCTGGGTCCCCTATTAGCTAGCTTCATTGACCAAAGGCAAGGACTAGAGGGAGAAAGGAAGCACTGGCAGGAGACACTGAGGGAAGGATAAAGGATGGGAAGAGCCAGGATATTTCTCTCCCTCCCTCCCTCTCTCTGCTTTGGGTACCATGTCTGATGTCTTGACTGGAGCTGGATGCCTCAAGATAGCTTCACTCACATGTCTGACAATTTTTTCTGGCTGTTGGCTTGATTCTCCTCCATAGGACCTTTTGTCTTTTAGTAGGCTAGACTGGGCTTCTTCACAGCATGGTGGTCTAAGGGTTTTATGAGGCAAGACTAGAACTGCAAGACCTCTTACGTAGAGGATCCAGAACTTACACAATGTCACATCCACCACATTCTGTTAGTCAAAGCAAGTCACAAGGCCAGGCCTTATTCAAAGGGATAGAAAAACAGACTTTGTTTATTGATGAGAAGAGCAGCAATAAGACATTACAAAAGACATGAAAACAAGGGGATGTAGTTCATTGGAAGCCATTATTGTGACAATCTACCTCGCTGAGTCCCAGAGTTCCAGAAACAGCACCTCTCTCCTAAACACAGTGTATACTATTCCTAATCTCTGGGTTGTTCCCCATTTGTCTCTTTTGCTCCCTTGTCACCTGTTTAACCAACTCCTTGCATTAGATTGCTTGTGGTTTCCTAGTTTGACTGTAAATGTGCATCTACTTTCTTACTTTAACAGTGATAACTCTTAAATCTGGATCTGAGTTCTAGATTTAAAAGTTCTAGAGTTCTGATTTCTAGATCTAAATCCTATTCTAAATTTCCAAAGGCCTTAGGGTATTTCCACGTTAATTTTTTCTTCTTCATCTCAAACCCAGCATATTCAAAACTGAATTCAGAATTCTCTCCCCTGGACAATGACTCTTCTCAATTTATCTATACTCTAAACCAGGGGCCAGATGACTATAGTAAGCAGCCAAGTCCATCACTGCTAATTTTATTGGAACACAGCCAAGCTCATTCATTTTTGTATTGTCTACGTCTCTTTCACTCTACAATGGCAGAACCGAGTAGTTGCAACAGAAACTGTGTGACCTGTAAAGTTCAAAATACTTACACATCTGGCCCTTTACAGAAAGATTTCCCGACCCCTGTTTTAAAGCTCTGATCCTGTCTTTTTCTTCTCTATGTACAATCAGAGACCAAAGGTTATCAATTCAGTTCACATTCTTCATTTCTAAATTATTTCCATATTCTTTTATCTGTCTCTCCCTGCTTCCATCCTAATCTATTCTGCATATTTCAACTAAATTGATTGTTGCAAAATACCATTTTAATTCTGTCGCTCATCTACTAACAATTCCACAGTGACTTGTTTTTATTACAAGTCACTGATCATTGCAAATTCAGCATCCTTCAACCAACTCACCTCAATTTACTCAACAAAATCTAATTTGCACTTTCCCCAAGCCATCTTCTCCAATCAGGTGCATCTTCTCTTACTTCTCTTACTTGATTTCAGAACCTCTGAATGCAGAAATTCTGTTTCATCGCTTATAGCTCTAGCACCAGGCACAGTGGTTGGCATATGGTAAACAGGGAATACTACTGATTTTTTTTCTACTTCTGTCACTTTATTTATATGCTGCCTCTACTTAGTACATTCTTTCCTTGCTTTCCTATCTATCCAACCCTCTGTACTGTCTCTAGTCTCATATTTTCTCTAAACTGGTCTAAGCTTAATGATCAATTTTTTATTCAAATTCCTGACACTAAAAATTTATATCATCCATCTCTTCACTGCCTCAATGCACAGGGAGATATAGAATTAGCCACAATATTGATTCTTGAGACAGTAAGAACATGCCATCTATTTATGCACAATTTCTAACATCCTTTCCCATACCTCACACTATCCTTTGAGGTATTTCTTCTTTGGGATTTGTCCAAAGTTACAAGGCTTCATAATTATTAGGAGCCAAAGTGACAATCTAGATTCTAAATTTATACATTCTAAATTTATAAGGCTTTCTAGGAAATTTCAGATGAATTTTATGATAGAAGGTTTTATTCTAGAATCTTGTAAATTGAGATATACGATATTTCAGATGTGGCAAGAAGAAAGAGTTGAGAGAAGTATATAAAAATACTTATTCACAGGTTATTACTCAGAAGAGAAAAAGTTCACTTACACAGAATCTAAAAGTTACAACCTGTATTTTCAGTGTTTGTGAACAAAATTCTGCAACAATACAGATATCCCAGGAAACCAGCTCTTATGACAGTTGTGTGCTGGAGCAATTTCCTACCAGCTTAAGGGGACAGATTGTTAAATATTCAGGAATTTTACAAACCAAGTGTCAAACCATTGGCAACTTGAAATCACCCATCATATGGGTATTTTCATCAAAATTGGCAAATGCAGTAAATCAAGGTTTTTTTTCTTAACAGTTTTCCAGCACATCACTGATATATCTATATCCATATCCATATCTATATATATATCTATAGCTATATATATATAGATATGGATATGGATATAGAAACACACAAAATATGAGGAAGAGAGGGACAGAGCACAATTATAGTTACAAGAGGAATAATGATTGATAAAAACACACATTAGTGTAGACTTTTCTGTATTCTAGGCCATGTTCTAAGCACTTAGCATATATTCAGGTGTGCTACAGCCAGCTAGTACTAGCTTACAAAAGCCAATGGTGCACATCTCTTTCCCAACTCCATGTTCAGTGGCCTCACACTGGTAGCTTGAAATCAGCCGTAGTGGGAGTATTTACACCACAGAAATCAGTAAATACTGTAAATCAGGAATTTTTATGCAGACAGCCAGTTGTTAAACATTCACCAGCACATCACTGTTCTTTAGCCAGACTTTTATAAGACAGCATACTCACTTTTGGCCTCCAAAATACATTATTCAGTACAGTTTGATAAACAAGAAACCTGTGCCTAAGCAGAGGAAAGGGAAGAAAACATATGAGATTACAAAAAGTAAGGGAAGACTTTGAGTTTGGTACAACTAGTCTGTGATAATAGAAGGGCTAGGAAATAAACACATTACCTTCCTTCTACCATAGTAGCTTCTGGGAAAGGTTGGCACTATGTTCTTTCCATCATGCTGGCTGTCTTAGCACATTTTGTGCTACTATAACAGAATACCTAAGACTGGGTAATTTACCATGAACAGAAATTGATTGGCTCACAATTCTGGAGGCTGCAAGTCCAAGATTGAGGTTCTGGCATTTTGCAAGGGTCTTCTTGCTGACTCATCCCATGGTGGAGGGCAGAACAGCAAGAGAAGAAAAGAGAAGGGAAGGGAGAGGGAGAGATAAGGGAAAAAAGAGAGAGAGAAAGAGAAGGGGGCCGAACTTACCCTTTTATAATAAACCCACTTCCAAGACAGTACCATTAATGTACTCATGAGGGTCAGAGACCTCATTGCCTAGTCACGTCTTAAACGTCTCACCTCTTGACACTGTTACAATGACAATTAAACTTCAACATGAGTTTTAGAGGAGACAAATATTCAAGCCATGACACTGGCCCTCCCCATGAAAACCAGAATTGCGAATAGTTCAATCATTTGACTTCAGTTTCTTGAGAACCGCTGACTCTTTTGATCAGATAACAAACATTCTTTGCCATCAATAAGTAGGTGCTTCCTAAACCCAGCACTTTGAATTTGGCCAAGTTCAAAGTGCAAATAAAGTAGAGGAAAAGGTGGGACAGAGACAAGGGGAGGAGAGAACCACAGTAAGGAAAGAAATTAAGAATAGCACCTAGAATGGGATGAGTTTCTAGAGTTAAGTTTTCACTATAACTAGGGCTTCCTTGATGTTTTGAAATCAAAAGTGATGCCTGCATTTGCCAGTCTTCCTTCCGTCCCCAGCAATTCTCAGTATGTCTGTGAGAGAAATCTGGGCCAGTGCATGCAAGGACAATTATGACAAGCTTCTTCTGTCATATTTTTGCAAAAGGAGAAAACTTCTACATGTCTAGGCCTCAGAAACAAAAGTTAATTTTCAATTCAAGTTTACATTTCCTTTAG
This sequence comes from Homo sapiens, assembly GCF_000001405.40. NCBI lineage: Eukaryota > Metazoa > Chordata > Mammalia > Primates > Hominidae > Homo > Homo sapiens. The sequence goes on from NC_000004.12 coordinate 105,078,640, forward strand.
GGGAAGAGCTGTCTAGTGAATTAGATAATTTTCAAAATTTCCTAGCAGAAATAAAAATCCAAGTTAAAGAAGGAAAATGAAAACAATTACAAATGGTAAGTTATCTGCCATGAACAACAACTGCTGGGTCTTGAAAGTAGGAGAGGGAGGTGTACGGCTTAATTAGGAAGTGTCCTCCCAGAATACCAATGGTCTCCCAGCTACTCTGCTTAGTTTGCCACAGACCATTGTCTTTCTTCATAAATCTAAATTAGCATCTGCAGCCACTTTCCTAGAAATGAAGATTTTAGCTCAGTGCTTCATTTTGAACACCCACTGGTCTTGAACTAAATTTAAATCATGAATGGAGTATTATTTAAAGGTTGATGATCTTCACACAGCATCACTTTAGCAATGAAACTAAAACCCCCTGAACTAAATTCTGCTTTATAGCCAACAGTGCCATGGTTAGGTTCCAGTTTAATAAAATTGTCTTGCTTTTGTAACTTTAAATGCCTTTAGACATTTTTTTTCAACATGCTATTGTAATGTATATAACATTGAGCATGAAGTGATTAAACAATAAAACCTTGAGCTAATTTGCAGGTGGGGGTGGATAATAGAGTCCCATGGGAAGTGCCATGGTCCTTCCCAAATTGAGGGAGGAAAGGTAGAGTCTCTTTTCATCTCTAACTTCAAACAAGACCAACTCTTTTGTCCCCAAGGGGATTTTAAGCCTCCATTCCAAAGGAAACACTGATTCCACTGAGAAGATTCAGGGTCCAGTGCGATCGCAAAACTTAACTTCTTTGTTATGCTTGTGAAAGCTAGAAGTAGAGTCTGTTAGTCTGTTCTTTCACTAGTATAAAGAAAACCTGAGACTGGATAATTTATAAGAAAAGAGGTTTAATTGGCTCACAGTTCTGCAGGCTGTACAGGAAGCATGGCTAGTGAGGCCTCAGGAAATTTACAATCATGGTTGAAGGCAAAGGAGGAAGCAGGCATGTCTTCACATGGCCACAGCAGGAGAAAGAGAGATGGGGAGAAGGTGCTATACACATTTAAACAAACAGATCTCATGAGAACTCACTTAATATCATGAGAATAGCACCAAGGGAGATGGTATTAAACCATTAGAAACTGCACCCATGATCCAATCACCTCCCACCAGGCCCCACTTCCAACACTGGGGATTACAATTTGACATGAGGTTTGGGCAGGGACACAGACCCAAACCATAACAAAGGAGTTATGCGTGGAAGGGTGTGGTTGGGAAAGGACAGGTAATCTTATTGTTAGACAGACCCAAATCTGCAGAGCCCAGAGATGGTACAGACCTTTTATGTTTCAGTCTATAAGCATTGGCCCTAAGGAATAGCCAAGGCAGTTTCTTGTTGTGCTGGGTCCCGGAAAGAAGCTGTACATCCTACAGACTTTTCAGCTAAAGTTGGGCATCTAGAATGTGATTTTTTTTTTATTATACATTAAGTTTTAGGATACATGTGCACAACGTGCAGTTTTGTTACATGTATATACATGTGCCATGTTGGTGTGCTGCACCCATTAACTCATCATTTAATATTAGGTATATCTCCTAATGCTATCCCTCCCCCCTCCCCCCACCCCACAACAGGCCCCGGTGTGTGATGTTCCCCTTCCTGTATCCATGTGTTCCCATTGTTCAATTCCCACCTATGAGTGAGAACATGAGGTGTTTGGTTTTTTGTCCTTGCGATAGTTTGCTGAGAATGATGGTTTCCAGCTTCATCCATGTCCCTACAAAGGACATGAACTCATCCTTTTTTATAGCTGCATAGTATTCCATGGTGTATATGTGCCACATTTTCTTAATCCAGTCTATCATTGTTGGACATTTAGGTTGGTTCCAAGTCTTTGCTATTGTGAAGAGTGCCACAATAAACATACATGTGCATGTGTCTTCATAGCAGCATGATTTATAATCCTTTGGGTATATACCCAGTAATGGGATGGCTGGGTCAAACAGTAATTCTAGTTCTAGATCCCTGAGGAATTGCCACACTGAATTCCACAATGGTTGAACGAGTTTACAGTACCACCAACAAAGTAAAAGTGTTCCTATTTCTCCACATCCTCTCCAGCACCTGTTGTTTCCTGACTTTTGAATGATCGCCATTCTAACTGGTGTGAGATGGTATCTCATTGTGGTTTTGATTTGCATTTCCCTGATGTCCAATGATGATGAGCATTTATTCATGTGTCTTTCAGCTGCATAAATGTCTTCTTTTGAGAAGTGTCTGTTCATAACCTTCGCCCACTTTTTGATGGGGTTGTTTGTTTTTTTCTTGTAAATTTGTTTGAGTTCATTGTAGATTCTGGATATTAGCCCTTTGTCAGATGAGTAGATTGCAACAATTTTCTCCCATTCTGTAGGTTGCCTGTTCACTCTGATAGTAGTTTCTTTTGCTGTGCAGAAGCTCTTTAGTTTAATTAGATCCCATTTGTCAATTTTGACTTCTTTTGCCATTGCTTTTTGTGTTTAGACATGAAGTCCTTGCCCATGCCTATGTCCTGAATGGTATTTCTAGGTTTTCTCCTAGCATTTTTATGGTTTTAGGTCTAACATTTAAATCTTTAATCCATCTTGAATTAATTTTAGTATAAGGTGTAATGAAGGGATCCAGTTTCAGCTTTCTACATATGGCTAGCCAGTTTTCCCAGCACCATTTATTAAATAGGGAATCCTTCCCCATTTCTTGTTTTTCTCAGGTTTGTCAAAGATCAGATAGTTGTAGATATGTGGCATTATTTCTGAGGGCTCTGTTGTGTTCCATTGATCTATATCTCTGTTTTGGTAGCAGTACCATGCTGTTTTGGTTACTGTAGCCTTGTAGTATAGTTTGAAGTCAGGTAGCGTGATGCCTCCAGCTTTGTTCTTTTGGCTTAGGATTGACTTGGCGATGTGGGCTCTTTTTTGGTTCCATATGAACTTTAAAGTAGTTTTTTCCAATTCTGTGAAGAAAGTCTTTGGTAGCTTGATGGGGATGGCATTGAATCTATAAATTACCTTGGGCAGTATGGCCATTTTCATGATATTGATTCTTCCTACCCATGAGCATGAAATGTTCTTCCATTTGTTTGTATCCTCTTTTATTTCATTGAGCAGTGGTTTGTAGTTCTCCTTGAAGAGGTCCTTCACATCCCATGTAAGTTGGACTCCTAGGTATTTTATTCTCTTTGAAGCAATTGTGAATGGGAGTTCACTCATGATTTGTCTCTCTGTTTGTCTGTTACTGGTGTACAAGAAAGCTTGTGATTTTTGCACATTGATTTTGTATCCTGAGACTTTGCTGAAGTTGCTTATCAGCTTAAGGAGATTTTGGACTGAGACGATGGGGTTTTCTAGATATACAATCATGTCATCTGGAAACAGGGACAATTTGACTTCCTCTTTTCCTAATTGAATACGCTTTATTTCTTTCTTCTGCCTGATTCCCTGGCCAGAACTTCCAATACTATGTTGAATAGGAGTGGTGAGAGAGGGCATCCCTGTCTTGTGCCAGTTTTCAAAGGGAATGCTTCCAGTTTTTGCCCATTCAGTATGATATTGGCCGTGGGTTTTTCACAAATAGCTCTTATTATTTTGAGATACATCCCATCAGTACCTAATTTATTGAGAGTTTTTAGCATGAAGGGCTGTTGAATTTTGTCAAAGGCATTTTCTGCATCTATTGAGATAATCATGTGATTTTTGTCATTGGTTCTGTTTATATGCTGGATTACATTTATTGATTTGCATATGTTGAACCAGCCTTGCATCCCAGGGATGAAGCCCATTTGATCATGGTGGATAAGCTTTTTGATGTGCTGCTGGATTCGGTTTGCCAGTATTTTATTGAGGATTTTTGCATCGATGTTCATCAGGGATATTGGTCTAAAATTCTCTTTTTTTGTTGTTTCTCTGCCAGGCTTTGGTATCAGTATGATGCTGGCCTCATAAAATGAGTTAGGGAGGATTCCCTCTTTTTCTGTTGATTGGAGTAGTTTCAGAAGGAATGGTACCAGCTCCTTCTTGTACCTCTGGTAGAATTCGGCTGTGAATCCGTCTGGTCCTGGACTTTTTTTGGTTGGTAAACTATTAATTATGGCCTCGATTTCAGAGCCTGTTTTTGGTCTATTCAGAGATTCAACTTCTTCCTAGTTTAGTCTTGGGAGAGTGTGTGTGTTGAGGATTTTATCCATTTCTTCCAGATTATCTAGTTTATTTGCGAAGAGGTGCTTATAGTATTCTCTGATGGTAGTTTGTATTTCTGTGGGATCGGTGGTGATATCCCCTTTATCATTTTTTATTGAGTCTATTTGATTCTTCTCTCTTTTCTTCTTAGTCTTGCTAGCAGTCTATCAATTTTGTTGATCTTTTCAAAAAACCAGCTCCTGGATTCATTGATTTTTTGAAGGGTTTTTTGTGTCTCTATTTCCTTCAGTTCTGCTCTGATCTTAGTTATTTCTTGCTTTTTGCTAGCTTTTGAATGTGTTTGCTCTTGCTTCTCTAGTTCTTTTAATTGTGATGTTAGGGTGTCAATTTTAGATCTTTCCTGCTTTCTCTTGTGGGCATTTAGTGCTATAAATTTCCCTCTACACACTGCTTTGAATGTGTCCCAGAGATTCTGGTATATTGTATCTTTGTTCTCATTGGTTTCAAAGAACATCTTTATTTCTGCCTTCATTTCGTTATGTACCCAGTAGTCATTCAGGAGCAGGTTGTTCAGTTCCCATGTAGTTGAGCAGTTTTGAGTGAGTTTCTTAATCCTGAGTTCCAGTTTGATTGCACTGTGGTCTTAGAGACAGTTGGTTATAATTTCTGTTCTTTTATATTTGCTGAGGAGTGCTTCACTTCCAACTATGTGGTCAATTTTGGAATAGGTGTGGTGTGGTGCTGAAAAGAATGTATATTCTGTTGATTTGTAGTGGAGAGTTCTGTAGATGTCTATTAGGTCTGCTTGGTGTAGAGCTGAGTTCAATTCCTGAATATCCTTGTTAACTTTCTGACTCGTTGATCTGTCTAATGTTGACAGTGGGATATTAAAGTCTCCCATTATTATTGTGTGGGAATCTAAGTCTCTTTGTGGAGTGTGATATTTTTGATGTATTATTATGCTTTTGAGGGGTGGGAGAGAAGGAAGAGGACCTATAAAAAGAAAAATCCCACCCTGTCAACCTAGGGAAGAGTCAGAATTGCCTAGAGGAGTTAAAGGGGACTTAACAGAGCAAGGTTCTACTTCATTTTTGTTTTTCCTCCCCACTTGAAAATATAGACAACTCAAGTCTCATTAATGCACAAGTCAAAGGTAATGGTGCTGAAACAAGAAGCAAGCATCTCAACTCATGGTAGAACTTGAGCTAAGAACAATGGGGCAGACAAACAGAGAGTGTTCACCTGGCAAGTGTATGCCAACCTTCCACATGGTCTTGAGATGTGAGGCCACCATGGGCAACTTAAATGTCCACTTGAACAATTCCAGCATCTTCCATATTGGGTATTAACAAGATCAGCTTTTCCTCTAATATCTGATAGTATCTAATATTCTAAAAGTACGGAATTCATCACTGGACGACATGGATACATTCTGAAAAATGCATCACTGGGCAATTTTGTCATTGTGCCAACCTATTATAGGAACCTAGATGGTTTAGCCTACTACACACATAGGCTATATGGTATAGCCTATTCTCCTAGGCTACAAACCTGTACAGCATGTTACTGTACTGAGTACTGTAGGCAGTTGTAACAAGACGGTAAGTATTTGTGCATCTAAACATAGAAAAGGTACAGTAAAACTATAGTATAAAAGATAAATGATAGTGCACCTATATAGGGCATTTACCATGAGTGGAGCTTGCAGGACTGAAAATTGCTCTGGGTGAGTCAGTGAGTGAGTGATGAGTGAATACAAAGGTCTAGGACGTTAATTACTATACAGTTCTGTAGACTTTATAAACACTGAACACTTAGGCTACACTAAATTTATTTCAAAATTTCTTCAATAATAATCTTAGCTTATTGTAAATTTTTTACTACATAAACATTTTAATTTTTCCAACTTTTTGACTCTTTTTTAATAATATAGCTTAAAACACATTATACAGCTATACAGAAATATTTTTTATATCCTTAGAATTGTTTTTTACTTTTTGAAATTTTTGTGTTAAAAACTAGAACATAAACACCCGTATTAGCCTAGGCCTACAGAATAATCAATATCTCTGTTTTCTATCTCCACATCTTGTACCACTGGAAAGTCTTCACAAGCAATAAACACACATAGAGCTGTCACCTTCTATGACAAGAATGTCTTCTCTGGAATACCTCCTAAAGAACCTGGCTGGGGATCTTCTTGAGGAGGTGTGACTCTTCAGAAAGATGTTCATGATGGTTTGTTTGGTTTGTTCCTGGTTTTCATTACAGATTTGCTTGGAAGCAGATAATGCACCATGAACATTCCTCTCTATAAATGAAAATCTTTCAGTGTTAGGGCCCATGTTTTCAAACTTTTTAAGGAGATTTTAAGCTCTGCAAAAGCTTCTGCTAAACCCTTTGCTGCGAATTTTCTTGGAGGTTCTTCTTTTTCTTCTCCTTCAGTTTCCTTTTCTCTTGCCTCTTCTTCAGCTGTGCATTTCTGTTCCAGTTCCAATTCATTAGTTAGTTCCTCAAGAACCACCTGCAGGATCTCCTCGATGTCATCCTCATCCATATCCAGGTTAAAGTTGTTTGCCATCTCAACCACAGACTTGTTAATTTTTGCAACCTCATCCTTAACAATTTCTTTGAAATCACAGGCAAACCTTTTGAGTGTCTTCTTCCAGATGCCATGCACACACTTTTTGGTAACATCACCTGAAGCCCAAGCAAGGTTCTTGATGCAGTCATAGGTATTGTAACCCTTCCATCAGTATTTTCTCAGTGTCTAGTCGCAACAGCATCCTGGGCAAATGTCTTACTTAAGTAGTAGACCTTAAAAGCTGTTATAACTTCTTGACCCCTTCATTGAATCAAAAAGGTGGTTTTTAGAGGGGAAAAGATCACTTTGATATTGGAATAAAGATCATCAATAAAAGGAAGATGTGTGGGAGCATTATCAACAATAAGCAAAATCTTTAAAAGTGTTTTTTCCAGACAGTACTTCTCCATGTCACTGGCATAGCAATTCAGGAAGGCATCTTGGAAAGGGAAACGGGTCACCCATGAGTTCTTATTGCTATTATAGTACACTGGCAGCATGTGCTTATTGATATTCTTAAAGGCCTTGAGTTCCCATTGTGACAAATCACAAAGAGTTTCAATTTTTAACCTGCTACACTGCCCCCAAGAAAGACTGTTATCCTGTCCTTAAAAACCTTGAAACCTGGTATTGACTTGGCCTCTTCATAGATCAAAGTTTTTTCGGGCATCTGTTTCTAGAATAGGAGGTTTCATTCATATTGAAGATTTGTTCTGGCAAGTAATTTTTCTCTACAATTTGTTTATCTAGAGTTTCCAAAATTTTTTCAGCTTCCTTCACATCAACAGCCACAGACTCACCTCTCACTTTCACATTATTTAATGAATAACAATTATTGAATCATTTAAACTACCCAGAACTAACAGTAAATTCAACATCATAGTCAGGTCTAGCCATTTCTTTCAACATCACAAGCTTTTTGTTTTGGTTGTGATCATCAAGATGCTGAGAGGGATATGCTTCTGTGTCTGGTCTTCAATTCAGGTCAGTAGAAGTTTCTTTCTCCATATCTGATAAATGCCCTTCTTGAATTTGTGTTAGTTTTGTTGCCTTTAATGAAACAGATGCTTTAACACCTTCCATCATTTTGCTCTTGTCCTTCAATATGGTAGCCATGGTCCAATGGGACATGCCTGACTGACAGGCAGTAACCACCACTGATTTTCCACCTTTGTAGTCCTTCATCATTTTTAATTTCATTTCCAGGTCATTTACTCAATGTGGCTTCTTACTGACACCATTCACCATGGATTTTGTACACTTGGGGCCATGATGAACAAAACACAAGATTAAGTCAAGGATAAGAGAAAATGATGCAATCAGGAGATGCAGTAAACATAAGATGTATGAGGCTGCTAATAGCATAACACGATATACTATTTTACAGTAATAAGCAGAAAGAGTACAGTCTGAAATAATAAAAAGTATTGTAATACATTAGCCAGTAATATAGTCATTTATTATCATTATCAATTATTATGTACTGTACATAATGGTATAGGCTATGCTTTTATATGGCTGGCAATGCAGTAGGTTTGTTTACACCAGTATCACCACAAACACATGAGTAATGTGGCATGTTAGGGCTTTATGGCTACAACATCACTAGATGATAGGAATTTTTCAGCTCCATTATAATCTTATGAGACCACTGTCTTATACACAGCCTATTGTTGACCAAAACATTGTCATGCAACATATTACTATATATTGTATCAAATGTTGAAGAACTAATGTACAGCATGGAATGTTCAAAAATATATGAAAAGTAGCTACTATGACCTCGGAAGCTGAGGAGAATTTCAGGGATGCTCAGACAATTCTGGACTTCAGAGAAATAGACATCCCATTCTGTCAGAAACAGAACAAAGGTAGATTTCTTGCTGATATCCTGAAGATTGTTAGGAGAGGAAAATGAGACCAAGAAGAGTTATAGCCAGGCTCTACAAATGTCTCTGGCATCAACAAATCAATATACAATTTGAGAAACCCAATGTAATATATGACTAATCATCAAAAATCTGTGATATTTCTAAATACATTACTGTGTGTATGTGTGTGTGTGTGTGTGTGTGTGTGTGCATGTGTTTACAGAAACCCTGAAACAGAATGGAGACAAAGGTATTACTGCTGCTATCAATCAATTAATAAAAACAGTATGAAAAGTCCATTACTATCTGTACTTCAGTTTCATGTGCTGGATAGAAAGAAAGAAATATTCATGAGTCAATTGCTGTATTTTCATCCATGATATCATCTTTGATTGTCATCCCAAAATAGCACAAAAGTGATCATTATAATCACAAAACAATTCCATAGGGTTCTTTAAAGTTTAAAACAGTTTCTTATGTGTTATTTAATTGCATAATAGCACTGTGAGAAACACAGGCTATCAGAGCAGAAATAGCAGCCCTATGAAGAAAGAGGAATGATGAAAAAGAAAGAAAGGAAGGAGAGAAATGTGAAGAGGGGAGGAAAAAAAGAAGGAGGGAGAGGAAAAGCTGCCTATCCATCACTTGTTATAATTGGATACCAATCTTAATCTTAATGTCTCCTAACAAGTCTTCCAAGGGTCAAGATCCACGTAGTTCTTTTTACTCTCCAGTAATAATTGCTTTACAAATTTTAAGTAATATTATTATCATCATCACCAATCTTAGCTAGAAAGTTTTCTTATAAACTCATATATAAAATTGGGGAAGCTTCAGAATAAACAGAGCACAGTGAAGCACAAAGTTGAGGTTAAAAAAGCAAGCAACAAGCACTAGCTTTCTCTATAGTCATCATCTTTCTCCCTGATGCGCTGTGTAGCTAAGTAGTAAGCTTACATTAAAAACGGGATTGTAGAGTGAGTTTGCCTGAGAATGCCTCTCCAAGACCAGCCTAGGAAGTGCAAATCCCTCCCATTTTGTCCTCAGTTCAACTCCCAAGATTCCCAACCTCGGTGTGTGAGTCACATTGCAATTGCCTACGATATGCATCTGCACGGATTCCTTCTGCTTCAGCAGGGAATTTCAAGCTCCTGCCTGCCTATAATGAAGAAGAAAATTAGTGCGACAACGTGTCCGGATGCTGAAAAGCTGGCAGCCAGCAAAACAGTAGTGCATTTGGCTAATTTTCTTTTCCAGGCTTTTTACTGTAAAGAAAATTGGCCTCCATGGATTAAAAATATTTCAACATTTGCATCCCTTTCTTGAGTCTGATCTCTTTGTTTCCATTTTAATATGTCGTGGGAAGTTTCCTGTGAAAATGTAAACAAGCTTTGTGTTTATTTTAATCACTTTTTCCTCCTGTTTTCGGGCTGTAGACAACCCCAGCCCTTACTCAAATTCTGGTGGTTAGAGTAGAACACAACCAAGTTGTAACCCAAGCCTGTCCTTTTGTAAGAGGAAGTGGTGGGATAAATAAAAGGAAGGCATTTCCTAAAGTAGCTGAGAGTCCTATTAACTGGCTAAAGAACTAACTCCTCAATGAAGAATTAGTCAACTGAACTAGTTTAAGAAAACCTTTGAGGTGAATAATTCACAGCTTTGGAACCTAAATACCCACCCAAGAAGGAATCTTTCCTTTTCCTGTTAATCCTGAATATTGTATCTCTACTTTGCTTCTGGAATCACCTTGAAAGTGTTGCCATCTTCAGTGTTTCTACTCCCTCTCATCTGATTGATTAACCCACTATAGTCTAGCTTCTATTCTTACTACCTTACTGAAATTTACAAAGACAGATGTCAACAATGATCTACTTTTTGTATAAGTAATACATTATGATCAATACAGTAAATGTTTCTACTACCTATTTTACTGGATTTCTCTGTTGTATCTGAAGATGTAAACCACTCTCCTTTGAGAATTTTGTCTTCTTTTGTTTTCCATGGCATCATGGAAACCTGATTCCTTTTCAACATTGCAGATCATCAATCCTTAGTCTTCTTCACTGAATTCTCTTCCATTGTCCTCTTAAAATAGGAGTTATATTTTATAATCTCATTCATTCTCATCTTTTCAATATCACCTCTATATAATTTTCCCATTTATATGTCTAGCCTAGACTTCCTTCCTAAATCCTTACATCTTGATCTGCACGCTTTGATTCTAGCAGTGCTATTGTGAACAATTCCAAACCACCTCCTGCTGCCAAAATCTCACCTCAAGTGCTTGCTTCTCTTGTCTTTTCCTGTTGCGACTCAAGTCCTTTTATAATGTCATAGAAGCATTTTTGCCCACTTAAACAAGAGCAGCTCACAAGACAGAAGTCAGAAGGTATATGTTTCAGACTCCCACCTTTCAGATGGGTAATTCTTGGAGGCTTTCTTTGTTTTTCTCAAAAGTCCCTCGTTGCCTAGAGCACTGACCTCAATAAAGTACCCTTACACTGGCTCTTCCTTTTTCCCTATTTCACTTTCCCTCTGTGACCACTCAGGTTTTGTGAGATCACTTGCCAAACCAACTACTTATGGCCAAATACCTTTTTTTAATAGATTTTATTTTTTAGACCACTTTTAGTTTCACATCAAAAGGGAGCAGAAGATACAGAGAGCTCCCATATGTAATGCTTGTCCTCACATGTGCACAGTCTCCCCCATTATCAACATCCTGCCCCACAGTTGAACATTTGTTAAAATCCATGAACCTACATTAAAACATCATTGTCACCCAAGGCCTATCGTTTACACTAGGATTTACTCTTGGTGATGTATATTATTATAGGTTTAGACAAATTTATAATGACATCTGTCTACCATTATAGTGTCATACAGAGTTATTTCACTGGCCTGAAAATCCTCTGTGCTCCTCGACCTATTCATCTCTACCTCCCCATAACCCCTGGCAACCAGTGATCTTTTTACTGTCTTCATAGTTTTGAATTTTTCAGAACATCATATAGTTGAAATCCTGTAGTATATAGGCTTTTAAGATTGGCTTCTTTCACCTCATAATATGCATTTTAAGTTTCCCTCATGTCTTTTCATAGCTTGATAGCTCATTTCTCTTTGGTGCTGAATAATATTTCAATGTCTACATGTACCACAGTTTATCCACTCACCTACTGAAGGACATCTTACTTGCTTCCAAGTTTTGGTAATTATGAATAATCAGGCCACAAAAATCTGCGTGCCCCGCATGTGTTTCCCCCATGCTGTTCTCGTGATAGTGAGGGAGTTCTCACAACAGCTCGTGATTTTAAGTTTGACACTTCCACACTCTTTCTCTCTCTCTCTCTCTCTCTCCTGCCGCCATATAAGAAGTGCCTTGCTTCCCCTTTGCCTTCTGCCACGACTGTAGGTCTCTTGAGGCCACCCCAGCCATGTGGAACTATGAATCAATTAAACCTCTTTTGTTTATAAATTACCCAATCTCAGGTAGTTTCTTTATAGCAATGTGAAAATGAACTAATGCAAATACCAAGGATAATTGCTGGATCATATGTATGATAAGAGTATATTTAGTTTTTTTAAAAATAAAATTGAGACAGGGTCTCACCATGTTGCCCAGTCTGGTCTCAAATTCCTGGGTTCAAGTAATCCTCCCACCTTGGCCTCCCAAAGTGCTGGAATTACATGCATGAGCCACAGTACCTTCCTGGCCTATTTACTTTTATAAGAAACTGCCAAACTGTCTTCCGAAGTGGCTGTATCATTTTGCATTCCCACCAGCAATAAATGAGCATTCCTGTTGCTCCACATTCTCACAAGCATTTGATGTTGTCAGTGTTTTTGATTTTTGGTTATTCTCATTGATGTGTAGTGCCATCTCATTGTCATTTTAATTTGCATTTCCTGAATGAGGTGGATTATCTTTTTATTGTTTATTTACCATCCATAGGTCTTATTTGGTGAAGTGTCTGTTGGGGTTTTGGGCCCATTTTTCAATGGTACCCAAGTTCTTATTTTAGGCATTGCTTTAAGGGAAACCAAAAGATAATTGGTACCAGCAATGATCCTGCAAAACAGAAGAATGAGATCCTATAACTAGATTGTTTACATTTAGATGATACCAATAATTGAATGACTGGTAATAAGCAGGATGGTGATAAGACCTAACATGCAGTACCATTCAATTATTAAGACCAGCCTATCCAGCATGGTGAAACCCCATCTCTACTAAAAATGCAAAAATTAGTGGGGCATGATAGTGCACCCCTCTAATCCCAGCTACTCGGGAGGCTAAGGTGGGAGAACTGCTTGAATCTGGGAGGCGGAGGCTGCAGTGAGCCGAGATCACGTCTCTGCATTCCAGCCTGGGAAACAGCAAGACCCCACCTCAAAAAAAAAACAACAACAACACACAACTCTCATCTGTAGTGGATGTGACAAATACAGAGGAAAAGAAAGGTATTGCGTTCATTGATATTGGGCAATAGTAATTATAAGGATTATGGAATTCAATGGCCTTCATTAAATGCCTTAAATGTCTTGAAAAAATATGAGTATGAAATAAAAATAATATGTCGGGTTCAGCTATGTCCTGTGAAGTGCACCCTGTGAAGATCAGAAGACCTCAATGGATGGGTAAAAAGAGACCTTCAACTCCTATAATCAAAGGGTAGTTCTATGCTGAAAGTCAGGTCAAATATTTAAACCTTGTGAAGACACTGAATGTGCAGCCTTGAAAAATCTTCAAAGCTGAAGACACAGCCATAATAGGGGAGTAGTAAAATCCTAAAACCTGATATGGGAATATCTGTAGATTCATTACACCACCATGGCACATGTATACATATGTAACTAACGTGCACATTGTGCACATGTACCCTAAAACTTAAAGTATAATAATAATAATAATAAAAAAAAGAAAAAAAAAGATTGAACCCTAAGTTCTCCTGGATCCTCCAGATTGGCATAAGCAGCCACTGCCCCTGCCAGAGAGGAGTCCTTCTTACCTGGAGATATTGTCCAGATCTCACCTGAAGCAGATGCCTAGCAAGGTGATGTTTCTTCCTCAATATCCACTATTGCCTTTCCTTCTAGCTTCCAAACCAATAATTAAAGTCATATATCAGGGTACACTAAGTGGGGAAATACAATCCCTCTTCCAGAAAGAAATAGCTTATTCACATTTTGTATTACCGGCTTATATGTTCTGGCAGAAATTGGTAAAATATGTGTGGGAGTGGATTTTGAGGGTTAAGCTGGGCAGACAGTATATAAATCTGAATAAGGGAGAGGTTGTTGACATTGGAGTATTCTTTCATGACTCAGGATTTAATGCCTTGGCAAGAACACCTGGATCCACTCCAAATACAGAACTGGGATCCCTCTTTGAAACTTAGTCACATTTATGGCCCATAGTAATAATGGTGGAGATGCTGGAACTGTGTTGGCAGAGTATTGGAGAAAGATTTAGAAGTGGGAGAAAAACTCACTCTGACTGTGTTCTTCGGAAGAGCCCAGAAGATACGCCTTTACTAACAAAATAAAGAATAAACTTTATGGGAGAGTAGCCAGTTATATCTTTGAAAATTTCAATGGTAGCTCTTCTCTGTAGGACAGGGTAGATAGAAGGAAATGATGTCATGGTGGAACTCATTTCCTCTCTATCAATGGCAATGTAAAATTCCAAAGCATCAGATAGGAGGTTGCAACACTTAACAGTCATAGGCAAGGTGGAAATAATAACCATAATAGGCAGCAAATCTAGAATGACAATCAGGAGTCAATCAAGAGTGAGGCAGATGGGCTGCTGACTACAGACAAAAATCAATGGCTGGTAAACAGAAGACTGATCTCAGCTGCTACAGTGGAAAATCACAATTATTCATCAAGCTTCAAGCTTTAAGATCTGATCCAATTCTCAAAAAAAGAGTCATTAAAGAGGATAATGTTCACTGCAAGGAAAGATCCCTAAAGGTCCCCTTAAGGAAGGTATATTGTATATACTGCTACAGCAAATATATACAGTAAACATGCTCCAAATTCATTATCTGAAGAAACTGACCACTTACCAGACTAAGTTGTGCACTGGGGAAAGAGGAGGACTCTGACCTTTCAAGGACTATTAGATATATCCCTAAGCCGACAAAAATACAAAGAGACATGCTATGTTGTCATACCTCACTACCTCAATTAGAGTGGGGCTTTTGAAGGTCAGATGAATCCTCTCCAAAGACTATCTCACAATGAGTTTGTATACCCATTCTGTTGTTATTTCCCCTGTGCCTGAGTGTACAATTGGGATGAATATGATTAGTAGCTAACAAACACTCACTCACATGGTTCCTTGAGCTGTCCAATAAGAACAATTGTTATATGAAAGGCCAAGGATAAGGCTTTGAAGTTACCCTTACCCACTTAAGATAGTAAATCAGAATACCATGCTCAATGAAAATCCAAGCTTAATGCTACAATCAAGATGTAAAGGCACAGGTATTGTGGTCATCATCATATCATTGTCTGGTTGACATCATTACAGATAATAGCTGATTACCATGAAAATACCAAATGAGACCCACAATTGCACGTCTGTGTCAGATGTGGTATGTTGACTAGAACTGATCAACATCACTTGTTGATCAGGCAGTGGCAGTTGGTATGTAGCTATTAATCTGATTAATATGTTCTTTTCAATCCTCATCAATAATGAAGATGAAAGAAATTCGCATTTATGTGGAAAGGACAGCAATGCACATTCACTGCCTTGTCCCCAGGCTATGTTATTTATCCTGTTCTCTGTCAAAATGTAGTACAAAGGAAACTAGATCATCTTGACATTCTAGAGAAAATTATGCTGGCCTACTATATTGATGAAATTATAATGAACAGGAAATGGTGAGTAGCTCTGTTACCATTGTCAAATCATATATTCCAATGAGTCAGAGATAAAAGCTACAAAGATTGAGAGGCTGCTACATACTTTGAAGATTTTTAGGAAGCCAATAGCCTGGCACATATTTGAACATGTTGTCGTGTACTCCAAGAAAAAAGACAAGCTATTGCACCTTGCAACCTTGCAACTAAGAAAAAGACACATTCAGTCGTGCAACAGGTGCTGTCAGTGTTTTGCACAGAACATCTTATTATTTTCCATTTCTTTGCTTATAGGTCTGACTTCTAATTGCCAGCACTGTAATTTTTTGCTCGAAAGCTCCCTTTCTGACCACCAGACTATGGAGAAGGCCAGAAAAGCCCAATAATTAATTCCTCCCAAGATTAATCCTCAATTAGTGACTAATAACAGTTGGTGGATACTTCCTAAGTACTGCGTTTCACAAAGTCTATAAGAGTTCCTAAGAAGGATTAAGCTCTAGTTGCCCTCAGTGATAACTTGCTTGAAAATTTCATCTTTATGAGATGCAACTCACATAGTGCTCAGAGAGGAATTTATAGTTGTAAACACCTATACCTAAAAATGAAGAAAGAACTCAAATCAATAATCTGAACTTCTTCCATATGAAACTAAAATAAAAAAGAGCAAATTAAACCCAAAACCAGAAGAGGGAAGGAAATAATGATAATTAGAATGTAAATAAATAAAATAGAGAATAGAAAAGCAACACAATCAACAAAACCAAAGCTTGGCTCTCTGAAAAGATCAATAAAATTGAGAAATCTTTAGCTAAAAAAAGAGAATTACTGAAACAGGGAATGAAAGAGGAAACATAACTACTGACCATAGAGAAATAAAAAGTAATCTAAAGAAATACAGTGAACAAATGTATACCAACAAATTAGATAACTTAAATAAAATCTACAACTTCTTAGAAGGATACAAGGCTGGGTATATGCCTGGTGGCTCATGCCTGTAATCTCAGTACTTAGGGAGGCAAACGTAGATGGATCACTTGAGCTCAGGAATTCAAGTCCAGCCTAGGCAACATGGCTGTCTGTCTCTATACAAAATACAAAAATTAGCCAGGCATGGTGGTGCATGACTGTCATCCCAATTACTCAGGAGGCTGAGGTGGGATGATCACTTGAGCCTGGGAGGTCAAGGCTTCAGTAAGCCAACATCACACCACATACTCCAGCCTAGGGGACAGTATGAGACCCTGTCTTAAAAAAAAAAAAAAAAAAAAAAAAAACACAAATGACTGAAATTGTGTCAAGAAATAGATTGAACAGACTTATAATAAGTACAAAAAAATTGATTAGAAATGGGGAAACTTCCCTCCATGAACAACCCGGATGTAAGCGTGGGCAATGTTGCAAAACCTCATCTCTGAAAAAAAAAAAAAAAAATCAGCCAGGTGTGGTGGCAAGTGCTTGTAGTCCCAGCTGCTTGGGAGGCTGAGGTGGGAGGATTACCTGAGCCAAGAAAGGTCAAGGCTATGTGATCAGGGCACTGCACTCCAGTCTGGGTGACAGAGTGATACTCTGTCTCAAAAAAAAGAAAAGCCTAGATTCAGATGGCTTCACTGGTGAATTCTACCAAATATTTAAGGAAAAATTAACACAAATCCTTTACAAATCTTCTAGTAATATAAAAGAAAGGAGCATTTTCCATCTCATTCTATGAGGCCAGTTTTACCTTAATAGCAAAACTAGACAAAGACAATAAAAACTATAAATAAAGACATAAAAATTCTCTGTAAAATACTAGCAAACCAATACTAGAATCATTAAAAAAGATTATAGACCATGAACAAATAAGATTTATTCCAGGAATACAAGGTTGTTTTGATATCCAAAAAATCAATTAATGTAATATCCAATATTAATAGAACAAAAAACAAAATCATATCATCTCAACAGATACAGAAAATGCATTTGACAAAAATCTAATACTCTTTCATGATGAAAAAGAAATACTCAATAAACTAGGAATAGACGGGAACTTCCTCAATCTGATAAGGAATATCTGTGAAAAACTTCATCTACCATTATACTTCATGGTAAGACACTAAACTTTTTCCCCTTAAGATCAGGAACAAGACAAGGATGCCGACTTTTGCCTCTTCTACTGAACATTGTACTGGAGGTTGCAGCCAAGGCAATTAGGCCAGAAAAAAAAATGTATACAAATTGGAAAAAAAGAAGTAAAACTACCTCTATTTTGGGGTAATATGATTTTGCATATAGAAAATCATAAGGAAATTTAAAACTAGCAGAAATAATAAAGTCGAAGATTATATGGTATAAGGTCAGTGTGCAAAATCAATTGTAACTGTGTACACTTGCAATAAATATGAAAATGAAATTAAGAAAACAATTCCACTTATAATAGCATTAAAAAGAATAAAATACTTAGAACTAAATCTAACAGAAGTGCAAAAAATGTATACTGAAAAGTAGAAAATACTGTTGAAATAAATTGAGGAAGAATAAATAAATATCAAGACATCTCACGTTCATAGATCAGAAGACTTAGTATTGTTAAAAAGGAAGTATTTCCCAAATGTATCTGTATACTCAGCAAAATATCTATTAAAATCCCAGACAACTCCTCTGAAAAAATTGGATATGATTCAAAAATGTATACAAAAATTGAAGAGATCCAGAATAGACAAAATAATCTGAAAACAAAAGAACAAAATTGGAGAACTCATACTTCCCAATTTCAAATATAATCGTAAAGCTAAGGTAATCAAGACAGTGTGTTCCTGATGTAAGACTAGAAATATAAATAAATAAAATGAAATAGACATTCCTGAAATAAACTCTCACATATAAACTCAATTGATTTTCATCAAAAGTGCCAAGAAACAGTAATGGGAAAAGAACAATCTTTTCAACAAATGGTGCTGGGATAACTGAATAACCAAAAAGAATCCAAAAATTGAATTTGGACTCAGACTTTTTACCATATATAAAAATCAAGTCAAAATGAATTATAGACCTAAATATGATAGTCAAAACTATAAAACTCTTAGAAGAAAATTTATTTGAGAAGATCCTCATGACCTTGACTTAGGCAATGATTTATTTGACCCAAACCACCAATGACAAAAAATAATAATGATAAATTGGACTTTATCGAACTAGCAAACTTTTGCTCTTTGAGTGCTACTATCACACAAATAAAAAGACAACTCTGATGGTTAATTTTATAAGACACTTTTCTAGATCATGGTACTCTGTTGTTTGGTCAAACATCAATCTGGATGCTGTTGTGAAGGTATTTTTTAGATATGATTGATATTTAAAGCAGTAGACTTTAAGGAAAGCAGATTTATCCTTCATAAAGCAGGTGGGCTTTATCCAATCAACAGAAGTCCTTAAGAGAAAAGGGTCCTGGGAAAATGAAGAAATTTTGTTTCTAGACTACATTCATATTCAAGACTGCAACATCAACTCCTGACAAAATTTTCAACCTGTCAGCCTGCCCTACAGATTTCAGACTTACCAGCCCACACAATCATATGGATCATTTTATAAAACAATCTCTCCCTCGGCCGGGAGCAGTGGCTCACATCTGTCATCCCAGCACTTTGCGAGGCAGAGGCAGGCGGATCACGAGCTCAGGAGATCAAGACCATCCTGGCCAACATGGTGAAACCCCGTTTCTACTAAAAGTAAAAATAAAAAATTAGCTGGGTGTGGTGGCGCGTGCCTGTAGTCCCAGCTACTCAGGAGGCTGAGGCAGGAGAATCGCTTGAACCTGGGCGTTGGAGGTTGCAGTGAGCCAAGATCACCATTGCACTCCAGCCTGGCGACAGAGCAAGACTGTGTCTCAAAAAAAAAAAAAAACAAAAACAAAAAAAACTCTCCCTCTCTGTTTCAACCTCTCTCTCCAGATATGTGTGTATGTATGCATAATGCTAGAAGATACTGCAAGTTTGATTCCAGGCTACAGCAATAGAGCAAATATCACAAATAAAGCAAATCACATGAATATTATGGCAGACATATTCCCCAGTATATATAAAAGTTATGTTTACATTCTACTTCGGTCTATTAATGAGCAGTAATGTTATATATCAAACATGTACATACTTTAATTTTAAAATAGTACTTAAAAGTTCTAACAATCATCTGAGCCCTCAGGAAGTCATAATCTTTGCTGGGGAAGGGTCTCGACTCCATGTTGATCACTGCTGACTGATCAGGATGGTGGTTGCTGAGGATTGGGGAGGTGGTGGCAATTTCTTAAAATAAGACAACAATGAAGTTTGCTGCATTAATCGCCTCCTCCTTTCACAAAAGATTGCTCTGTTGCATGTGATGCTGTTTGATAGCATTTCCATTTCCCTACAATAGAAGCTCTTTCAAAATTGGAGTCAACTCTCTCAAGTCCTGCTGCTGCTTTATCAACTAACTTTATGTAAAATTCTAAGTCCTTTGTTGTCATTTCAACAGTTTACAGCGTCTCCACCAGAAGTATATTCCATGTCAAGCAACCACTTTCTTTGCTCATCTATAAACAACAGTCCTTCATTCATTCAAGTTTTACCATCAGATTACAGCAATTCATCCACTGAAGTGGAATCTTCAGAATCCACTAATTCTAGTTCTCTTGCGGCTTCAACCACATCTGCAGTTACATTCTCCACTGAAGTCTTCAACTCCTAAAAGTCATCCTTGAGAGTTGGCATCAACTTCTTCCAAACTCCTGTTAATGTTGCTATTTTGACCTCCTCCTGTAAACAACAAATTTTCTTAATGACATCTAGAATGGTGAGCTCTTTCCAGAAGATTTTCAATTTATATTGTCCAGATTCATCAGAGGAATCACTATCTATGGTAGCTATAGGCTAACAAAATGTTTTTCTTAAATAAGACTTGAAAGTGAAAATTACTCCTTGATCCAGGGGTTGCAGAATGAATGTTGTGTTAACAGGCATGAAAACATTATTCTCCTTGCACATCTCTCTCAGAGATCTTGGGTGACCATGTGCATTGTCAATGAGCCGTAATATTTTGAAATAAGCCTCTTGAGTAGTGGGTTTCAACAGTGGGCTAAAAATATTCAGTAAACTGCCGGGCATGTTGACTCATGCCCAAAGTGCCTGTAATTCCAGCACTTTGGGAAGCCAAGGCAGGTGGATCACCTGAGGTCAGGAGTTCAAGACCAGCCTGATCAACATGGTGAAACCCTGTCTCTACTAAAAATACAAAAATTAGCTGG
The DNA here is from genome assembly GCF_000001405.40 of Homo sapiens. NCBI lineage: Eukaryota > Metazoa > Chordata > Mammalia > Primates > Hominidae > Homo > Homo sapiens. The sequence continues at coordinate 105,099,378 of NC_000004.12, forward strand.
TCATGGTGGCACATCCTGTAATCCTAGCTACTTGGGAGGCTGAGGCAGGAGAATTGCTTGAATCTAGGAGGTTGAGGTTGCAGTGAGCCGAGATCACACCATTGAATTCCAGCCTGGGCAACAAGAGTGAAACTCCTTCTAAAAGGAAAAAAAAAAAAAGTCAGTAAACCATGCAGTAAACAGATAGGCTGTCATCCAGGCTTTATTGTTCCATTTATAGAGCACAGGCAGAGTAGATATAGCATAATTCTAACAGGCCCTAGGATTTTCAGAATGGTAAATGAGCTTTGGCTTCAACTTGATGTCACCAGTTGCATGAGCCCCTAACTAAAAAGACAGCCTGTCCTTTGAAGCTTTGAAACCATGCGTTGACTTCTCCTTCCTGGCTATGAAAGTTCTAGATGGTATCTTCTTCCAATGTAAGGCTGTTTCATATACACTGAAAATCTGTTGTTTAGTGGAGTCAACTTCATCAATTATCTTAGCTAGATGTTCTGGATAACTTGTTGCAACTTCTACATTAGCACTTGCTGCTTCACCTTATACTTTTATGTTATGAAGATGGCTTCTTTCCTTTAACCTCATGAACCAACCTCTGCTAACTTCCAACTTTTCTTTCTTTTCAAAGAAAATAAACTTCAGATCTACTAAATAATTAAATTCCAAATGTAATCATTGTATGTAAAAAAATGAAACCATAGAATAGAAGGAATTGCTGTTTAACATTTATATAAACCTAGGATAGGGACAGCATGATGCCAGGAAAAGGAATTGTAATGAAAGAAATTGATTGTTTTTACCACAAAATGCAAACTTCTATAAAAAGCACCACCAGTAAATCCAAAAATAAATTGAAAAACACTTGTATCATATAACCAAAGGCAAAAATCTTCATATATAAAAAGATACTGTAAATTAATAAGAACATTCCAAACTACCTCAACAAATGAAAATGGCTAAAGATAAGCAAGTTTTTTTGTGTGTTTTTTTTGCTTGTTTGTTTTTGAGACAGAGTCTTGCTCTGTCGCCCAGGCTGGAGTGCAGTGGTGCAATCTCAGCTCACTGCAACCTCCGCATCCCAGTTCAAGAGATTCTCCTGCCTCAGCCTCCCAGATAAGCAAGTTTTAAAAGAAATACAGATTAAATAGACATTATAGCATTAATCATAACAGTGAGAAGCTAGAAACATGAAATAATCAATAATAGGCAAACAACTGAAATAAATGATACACATACCTATACCTTTGAATATTAAGTAGCAGTTCTTCAAAATGATAATAGAAAAAAATGTGTTTACCAAATGTACAAGAAAAAACAAACCTGTTAGAAACTGGGCAAAGGACACAAACAGACACTTCTCAAAAGAAGATATTCATGTGGGCAACGAACATATAAAAAAAAGCTCAACATCACTGATCATTAGAGAAATGCAAATCGAAACTGCAATGAGATACCATCTCAGGCCAGTCAGAATGGTGATTATTGAAAAGTCAAGAAACAACAGATGCTGGTGAGGTTACAGAGAAATAGGAACACTTTTACACTGTTGGTGGGAGTGTAAATTAGTTCAACCATTGTGAAAGACAGTGTGGCAATTCCTCAAAGACCTAGAGGCAGAAATACCATTTGACCCAGCAATCCCATTACCGGGTACACACCCAAAGGAATATAAATAATTCTATCATAAAGATACATGTGCACATATGTTCATTGCAACACTATTCACCATAGCAAAAACATAGAATCAACCCAAATGCCCATCAATGATAGACTGGATAAAGAAAATGTGGTACATATACACCATGGAATACTATGTACTCATAAAAAGGAACAAGATCATGTCTTTTGCAGGGACATGGATGGAACTGGAAACTGTTATCCTCAGCAAACTAACACAGGAACAGAAAACCAAACACTGCATGTTCTCACTTATAAGTGGGAGCTGAATGATGAGAACACATGGACACATTGGGGGAACAACACACACTGGGGCCTGTCAGGGAAGTAGAGGGGGAGGGAGAGCACCAGGAATAACAGCTAATGGATGCTGGGCTTAATTCCTGGGCGATGGTTTGATCTGTGCAGCAAACCACCATGGTACACGTTTACCCATGGCACAGACTTGCACATCCTGAAAATGTACCCCAAAACTTAAAATAAAAGTGGAAGAAAAAAAAAGATTAGAGTTTGTTCAATGTGTAAAACCAATTAAAAAATAATCTATATCTTAAAAAAATGTGTTTACTGCTAGGGAATGTGCATTCCCAACAATAGCATAGATGTTTTCATTTTTTATAAAAAATTATATATATTGACAGAAAGGAATATGAAAATAATATTGTCTATTTGAAATTGTATTTAAAATTTTCTTTTGACTGTATTTGCTTTTTCTGCAATGAATTGCTTTCATAGTAAAAAAAGTCTTTTAAAAATTAGTCCCAGCAATAAAACCATAGACAGATAAAAAATCCAGCAATCCCTGAGGTAAGGTGGCATTTTAAAAATCGAAAATATTTATTTGGACAGAAAAGCAAAACTTTACCATAATTATGAATACTGTAATTATAAAGTAAATGAACACTTCAATCATGTAACAGTTGTGATTTATTATTAAGGTTTTAGGTCTATAATACATTTAAAATTTAATGAACTTTGGAAAGACAATATCATAAAATTGTCTTAAAACACTACATTAAGTCATTATTAACATTGCAGATAAAGATGGCAAAATTCTTTACTCTTACCACATCATCATATAATTATCACATTTGTTATCAAATTTTAGTTTGGAAGTCAGTCCACTTATCAATATCAAATTCTACTTTGTTGCACAATGTCCAGTTTAGCAATTTTCAACTATGTTGTGAAATTCAAGAAAAATAAAGTTGGGTCTAAGCAGTTGACAAGAGTTCTGCTTGAAAACCTATTCTTACAAAAGAACTTGTCAAAACATTTTTATCTTTAAAAATTTTTAAATGCAACTATTAATGTTTCACTTTTGCTCTACTCAATTTTGCCTGAAAAAGTTTATTAAAATTATTAAGGAAATAAAGTGTAGAAGGATTATAGAAAATATTTTCAATAAAAAGAATAATCATTAACACTGGTAATTGCCACTAGGAAGGAGTATACATACTGATAAAAATTATAGAAACCTGTTGGTGGTTCCCATAACTACCACTGATGTTAAGTCCCACAACATCAAAAATGAAGAAATAGTTCCATGAGCTGTCAATAATTGTCTGAAGGCAATGTATTATTCATCAGCACCAGAATCCCTCTGAAGTTCTTCCACATGTTCACAATTTTTTACCATTGGTCATCTATCAAATACTGCAACTGTTCTGGGAATATCCAACTAACAAAAGCCAAAGCTGGGCATTGACACTAACGGTAGCTTACTGATGTTTCCCCTGCAAATCTCACATTTTCTGATAATAAAATTTTGCACAAAAGGTAGAATGCAAAAGGCTGATTATACATTTATCTAAAATCTTATAATTACAGTAGTTTCTGAAAAAAGTTGTCCAGTAGTATAAATTGCTTCTGCATCAGTTCCACAAATAAGACAAGGACCAAAAACATCCAAACGGTTCACAGACAGGGTTGAGAAGTAACCTTGTGATTTCAATTTGGTCTTTTGTAGGATCAGTGCTGAGCCAAGAACTTTGAGAGACTGGTGAACATTAGCTTGGTTACTAATGCTATGGGACAAAAAAGTTCTAGCTCTTCCTCCTTGTTGAAAGAGTGATGGTACATCTGTGGAAACATCCCAGTGCCAGAGGAATTCATCTTCAGAACAATAAATGGAGGATCTGGGTTGGATAGGTGAAAGTGAACTTCCTACATTTTAGCTCTGTAAGCCTTCAGCAGAGATACAGGCATAGTACCTTGTCTAACATTCCAAATACTCAACATTCCATCCTGGCCACCAGTAGCTATAACATGCTGTTTGATGAGATTTCTATCAACACAATGGACTGGCACTCAGTCACCAGTCATGACAATATCTGAGAAGGCTCATTTCCTTGTTGTGTGAAATCCCACGTTTTTAACTGTCCAATCGAATTTACAGTAAGAATCTCTCAGGAGTTCGAAGAAAGATTACAGCATGGAGTATACTACTATCTGCATTGCCTACAGTTCTTACAGCTTCCTTGTGATAAGCTTTGAAGAGATTTATTCAACCATCATCTCCAACATTAATGATTTCTGGGCTGTTGCACACAACACCTGTACATGGTGCCCTGCTACACGAAGGACTTTCTGGGCCTATGTGGTAGTGAGCTGTAGTTCACAGCTGGTTGACTGAAAGAGTCTGGTTATTCGGATGATGAAGGAAAACTGATACACATCCTGTTGATGAAGCAGCTACAATTCTTTCCTGGTCAGACAACTGTCAATCCATTATATCACCATGGTGTCTAATATCACACAATAATTGATTGTCTCCTTCAAACCCTCTATCAGAGTCCAAGTTTCCAAAATCTCCCATAGACCGCAGTGAAACATAATTTTCCCCATTGTCCTAAGAGCCCATAGTGAACATCTCTGTGGTCTTCAAGTGCCCCAGAGGACTGGTCACCAGCAGGTTTTGCAGATTTTCTGAGACACAAACAGCATACAGCAGGTACAGCAAGAAGCAAGCACTGCTTCCAACTTCTCTTCTGCAGCTTCCTCACCTCTCTCAGTCTTTGTAGAATTGAAGAGAGTTAGGGTCTTGCTCTGGATTAGGCTTTGGCTTAAGGGAATGTTGTGGCTGGCTTGGTCTTCTATCCAGACCAACTACAACTTTCTCCACATCAGCATTAAGGCTGTCTCCTTTTTTTCATTATTTTTCATGTGTTCACTGAAGCAGCACTTTTAATTTCCTTCAAGAACTTTTCCTTTGCATTCACAATTTGGCTAACTCTTTGGCACAGTGGCCTAGCTCTCAGCCTATCATTGTTTTTGACCTTCCTCTCTCAGCAAATTTAATTATTTCTAGCTTTTAATTTGAAAAGAGAGGCGTGCAACTCTTCCTTTCACTTGAACACTTAGAGGCCATTGTACGGCTATTTCAATATTATTGTGTTTCAGGGAATAGGGAGGCCTGAGGAGAGTGAGGGAGATGGGGGAATGGGTGGTTAGTGGAGCAATCAGAACATACACAACCTTTGTTGATTAAGTTTGCCATCTTTTATGGGTATGGTTCATATAGACCCCAAAAATTACAATGCTATCATCAAAGATCACTTATCATAGATTACTATAACAGATATAATAATAATAATAATAAAGTTTTAAATATTGTGAGAATTACCAAAATGTGACACAGAGACACAAAGGGAGCATATTGCTGTTGGAAAAATGGCATTAATAGAATTGCTTGCGGCAGGGTTGCCACACAACTTCACCTTGTGAAAAATGAAAGCTCTGTTCAGTATAATAAAGCAAAGCACAATAAATGGAGGTATGCCTGTGTGTGTGTGTGTGTGTGTGTCCTATTGGTTTTCTTTCTCTGGAAGACACTAATATAACAACCTAAATAATAGAAGAAAATATTTGTAAATTATTAAAGGTGACTTTTATCTAGAATATATTTTTAAAGTCTTACAACTCAGTGATAAAAAGACATCCTAATTTTTAAAATTTTTTTAATATACTTTAAGTTCTAGGGTACACGTGCACAATGTGCAGGTTTGTTACATAAGTATACATGTGCCATGTTGGTTTGCTGCACCCATCAACTCGTCATTTACAATAGGTATTTCTCCTAATGCTATCCCTCTCCCAGCCCCCCACCTCCTGACAGGCCCCGGTGTATGATGTTCCCCGCCCTGTGTCCAAGTGTTCTCATTGTTCAGTTCCCACCTGAGTGAGAACACGTGGTGTTTGTTTTCTGTCCTTGTGATAGTTTGCTGAGAATGATTGTTCTAGCTTCATCCATGTCCCTACAAAGGACATGAACTCATTCTTTTTTAAGGCTGCATAGTATTCTATGGTGTATCTGTGCCACATTTTCTTGATCCAGTCTATCATTGATGGACATTTGGGTTGGTTGCAAGTCTTTGCTATTGTGAATAGTGCCGCAATAAACATATGTGTGCATGAAGACATACTAATTTTTTAAATGAGCAAAGGGTTAAATATACCTTTCTCCACAGAATATATATGAACTGCCAATAAGGACATGAAAAGTACATTATTAGTAGTAATTAGGAAAATGCAAAGCAAAACCACAATATAACACTTCACATTAACTAGGATGACTAAATTCAAGAAGACAGCAATAACAAATATTGGCGAGAATGTGGAGAAATTGTAACACTCATATATGTTGATGTGAATGTAAAATGATGCGACCATTTTGGCAAATAGTTTGGCAGATGACTGTTTACTCTTAAATATGGAGTTATTATATGATCCAGCCATTCCATTCCTTGGTATGTACCCATGAGAAGTGAAGACATGTCCACATAAAAATTGGTACATAAATGTTTATAGTAGCATTATTTGTATTAGCCAAAAACTGGAAACAACCAAAATGTCCATCAACTAATGAATCGATAACTAATACATGGTATATCCATACAATAGAACATGGTTTGAAAATTAAAAGGTGAAAGAAGTTACTGTCTGCTGCTAATGTTTCCACTACAGATACAAGAAAAAGTCTCTTCACACTTTCTGTCTGTCTGATTGTAGCAGCCTGAGATTGAATAGAGGAATACAGGAGGGAAAACCCAGAAAGAGAATTTTTACGGCTCAGGAATAATCTTGTAAACACTAAAGAGCCTGTTTTACTACAAAGAAAATCCTAAAATTTGGTTTACATGAGAAGTGTTGGGAAATAGCTCCTCCTATCCTAACCTAGCTGGTTACATTTGTAAGAACTTAAAGGCTAAAGCTAATTAAAAGCAAGCCAATAATAAAAAGAAAAGGAAGAACATAAAAAGGAATGAAATTCCAATACATCTTACAACTTGAATAAAACTTGAAAGCATTATGTGAAGTGAAAGAAGTCAGTAACAAAAAAACAAATATTGCATGATTCCATTCATATGAGATGTCCATAATAGTCAAATCTATAGAGACAGAGAGTTGATTAGTGGTTACTAACAACTGGGTTGGACAGTGAAGAGAGAAGTGTAAGGAAGGGTGAATGACTGGTAATAGGTATCAAGTTTCTTTTTGGGGTGATGAAAATGTTCTAAAGTTACATAATAGTGACCTCATTCCATCTTACTTGCCATCTATCTTCATAAATAGCCCTGCTTGTGTTTTTGCCAGTTTCCTCCCTCCCCAGCTTCTACTTTGATCTTTCTATTCCTCTTGTTTCTTCTAGTCTTGCATCATAATCCAAGCTCCAAGCACAAAAACAAATTATCTGTTCCCAACCTCTTTGAATCAGAAGCATTAGCAATTATATGAACCATCATTTGCCTTGGGTCCACCAAACCAGCCCCAATTCCTGTGGCCAAATCTGCGGATACAGTTATTTGGAGTTTGGAATTTATACCTTCACAACTCTATGGTTAGGTTCTGTGAATTGCAGAGAGTCTAATCAACTCATGATGTAGCTAAAAATATACCATCCAAGAACTGAGTTACAAGTCCCTGTTATCTTTCAGTCTGACTTACTGGAGACTCTGAAGGAGGGAAACCAGAGGAACAGCAGCTTTTACATCCAGGAAGATGGTGCTCATGACAACAGCCATCCATACATAGTTGTCCAGAAAGCATGTTGCCAGTGTGAGCTAAAATTTCTTTCCTAAATACCCAAAATGGCACATCTATCCTTCATTTGCCCTGGTAGAAGAGCTTACGTAACCAGAGAAATGGTTCTAGTTTCCTGTTTCAGAACTTTGGAAAAAGCTTCTTAGAAAATATGAGGAACAAGGACTTATTTTCTGTCTTAGTATGCTGTTCTATGGGATGATAGATGTAATCTGTGTTTCTTAATCCTTGTTCCCACTTTTGATGCCAAACAAAGTAACAATGGTTGACACTGAATGTGGACTTTTGAGGCTGTCTGACTCCTCCTAAGAGGCTGACTCTACCTCTTCCTCTTTATTTGCTGGTTATTTTAATATGACTATAGAATCTGTTCTAACTAGATAATGAATAAGAGAGCGGAAGGAACAAGGACATAAATTTGCAAAAACTAAAAAAATATGAAGTGCACAAGGAAATTGATTGAAGCCACCAATGCCAGGGAATAAATCCTATGCTACTTCACCATCAGTGTGCCAGCAGGGTATTGATTTCTGGATGCACGATGGGGAAATTAGTGCCGGCTCCAGTACGGTTGTGCAGCAGTAACAGCTCAAGGAGTATCTGGGGAGACCTTAATGACTAAGAGAGCTTTGGGAACTTTCTCTGGGAATTTTAAAAATAAAAGTAGTATAATTCTTCATTAAATTATAAGTAGTTGAAATATCTGCTTTTGGAAAAGCCATAAATATAAAAAAGTCTCATTTGATCCAGAAAAAGGTCCCAGGATTGAGATATAATTCCTCAGAAGTCAGCCAAGAGTGAGGAGAACAAGCTTTGTACTTTTAAATAAACTATCTCCCATGGGCCCTAAATGGACACAGCATCTGCAGTCCCCAAAAATGTACATACTTGATAGAGAACAATATATTACATATATTTCATAAATGCATAGAAAGTTTTAGAAACAATTAGATTAAAAACAGACTGTGTTCCAAAATGCCTTTGTATGTCAGTCAATTGGAATTAGAAAACTTTTTCCCCACTAAATCCATAGTTCATGTTCCCAGGTGAATCCTAGAAATTCTACTTAAACCATATGCAGTTGAAAATGTGGACTAAGTCCCAAGTCCTTTGGGTTCTAAGCCACTGTGACCTCTGAGGGTAGGGACCAGAAAAAGAGAAGCTTTCACAGTAGCCCAGGAATATGGTTCCTATGGCAGCAGACATAGATAGATAGATAGATAGATAGATAGATAGATAGATAGATAAACAGGTTAATGAATGGATGCACAGCAAAGTATACATGCTATCCAAATCCCAACATGACATGTTGAACCTAAATTTTTTCTATTTTATTTTTTAAAAAATTAACGTAATGCAATTTTAAATAAAATTGCTGCATATTCAGAGTTTCCTTTTTCCATTTCAATGCTTATTTTCCTTTATAAAACTAAAATGCAGATCTTTTATCCAGTAGCACTTTTATCTGTGGCCCAAGGACCCCACCAATAATTTAACACATATCATCCTTTAAACGTAAAAACAGCTGGGTGCAGTGGCTCATGCCTATAATTCCAACATTTTGGGAGGCCAAGATGGGAGGATTGCTTGAGCCCCGCAGTTCAAGACCAGCCTGGGCAACAAAAATGTTGCCTGTCTCTACCAAAAGTTTTAAGAAATTAACCAGGCATGGTGGCACACACCTGTGGTCTCAGCCACTTGAGAGGCTGAGGAGGTCGAGGCTACAGTGAAACAGATTTGCACCACTGCACTCCAACCTGGGCAACAGTGTGACCCTGTCTCAAATGATAATAATAATAATTAGCCTTAGCCTACCTTTTCCTTACAAAGGTTTTTACTGCTGTCTCTTTTATCACCTTTCCCTTGAAAGTTCCTGACAACTTGAAACCACTTATTTGCATGTAGTGAACTGCTTAATACTTGTGTTAGGGTATATCACAGACCTCTGCCTCAGAAAAGAAAGTCACATTTTTATGCTCTTCAACAATAAATCCTCTAAGCAAAAATGTGGCATTGCCTTACATGTTTAGATTCATACATAAGATTCCCTACATAATTTGTGGTATAATGGACATGGGATATAAGATTCTGGAATTTTATGCAGCATCTAGAAGACCCAAAAGGAATGTTTAGGATTTCTCTTTCCTATCATTCTCATCTTTCTTTCTCTGTCCAAGTCTTTCCCCCAGAACACTTGCTCAGCCAGGCATTCTTCCTGAGTTGCCCTCTTACACTTCATTTTGCAAGCAGGACATGTTATTGAGATAAGGCTTTGGCTGACTTACATTCCGGCCAAACTGTAATCACCTGCCGTGTAGGCTGCTTCCCAAAACAGTAGGGGAAATTTTATTGGAGATGCCAGTCATTTTTGTACAATAGCCACCCCAACATGTTAGTGACCATTTCATTCTCCATATTGTCAGAAAAATCTGTGTATTTGTGTCAAACTTAATTCAAGGTGCACCTTAAGTCCTCAGTACCTCGCCAGTCTCAGGAGGCCCTTTATGCCTCTTTCCATCTTGAGGTAATCTTCATTTTTAGCCTACACAAAGCTGAGAAAGAGACAAATAGGGGGACAATTTTGTGAAAGTCAGCCCAAATCTTCCAATTTTTTAAGTATCATTTTCTACTTGCCATAAATTCAATAGAGGGTCACTCACTATGGTGTTATACATTATTCACCAAGTATATTATATTACAATTCTTCCTTTTAGAAGTTTCTGAAACAGTCAGGACTTAGATCATCACCTGAAAATTTAATCCCTTGTTAGGTCAACCCTGATTGATAATTCAGATCATATGTCATACACGTGGCCAAAATTTCCATTTTCTATTTTCTACTTAGTTATGGACTATAGTATAGTTATATCTAGCCTTAATGACCTTTTGAAAAAAATTCCTTTGTAGCAATAGCCATATAGACATTGTTAGTACTTTAATGAAAATGATGACCAAATTCATCATAAATGAGGCATGCAGAGTTTAATTTAGTGCTATTTTCCATTTTTCTTTTTTGTATTTTTTTTTAGAGATGTGGTCTCATTATGTTGCCCAGGCTGGTCTCTAACTCCTGGGCTCAAGCAATCCTCCCACCTCAGTCTCCTAAAGTGCTGGGATTCTGGGCATGAGGAACCATGTTTAGCCTTTTCTATTTTTAAAAGAAGAGTGTTCGTTGGTTGAAAATATCTGGCCCCTCCGCCCCATCCGGGAGGGAGGTGGGGGGGTCAGCCCCCCGCCCGGCCAGCAGCCCCGTCCGGGAGGGAGGTGGGGGGATCAGCCCCCCGCCTGGCCAGCCGCCCAGTCCGGGAGGTGAGGGGCGCCTCTGCCCGGCCGCCCCTACTGGGAAGTGAGGACCCCTCTGCCCGGCCAGCCGCCCCGTCCGGGAGGGAGGTGGGGGGGTCAGCCCCCCGCCCGGCCGGCCGCCCTATCCAGGAGGTGAGGGGCGCCTCTGCCCGGCCGCCCCTACTGGGAAGTGGGGAGCCCCTCTGCCTGGCCAGCCGCCCCGTCCGAGAGGGTGGGGGGGGGGGTCAGCCCCCCGCCCGGCCAGCCGCCCCATCCGGGAGGTGAGGGGCGCTTCTGCCCGGCCGCCCCTACTGGGAAGTGGGGAGCCCCTCTGCCCGGCCACGACCCCGTCTGGGAGGTGTGCCCAGCGGCTCATTGGGGATGGGCCATGATGACAATGGCGGTTTTGTGGAATGGAAAGGCGGGAAGGGTGGGGAAGAAATTGAGAAATCGGATGGTTGCCGGGTCTGTGTGGATGGAAGTAGACATGGGAGACTTTTCATTTTGTTCTGTACTAAGAAAAATTCTTCTGCCTTGGGATCCTGTTGATCTGTGACCTTATCCCCAACCCTGTGCTCTCTGAAACATGTGCTGTGTCCACTCAGGGTTAAATGGATTAAGGGTGCGAGATGTGCTTTGTTAAACAGATGCTTGAAGGCAGCATGCTCGTTAAGAGTCATCACCACTCCCTAATCTCAAGTACCCAGGGACACAAACGCTGCGGAAGGCCGCAGGGTCCTCTGCCTAGGAAAACCAGAGACCTTTGTTCACTTGTTTATCTGCTGACCTTCCCTCCACTATTGTCCTATGACCCTGCCAAATCCCCCTCTGCGAGAAACACCCAAGAATGATCAATAAAAAAAAAATAAAAAATTTAAAAAAAAAAAAAAAAGAAAGAAACTGTATTCAGAATAGCCCCAAACTGGAAGCAACCCAAGTGTCCATCAACAGGATGAAAATGACTAAACACATTATGGTATATCCACACAATGGGATACTGTGTATCTATAAAAAGGCATAAACTACCAAAAAAAAAAAAAAAAAAAAAAAAAAAAAGAAAATATCTGGCCCCTAGCAGATATTAGTAACTTAGTTCTGTATAGAGAAAAATGATTTCATAATCATAGACGATATAAACTATGGACAACCATCTTGCCAATTCACATTGGCAAGAAGAAACAATGTGATCAACCAATGTAACTGTGAATAAAATTTCTGGGGAAGTCTCACCAGAAGTGGCAATCCTATTAGAATGGAAGATATGGCACCTTTGTGATTTGGGGAAATTTTCAATATGAGGCAAAGTTAGTTTGGGATGTCTATTTGCATTTATTGACTGGGTAACAATAAATAAAACATTCAAACCCATTTGTGCCTCAGTTTCCATATTTGTGAAAGAAAAAGAATGGCCTTTGTGTTTGAAGCTCTTAAAATCAAGAGAGACAGTGTATCACAGTGGTTAGGTACACAGCCCTGTGCATTCTGATTCTTCCTGTTACTAAATGACCTTAGAAAAGTTACTCAAACTCTTTGTGCCTCCAGTTTTGCGTTTGTAAAAAGGAATGATAATATATCAACTTTTAGGGATATTGTGAAGATTAAATTAATGAATGCATGTAAAATGCTTAGAACAATGTCAGGTACAAAGCAATAATTCAATGTATGTTAGGTCTGCAGCAACAGTCATCAAAGCAAGACTATCTTTTTAAACCAGATGCTATACCTTAATTCTTTGTTCTTAATTCTTTGTTGTCACATATTTCCAAGTGCTTTCCAATGAGTTCTTCTATATCTCTGAATATTATTTCCAGGAAAATATTAAATTGAAACACAGTGAGAGCAAAGAATATATGCTGAACTGAAAATCAGGATATGGGATCACTTGAATTTTCCCCACCAATTGTGACATTAGTAACTTGGGCTCTCGGTTTCCTCATCTGAAAAATAATGGAAGTAAATTAATTATGTCTAAAGCCCCTTCAGCTTTAACATTCTTTCAAATAAGACTGTATTTGGTCTTATTATCCTGAAATAATTGGAATGACATTTTACAATAGCCATTCTCAATATGCATATTTGCTTAGGTATGTTAAGCTCTTTTTTTTTCTTTTAAACCTCAAATTCAAGGTTTGTGTCAACTAAAATAGACAAAATCTTATGAATGTTGAACCAGGAATGTGACAAAATGCATTTTTCCACCATAGAGTCAAAGTTAGCATAATATACTTTATCTAAATGAACACATTTTAGTAAAAGTAAAGTTCTGATTTAGGGCAACTTGGAAAATGAGAATTTCAGTTAAGACCTGCCTAAAGGAAAGGAAGCTGAGGAAATGAGCGAGAGAACGAGTATAATTCTTAAAGGAGAATTTAAGTTACACTTTGGAAAATACTTGTAAAAACAGAGTTGTCTTTGCAGGGAGCACATCATCTTGAGGGGAGGTGCTACAAAGTTAGAAAAAAGACAAATAACACCAAGCAAATTACAGTTTTTAAAAATAGTATTATCTCAAGGAAACAGATGAGAGCCTACAGGGAAGGGGAAAAGTTAGTAAGAAAAGAAAATAATAAAAAATATAAAACAAAAAGTTGTCCCAAAAAACTGATGAAAGAGAAAAATAAGGAAATAGCACGGAGATATGAGAGGAAAAAGACATAAAAGAATGACATACATGGAGTCATAGTGTCAAAAATACATTGATCTGACAGTCAGAAAGACAGCTTCCATATTCCAAAAAATAAGGTGGGGGTGGAGGTGGGTTGGCATAAGGAAGAGCCTAGAATGTTCAAAAATATGAAAGACAAAAAAGCTAGGAAACTGTTCTGATTAAAGGTGACTAAAGATAATACATAACCCTTGATAGAATCCTAGATTGTAAAAAAAAAAAAAAAAAAAAAAAAAAGACATGGAGACAATCAGGGACATTTGGATATGGATGGATTATATATTAAATAATAGTATTATGTTAATGATAAATAGTCTGAGTGGCAATGGTATTGTAGTTATATGTATACATACATATATATAGTATGTAGGTTATATATATATGTCTTATTATAGGAGATAGAGATATATGCTGTGGTATTTAGGGGTAAGATGTCTGCAACTTACTCTCAGCCTTTTCAGGGGGAAAAAACGTAGTATAAGGAAAAGGAGACAAAGTAAATATGGCAAAATGTTGACAATTCATGAATGTAGAGGGAGAATCTACAATGTTCATTGTCCTATTCTTGTAATCTGCCTGTAGGATTGCAGTTTTCAAAATAAAAAGTTTCTCAAAATTAAAAATAACATAAAATCTTGCAATAAATAAATTCCAAAGCTGTTTAAAAAAAGCAAAAAAAATTATGTAGCATAAGCTACCTTGCTCAACCCTTGTCCATCATCCTTCTCCACTACAACTTCATCAAAGAGAGAGTGTGTAAAACCAAATTATTACTAATTATTGATTAGTTCTGCAAATAAGAACCCTGAATTCTTTAGAGGTTAGTGCTCTTCTTATCATTAGAACCACAACAGTTCTCTACTGCCAGTCTGGACAGAAGCAGTTACTTTGTGGTATCTATTGGGTAACATTGAGAGGAAGAAATGGGAACCTCTAAATGCAAATTAAGCCTGTGGTTAAAAAAAATTAATTAAATAAAAAAATAAGCTAACGCAGGAGAACTTTTTTTGTCTCACTAAGATAGTTGTGTAATATCTTGAGTGGACAAGCAAGGAGGGGTAATTTAACAGATATAGCAATGTGTCTTGTGTGTTAGGCATATATGGTGGAGAATAGACTGGTTTTGGTAGTCTATCTCTAAAAAGAGAAGTATAGGTAACTGAATGTGTTTTAATTATTTGAAAGATTTACTTCTCTAACAATCTAAAAACTGAAAACCTTTAAAAGGAACCCTACCTAAAAGAGGAGGATTTTTTCTTAATGAGGAAGCATTCTATCATTACATTCAGTTTAAAATTACAATGAACAACTCTGGCAAATATGAAAAGGGATGATGCTCCTATACATTGGTGGTTTCAGCATAAATTGGTACAATATTCCTGGTAAATAATTTGGCAACAGGTTTCAAGAGTCACAAAAATATTCTTATCTTTTGATCACTTTTTATCTTAAGAAAATAAAGAAAACAAAAGAGAAGAGTAAGAGAAAGGGAAAGGGAGGTGAGAGGAATGAAGAAAGGGGGATGGAGGGAGAGAAGGAGGGCAGGCAAGCTGTGTATAGATGGTCATTTCAGAATATTTATAGTTTAAAAAAGAGAAAGGAAGAAAGATGTTCAGCAATAATGACATGTTTATATAATGCACATCAATATAAGCACGTATAATATCTTTCAAGCCTTAAGACTGAACAGGAAGAAAAATGCTAACATAGCGATGAGTGGAGTATATATAATTAAAAATGGCATCCATTTGATGATTCATCTATGTAAAGTCATGTAAGCATAAGGAGAAGGTAATTTGTTTGATTATGAACAGGATGGAGTGAGGTTTATCCTTTTTTTTTTTTTTTTTTTTTGAGACAGTCTTACTCTGTCGCCTGGGCTGGAGTGCAGTGGCGTGATCTTGGCTCTCTGCAACCTCCACCTCCTGGGTTCAAGCAATTCTCCTGCCTCCATCTCCCAAGTAGCTGGGATTACAGACACCCACCACTACGCCTAGCTAATTTTTTATATTTATAATAGAGAAGGGGTTTCACCATGTTAGCCAGGCTGGTCTCGAACTCCTGACCTCATGATTCGCCCGCCTCAGTCTCACAAAGTGCTGGGATTACAGGCATGAGCCACCTCGCCCAGCCGGTTTATCCTTTTAAAGTCCCCATTGCTATTGTTACAAGAGTAGAGTTTAGTTAATTGCTTTCTATTTATGACAGGGCATGGAGTGCAGCAAAGTCTACCAAACTGAATACAGTTTTGGAGTGTCGACAAAATATGAATTTCCTCTTCACTTCTGCAGACTATCCATATGAAATTATATTTAATCTGTATAACTAACTCCTCAGTCTATTCTGCTGTAATAAAGCATCTTTTCAAGAAATGAAAATAATATCTACATGATTAGAAAAGCTGTTTATGCCAATTTGATGAAGCATGTATTTTAGGTTTGCACCTATATAGTGTGGTTTTGGAACTGGCAACACTTCTATTTCCATCTGTCATTTAAAGCAAGCTTGGTTTAGAAGAGCCACATAGTGTGCTAAAGGTTAGAACAAAGACTCTAGAGCTAGGTCAATCTGGGTTTGAATCCCTTACATGCCTTCTAGTTGAGTATCCTTGGACAAATTTCTTAATATCTCTCTGCACTTCCATTTTCTCATCTGTAAAGTGGGTAGAAAACTTATGCCTACTTTATAGGGATATCATGAAGATTAAATGAGTTGATGCATATGAAGTTCTTAATACAGTACCTGGCATGCAGTGATGTTAGCTGATCATCAGGGATTATTGGTTCTCTTTAACCCACTGCTTTTATACAATGAACAGTTAGTTCTAAGGGTGATCAAATTAAAGCACATCTTTTAATATTGTGGGGCTTGGGTCTATATTTAGACTCATTTCCAGAATAGTCTCATGGCCAGAATTTAGACGCAGCCAGAATAGTCAATGGCTAATATTTTTTGAGGACATCTTCAGTGCCATAGTTCTATCATCACATATTATATAACAATGTAATATTAGTGTTGTGGGGATATTTTTTCAGGAAAATTATGTAAATTTATGTCCAGATATATTACTTTTTGAATTTCATAGAACATATATGATTGAAGGGAAGCTGAAGAGTAAATTTTGGTTTTCTTGAAACCACTACTGAAAAGAGTTCACCTCCATAATGCCTCTTGCTATATTCCTATTATTCAAGGTCTATCTAGACTGCCCCAGAAGATTTTCAGACATTTTAGGTAATCTACACTTCTTGGTTTTTCTAGAGAAGTCAGTCGGGGAATCATGGGAATTAATCTAAACTTCTTACAGGAATTATTCTAATTTTCTAATCCAGGAAGGTGAGAATGGACCAGGAAAACTTCTTAGTAATAAGCAGAAAGAATTTGGTGCTAAGAAAGAAGTTAAGTACACAGATTGCATTCTGTTTTTATTTACCAAGCAGTCCTGAACATTTGTAATGCACAAAGCTGTATACAGGCACAGTATAGAAACAAGTTGCACCATCTTTGCTCTCAAGTAGCTTATACTTCACATGACAAAAAGATATGCATGCACAAATATATAGCAAACGAGGAAATGCATATAAAATATCGTCCTATCAAAGCATGATTTTGAATAAGCTTTAAATCCTAAAAGATTCATTCCAGCAAGTATTAATAGTATTTTGGTTCTCATTAGTTCTACCAATAACTTGGGTCTTGAACTTTCAACACTTCATTAACTGAAAGAAGAGGCTGGGGTAATCACTGTTGCAATAGCATGACTGCTATTTTTTTTTCTCTTGCAGCCACCAACTGATAGCTACAAAACTGCACTTCCTAGAGACATGTTGAGAGAGGTTCAAGGCTCAACAGAACTTACCCTTTTGCTGTCAGAGGTACAATTAGATGTTTGATGTAGCTCCCAGGTTAATTACAAAGTGAGCATTACATTAGATTAATAAATGCTGAGGTTGATGCCCTTGCAATGAGGGAAGACAGTACCGAATAATTCAGCTCACATTTTCTGGTCGGCACTTATCAATGTTAGTTATTTGGCAGGTCAGCCTGACCTGGGTTATGTCACAAAAAGCCACATGGGGCAGCTGTGGAAGCAAATCAGTGATCCTAGCTCAAGGGTTGTACAAAGCATTTTGTGCACATTTAACAAGTTCAAGTACCATTCAATACTTGATGGTACTTGAACCATCCAATACATGCTGGTTTTTCCCTGGGATTAAAAGTAAATATGTTTTTCCACTTTTTAATTGGCCAAATATTTTATTGAAACATTTAATTGAAAGTAATCTCCAAAAGTATTTCCAAGTTCCAGGAATTTGAACAGTATGCTGATAGAATAAAGGAGGCTATTACTGTAAAACTTCTTTCAGTATATATAACCTATATCCACAGTACATCAGAAAGCAACTCTGCTTGAGCATATAAAAAGTGATGTCTAAGTAGGAAAAAATTTGGCACTAGGCCAGGTGTGGTGGCTCACACCTGTAATTCCAGCACGTTGGGAGGCAGAGGCGGGTGGATCACTTGAAGTCAGGAGTTCGAGACCAGCCTGGCCAACATGGTGAAACCTCGTCTCTACGAAGATAACCCAAAAATTAACCAGGTGTGGTAGTGAGAACCTGTAATTCCAGCTACTCAGGAGGCTGAGACATGAGAATCGCTTGAACCTGGGAGGCAGAGTTTGCATTAAGCCGAGATCATGCCACTACACTCCAGCCTAGGCGACAGAGCAAGACTGTCTTTAAAATTTTTTTTTAATTGGCACTTTATTTTATTATAACAATAGAAATGACAGTACAAAAGTTCATCTTTTCTAAATAGAACAATGACTAGCATATTGTAAGGTCTTGATAAATATTCCTTGAATAAATCTTTGGCTAGCCTGAGAAAGTAGAATTCATTTGGCATTTATACCTAATATTAATTTCCTGATGATTTACACAAATATTTTAGGGTCAAGTTTTGAAACCCCAATAACCTAATTCCTTACTATTCCACAGTGTGGTCCACAGACAAGCACCAATATCACCTGGGAGCTTGTGAGATCTGCAAAATCTCAGGCCTAATTAATCAGACCTGCTGAATCAGAATTTGCACATTAAAGTTTGATAAAATCTCTTTCAAAACTGGTGAAATAAGGCCGGGCACAGTGGCTCATGCCTGTAATCCCAGCACTTTGGGAAGCCGAGGTGGGTGGATCACTTGAGATCAGGAGTTCGAGACCAGCCTGACCAACATGGTGAAACCCTGCCTCTACTAAATACAAAAAATTAGCCGGGTGTGGTGGCGGGTGCCTGTACTCCCAGCTACTCGGGAGGCTGAGGCAGGAGAATTGCTTGAACCTGGGAGGCAGAGGTTGCAGTGAGCCAAGATCGCTCCATTGCACTCCAGCCTGGGCAACAAGAGCAAAACTCTGTCTCAAAAATAAATAAATAAATAATAAAACAGGCGAAATAGTCCTAAAGTTAAGATCAAAGCCCTCTTTAAATAGAGAAACACAAGGGAAGTAGATCTTAAAATATGGTAATGGAACCAGAAAGGATGTTTGGAAAGTGCAAAATATTACTTGCATATGTGATGTGGCAGATACATACTGTCAAATGTTCATACCCAAGTAATTATTGTGACTTTGAGTGAGTTCCTCAACCTCTCTTGCAGTTATTTGTAAAAGAAAAAAGGCAAGTTCGAAAACTTCTAGTTCTAATGTGACTTTCCTCTTGTCTTCAAGTGCTTTGGGTCTTATTTCCCACAAATTAACAGAAGCATCCCTTTCACCCTACGTCATACCAGTTTGGCCACTGTGTGTGCCTCTTGTCCTAATTTTTACCTAGCCCTCACCCTACACTACTCTGCCACACACCTGAGACATATGCTATAGGCATTCTGGATATACTTTTAGCCCATTAAATGTGAAAACAGCATTTATTCTGGAAAGCTCTCTTCATTTCAGATAAATCAGAAAGACATTTACTCATATATATTATACGTATATCACCTGATTAATTGGGCAAAATAAAATGAATAACCCTTTTAATATCCCCTTTTCAACACATATTCCCTTCTGTTATACTTCTTACTATCGTTGGGGAAACAGGAGAGATGTCTTCTTTTTTCTCTGCTCTGTAAAAATTTTTAAAGAAATCTTTCATAAAGATCTCTTTTGTATTTTTTAGTTTGATATATTTGTTCTACTAACTTAATAAGGTATTTTAATGGAGATTCCATAGAAAAATAATTGCTAGCAGAGTTTTAAAGACAGTTTAAGTACTTATATCCCTAGAGTAGAGGAATATTGTATGACATGATTTAAGAAAACCATTGCTAATGAACATAGTCATCAGCAGATTTTGACTTAAGGGGCACTGAAAAATCCTCTAATCTTATCTTCTCTTCCAAAATATACTATCTGCTGGGACCTTCTATTTGCATAGTATGAAGACAAAGAACTACTAAGCCATATGGCTTCAAGATAATCCTGATGTGGTAACTTAAAAGATGTCATCAAAGTCTTGCCACACCTCTCATCAGGAGGTGAAATCTATTTCCACTCCCCTTGAATCTAGACTGGCCCTGTCACAGACTTTGACAAATAGATTGTGGCAAAAGTGATTATGGAACTTCTAAGAGTAGGCCTTCAGAGATCTATATGCTTTCTCCCTCTTGGAATGCTCTCTATTGGAAGTGAGCAACCATGCAAGAAATAACAACTACCCTGAGTCCACCATGCAGGGAGGAAGCCTGAGCTAACCTCATGGAGAGAGAGAGTGTGTGAAGGAGTACAGAAGGGCCATACCTGTGAGTAAAACTTTCTCGGAACTTCCATTTCAGCTCCACCACCAGATAAGCACAACTGAGCGAATGACACCAACCAGTGCCAAGAGAAGCAGGACTACCCAACTACACTTTGCCTAAATTCCTGATTCACAGAATTATAAGCAAATAAAATGATTGTTTAAAGCACTAAGTTTTGGGTTCATTTGTTATGCGGCAATAAAGAATCAAAACACCTGGAACCCAGTTCCCTTCTCTTTTATTACCCACATGGTCTCTCTCCTGTAGTGTCGCTGTTTTTCCTGACTAGCTTTCTCATCCTGCTGTTACACCCTTACTAGGAATTTCTCTCAGCAATATCCAGTTAAAATTCCGGAAGGGAATAGGCTGGTTGGCTTTGCTCATTGTCTCACTTTTCTTGGGCAGAACCTTTTGTACCAATCCATTTCATCAGCATTTTTATGGGTGAATCTTAGTTGACCAGGTACCGACTCTCGTCAAATTACTGTCTGACTCTACACAAGAAATATACAAAGAGCCTGGTGCTGCTTTCCTGAGCAGGACAGTTCATAGGGACATTGAGCATGGTTGGCATCTAACCTGGTTATTCTGAAGATTTCATGATTAAATCCTCAGTCCTATGAATTAACCAATTGTCCAGTGTTAAAATACAGACACCCCCTGCACACATGAAACTGCTCATCAATTGTTTAAACTTTAACATATGTAAAAGGTGTCCAGTAGGAGCTAGCTGAATCTGAGCATTAATGCTGGAAAAGGAGGAGGAGGCCTGAGATCTTTGGCTGCTTGGTAGAGTAAAGGTGGTAGAAAGAAGTCAACAAGAACTTAAAGGAAAGATCAAAGGACAGTGAAAGAACATTTTTCCTAGTTTTGCCTAGAGCAGGCTTTTGATTAAAGGTAGAGTGCTGACTCTCTAAAGATAGATATCTAAAAGGATTCTTCTAGATACATGAGAGCACAGGAAAGATTGTGCAAGGGCATAAATATGAGCATACTATAGTGATTAAGACCATGTGACATTAAAGGAAGAGGAAGATGGAAAAAAAGGTACATGAAGAATATAAACAAGAGGTTGGTGCCTAGAAAAAGAGGAAGATAGTAGAAAGTTTGGGAAGTATAGAAAGTATAAGATCCTTTAGGAGTTGTTCTTTATATACTACTATTTGCTAAACTTCAATGTTTAAAATTCAGCATTTGTAGAGCAAGCGTAGGTATACAGCTATTATTAAATTCTAATATGTAATGGTCTGTATACTTCCAGAAGCTTTCAGAGTTTTGAATTGATATTCCATTATAAATTTTTTAGGAATTCACCATTTGTAATGCACATGTCTAGTGATAATTCTTTCCCTCAGCCCCACCCCCCAGATCTTTATATGTCTGGTAATTTCTCATCATTCAGGCTTTCGTTGAAACGGAAATGCCTCAGAAAGCCTTTTGCTTTCTTAACCATCCTTGGCAAGAAGAATTCCATGATGGACCCTCCAGGTTCCTAGCCTTGATATACACACATCTCTCAGTTATTCAGTAAAACACACTAATGTAGCTATTGCTGTAAAGGAAGTATGGAGATGAAATCAAGGTCCCAAATCTATTGACCTTTAAATAAAGAGATTAACCGGGTGGAACTGACCAAGTCATATGAGCCCTTTAAAATAAATTTTCTCAACCACAGTGAGATACGACCTCATAGCTGTTACAACGGCTATATCAAAGAGACAAGAGAGGCTGGGCATGGT
The DNA here is from genome assembly GCF_000001405.40 of Homo sapiens. NCBI lineage: Eukaryota > Metazoa > Chordata > Mammalia > Primates > Hominidae > Homo > Homo sapiens. The sequence goes on from NC_000004.12 coordinate 105,121,572, forward strand.
GGCTCACGCCTATAATCCCTGCACTTTGGGAGGCAGAGGAGGGTGGGTTACTTGAGGTCAGGTGTTTGAGACCAGCCTGGCCAACAGGCTGAAAGCCCGTCTCTACTAAAAATACAAAAATTAACCTGGCATGGTGGAGGGCATCTGTAATCCCAGCAACTCAGCTGAGGCAGAATAATTGCTTAAACCCAAGAGATGGATGTTGCAGTGAGCCAAAACCACACCACAGCCCTTCAGCCTGGGCAACAGAGTGAGACTCCATCTTAAAAAAAAAAAAAACAAGAGATAACAAGTTCAGCTAATTTAATGTATAGCATGCCAATTATAATTAATAACAATGTAACATACACTTGGAAATTGCTAAAAGAGTCGATTTCAATGTCCTCACCCCAAACAAATAATATGTGAGGTAGTAGATATGTTAATTAGCTTGATTTTGTCATTTCACAATGTGTACATATATCAAAATATATTGTACACCATAAATATATACAATTTTTATTTATTCATTTAAAAATAAGTAAAAATAAAAATGGGGCTTATACTTTAAGAAATTGATTTTGGCCAGGCACAGTGGCTCACGCCTGTAATCCCAGCACTTTGGGAGGCCGAGGTGGGTGGATCACCTGAGGTCTGGAGTTCGAGACCAGCTTAGCCAACATGGTGAAACCCCATCTCTGATGAAAATATAAAAAATGAGCTGGGTGTGGTGGAAGGCTCCTATAATCCCAGCTACCTGAGAGGCTGAGGCAGGAGAATCACTTGAAGCGGGGTGGTGGAGGTTGCAGTGAGTCGAGATCGCATCATTGCACGCCAGCCTGGGCAACAGGAGCAAAACTCTGCTCAAAAAAAGAAAAAAGAAAAAAGAAAAAAAAAAACTTGATTTTATCTGGCTGTTTGAAGAAGTCAGAGATGTGAAGTTTGTGACGGTTATCACATGCCATTGCTGACAAAGATGGAGGAATTCAAGGAATGTGGCAGGCTACTGGAGCCCAGGGTAGCCCTTGGCTAACAGCCAGCAAGGAGCAAGGATCTCAGTCCTACAACTACAAGGAACTGGATTCTGCCAGTAACAGCAATGAGCTTGGAAGCAGAGTTTTTATTTCAGCCTTGTGAGACCCTGAGCAGAGAACCCAGCAATACCATGCCAGACTTCTGATCTACAAAGCAGTATATAATAAATGAGTGTTTTTTAAATGGCTGAGTTCATGATAATTTGTTACATAGCAACAGAAAACTAATTTACCATCCTAATCTAAAATAAGACCCCATAATCACACTCCAGTCATTATTATACATTAGTTTGTTTTTCTTTCTTCAAAAATATATATAATAATTTATGTATTATATATAAAACATAAAATTAATATTTATTTGCTTGCTTGCTTGCTAAATATCTCTTCCCTAATATTATATTAGACAATAAGCTTAGTGAGGGAACGTAAAAGGTACCCAATCAATATTTACTTAAAAAAAGATAAATGCCTACATTTAAACAAATATTTTTCAAAAAAAGGTTAATCAAATCTCAGAGATACCATCCCCCCCAAAAAATTTTTTAAATATGTCTTCTAGGCCAGGCGCAGTGGCTCACACCTGTAATCCCAGCACTTGGGGAGGCTGAGGTGGAAGGACTGCCTGAGTCCAGGAGTTCAAGACCAACCTAGGCAACATGTTGAGACTCCATCTCATAAAATAAATTTGTTTTTTAAAGTGTCTTCTGGCCGGGCGCGGTGGCTTACGCCTGTAATCCCAGCACTTTGGGAGGCCGAGGCGGGCGGATCACGAGGTCAGGAGATCGAGACCATCCTGGCTAACAAGGTGAAACCCCGTCTCTACTAAAAATACAAAAAATTAGCCGGGCGTAGTGGCGGGCGCCTGTAGTCCCAGCTACTTGGGAGGCTGAGGCAGGAGAACGGCGTGAACCCGGGAGGCGGAGCTTGCAGTGAGCCGAGATCGCGCCACTGCACTCCAGCCTGGGCGACAGAGCGAGACTCCGTCTCAAAAAAAAAAAAAAAAAAAAAAAAAAAAAGAAAAAAATAAAGTGTCTTCTACTTGTCAGGCCTGCTATAGTTGTCCCTTAAAGACCTACATATACTTCCATAATATATGAATTTCAATTTATACTCGGAGCTTAGCAAAATGGAGCACACATAAAAGTTAAAAGTTACAATTGGAAAGGACTCAGCTGATTATGTATTCCACCCTCAATGCTGTTTAAAAATATATATATATATATGAGTCTTCATGTAATATGGAATGTCCTGACAAGTTTCCTAACAAATTATTTCACAGACCAACAACAGAAATCACCAAGAAAAATGTCCACTTACTTAGGGTAAATCTGTCTAGGTTTAGTGTTCTTTATTAACATCTCTGTTGTTCTCTCCTGGGTTACTCACCCTCCTTCTCCAACCTTTTCTGTGCTCCAGAAGCTGGCCTGTAATTAACTATATCAACAGACTCCCACATCCTCTACTTTCTAGTAGATTTAGTCTAGTCCTGTCCAGGAGAAATTGTGTGATATGGTATGATATTATGTGATATGGTATGATATTATGTGATATGGTATGATATTATGTGATATGGTATGATATTATGTGATATGGTATGATATTATGTGATATGGAATGATATATGTATAAATAGTTTTTTAATTTTAATAATTTTCTAAAAATTTAAATTTTCTAATAGTTATGATTTAAATTAAAAAGCAGGTAAAAATAATATGTGTATATCAATATATTACATATATTGATATATACATATTTAATATGTGTTAATGTTTAATAATAATGTATATCAAATATATATGTCCATACTATTGATACCATTTTTATTTAACATAAAATTATTAAGGTGATATTTTACATTCTTTTTTCATACTAAGTCTTCAACATTTGGGATGTATTTTACACCTAAAACCACATTTCGGTAGACACCTGTGACCAGGCTATCGTATCAGGCAGTGCAGTGTAGCCCAGAAGAAGCCCTGTCAATGGATCACAGAGAGGGCCAAGAATAAATGTGGGATATTTCTTCCCCTGATTCCTTTGCTGTGGCATCACCTCAGACTGGCACTGTCCTCCATCCTAACATCATAATTCCTTTCAAGGTGGGATAAACTACACATCTCTTTCCTCCTGGGTTCTGGTAACCATTTTCTCACCTTTCCCCTTGAGCCTAGGGGTGATAATAGCATTCCCCTTTGTGATTCCTATAAACATTTTCCAAACATCTGTAATATTTCTATATAAAACCCTTCTCAAATTATCATAATGTGAATATGCCCTCTATTTCCTCCTGGGACCCTTTCTGATTCGTGGCTCTTTTGTTGGGATTTTTCTAAAACCTTTGAGGGCTGTATTTCCGATATTTCAAGAATGACCAATTCTGAGTATATACTCATCAAATGATAGGGTGGTATACCTAGCAAGTATGCTAATAAGCAGAATAATTAAATAGAATTTGATAAACTAAAAAATTGCTTAATATAATTTATAAAGGTACAAAACAGGAGTATATATTCTCTATTCAATGACAATTGTTAAAAAAAATAGCTGCATGGAAAAGTTGCAAGGTTTTTAATAGAAGCTTTAAATATATATATATGTATTTTTTTTAATGGAGTTTCACTCTTGTCACCCTGGCTGGAGTGCAATGGCGCGATCTTGGCTCACTGTAACCTCCGCCTCCCGGGTTCAAGCAATTCTCCTGCGTCAGCCTCCTGAGTAGCTGAGGCTACAGGCGCCCACAACCACGCCCAGCTAATTTTTTGTATTTTTAGTAGAGATGAGGTTTCACCGTGTTGGCCAGTCTGGTCTCGAACTCCTGACCTCAGGTGATCCACCCATCTTGGCCTCCCAAAGTGCTAGGATTACAAACGAGATCTTATATTTTATGGATAAAAGTATCTACTTCCAAAAAGGATGTGGAAAAAAATAAAATAAAAACATTCATTTATCTCACATAGATATTGACTCTATTTGTCTTATATAGATATATTCTAATTTTTTTTTTTTTTTTGAGGCAGAGTTTCACTCTTGTTGCCCAGGCTAGAGTGCAATGGCACAATCTCAGCTCCGCCTCCCGGGGTCAAGCGATTCTCCTGCCTCAGCCTCCCGAGTAGCTGGGATTACAGGCGTGTGCCACCATGCCACGCTAATTTTGTATTTTTAGTAAAGATGGGGTTTCTCCATGTTGGTCAGGCTGGTCTCGAACTCCCGACCTCAGGTGATCCACCTGTCTCGGCCTCCCAAAATGCTGGGATTACAGACATGAGCCACCACGCCCGGCCTATTTTAATTTTTTAGACAAAGGGTCTCACTCTGTCATCCACAATGGTGTGCAGTGGCATGGCCTTGGCTCACTTCAAGTGATTCTCCCACCTTAACCTCCCAAGGTATTGGGACTACAGGCACATGCCACCATGCCCAGCTACTTTTTTAATTTTTCGTAAAGACAGGGTCTCAGTATGTTTCCCAGCTCGTCTCGAACTCCTGGGCTCAAGCAATCCTACAACTTCAGCCTCCCAAAGTGTTGGGATTATAGGCATGAGCCACCACTCCCAGCATAGTCTTATATTATTGATTTCTAAGGTGTATCTATATTGAGAAGGATTGTTAACTAGTTCCAAGAAGGAAATTATACATAAATATCTTTTTCAGTTGTAATCTTTGGCATTTTTAAAATAAGAAAACTTACTCTGTTTCCCTCTGTGGAAGAAGAGAAGTTGATCCAATTGTGTAGCCTAATCCCTCACGTAAGCTGTTTAGGGACAGTTTCTGAACTCACTTTTGGCCCAAGGGAAATGGCATGTCTCTTTTATCACAAACTCTAATCATAATTTTATTTTTTTATGAAACAGAAAATTCAATTGTTTACACTTCTCTAAAGAAAACCAGACATTTCAGTAAAATATTTGCCTTTGAGGTTGTTTTTCTTGGCTAAAAGAGTTGTCCATGAAACAGATGGAAAAATCTATGCTAAAATGAAAAGTAATTGGAGTATAAGTTGACCTTAACCTAATGTGATAAGAACATTTCTTTTCTAAAAAGTAATACGATTATCTTTCTTAGGGATCAGTAAATAGTAACCGCACTATTGAAAAATATATTTGAATGAGATTCTAGGAAGCACAGTAGAAACAAAAGCACTTACAAAATCAGTTTTCTAAGCTAAATTCCATTTGTCTCACTGAAGCCAGACAATCTCCTCCATGTTTTGAAATAGTTGGCAGGTGTCCCTAGGACCATGACATTATGAGTATGTGAGGGTAAACTTATGCTTAGATACTGGTTAAAATAGAATGGGGAGTGGAGAGATTACTTTCTAAGCTGGAGTCTTCACTAATATATATGTGGATTCACATGAAGAAACTTAGATTTTTAAGGACAATCACTTGTAAAACCACAAGAGGGTTACCCCAAACCTTGGTCACTTATAACTAGCCACATAAGCCTGCTTTTGAATATCAGACTCTGTCAAACAGTAAATTAGGCTTCATGCTTATGAGCCTCTGCTTCTGCTCAAAGGAAAACATTAATCTAGATTAGTAAGCAATTAGATTGTTGAATAAGCTGTCTCAAGAATATTTCTACGCTACATTTACAATCCATTTTTTCTAAAAACTGGTACAATGAATTACCTGAAATACTCTCTGAGAATTGTTTATGCAAATATCTCTTGGTCAATCATTCAGCAATGACCCAGATTTTTAGATCACTCTTCCTCAGTAAAATGTCTTGAGAATTACAGAGAAAAAAAAAAAGACATTGTTACAGAGAAGGAAATCTTGTGGCAAGAAGCATTTGGGGCTGAAAGGTAAGTAATAAGCCAAAATATACGTGGGTTAGTATCCTGACACTAAAAGATTATGATGGGAAGCCAAGATAGGCATTATAGCATCAGAACTTTCTAGGTTTTTCTCATGATAATGAAATTATGTGATTTTTACAACCGATTTCATAAATATTAGACCTAATGTTGATAATTAAATTATGTGGTTTAACACATATTTCTATAAATATGAGACCTCAATTTTCTAGGACCTCAGAAGAATAGAAAAGCTTGAATGCAATAAAATGGAGGAGACAATTTTTTATCTTTAATATGAGCTTACTTTATATCTGCAATAATGCATTCAGTAAAAGATATATGAAACTCCCAGGAATAATCATATCAATAGAGATTTATTCTAAGGAGTAAGTTATTCTCAGTTATACATTGAGATAGAATTGTTTCTAATAACTCTGGGGAAAAAATGTATTTAAAGGAGTTGTGTCATCTGCTTAAAGAAGTTTGGTGACTTTTCCAAAAACTAAGAGATAACTAGAAAGTGGTAAACTGGTGGTAACATTGTTTGGAAAACAAAATGCAACTTTCTTTTAAGGTAAAAATTATGTCTGAATTTTTTTCAGGATTATACAAAAAGTCACTAAAAACTGACTCATTTTCTCAAAATTATATTTCCTAAAAGTCTTCAATAAGAAAGATATTTTATTGTTGGATCATGTTACACAATTATCTCTCATAGCAAATGTAAGCAGAGTTAGATTTGGTCTCATTACAAACATTTGGTACAAACATAGGTACAACTGACTAGCTGACTGAGTATTCTTATTTATGACTTTTAGAGAGTTAGATGGTGTTCATTCAAGATTAATTACTCAAAATTTGTTCTTTAAAAATCTCAAATCTGATCACATCCCAACCCTGCTTACATCCATTTCATGACATCCCATTGTTGTTGGGTTAAAGACTCTTTAGGTTGGGAAGGACATAAACCCAACAAAAAGTAGATTGCCCCCAAAAAAAGGGGAAGTGGAAGACGGATTGACTAGCATAGTGAAAACTTGCATAAATAGGTCATCTTCATGTTTAGCTAGAAAAATGAGCTCAAATGATATCACCAGGATTCCATCTCACTCTGCATTTTCCAGCTCTCATTTGGTCTATTTTAGCTCTGTTGTCAGGTGGGTTCTTCATTCATGATAGATGCTAGAAACTCTAAGCTTACATTTTATGTTTGCAACATCCCAACAAAGAACTGAGTCTCATTTTCTCTGATTTAACTGATTTAGCTATGATCCTGTGATTCAGATATCCACAATAAATCAATCACTAACATCACAGGGATACAATGTTCTGACTATCCAGGGCTGTGTCAATGTTGGCCTTGAGGCTAGACGTGAAGTCAAATTCACCTAGTCACATGTAATAAACGTAGGGAGAGGAATAGTTTCTCTGGGAAAATCAGACATGAACCTAGGAGAAATGGATTCTGAATAGGCCAAAATCACATATTTATTCCAGTTTACCTCTTGGCTGCACAAGCTCATGTATCTATATCTTTACCTAAAAATTCAAAAAAACCCAAGCCTACATTAAACAGTAATATCATATGTAATCAAAAAAAATGTATCAGCATCACTTCAGTTTTATTCAGTTGCTGCATCCAGCCTGAGTCCAGATTCTACTGTTATTGTGCCTTTCTCATGGTCCAAAAACCTATCTTTAAATGATACATTTGACCATCTCCAAGAAATCTAATATGCATTTATTTGGAGGAAACAAAATAACTATCATAAAAACTCCTACTTGAAAAAGGGGATTTGGGTGGGAGGTGGCAGAAAATGATCACCGTTCTTTAGCATATATACTATCCTGCTAGACAGGAGCAGCAACAACCCCTTGTCCTGGTCTTGAGGCAAATTCCTTGGTCAGTCCTTCAGTCTGCTCTTGGCTCTGTCTTTTGGGATGCCGTTGTTGCTTGTCCTTTATGGTCACAGCTGCCAAAGGCACTGGGGATACCCACTTTCTGGTTATCATACCCTACTGATAGTGCTGTTTCTGTTGGTATAGATTTAGGATCCTGACTGAGTATTGCCTCAGGGGTTGAGCAATCATAGCACTCAGTTTACGGGTATTTGCATTTCTCTGGAAACCTCTGTTCCTTAAAAGTTTACTAAACTCTACAATCTGTTTCAAGTAAATTCAGTTTGTTTACAACAAAACTGAGTTAGTATTGCATTCTAATCCTTGATTCCAAATTCCAAATTTGTTGTTTCTGTCTTCTAAGTCTCAGTGCTCTGTCTCCCCAGGTAGGCAGAATTCCTAGTTTCACTCATAGCTTCCAATTTTATTCTACTCTCCCTGCCTTTGCTAACACTAAATTTAGATGAGAGTGAAGCAGAAATGCTTCTGACTTTTGGCTGGCTTGTCTATCAGGACAAGGGCGAAAGGGCTGCTCTTAGTGTTTTTACTGCTTCCAGAGAAGCCAGCTTTTAATGCAGCTGTTTCTTGCATGTAGGACGTCATTAAACCCTACAAAAAGGAACAAACACATTTCTGGGGCTTTTTTTCATATACATCCTTTAATCTTCGGCCTCAGTGGACACATGGTCTGAGCCCCAAGATATAAAAGACAGGTTAATCAACATCTGTGTCAATTTCTCAGCTAAAGAAAGAAGGATCCTCATTGCCTCTTTACTACCTGAATTGAGCCAATTCCACATTTAAGGGTCTGTTACTTACAACGCTTCAAATCTTGACCCATTTAAAAAATATACAAATCAGGACTCTTTCAGATCTAAGTGTCTAAAAAAACCTCAAACAGGCTTGTTTGGTGAGAGAAATTTGCTGGTTCATAAAACTAAAAAGTTATGGAGTAGATCTGCTCAATGATGTCAACTTGACTTACCTCTTATCTCTCTGCTCCTCTATCCTCTGTGTTGTCTACGCCACAGAAAAGGCATTTCCTTTGAGAAAATGAGTTTTTTCCTTCTGGCTGCTAGTAGTATTAGGTTTACATCCCATCACATCAGCATCCCCGGCACAAACGGAATACTTTTCCCCAACAACACAAGCAGAAGGCCCAGAACTAACTTTATTGGTTCTTATTGGCCTAGCTTGGGTTGTATGTTTTCCTTTCTTAGTAATTTCTATGGTGAGAGGAGGATTATTCTCCAACTGGCCAAGGCTGGATTAACACATGTCCAGATTTAGGCCGCGCACAGTGGCTCATGCCTGTAATCCCAGCACTTTGGGAGACTGATGGTGAGAATCACTTGAAGTCAGGAGTTTGAGACCAGCCTGGAGTTTCATCAACATGGTAAAACCCTATCTCTACTAAAAATACAAAAATTAGCCAGGTGTGGTGGCGCATTCCTGTAATCCCAGCTACTCAGGAGGCTGAGGCACGAGAACCTGGGAGGTGGAGATTGCAGTGAGACAAGATTACACCACTGCACTCCAGCCTGGGCTACAGAAAAATACCCTCTTCCCCCCCAAAAAAATGCCCAGCTTTGTAGCTAAAGATAGAGAACCTGAGCCTTGTGGTTTGAAGGTTGGCTTTCCAAGGATAAATCATAGTGTTATTACTTGACAAAAGAGGGGATAGATCTTGGGTAGGTAAAACAATAATAATTTTTTTAAAGACTCAATGTGTCATATAAGGCCCTGGATGATCTGACCCCTGCCTGCCTTATCTGCCTTATCTGATTGTAGTCTCCTGCTTACCCTTTGGGCTCCACCCCACTGGCCTTATGTCATTTCCCATTCTGCTTGTGGACATTCACATGGGCAATTTCCTCTGCAAAAAGCAAAGCTCCTTTCTTCAGTTTTCATTGGATTGGTTCATTCCTACAAATTTTTCAAAGGTCAGCCCAACTATCACTTCCTCAAGGAAACGTTAGGTTGACTCATAAACTGGCTTGTATCCCTCCTGTTATCATCCCCCAAAGTCTCTAAACCTTTCATTTATATCTCTTACCATAATTGTAATTTAAGTACCTAATTGGGTAATTTTAGCTCCATGAGGACAAAATTTCTCTGTAAATTTAAAAATATGGTATTACTGAATGGATAAATGAAGGCATGAGAAAATGGGAAAGGTAAAGGAGTACATAGGTGCTGAAAGTTATTACTTTGTTTTTCCCATCGATCTATTTCTGGATCTAGTTTTTCATCAGCTCTCTCTTTCTTTTGTATATCAATACCAATATCTCCCACTGTGGGTTGTTCACTATTGTGTAACAGAGAAAATTAGTTGTAAAACATAACACTGCTATGAGGGTAATTTGAAGCAAAACATTGTCTATTTCAGAAAATGAGCACTTTACACTGGTGCTCATCATCTGAAATGGATAAACCTAGGTGAAGTGCTAGTTCAGTGATTTACCAGCTCTTTTGAGACAGAGTCTGGCTCTGTCACCCAGGCTACAGTGCAGTGGTGCAATCTTGGCTCACAGCTCACTGCAACTTCCACCTCCTGAGTTCAAGTGATTCTCCTGTCTCAGTCTCCCAAGTACCTCAGATTACAGGTGTGTGCCACCACACCCAGCTAATTTTTTTGTATTTTCAGTAGAGATGGGATTTGCTATGTTGGCCTGGCTGGTCTTGAACTCCTTGCCTCAAGTGATCCACCTGCCTTGGCCTCCCAAAGTGCTGGGATTACAGGCATGAACCACTGTGCCTGGCCATTTACTAGCTCTTTGATTGCAGAAATTTATTTATTTTCTCTGAGCTATTACTTATCTGTAAGCTGAGGATAATAATATCCACCTTGCATAATTCTTACAAGAGTATGAAGGCAATACAGTCATACCTCAGAGATCTTGTGGGTTCAGTACCAGACCATAGCAATAGAGCAAATATCACAATAAAGTGAGTCACATAATTTTTTTTGTTTCCCAGAGGATATAAAAGTTAAGTTTACACTATACCATAGTGTACGAAGTGTGCAATAGAATTATATCTTTTAATTTTTGAATATTGCTAAAAAATGCTAACAATCATCTGAACCTTCTGAAAGCCATGATCTTTTTGCTGGCAGAGGGTCTTGCCTCAATGTTGATGGCTGTTGACTGATCAGGGTGGGGGTTGCTGAAGGGTGGGGTGGCTATGTGTGGCAATTTCTTAAAATAAGAAAACAATGAAGTTTGCCACATTGATTGACTCTTCCTTTCACAAAGGTTTCTGTGTAGCATGTGATGCTGTTTGATAGCATGTTACCCACAGAACTTCTTTCAAAATTAGAGTTAATCCTCTCAAACCCTGCTGCTACTTCATACACTCAGTTTACATAATATTCTAAATCCTTTGTTGTCATTTCAACAGTGTTTATAGTGTCTTCACCAGGAGCAGATTCCATGTCAAGAAACCATTTTCTTTGCTCATCTACAAGTAACAACTCTTTAGCCATTCAAGTTTTACTGTGAGATTGCAGCAATGCAGTCACATCTTCAGACTCTCCACTAATTCTAGTTCTCTTGCTGCTTCCACCATGTCTGCAGTTACTTTATACTGAAATCTTCAACTCCTAAAAGTCATCCTTGAGAGTTGGCATCAACTGCTTCCAAACTCCTGTTAATGTTGCTATTTTGACCTCCTTTTGTGAATCACAAATATTCTTAATGGCATCTAGAATGGTGAGCTCTTTCCAGAATATTTTCAATTTACATTGTCTGGATTCAACAGAGGAATCGCTATCTGTGGTAGCTATACGCTAACAAAATGTGTTCCTTAAATAATAAGACTTGAAAGTCAAAGTTACTCCTTGATCTAGGGGTTGCAGAAAGAATGTTGTGTTAACAGGCATAAAAACAACATTATTCTCCTTGCACAAGTCTCCCAGAGCTCTTGGGTCACCAAGTGCATTGTCAATGAGCAGTAATATTTTGAAATAAATCTCCTTTTTTTGGATAGTAGGTTTCAACAGTGGGCTAAAAATATTCAGTAAACCATGTAGTAAACAGATAGGTTGCCATCCATGCTTTATTGTTCCATTTATAGAGCACAGGTAGAGTAAATTTGGCATGATTCTAAAGGGCCCTAGAATTTTCAGAATGGTAAATTGGCATTGGCTTCAACCTAAAGTCACCAGCTGCATGAGCCCCTAAGAAAAGAGTTGACCTGTCCTTTGAAGCTTTGAAGCCATGCATTGACTTCTTGTCCCTAGCTATGAAAGTCCTGGATGATGTCTTCTTCCAATACAAGGCTGTTTTGTCTCCATTGAAAAATCTATTGTTTAGTGGAGCCACCTCCATCATTTATTTTAGCTAGATCTTCTGGACAACTGCTACAGTTTCTCCATCAGCACTTGCGCTTCATTTTGTTCTTTTTCTTTTTTTTTTTTTTTTTGAGATGGAGTCTTGCTCTGTCACCCAGGCTGGAGTGCAATGGCACGATCTCGGCTCACTGCAACCTCTGCCTCCCGGGTTCAAGCTATTCTCCTGCCTCAGCGTCCTGAGTAGCTGGGACTACAGGCACATGCCACCATGCCCTGCTAATTTTTGTATTTTTAATAGAGATGGGGTTTCACCATGTTGGCCAGGATGGTTTCGATCTCTTTACCTCGTGATCCGCCGGCCTCGGCCTCCCAAAATGCTGGGATTACAGGCATGAGCCACCACGCCCGGCCATCATTTTGTTCTTTTATGTTAAGGAGATAGTGTTTTTCCTCAAACTTCATGAACCAACTTCTGCTAGCTTTCAACTTTTCTTCTGCAACTTCCTTACCACTCTCACAGACTTCACAGAGTTGAGGATTGTTACAGCCTTGCTCCAGAGTAAGTTTTGGCTTAAGGGAATGTTGTGGCTGGTTTGATCTTCTATCCAGACCAATAAAACTTCCTGCATGTCAACAATAAGGCCTTTTTGCTTTCTTATCATTTGTGTGTTCACTGAAGTAGCATTTTTAATTTCCTTCAATAATGTTTTCTTTTTTGCATTCACAACTTGGCTAACTGATGTGAAAGGCCCAGCTTTCAGCCTGTCTTGGCTTTTGACATGCCTTCCTCACTAAACTGAATCACTTCTAGCTTTTAATTTAGAGTGAGCTGTGCAACTCTTCCCCTTGAACATTTAGTGGCCATTGTAGGGTTATTACTTGACCTATATTTCAACATTGGTATGGTCTAGGGAATATGGAGGACCCAGGTGAAAAAGAGATAGGGAACAGCCAGTCAGCAGAGCAGGCAGAACACTTATTGCAATTAAGTTTGCCATCTTACGTGGGTACAGTGTTGCACCCAAAATAATTACAATAGTAACATCAAAGATCACTGATCACAGATCATTACAACAGATACAATCATAATGAAACTTAGAATATTATAAGAATGATCAAAATGTGAAACAGAGAAACAAAGTGAGCCCATGCTTTTGGAAAATGTACCAATAGGCTTGTTCAACTCAGGTTGCCACAAACCTTCGATTTGTAAAAATGCAGTATCTGTGATGTGCAATAAAATGAAGCACAATAAAACAAGATATGCCTACATATTCTCTGGGCCCAGCACAAGCAATATTCTTATGATTATTCTTGGATCACAGAACTGTCACTGCAGTAGCAAGCATAGATTTAAAACCATAACCATCATTGTACATCACCCAGATGAAGATCCTTTTGCCAGTGTAAGAAACATGGCGGCCAGGCGCCGTGGCTCATGCCTGTAATCCCAGCACTTTGGGAGGCTGAAGGGGGCTGGATCATCTGAGGTCAGGAGTTCAAGACCAGCCTGGCCAACATGGTGAAATCCCATCTCTACTAAAAATACAAAAATTAGTCAGGGATAGTGACAGGCGCCTGTAATCCCAGCTACTCGGGAGGCTGAGGCAGGAGAATTGCTTGAACCCAGGAGGTGGAGGTTGCAGTGAGCCAAGATCGTGCCATTGCACTCTAGCCTGGGGACAAGAGTGAGACTTCGTCTCAAAAAAAAAAAAAAGAAAGAAAAAACATGGCATGGGAGGGGGAGGGCACAATGAAATCAACTATTTTAGCCTACGTCAGTAACTATGGAGACTATACACCAATTCTGGAGAGGCATGTGGTGAAAATTCCCTCAGGTCTTGGGATTTAATCTATAAACTTACCTGAACCATAAAAAGAAAACTTTATACTGAGTCAATTGGCTCTGGAAAACCAAAGAATTTCTGTGACTTGCTTTATTATGATACTCTTTTTATTTTAGTGGTCTGGAACCAAACCCATGGTATCTCTCATACTTTCTTATCAGACAGAAGAAGTGTATTGAAACCATTCTCTTTTATTGCTTAAGGCAGAAGGGGGTGAGGTTTGATGGGTTTAGTCCTTTGTAAGACCTCTCCTCTACCTCAGCTTGTCAGTAGAGTGATTTTTTAAAAGACCCAATTTTTCAGGGACCTTATTCAATATATTATATTTTCTTCCCTTTAACTATGCACCTCAGTTTGCTCTCTCCCATTAGCATTTAGACATGCTCAATTCTTTCCCATCTTAAAAAATTCCTTTCTCAATCTCACATCCCCCTGTAGCTACTCTGCTATCTTCTTCCTCCTCTCTGTAGCGAACATTCTTTAAATAGTCATCCGCACTCACTATCTCTACATCCTCACTTCCTGTTTAGCATTCAACCTCAGGCAATCTGGCTTCTGTCACCACTGCTCTTCTACTAAAACTCATTTTGCCAAGGATTGCAATGAATGCACCACCATCCAAGGGATACTTCTTATTACTTGTCTCAGGTGATAGTTCAGTATGTGGCCCTGCTAATGCTCTGTCATGAAGCATTTCCTTAATTTGGCTCCCATAAAACCACACACATCTGGATTTCTCCTTTAGGGGCTCCTCCTCTTTCTCTCGAACCTCGAGAGTGGTGTTCCTCCGTTTCTCTTCTGGAGTTCCACTTTTCTTCTCCCTCAGTGTATGAGATTATTTTCCTCAACTGCCATCTTTATGCTGATGATTCACAAATTTCTAACTCCAGTCTGGATCTTTTTTCTGAATTTCGGGCTCAGATACCCAGCTACTCACTGTGTATCTCATAATGGATGTCCTTCCAGTGCCTGAAACTTAACTTGTTCATCGTGATTTCTTCTTCCCACAACCCCCAAACTCCTACTCCCAGGTCCTTCTATCTTCTTTTTATCTCCAGTGAAAGCCACTACCAACCATTTTGTCGGCCAGGTCAGAAACCTGGCTGACATCCTCAATCCTGCCTCTGCCTCACCCTGCTCCAAGGTAGTTACTGTGCTCCATTCCTGCTACTTCTGTTAATACCTCTGGATCTACCCATTTCTATCTTCTCTATTATTGCCTAATTTCTCATCTAGACCACTCTAATTTTTCTACTCTCTCCTCATAGGTGTCCTAGCCTCTGTTATTGTGTTCTCTCAATCCATTTTCCCCACAGCAACTACAAAAATATTTTCAAAGCCCAAATCTAATCATTTTCTTCTCTTTTCAAATCGATTATTGATTTCTCAGTCCACTTAAGCCACATTCCAAAACCCTTACCATGATTTAAAGTAACCCTCATAATCTGATCCCTGCAAACTGCTGCATCCCAATAGTATGAACTCTTCCTCTTTACTTTCTGTAAGGCTTTTGGAATTAATTTTATTTCATCAAACATGTCATGCTCTCTTATGTCTCTAATATAGATACAGTCGTTTATCTAAAGCAAGCACTTTTCTCTGACTTACCACTTGGCCTGAATAATTCCTATTCATCCTTTAGATCTCAGTTCAAATGTTACTTCCATGGAAAGATCTCCCTGAACCTACAAGGATGAATATTAAGCACCCTTCCTATTGCATCCTGGCATACTTTTATTCACATAACTCAAAATATAGAACAAGGCTGGGAAAATAGAGCATGAGAAATGCCACTACTAATGTGAAACAAGAATGAAGAACAAATATGTGTCATTCTTTTTTTTTTTTTTTAGAAAAAGACATTTATTCAGCGTCACGATCTGACTATTACATTTAGCAATCAAAGCATGGGTGCAAAAAAAAATCTACATTAAAACCCTTTGTTGGAATGCTTTACACTTTCCACAGAACAGGAACTAAAATACCCTGTTACACAATTAGTCACAAATACAGTCCTCGAGTTTTTTGCCCATACACATGAGTATTTGTCTAAAACATGTCTTCTTTGTAGCAGCTAGGCCCTGCCACCACTGTGCTTGGCTGAGTTCACAAATCTGTTGTAACCTGTAGCTTCCCTGTCATTCTTATAACACAGTTGTGAGAGACGTTCTATGACATTATTTCCATCTACTTCTGATCCTTCTGTATTTTGGGGATTTCCTGGGCAGATCTCCATGATGACACAGTTTACTCTGTTTGATTTTGGTCACGGACTGATTAAACTGTCTCTCTAGAATGTAGAAATCAAAACACAAATGACACATTAGTCTCTTAATGTATCACCATAAACTATGATAAATTAGAAATTCACATTTGAGCAACCATTTATGTAATGGAAATGAGAATAACAAGCCTTCATTTCTACAGTTTTTTTTAACAAAAAAAATTCTGTAAATGTGTCCTGACTAGGTTAGATTTTATTCATCTCAAATTCTTTGGTAAGCTCCTCCCTCCTCTCAATTCATGGCACATACCTTTCAGGAGCAAAGCAATTCAAAAGTCCCAACTAAAAGTGGGAACTATAACTATTTCCTTGGTCACCCCACAGCTATGATTTTGAATTTTATAAATTACTACAAAAATTCACATCTTTCCCATTGGCTCCCATCAATAAGTCTCTCAAAAGTAAAAATGTATGCTACCAAGTAAAGTAATTATTGTTTCAAAAAGCTAATGATTCTATAATAAATACATTCTACATTTGCCCTTTTTCTAAAGATATTGGATATGCAATAAGCATTATTGCTCGGTAAGCAGCCTTGTTGGAGAACATTATTATTTACCAGAATTATATGAAATTTTTCTTTTCATGAAATAGTTTAGAGCAAAATGTTTCACTCATTCCAGATTGTATGCATCAAGTTTCATTCTGAGTTTTTGTTTCATTAGAAAATATGTGAATTTGAAACTCTAAACTAAATCCACCAAGCCCCATCCCTCCAGCCTTAATCAATAAAAAGGGGAATTGTTTCAATAAATTTCAAAATTTAAAAAAAAAACTTTTCATAAAACTTTCAGTTTATAAACTTCTGGTCTAATGATTTTTTCTCATTACTTACACACACACACACACACACACACACACACACACACACACACACACAAACTTCTCTCCCTCTAGCTCTTTCTCTCTCCTCTCTCTCCCCTTCATCCAAACATCTTTCTCAGTTGCTTTGAAGGGGAGACAGCAAGTAAGAGCTCCAAACATTTTGTCTTTCATGCCTTTGAATAACTTATTCTTTCCCTTAGAAATGCTTTTAGGGAACAGATTAACTTTCATCTCACATTTGGAATAAACAGAATTACTATCACAGTGGATGGCCTACTTAAAAAAAATACACAAAGCACTCTCTTCCTAAATGTTTCCTTTACTGTAGCATTCTCCTCTATCTGTGTGAGCACAGGCAAGGAATGAAAATGTATCAACCTATGATACAATGTCACAAGTTGGTAAGAGCTTCTTTTCTGCCTTCAGGAAAGAATTAAAGTTGGCTATTTCCCTTTAGTTTGTGGAAAGAATACTGAAGAAAACTTGAATTTGAGAATTTATCACCTGCTGTGTCACCATGGGCAAGTTCTTAATCTCTCTGACACGTTCCTTCATGTATTAAACACATGTTCCCTGGTGTTAAAAAAGTAAAATTCAATAAAATGGAAATTATAATGGTCTTACCTGTTTTCAAGATTACTGTAAATACTAAATGACATAATGCATTTTAAAGGTTTTTTGTAGGTTTTCAGTAGTGGAGGCTAGACTACAATCTTGGATCCTATCATATACTTATTGCCTAAGTTTAACACTTCCAATAAGTGTGTTTTTGGAGTTTCTCTTTCTAAATTTTTTGAATATCTATTTTTGACCTCACACTACCTTTACCTTTAACAGCAATTCTCACTTATCAAAATTATGACTTTACTGTTTCACCAAATTTAAATTTAGAGACTCTCTCATTCTTGTTCACTAGTAGACAGTGCCTATTGACATTGTGTTACTAAAGGGGTTTCAGAAAATTTTCTTCATTAAAATTTATCATCATCACCCTAGGATCAGCATGCACCTGACCACTAATCCATGCTAAAGAAACCCTTCTTCAATAGTTCTCACTGTCTTGCATCTTCCTATCCAGTCAAACTAGGGCCAGTGTTCATAAGATTTCAGAGAACCTCAATGAAATGCTCCTTTGGGATTTGTTTTTGCTATTCTGATGTGTGTGTGTGTGTGTCTGTGTGTGTGTGTTTTCACCTTCTACCCTAGCCTGTCAGAAACCCCTGTTTTGTGGTCCCTGCTTGGATATAATTTATTCTCTTGAGTATACAAGTCATTGTGAAATGCAGAACAATTGCCTGGCAACCAACCCATGTTCACTTTAGTGGTATGCCTAATTACTAACAGATCAAGGTTTTCTGCCAAATCATAATAATATTGTACTCTGAGATATAACATAAGAAAACAAATTAAACAGAGGTTGGTAGTGCAGAGCTTCGCAGGAAACTACTTAGCCTCTCATGCTTGCACAGGCTTTGAGTTGGATCTGAGTCAGAGCTCAATTTTCCCACACATCTCCAGAAAATATGAAAACACACTTTAGAAGATTTGAAGAAAATTGGATATCAACTAATAGCTACCTTACTTCCTTTTTAATTTGCCTTCTCCATATAGGGTGTCTGTCGGAAAGGGAATAATTTAACTTACTGGGGCCTAAACATTGTTTAATCTCTATAGGTCTTCCTTCCAGGAAGAATTGCACTAACTGTTAGCATGATGCCAGATAATAACACTCATAAACTATTGCATGACTATTATTTTGGAAAAAGAAAAAAAATCATATTCAACTGGTCTAATTGCCAAGATTATAGGAATGGCTTAAAAACTTTAAAATTTTTGACACAACTCTATCAGTAGAATTTTCCCATGAGAATAACAACAACAACAAAACAGAATATTCTTCACACATGGAACTCAGGCAATGTTCAGTACTTCTTTCTCCCCACTGCTTCAGGGCATTGTTCCTGTCACTTACATTTCCCCCTAATCATTCTTATTCACTACTGATGATCTGAGTCATTCTTCAGCTGCTAATTATGTCTTCCTCAATTTTTTGACCTATCACAAGAGAATTCAGAAATATTTAATCAATATGAAATATCAAAAGAGTTAAAGGCAGCTTTGCAGGATCTTTGCAAAGGAAAGAGTTCCACTATACTATAGAGAGATATATAAAGTCTGTTCTTTGTCATAGGATGTTCTATGAATGATAATATTGTGTGCCTGTTAACTATTCATAATAGGTGTAAACACTAAATGTTTTTATTGCGTTCTCACACATTAAGCCATCCCAGTGATTTTCAAGCACAGTTTGTACATCTCATTGTGAATCATTCAAAAAGTATTGTTACTCCTGCCCCATCCCAGACCTCCTTAATCAGAATCTCCAAAAGGCCTGCGGGGGTAGAGGAGGGTAACCTAGTCATGCATATTTTTCAAAAGCTCCCTAAATTAGATTTTGTTTTCCCAATTGAAAGGTTTGGTGCTATCCCATTCTGAGCATTTTATTAATATCACCAAAGACCCATGTCCGATTAATGATTTCAGTAGATGGCGCTCTTTCCACCTGCCAGCTTCCTTGCTTGGCGGAATGAACCCTAAGCCATTCATAAAAGTCAAGGGCAGGTCAAAGGTGCAATTCCCACCAATATTGAAAACATACACTAGAACTTACCTTTGCAAACCAATTGTTAGTCGGTTAAGACACACGTTAAAGTGGTGGTGGGGAAGGGGTACAGTATCACATTTGCTTATTACATGAATGTAATTATTCTTCTGAAGAGTTCAAGAATGTCAACTCCCTGGCACAAAATTGGAAACTAAAGAAACAGAGTAGAAAGCAGTGATTTTTTTTATAAAGTAGAGATTTGGACAAAAGAGGTTTTTTTAAAAATATGAGAAAGATATAGGAAATACTGATGTTACTGCTATACAACATACTGTGTGAAAAACTTATGATGGGGCAAACATAGATGTCTGTATCTGCTAAATTGGGAGACAGCACCAGGTAGCCTGCAAGATCATCAGCTTTAGAGTCAGCTAACCCTGATTGAGACAATTCTTCCCGCTATTTTATAGCAACCAAGTTACTTAGCCCTTAATTCTCAACAAGATATTACCTACTTTACTTGGTTATAATAAGCATTAAATTAAAAGAGATAATGAATGTAAAACAATTATTTCAATGCTTGGTGCACAGCCAGTATTTAACCAATAAACTTACTTTTGGAGTGCTAAGTAAATGTAGGTGCTGAGTTTTTAATTTTTTAAGTAGCAAAGGATAATAGAAAATTAACATGAGGTTTTGAAGGGAAGATTCCTTTACCAGTCAGTACTAATAATGGTGAGAAAAAAATTAGAGGAGGATAAGCAGGAAAAAAACAGAAGGTTAGCTTTGGTATAATAAAAAAGGCCTAAACCTTAATTCACAAAATTTAGATTTGTAAGGTGCTCTCTATTTACAGGATGTCTGACCCTAAGTAAATCAATTAATCTCATCTTTAATATTTATATGATGGAAATTACATTAAATAAATCACTTAACCTCACCTTTAATATTTATATGATGGAAATTACATTAAATGCCATTTTTAATATGACATCATTTTGCATATTAAGTCATAATACACATAAAATGCCAAAAAACTATAGAGTCCTATAAAATGGTGCTGAGGTAATTATTAATAGTTAAATTTTATTGATTACTGAAATTCATCAATAAAGTTAAAAATTATTCTTTCAAAATAAAATGAGATACTAAGTGAGTTAGTAAATTTGGATGAGGACAAAAAGAGTAGTTACTGGATTGTGAAGTCAGAATTTATGAAAAGAAAAAGTATTCCCTAAAATTGTAAGAGATTGGTATTAGCAATATTTGCAATAATTGTGGAGGAATTTCCATGATGTTGTCCCACTAATGATTCTAATATTCTTTCATTTTCTTTTTGAGACAGAGTCTTGCACTATCACCCAGGCTGGAGTTCAGTGGTACAATCATGGCTCACGTGGCTCACAGTCTTGAATTCCTGGGCTTAAGTGATCCTCCTCAGTAATATTCTTTCTATAATGCCTTTGCCAATACTTTTCAGTTTATCTTATATTCTACTTTGCCCCCATTAAATTAGTACACACATTGGATAGTTCCTGATTTCATTAATTTAATATTATATAATTTGTATTTTTTCCTTAAAATTTTCAAATTATATAAAGAAAAATTAACCAAATAAAATCAGATTAGGAAAAAAGTAACTAGAAATCATAAGAGATTCTATCGAGATTCTCATCATATTATAATCCCTGGGTTTAGACAATAATTTTTATTAATAATAATTTATATTAATAAGCTAAAATATTATATCTCAATATGTCATCTATTGGAGACTGTTGAAACTTAGTATTCTGTGTTAAATACGTACCTACATATAATGTGCAGTAATGTAACCAAACAAAATAAATAAGAAAGCTTTTTAACCGCAGTGACTGCTATGCTGTTTGATGGTCAATTGTCTTTTAAGCATACAGAGAATCTTTATCATGTTATACTTCAGAAACATGTTTTTGGAGATGGGAAACAACAGGCCATGATTTTATGTTTTTGTTAAACCAGTATAATTCTTTCAAAGCAGTGTATATCACAACTATTTCTCTGTGTTGAAGAGAGTATCAAGTTCTTAAAGAAAAATGTAATCCCAGCACTTTGGGAGGCTGAGGTAGGAGGAGCACGAGGTCAGGAGTTGGAGAGCAGACAGGAGAATTGCTTGAATCCGGGAGGTGGAGGTTGCGGTGAGCAGAGATCGCGCCACTCACTCCGTCCTGGGTGACAGAGTGAGACTCCGTTTCAAAAAAAAAAAAAAAGAAAGAAAGAAAGAACATTTTCTATTCTGCAGGTGGGAGGAAATGAAGAATGCACCTATTATTTTTGTGTTAGTACAACATAAAAAAAATTTGCATTGTAAAGCAAACTACCATCATCAGCTCTTTAATGGACAGCAGCAGACAGGAAACTGCCTCCACCCTGAGACTTAAAGACTGAGCAACTGAGTTAGATAGCAGGTGCGCAGGCCAATCAAGTCAATTTTCTAACACAGAGTAGCATGTTGTGGAACTTGTTCTATTAGTCTTTTTTCTCTGTTAAGGAAGCAAGGATCTCTCTGTATGGAAGCAGTGCTGCTATTTCTAGTTTGAGGAAAAAAATGGTAAAGAATTTGATAATTAATTGTTGTTAAAACAGCAAATTATATTTTAAACACAGATTGTCCACACCTGTAGGAGGAGGAATCTCAAGAATGCACACAATTAATAAAAGCTGGTTCTGAATTACCCATACAAGTGCGCACTGCGTTCAGTAAACAACTGATTTGCAAACTATATCCTTTCTTTCCCAGAAATAGCAGGAGGAAGTTTTTCAAATCAAAAAAAAAATCTAACTAAAATATTTTATACGTGAAGGCCTGCAGAATTTTACTTCCTTTTGCTGTTGAAAAATCACAATAGCCAAGAGGAGTAATGTATTTTATTTTAACTTTTAAAAAGTCATGATGGTTAAGGGTAGAGTGGAGGTGCAGAGAAAGAAGTTGGCAAGAAAATGTTCAGGGCCTGTTGTAAAACCAACTGCAACCCAAACATGATTCCAAATAGGTAAGAACACCCTGTTACAACAGAGAGCAGTTTTCAAAGAAGAAATGAGAGGGAGGTGACCTGAAAGATCATTTCCCAGTTATAACTAAAGGAACCTACGGATACTTTTATATTAAACACATGCTAATATAATATTTTCCACATATTATTAAATGTAAGAAGATATATAATTATATACTTCTATAGTCAGAAACAAAATAACTCCTAGAAGTAAATGGTTTGTTACTGTAGTAGTAGTAACTACCTGGGCACTTACCTAGTGCTCTTATTAAAAACTCACCACAACTCTGCTGTCTTACAGGTTGTTGAACAGATTGAAAGAAACCGATACCGAGAGAGTTAAGTAAAATGCACAAGGTCACACTGGAAAAGATAGAGTTAAGAGTCACTCAGCTCTGTAAAACTCCAAAGCCCATGTTTCAACAACTCTGCAATACTGTGCACTGTATAAATGTATGTTGTGGTCTTGAGAGAACTTTATTTCCTGGACTTGAAAAATACATCACAAGCCGGGCGCGGTGGCTCACGCCTGTAATCCCAGCACTCTGGGAGGTCAGGAGTTCCAGACCAGCCTGGCCAATATGGTGAAACCCCGTCTCTATTAAAAATACAAAAAATAGCTGGGCGTGGTGGCGCACGCCTGTAGTCCCAGCTACTCCGGAGGCTGAGGCAGAAGAATCGCTTGAACCCGGAAGGCCGAGGTTGCAGTGAGCCGAGATCGCGCCACTGCACTCCAGCCTGGGTGACAGAGAGAGGCTGTCTCAAGAAAGAAAGAAAAGGAAAGAAAAGAAAGAAAGAAATAAAGATCACAAAGAACTTTCAAACAGCTTAGATTTTAAAGTGCATTAACAATTTCCAAGACCTAAGTGACGCTTTAGTGTACAGCTAGAAAACATGGAATGTCATTCCCACCTGAAATGTTTAAGGGAAAATGTACTATTTCCTTAGTTTGTGCAAAATCTGAAATCTGAGTCAACTTTGTTTCAAAATGGAATAAACAAAGTTTGATTGGACCCACTAAACATTCTTCTTAGCAACAATGCGACACTTGCAAGGAGTTCCCTTTTTCACACTCTTCAAAGAGGAAATATTCCGATTTCGTAAAATTAGGGCTTCGCTTTTAAAAAAAATTACAGACCAAAAAAAGTGTGGTTACACAATATAACTAGTATTGACTTAAGGGTACTGTGATCACCATGCAGTGATCCCATAAAAGATGTGACCAAAATACCCACTTAAAATTTGAACGTCAGTCATGTAAGAACATGTAAAAGATGAAGGGAATATTTCAAAAACGACTATCTGACGTAATATGATACTTACTATGACTCATATGGGCTTTGTTCTTCATCTCATCTTCAAATAAAAAGTTGATGATTAGAAAAAGGAGCATTAGAAGGGGGAAGTAACACTACTCGGCAATAGAGAAAAACTCCGGTCAAAGGAAGAGCATAGTTACAGAGCTCCGAATGTCAGGGAAAATCAAGCATCCGTCATTCGGAATTAGCTCTGTATCGGTCGGTTTCTTCATTACTTAATTGTACGGGGGGAAACTACTTCAAAGTAAGGGCTCTTACGAGAGGCAACTTAAGCATTTGAAAGTGCAGGTTTATTTCCTCCTAGCGAGAAGTAGGGGGTCACTAGTGAGAAACCTATTTCAATCTGTGAGACGCCCCCTTCTACTCAGCCCACGTGGCTAAAGTAAACAGAAGGTGGGCCGGGGCGGGGAGAAACAGAACTCGGTCAATTTCCCAGTTTGTCGGGTCTTTAAAAATACAGGCCCCTAAAGCACTAAGGGCATGCCCTCGGTGAAACAGGGGAGCGCTTCTGCTGAATGAGATTAAAGCGACAGAAAAGGGAAAGGAGAGCGCGGGCAACGGGATCTAAAGGGAGATAGAGACGCGGGCCTCTGAGGGTAAGGTGGGCGCAAGCGGAGGTGTGGTGCGGGGAGAGGTGCCAGTGGGTGGAGGCGGGGGCCAGAGCGAGGGCACGTGCGGGTACACTCCGGAGGAGGTGGGTGCGCGCGGGGGCGTGTGCGCGGGACCTCGAAGTGGTGGTGGAGTGCAGACCAGCAAAAAGTTTCAAAGGGAAATCTTAGATGTCACGTCTTTGTCCAGGCACCCGTGCCATCCCAACCTCCCACCTCGCCCCCAACCTTCGCGCTTGCTCTGCTTCTTCTCCCAGGGGTGGAGACCCGCCGAGGTCCCCGGGGTTCCCGAGGGCTGCACCCTTCCCCGCGCTCGCCAGCCCTGGCCCCTACTCCGCGCTGGTCCGGGCGCACCACTCCCCCCGCGCCACTGCACGGCGTGAGGGCAGCCCAGGTCTCCACTGCGCGCCCCGCTGTACGGCCCCAGGTGCCGCCGGCCTTTGTGCTGGACGCCCGGTGCGGGGGGCTAATTCCCTGGGAGCCGGGGCTGAGGGCCCCAGGGCGGCGGCGCAGGCCGGGGCGGAGCGGGAGGAGGCCGGGGCGGAGCAGGAGGAGGCCCGGGCGGAGGAGGAGAGCCGGCGGTAGCGGCAGTGGCAGCGGCGAGAGCTTGGGCGGCCGCCGCCGCCTCCTCGCGAGCGCCGCGCGCCCGGGTCCCGCTCGCATGCAAGTCACGTCCGCCCCCTCGGCGCGGCCGCCCCGAGACGCCGGCCCCGCTGAGTGATGAGAACAGACGTCAAACTGCCTTATGAATATTGATGCGGAGGCTAGGCTGCTTTCGTAGAGAAGCAGAAGGAAGCAAGATGGCTGCCCTTTAGGATTTGTTAGAAAGGAGACCCGACTGCAACTGCTGGATTGCTGCAAGGCTGAGGGACGAGAACGAGGTCAGAGCGCTTCTCTTATGCCGCGAAACTCTCCCTTTCTTCTCCCCTTCGCTTTTTCTCGGGCTTCCAGGGACTGGGGAGCAAACCCTGTAGTGTCACCCACAAATACCAAGAGGGAAGAGGGAAGCTTCACAAATTACTGGAGCCTCTTCAACATGGCTGACAAATATAGTTTTAATTCCCTCTACCCCTTTTAAACCTGTAGTTCTGTGTTCTCTTCTCTCCTCCTAATGCTCGTCCCCTCATCTCCCAGAAAACTTACCTTTGTGCCTCCGACGAGCCGGTTTCCCGGCCTTTTTTAATCCTCAGAAAAGTGATTTTTAAATTTGCTTTCCTTTCTAAAATAGTTCAGCTTTGGGGGCACTACTTTTCCCTTTAATCCTCTTCCCCTGTTTCTTTCGTGTAAGTGAAACGAGTCTCCCGTTTATCCTGAACAACCTCAGAGAGAACACTGATAGGGTGTTTTTCGACCCTTTTATCAGCTGTAGGGTCTGGGTCTGGGTTTGTGTCTGCCTCCTCCTACCTTCTTATCCCCCTTTAGGGGGCTGTACGAAGTGAATGTCACAGGGAGTGGAATTGGAGTACACTGAGTGGGTTTTTTTTTTCCTTAAGTCCGCGCGTTTTGTTAGCGGCGCTGAGTGAAAGAGGAAAGAATAGTTTCTCTGGTTCCCCAAACAAGACCAGAACTCACTTTTCTCAAGGTACATAAGTCAGCGCTGGGCTGAGCCTTCCAGCCTGGGGAATGTATGTAAGAGAATTTATGGACAAATCTGTGTCCCGGCTTTGTGCTTCTCCCGAATCAGCTTCGTTTGGTTCCTTGGTAAGTGACAGGCAGACACAAAGGCAGGCGCAGGCCCGGGGAGGGGGCGGGAGGGGGTGGGGAGCGCAGCGTTGGAGTTGCAAGACTGCAAGGTCAGGGGCGCCTAAAGAAATGAAACCCAATCCCAGCAAAGAAGTGAAGAGCAGATTTATAACAGTCCCATCCAAATTTCTCTTTGGCTTCTCTCTTTGGTCTTTCATCTCTCTGCCTTTCTCTCTGTGTCTCCTCTCTACTCTTTCTTCTCTCTCTCTCATACACATACACACACACACACACACACACACCTCACTCGCATCTTGCTGAATCTTTTCACTGGGACTGCTTGTCTAGTTTTATTAAGCTAATAGGGTTTGTATGGAGAGTTTTCTACCTATGACATAATGAAGTGTGGCCTGGATAGACTCCTGGAAAGGCCGAAAATGAAATATAAGTGTTATTTGCTGGTTATTCCCCTCATGATATACTTTTAATTACATTGAGGGAGTTCTCCCTTCTTCATCTAATGTTTAAGAATTGAGAAAAGGCTTATTTTCCAGCGGTAAAATTTAGTGCATAAAATTTAGTGAAATATTTATATATTTACGTGTCTAGGGAGTGGAATACATTCATGAATTTAATATCTCAAATCACACATTGTGCTTTTTCCCCTTCAGTCAGGGATTATAATGGGAAACCCAAATTCAAAGATATTCATCAACAAATGATCCATCATAGGAATAAGATTGTATCTTAAGGGAAGTTGGGATTCACAGAGAAAAGACATTGGTTTGGTTTGGTGTGATACTGTGGGTATTGTTGCCTGGCTAATGAAATCATTACATTTGCATTTTAATGGAAAGTTGAAATACTAAGGGGAGTTATGTTCTTTTACATGTTTGTATGTGTGCTTAATAATGTTTGGAATAGAATATAAATTTAAACACAATAAATATTGATTTTTTTAAATGTTAATAAGCAGAGAACGGTTAATGAAGTGTTGGATAATCAAACTGAAGTTTAGAAGACAATTTATAGGATTAAAAAATGGATAGAAGGAAAAACACAATAATAGATATTTCTCCATAAGTCGAATTTCCAAAACTATTTGTCCTCGATAGTTCACTTTGTAACTTTCTATTTTGATCTTTGTTAATTTAATGTAGTTTGCTTTAATCATTGATACGTGGGGTTCTTTCACATGATTACAAGGGAGAAGCATTACTCATCTCTGTGGAATAGAAACGGTTCATTGGTTAGTTCTTATTTGCCCTAAAATTAAAACAAAAATTAGGATTTTACCATTAATGCTGTTCATGGTAAACTATCGAGAAAACTATGGTTAATTATTCCAGCAATTCAGAATTAAAAACAATTCCTTTTGCTAACAAACTAATATTTACTTTTTGGGGACAACTTTTCAAATGTTGTGGTATATACTGTCTTCAGGCTACTCAACTAATAATAGATACAACATTTTCCACTCAATAAATAAGAATAACTACATTGGTTAATAATTTTGAATACAACTATGAAGGCTTGTTTTTTCCTGTCATCAAATTTAGATTCTTGTTATTTTGTGCATCCTACTTTTATACTGAAAATAGCTGCTAATTAATACTGTATAAAGTATTTCAGTGATTATAAGGAAGAGATGTGTATGTTAGTCACTTTATCCTTTGTTGGAAAAGAGAAATTATTTTAATAAGTATGGGGTAGTTTACAATAAAAGACATAACCTCAGTTCTTTCTTTACCATATATGTGATCATACTACCTAGGTGCTCCAAAAATTCCATAGGACTGTCTTGGGTTATTGAATTTTAGGAACATGATAATGGACAATAACAAGATAGATAGCTTTTCTTAACTATGACATTGTTTTGCTTATTTTCTTATTGAACTAATCATCAATGAGAAATTAAGTTGCAGTGAGAGAAATCCCTTGCTTTGTTTAAATTGTCATATTTGCCAAACTCTTCTTAAGGCTTTAATTAGGTCTGATGTGCCAGTTTATGCCAGAAGCCGGAGGAATTGATATGATTTTGAGGCAGTGGCACATGGTCCTACTAGACATTGGCAAGTGAATATCACTTCCAGAACAAGTGAAGTGCACCTGCCAAGGAGTTGTTATGAAAGAATTCCAAAGTCCTTATTGGGCACTGGTCTTGTATTAGGTAACAACAACTGGAGTTAATGTTTTAGTTTCACTTGTTGAAGTTAAAAGTTCCCTATCAATTCTTCTAAGACTCCACCCCCAAACAATGTTGTAAGTCAAATGTCACTATTGAAATGTATTTCCTTAATTACTGACCTCATTAAGAAGCCCTTCTTATGATTCATAGGCACACCTCACAGAAACTCTATTTTCCATCCTGCCCAAAGTCTGAGTAGGTAAATTCTTATGAATTCTTATGAAATTACCTTGAAATAAAATATCTTCAAAAGTTACGGATGCTAGACATTGTATAATGTCAATATTTTAGAATATCTAATATTTAGAAAATCTTAGATCTACTTTTTATGCTTTAATTGCTTCTAATGCAAGTTAAATTGTTTTTGTTGTTATTGTTTTAATAGAATTTCATAGTCTTATCTAGCAATTTCAAATCGCTGGAAAGAGTCATCTTTGTTATATAAATAACCATGTAGACTGTTTTAATGTTATTGTTTCCTACCTTGGGAACAGGCTAAAACTTTGGACCAGCTGTCAGTATTTGTTCATCAGAATAACACTTTGTCAATGATTATTCTACCATTGCACAGTAGTTCTTAAGGATAGTAATGGTACCAAAGCCAGCAGCAATAGAATATCTCCCAAGCCAACTTTACAATTGGAGCCTTCACTGTGGGAAAGACCAGTTGCCAAGTAGAGCTGGTGGTTATCTGGGAAACTGTGCTGAAGAACACAACCACAAATGATTTTGCCAAATATACAGTATTTACTTGGTCTAGATCTCCAATTTCTATTTCTACTCACTGCCAAAACTGAGTGAATACTGTGACATTATTGAAGGAGGTTATGCAGTACATCTGTTGGTTTGGTATATAGTAGGAGAGAAGGGTTCCAGGAGGGAAAGGGGAAAGTCAGAGCATGTGAATCACTGTGACTACAATCCAAAAAGAATTATGTATGTCTGCTATTTCCAGCATTATTTTTGTCCTATATTGTACATTGCAGAGACTTGCTGACTTAAAATAGATATATAATCTTTTTCTCAAAAGAATAGATATTTGGTTGTCCATTCCAAATAACAAATTTTGGATGGGCGTGGTGACTCATGCCTGTAATCCTAGCACTTTGGGAGGCCAAGGTGAGAGATCACTTGAGGCCAGGAGTTTGAAACCACCCTGGGCAACACAGTCAGGCCCCAGTCTCTACAAAAAATTTAAAAAGTTAGTGGGGCATGGTGGTACATTCCTGTAGTCCCAGCTACTCAGGAGACTGAGATAGGAGGATGGATTGAGCTCAAGTGTTCTAACTTATAGTGAGCTCTGATCACACCACTGCGCTCCAGCCCAGGCAAGAGGGAGAGACCCTATCTCAAACAGCGACAACAACAAAACCAAACAAACAAAAAAGCACATTCTATCAGCTTTGATTTATGTTTTCTTCATTTGTAATGACATGTAGTTAAATGTGTCATACTTCAAAAAGAAGAAACAGATAGTAGGTGGATTTTCAATATAATATATATTAGATATAGATAATATATATTTTCAATATATAATATATGTAAAAATAAATTCAGTGATAATATCATCCTACCTGCAGTTTTAAGAATTCAGAACTCAGGCCAGGTGTGGTGGCTCATTCTGGGAGGGGAAGGCAGGAGGATCACTTGAGGCCAGAAGTTCTAGACCAGCCTGGGCAACATAGTGAGATACCTGTCTCTATTCAATAAAAATAAAAATAAAAATAATTCAGAACTCAATGCTTTATACTCACTGAAAGTTGTTCCTCTAAACTGACTTGAAATCATGTTCCAAATAAACTGAGAATTAAAGTAAGAGACGAGGCCGGTTGTGGTGGCTCATGCCTGTAATCCCAGCACTTTGGGACGACAAGGCAGGTGGATGACCTGAGGTCAGGAGTTTGAGACCAGCCTGGCCAACATGGTGAAACCCTGTCTCTACTAAAAATACAAAAATTAGCCGGGCATGGTGGCACACACCAGTAATCCCAGCTACTCAGGAGGCTGAGGCCCGAGAATCACTTGAGCCTGGGCATGGTGGCTCATACCTATAATCCCAGCACTTTGGGAGGCCGAGGCAGGTGGATCACCTGACGTCAGGAATTCGAGACCAGTCTGGCCAACATGGTGAAACCCCATCTCCACTAAACATACAAAATTAGCTGGGTGTGGTGGCACATGCCTGTAGTCTCAGCTATTCTGGAGGCTGATACAGGAGAATTGCTTGAACCCTCCCGGGAGGCAGAGGCTGCGGTGAGCCGAGATGGCTCTGCTGCACTCCAGCCTGGGCGAGGCAGAGAGACTCTGCCTCAAAAAAAGAAAAATAATAATAATAAATAGGAGATGAATAAATTGGGATAAAGTGTTTTTGAAGGACAGTCTAGGATATAAAATGAACTGGTTGTTTGACTAAAAATACTACAAATGTTTCTTTCAAATTACATTTCTTTTTTGTCTATTGGAAGGTAGGCACTGATTTCTATGTCTTTCTATTCCCTAATAGAACCTACTGTTGACCTCTCAGTCAATATTTAATGGATGATATAGAACTAGTGAAAAACCATGCAATTTAACTAGAAAAAAAAAGTATAATCTATTTTCTTTTCCTTTTTCTTTCTTTCTTTCTTTCTTTTTTTTTTTTTTTTTGAGACGGTATCTTGCTCTGTCACCTAGGCTGGAGTGCAGTGGTGTGATCTCGGCTCACTGCAACCTCTGCCTTCCAGGTTCAAGTGATTCTCTTTCTCAGCCCCCAGAGTAGCTGGGACTAGGAGCGTGCCCCACCACACCTGGCTAATTTTTCTATTTTTATTAGAGACAGGGTTTCACCATGTTGGCCAGGCTGATCTCGTACTCCTGGTCTCAGGTGATCTGCCTGCCCGGGTCTCCCAAAGTGCTGGGATTACAGGCATGAGCCACTGCACCTGGTCTAATCTATTTTCAATGTATAAGAGAAAAATAGTGTTAAGTGTCTTGGTGATGGTGATGATGGTAGGAGTAATGGTGTGTTTTCCTTACATTTAATTTCTACAGGCTATGGCAATTGCCCTATAAAAGCCACCCATTTTAAGCACAAAAGTGAATGGTTTTTAGTAAACTTATATGGGATCATATATTTTTAATTGAAATATTTTTTGAGTTAATTATAGATTCATATGCCATTGTATGAAATAATACAGAGAGATTCCACGTATACTTGCTCAATTTCCCCCAGTGGCAACACTTTGCAAAACTATAATATCATATCACATCACATGCAAAACTATAATATCATATCACAACCATGATACTGACATTGATGTGGCCTACTAATCTTATTCAGATGTCCTCAGTTTAACTTGTACTCATTTGTGTGTGTTTTGTTTTATACCATTTAGTCACATGATCACATATTTTTAAACCTTTTTTTCTCAAAACAGAGAAGTTTAGCACAAAAGTTTAGCAATTTATCAATCTTGTGATTGTGCTGTTATGCCATATTAAAATGTGTGTCAGAATGTAAGTTTTTGTTTTCTTAAAAGTCCTTTTTTTGATAGAATGGCCTTTATGTTAAAAATATTTTAAGTTGTTTTGTGACAGTGTAAGTCGATGTCATTTAATTCTCATCACAACCCTAGAGATAGGTATTATTCTTATCCCTATTTATGAGTGAGGAAACTGAAGCCCAGTGAGGTTAAATAACTTCCTTAAGTTCATACAGCCTATACATGGCTTAGGCTTAGCCAGCATTTGAGTTAAGCAGTCTGTCTCTAGTGCCAAATCTTTTAATCACTATATTATACTTCATCATTATCATTGATAGCTGTAAAAGTGTATAATGTGGACTATGTAGAGAAAGTCATAAAAGGAGATTTAAAATGCATACAGTTGTTCACATGAAAACTTGTAGCCAAATGTTCATTACAGCATTATTAATAATGGTAAAAAATGGAAACAACCCAGATGTCTATCATGTCATGAGTGAATAAACAAATTGTGGTATATCCATACAGTGAAATATTATTAAGTAGTATAAAGGAATGGATTATTGATAAATGCTGTCACATAGGTGAATCTGAGAGGCACAAGAAAGGCCACATATGATATGCTTTCAATTTTAAGTAACGTCCAGAATAGGCAAATCTAAGGAGACAGAAAGTTGGCTAGTTATTACTAGGGGCTAGGGATGGGAGGGAGGTGACTCCTAATAAGTATGAGATTTCTTTTGGTGATGATGAAAATGTTCTATAATTAGATAGTAATGATTGCCCAACTCTTTGAATATGCTGAAACCCACTGAATTATATGCTTTAAAAGGATGAATTTATTGTATGTGAATTATATTTCAAAAAGCTGTTGTTATAAAAATGAATGTAGTTGAGTTATTTGGTTTATTTTATGTCAGAAAATGTCTTACATC
Source organism: Homo sapiens (assembly GCF_000001405.40). NCBI lineage: Eukaryota > Metazoa > Chordata > Mammalia > Primates > Hominidae > Homo > Homo sapiens. The sequence continues at coordinate 105,154,366 of NC_000004.12, forward strand.
TCATGCAAAAGAAATGCAGGAACTATTTGGATTGAATGAGGCTAAGCATATCTTTCTAGGAAGATGGCATCAAGGAGTTTTATTATGCCTGTAATCCTGGCACTTTGGGAGGCCAAGGCGGGAGACCAGAAGTTTGAGATTAGTCTGGGCAACATCCTCTTATAGATGAGAAGGATACTTAATCACTCAAAAGTTGGCATTGTGTTTTGTGATAACAATAGCCTTTAGAGCTCATATGGGAAGATTCAATAGATAGTGATAGGTTATATGACTTGGTAAAGAGGGCTTAATGTATAGGTGCAAGAAACTTTCTCAGATGTCTTTAGTTACCTAGCCATTCAGTTCAGGAGATGTAACCCAAGTGTTAAAAGGAATGTGACTGGGTGCGGTGGCTCACACCTGTAATCCCAGCACTTTGCGAGGCGGAAGTGGGTGGGTCTCTTGAGCTCAGGAGTTGGAGACAAGCCTGGGCAACATGGCAAAACCCCATCCCTACAAAAAATGCACAAATTAGCTGGGTGTGGTGGCACATCCCTGTAGTTCCAGGTACTTGTGGGGCTGAGGCGGGAGGATGGCTCGAGCCTGGGAAGTTGAGGCTGCAGTGAGCCATGTTGGTGCCCCCACACTTCAGCCTGGGTGACAAAATGAGACCCTCTCTCTCAAAAAAAAACTATAAAAATTGCTGTTCTTGTTTAAATTACTACAAAGTGCAGTTTAATCTAGAAATAATAACAAATTACTAGATTTGGGGGGTTATTAATGTCTTATCTATGTGAAAACAGAAGGGCAATGCAGGGCAGAGAATAAACTTCAAAACTTTGAGTTTGTTAACTGTTTATATCTCCACTTGTCATGTTTCAGATTTTAAAGTTAAAATGACAAAGTATCTCATAGGGTTTAAACAAGTGACTCTTTTCCTGTTAACTGATACTGTGGCATGTTGAAGATGTAAAATAAGGTTGAAAAGGAAATTGCTTTGCAGCAGTCTTCATAATGCCAGGACAAAGTGAGAAACAGGGTCAGAATGATGATGGCTCTCCATCTTTGCTACACATGGCTGCAAGTATTTACAAATACCAGCAGAACTTCTACAAACCACTTACAGGTAAAATGAGTGCAGATTTTTAACACTAGTCCCTATGGAACTATGACTTGTAGTTTTGGACACACAGGGTGAATTACTTGGGGTTGATTGTATTTGAATTTCTAACCTTATGTAATTCTAGATACCAGACATTCTTGTTGTGCAATGCTTCTCTCCCTTTTTATTCTCATGAGAATGCTGGGTTGCAGCCGGTTGGATCCCATACCTTGGGACCATGACTGATAACTGGAGTGGAGAAAATTCACTGATCTGGAAAGGTTGAGCTTTAGGGTTCAGAGACTTATTTAAGGTACACATGTGATTGTACCCAATAAGGAAGTATATTGGCTTTATATAATTGTTATGATCACTTGTTCAATGAGTAACTATAGAATTTTACTTTTTAAGAGTATGATCATAGCATCTACTTGTAGGTTTGTTGAGTATGTTTGACAAGCCCAAGATAGATGCTCATGTTAGACCCATTAAGAAGTTGGTGTAGTGATGGTTATGGAAAGCAGTAAGATAGAATTTAGGTTCTGTTCTCCTTACTGGAGAAATGACTAGCTTACTTGTCTTCACTCTCTCTTGTTTCTCTCAAAACTTTGTGAACCACCTCAGCTGACTATAAATTTTTGTACTAGTATCTCCATAATTTTAAAAAAGTTGTTCACAAGTTTGAGTGTAGTACTTCATCTTTGCTTTTTAATGCACTTCCAAAAAATGTAAATCTGTTCTCGCATATTAGGAACATTTTGATTTGTTGTTTATTTTTAGCTTTGCTTTTTATAAGTAATTTATACAGAAGGTACACCATATTCAAAAGAAGAAAAATGGGCTGTGAATTTTTGCTGATGTACTACTCTCTTCAAAGGGAATTGCCTATGTTCAGGCATAGAAATGCAGGCAGTCTGACATTTAGGTATGCCATACAGAGTATTGATATTTTTAATTTGCTACTTTTAACATTTTGAGATTTGTCACAGTTTGTTCTGTGGGTGGGTAAAAGTAATGGTAATTTTAATTACAGTTGTCGTGCCTCATTAGCCATTGCTAAAACCTGCCTTACCAAATCACTTATTTTCTTGATGCAGTGTTAAATCTAGCTTCTATGTCCAGGTTATACATTAATGAGAACATTCACCCATCTCTCAAATGGGTTATTATAGTATTTTCTCCTGAAATAGATGATGCATAAAAAAAAGTAAAAAAGCTTCAATAGGGATAATGAAAGCCAGATAACATAGCATGGTATATGAGTTATTCCTCCCGTTTTTCTTACCTGTCTGCACTAAGAAGGGCACCCATTAAATACCATAATTATTAGTTGTGCTGCCTCTGAAGTAGAGCACCAGAATGTGAGAGTAATACAATGAGACCACACCCAGATTCTATCCATAACATACTGTCCTGGTCTTATTAATTTTTTTAACCTGTTTGTTCTTTTAGCACTTTTCCTGCTTTTGTTTGAAGTCTCTTGCTTTGAAGTTATAGAATTTTTATATTTGCCATTGGCTGTAAAGTTATCTCAGCTCTTTTATAACTTTTCATTATATTTGCATTAAAAGGATCACTTTGAGCACCCTGTAATTAATTCAGATGATTATTAGCTTTTTTGTTTGTTCTACTGTGCACTCTCCTATATACATTATAACAGAAGAAAAAACCATTTCTACAAATACAGTGTCTGATAGTTCATCAAATCAGAATGAGCATCTTAAAAAGTGAATTATTAAAATATTAATTCATTTACATTCCTATTTTAATGTACCAAATGTAACTGATGAAAAGAAGAATACCATAAATGGGTACCTTTCAAAAATGAAGGAAAAAAAAATCTCACAACTAAAGATTCTTACCATATAAATTATTTATTTTAGTAAATAATTATTTTAGTACAAACAGATACATTTTAGCAGGAAAAAACACACTTTAAACCTTGTTTTATAGATTTTATCTTTCTTCCAATCTAGCCACTGAAATGGTTTTTTCTCCAGTGAAGTTATATTATCTACATAAGTTGAATTTAAAACAAGGTTGTATTTTAATTTTGCAGTTGTCTGCCACATTACGCTTGTGGAAAAACACTGGCAGAAAGCAAAGCTAATAGACATTTTGCTGTTGGCTCACCTTATTAATGGCTAAGATTTAATTATGTATTTCTACTGAAAAGCAAACTTGAAAAAGACGTTTGGTTACTAACTGTGGGAACTAAAAATTTTTATTTATTTTTATTTTTTATTTTTTGGTAGAGTCTCACTCTCTTGCCCAGGCTGGAGTGCAGTGGCATGATCTTGGCTCACTGCAGCCTCCTCCTTCTGGGTTCAAGCGATTCTCCTGTCTCAGCCTCCCGAGTAGCTGGGATTATAGGCACCAGCCACCATGCCTGGCTAATTTTTGCATTTTTAGTAGAAACAGCGTTTCGCCATGTAGGCTAGGCTGGTCTCGAACTCCTGACCTCTAGTGATCCACCCCCTTCTGCTTCCTAAAGTGCTGGGATTACAGGCATGAGCCATCGGCCTGGCCAACTTATTTACTGTTACAACTTACTTACTTTGAAACAACTTATTTACTGTTAAAAAATGTGGTTCTTATTTCAAATAAGATTTTATGGACATCAACTAATTTTTTAAACATATATTGTAATTTTAAAACATTTTTACCAACATTTTTCAAGAGCATGGGAAATCTAGGGTATGGCATTTTAAAGTGACTTTAAAGACACTTCTTGGGTTTTGTTGAAGTCAGAATATTTTTAAAAATACAATGAGTTTAATTTACTACTGACAGATTTTCTTTAATTTTTTTTGCATTGTTATAATTAGTCATGCCTTAATCCTCGGGGTTTTTGGGAAACTATATTTAGGGGTTAAAAACTTAGTTATTGACATTGTAATTTTTCTCAGTATTGGTAAGAATTCAGGTGTTTAAGGAATGGAGTTTACTTGTTTTCTGTTCACAAACCCATTGTAAAAGATATAATGAATGTAGATGAAGGTGAAATCCGAGATAGGAAGAGAGGTAAAATGCTACTTTTTTTTCCTTCACCCAAGGAAAGCCATTGAATACTGAATGGGTCATGTTGTAATTTAATTGGGTGTAAATTATAACTTTGTAAATCATTTGCCTACTTAGTGTATATCTCTGGTTTTTATGTAATTCATCTCCCATAATATCTCAGTTTACACTGAAGTAAATAAGCAAGCAGGAATAAGTCCTGCAAATAGAGGAAGTAGAAAGTGCATTCAGAATGCATTGCTGAAATTGTAAAACTGATCCTAAATTGAATTAGGTAGAGCAGTTAATTTAGATTACAAGAAATGCAACAGGAAAAAAATATTACAGTTCTTCCTCTTTTTTGGAAAAAAAAAAAGAAAGAAAAGACAAATAAATCACCCTTAGTTAGTGATAATTCCTTGACATCTGTATGCTCATTTTTAGGGCCAAAAAATAGTAGGCTTCTCTTTGGAAATTGTAGACGCTTTCTCTCCTTCCAGTTACACGCGGTCACATCAACATTTGACACGTGGGTACCGTGCACGTGGCAGCAGTATTTACAAACACCATCCTAGGATTCCAGAGACTCTTATGTAACAGTGGAGAGAGTAAGCTTTGAGTGTCTGTGGGCGGAGGAATCAACACAGTTTAATTCATTGTCCGGGAGCCCTTGTCTGGCTCTGATAGGGTCATGAACCAAAGATCAAGGTGTTTAGGTCAGGATATTCCCTAACGCATGGTTTTCCTACCAAAGCCTCAAAAGCTGTGCCTAAATACAAGATTAATCTTTTTCTTTCTTTCTTTCTTTTTTTTTTTTTTTTTTGAGACGGAGTTTCGCTCTTGCTGCCAAGGTTGGAGTGCAGTGGCGCCGCGATCTCGGCTCACTGCAACCTCCGCCTCACCGGTTCAAGCGATTCTCCAGCCTCAGACACCCAAGTAGCTGGGATTATAGGCATGCGCCACCACGCCCGGCTAATTTTGTATTTTTAGTACAGACGGGGTTTCTCCATGTTGGTCAGCCTGGTGTTGAACTCCCGACTTAAGGTGATCCGCTTGCTTCGGCCCCCCAAAGTGCTGGGATTACAGGCTTGAGCCACCGCGCCCAGCTAAGATTAATCTTTTTATGCCCTGCAGCAAACAACTAGTCATGCCAAACCATTTTTGTGATTTGGGGAAACATGAGCAGATGATGCTTTGGATCTGATTATAATTCACAGTGCTCTTGTAATTTACGTGAGATTTGCATACCTGCCTCCCAGCCTCACAAAATGCCTTTAAAAAATTACATCTTGGCCAGGATGGCTCACGCCTGTAATCCCGGCATTTTGGGAGGCCAAGGCGGGTGGCAAGAGATCGAGATCATCCTGGCCAACACGGTGAAAACCCGTCTCTGCTAAAAATACAAAAATTAGCTGGGCGTGGTGGCGGGCGCCTGTAATCCCAGCTACTTGGGAGACTGTGGCAGGAGAATCGCTTGACCCCGGGAGGCGGAGGTTGCAGTGAGCCGAGATCGCGCCACTGCACTCCAGCCTGGCGACAGAACGAGACTCCGTCTCAGAAAAAAAAAAAATCTTGATATTTGTATGCATCTTAAAAAGCAAGAGAATTCATGATTGACTTCCCAAACTAAACGGTCTGACCAGAAAACACTCAAGAAAACTCTTGGTTAATCATGCTCCTTAGTATACCATTATACCTGCCTCTCCCCTTTCCCCATCCTCTGTAAATTCTCTCAACCTTCTCTCATTTTTAATTTCATACCAAGACCTAGAGCTAAAACAACAACAACAAAGCTTTAAGTCTCTATATTTAGGGAATGTGCCTCCTATCCCAAATTGATTTTTAGAGCTTTTCATTTATTTTTATCAATACAAAGCAAGTTGAAATAAAAAAAAAGGCATCAAAAATTTAAATGTCTAACCACGTATATTTGGTATATGTATACTGGTGCTATGTATTAGCTGTAAGCAGACTGGTTTGAATATTTAAAATATGAACAGAATTTGAGTTCTTTTTGTATTGCATCTAAGGATCATTTGAGATGGATGTCATCATTTATCATCCAAAATAGAAGCCTTCTTGCCTAACAAAGAATTGTAATTAGATCATCAAAGATGAAATTTATAGTAATTGAAAAGTTAGCTCATTTGACTGCTTCTTTCATAGACTGTGTTTTTGTAATTACACTACCTTTCTAAAGATAGGAAAAATCAGAGTCTCTGAAATGTAATACTATAAGTGAAATATGTATTTTTTAAAATAAAGGATCTTTTCCCAAGAGCTAAACCAAGCACCAAATCTGTTTTTTGGGGGTTTTTTGGTTTGTTGGTTTGTTTGTTTGTTTGTTTTTGACAGAGTCTCCCTCTGTCGCCCAGGCTGGAGTGAAGCGGAGCGATCTGGGCTCACCGCAACCTCCGCCTCCTGGGTTCCAGCAATTCTCTGCCTCAGGCTTCGGAGTAGCTGGGATTACAGGCACTCGCCACCACGCCCGGCTAATTTTTGTATTTTTAGTAGAGGCGGGGTTTTACCATCTTGGTCAGGCTGGTTTTGAACTCCTGACCTGGTGATCCACTCGCCTCAGCCTCCCAAAGTGCTGGGATTACAGGTGTTTTTCTTTAAGTAATACTTGGTATAAGAGAACTTTATATCTGGAATAATTTAAATATTATCTGACCGAATCTATTATTCACATATAGAAACTCAGGTTTTAGCCATTTAACATCTAAAGCTGTTCTCATTTAGAGGAAATTACCAAAAGAGTGACTTATTTAACTAACAATAAAATCTAAGGATAGATATTTTTTCATTCTGTTGCAGAGCAAAAGCAGCCTTCTGGATATGAAAAGATATTACTTCTTTAGTGTTTATTACTTATAATTTATTGTACATTTCTGATACACTGAATTAAGATGCGATGAGAGTAGGTTGTAGATTTTTAAAAGTTCTTATTTGCGTGATTTATCTACTTGCTTTTTTAGTGTCGGACTATAAATGATGTATTTCTCTCAATTATCCTCGGCCTAAATAGTAAAAGCTTGGGTGAAATTACTTATGAGTATACTTTTCCTGCACAGAGCAGAGCCATTACTGAACACTCTCGAGCTTTAACAAAAATCATCCTATCTTATATTAGAATATTAATATTTTCCCTCTTTCTCGGACCTTTGTTTCACAGTAAATCATATATGGATATAAGCTGCAAGTGCTCAGAATTTGATTAAGGCTATAAGTTAATTTCTACTAAAAAAGGGATTCAAATAGAACTTTCATTTGGCTGTACTGTAGTTTCACTTGAAGGGGCAAGCATGCAATAAACATTGACTTATTCAATGCATAGGCTGTCTTCATAAAGATGAGACTGAGTGACAGTTGTCTGTGTATTATAAAATATCAGAATGGTAGATTGAATCTGATGCATACCAAGGAGCAATGTGGAAATTTTAGGCTGTTCGTCTTTTTTCAGTTACTACTAAGTGTGTGTATGTGGTGTGTATGTGTTTTGAACTTTTCATATTTAAGCTGAATCCTCTTTGGTAGAAATGGTTAAATAGACTATAGTAAAAGTTTCTGTCTATAAATATAAAATGAAAAAATACTGATATCTTGCATTTTCCCTAATATGTTGAAAGTGCACAGAATCCTTGGGGTCTTTTGTATAAACTGTTTTTATATGGTTCCTGTAGAAGACAGCTGAGGCACCAAACACACACACAAAACAAACAGCTTGCTTGGTGATGATAACATTCGTGCAAGGGAGTTCTCTCTTGCATAGGAGTCCCAGGTTACCCTAATGCCTTCCCACATGGTCAAACACATGGAGCTTTCATATTTACACACAGCTCCAGAATTCTGAAGCCTGCAGTTGTTTATCAGTGGGATACAGGGAGAAAGAGTGGTGTCTATCTTACTAACTGTTTAATGACCTGGATCATGAATACTGATACAGAATAAGAAAGCACTGGCCTGACTGCAGGGGAAACATGGTAGATGCCTAAAGGAGGCTTTTCCCTGCCCCACACTGTTTATTTTAAACTATCATTATCACCTGAAAGGAGCTTTTCACTTTGAACTTAAAATAGTAGCTTTTAACCCTGACAAGCAAGTAGGCACTTTAGTATTCAAGAACTGAAGGTGACAAGCCCTGAGGAGTGTTACTCTCTTTCATAACCAAGCTGACTCAAACTCTTTTAGAAGCTAGTGTAGTAACTTAACCATCTCTAATAATGTTGCTGCATGCCTTCATAGAAACAGTTGGAGCAAGAGCTGCATTTTCTTTTTTTTAAGTGTTTATTATTTACATTTTATTTTTGAAAACATGCCATTCCTATTACATATAGAAATACTTCCCAAAATCACTGTTTGTATAGAACTATTTTGCTTAACATTAGGATTCTATTGAAGAGCCTATATCTGCAATAATACGGGGAGAAAATCCCCTTTTGTGTGATAGATTAATGATAAAGAGAAAGAAAAGGTGAGAAGTAATTTTGGGAAATATGCAATGATAAACTAGTGGTATTTATTGAACTAAACACCAGCAGCTGTGCTTAGCATGGATAATTGCCTAAAAGGATGAGAAAAAAAAGTAAAAATCAGGAGACTATAAATTTTTCAGTGAAGAATAAATTTTCTGTCACAAATTATGAACATTTTAAATATGTATTTTAAACTTTTTCCTACTTGTAACAAATTATCAGACTTTTTAATCTACCTTTTTTGAGCTTTTCATCTTTTTCCCTGAATTATAGATTTAATTCTGTGTATGTATGTGTGTGTTTGAATATATTTTTATATTTTAGATCTAGATTTGTAAACTAGAGCTGTTTCTAACTGCTTATAAGACATTGCCACCTGGATTGCCACCACTTTCACTCCAGTATTTCAATAAACACTTCATCAAAAACATAGTTTATTTTCAAACATAGAATCATGGATTGCTACAAGCTGAAAGGACTTTAGAGACTCAGTAACCCCATTCCTTGCATTTACAGATGAGAAAATGGAGGCATGGGAAAGTAAAGTCAGTTGCCTCAAATAGCGTAACAAGCTATGTATATTTCTAATAATAGCTACTATTGATTAAGTTCTTATGTTGGGTTAAGTACCATGCTAAGCACTTTCCAAAGATTATCTAATTCTTATGTCATCTATATTTTTGTTGGTGCTATTACTCTCCTCACTTTACTAAGGAAGAAACCAAGACATGGGGTTAAATAACTTCCCTATAAATTTTGAATTATCTTTGGCATCATCTCCCTATTTGCAAATCTCCATTGTCTCTTTGTTCGTAATCAATGTAAATCAACTCTTAAACAGTTGGATGCCAACAAGCAGTCTGGTGTTTGGAGCTCGAAAGTTTCGAGAGAGAGAGAGAGAGAGAGAGAGAGAGAGAGAGAGAGAGAGAGAGAGTGTGTGTGTGTGTGTGTGTGTGTGTGTGTGTGTTCCAGCTTTGTTGAGGTATAATTGACAAGTAAACAGTCCACAAAACTGTACACATTTAAGAGATACAGTGTGATGTTTTAATATACATTGTGAAGTGATTATTACTATCAGGCTAATTCACATGTCCATCACCTCTCAGTCATTTTTTGTGTTTACGGTGAGAACACTTAAGAGCTACTCAAATGTAGTCAAGGATACCATACAGTACTAACTGTAGTCACCATGCTGTACATTAGATCTCCAGAATGTATTAAATATTCATCTGGCATAACTGAAACTGTGTATCCTTTGACAAACCTATTTCCCCTACTACCCAGCCCATGGCAACCACCATGTTACTCTCTGCGTTTATGAGTTCGACTTCTTTAGATTCCACATATAAGTGAGATCATGCAATAGGAAGATCTAATTTAGCATCCTGACTTTCCTTTTTATTAGCTGTGTATGTCATATTCAGGTTGCCTTAGCATTTGTGAATCTGCTTCTCTACCTGTAAAATGAGAACAACTAATAATTCTTATCTCATGGATTACTGAGAGGATCAGATGAAGTAACATAAATAAAACATCCAGCATGTTACTTGGCAAAATTGTAGTGATTGAATAAATATTTGTTTATTCTTCAAGCATGTGTTGAGCATCTATGTATCAGGCAAGAAGAGAGCCATCATCTTTACCCTTCTGGAATATACAGGCTCATAGGAAATAATCAATGCTTTGATCTTTTTTTAAAGCATAATGAGATGAAAATTATAGGACTCATAGACTGGTCAGTTGAGGAATTTCCCAGGATGCTTCCAGCCTCTGCTCAAAAGGTGTGAATTCCCAGTTGCCTGAATAGGCGCCAGAGTTGGCATAGCTTTCTCAGTATTGGGACCTGACAGGGAGATTGCACAAGTGTAACAGCACAGCCTCTGAAGATTGGCTCAAGGGGGAAGAGATGAAGGATTACTTCCATCCCTTTTATTGTTTCAATCAAGATATATATTATGAGCTCATAGTACCATCCTTTCATGATCATCCTTTATTGTCTTTATTAGATACAATGAAAAGATACAAATTTGTCCATAGAAATATTAAATGATAGCAGGCATGATTTAAAAAGTACTAAGGACTATAGATATTACTGTTTTTCCTCTATTTTGTATCATATTTTCAGGAAGAAGAGACAACATTTTGGCATACCTTGCTTAAAGATAGATGATAGCCGGGTGTGGTGGCTCAGACCTGTAATTCCAGCACTTTGGGAGGCCGAGGCGGGCAGATCACCTGAGGTCAGGAGTTTGAAACCAACCTGGCCAACGTAGAGAAACCCCGTCTGTACCAAAAAATACAAAAATTAGCCAGGCGTGGTGGTGGGCGCCTGTAATTCCAGCCACTCAGGAGACTGAGGCACGAGAATCACTTGAACCCAGGAGGCAGAGGTTGCAGTGAGCTGAGATCGTGCCATTGCACTCCAGCCTGGGTGACAGAGGGAGACTTCGTCTCCCAAAAAATAAAAATAAAAAATAATTGTCTTGGTGTGCTAATCAGGAGCTTCCTGTGAGAGTGGAAATTCCTTACATGGCAGTGTCATGAAATTTTAGGCCCATGTGAAAGATGTTTTTGAGTGTCTCAAAATAGTTAACGGTTTAAAAATACATTATTTATGTGTCAGAAACTGCTTTCATTGAAATTGAAGTTTCTTTGAGAACTAGGATCATATCATGTATATCTATTGAATTTCCCACAACAATTATCACGCAAGCAAATGAATAGCAGACCCTCAATAACACTTACTGATGATTATTGCCATGTATAAGTTGGGATACTCTTGAGTACCTTTCTAAGTCTGCATTTAGGGAAATACAGAACACAAAATGAAATGTTTGATTGGTTGCTTAGTTTCCACAGTGACTTTTCAAAATGTATAGGAGCATGGTAACAAAACTATTTTAAATACTACAATCTTAAGTATGCCTTTATTATTCTTACCCACAATAATGCATTGCTTTAAAAAATTGTTTATCAGTGTCAGACCATACCTTTCTGAGTCTCTACTATGTAAGATGTGAAAGTTAATATTCTTCAATTCCAGCTACTTTTCTTTTCCTGCCTTCTGTCAACTCCTGTATTCCATATCATTACTTCTTATTGCTAAATTTATAATATTTATATTCTGGTTTGCATCTATAGTTAATTCTCTTGTGCTTCATTTCTCAGTGCTAATTGAAAAAGAAAACACATCACTTACAATGCCATGATTGTAATAAATAAAATTCACTGTAACACCTAGCAGTATGGTTGAACATGTAGAAAAGGAAAAAGTGATCCTGTGACACTAAAATTTAGCTTGTTCTAAGGATGCTACTTTAAGCATTAGGGTAAAATGGATTCCCTTTTGCTAAATTCTTTCAGTTCCTCAAAATTATGCCACATTTTTGTTTCTTTCACATTTGGACTTAGATTTTCCTGTAAGCATTCAATTTTTCTTGAAAATTTTAATTGCATTTTTTTATTCTTGTTGACAGAAGAAACATTTTCATCATATCACAATTTTTTTTCAGATTTCTTAATTATACCATTTGATGAATGAAATACACTTTCTTCTTGAAGTCTGATTTTTCTGTTCTAATTTAGAGTTTCTTCTCATTTTTCTCCTGGCTATGTCTATTATTGCTTTAGTCTCATGTCTTTGTATTTGATTATTATTTTTCTTTTTACTACTGTTTTTCTTCTTACAGAAAAAAAAAGAAAAAAAAACAGGGGTTTTTACAAATATTGTGCTGAGTCTTTACATGTCCAAAATGCCTTATATTTTTCCTTATAGTACATTCATAAATTATTGTGATTAGAACCATAAATTCAAAGTAATTTTCTCTCAGAGCTTGGGAAACATTGGTACGTTGTTACCCTTCATCTAGGATTGCTTATGAGATAGATATCTGATGCCAGTCTGATTCTGTCTTTTTTAGATAACTTTTTTCCCTATTCATATGTTTATTAGGATCTTTATCTTTTCACTTCTGAAATTCCTCCAGATATGGCTCTGTTAAAATGTATTCTTCTCAGCACTTGATGATTCTGTACAATCTGGAAACAACTGCCTTTATTTAGCTTAAGGTACTTTTCTTCCATTGTACCTTTGATTATTTCTTCCTTCTTTTTTTCACCCTATCTTTATGAAACTCATGTTAATGGTGCATTAGAACTTGTGAACTGATTTTTCTTATTTATTAAATTCCATCACATATTTTTCATCTGTTTATCTCTGTATATTTTATTTTCTCAACTTTTGATATTTTTGTTAATTGAAATTTAATTTCCAAGAAGTCCATTTTCTATTCTCTGATTGATTCTTTTTAATGGTAGCCTATTTCGTGGCTCAAATCATATAAAATGTATTAAATTTTGTGGGAAAATTAGGCAAACAAAGAAAATTAAATTTTACCTAACTATATCTAAAAACAATACAACTAAACTTAAGAAAAGTGCGTATATGTGTACACATATACATATGCGTGTATATGTGTACACATATGCTACATATACATGTATATGTAGTATATGTACATGTAGTATATGTGTGTATGTATGTATATACACATGTAGTATATCTATATACATGTATATGTACAAAGAAAAAATATGTATATAATAGTTTCACTGTACTTTATTTGCTCCCCTTTTAAAAATAACAGTGCTAGAGTTCATGACTGACTAATTTTCAGAACTTGGTGTGTATGGTTGTTTATTAAGCCCTCAATAATAATGCTTTAGTATTACAGTGCCCAGGCATAGTCAGTGACTGTGCTAATAGTCCTAGCAGTAGCAGTTCATCCTGTACAGATCTAAGGTGTAACTATTTTCATTTCTGGGCCCTTGGAGATTCTTTGGTTGTCTTCATATCTTTTACCTATCTTGCTGTTCAATAACAGGTAATAGAAAAGGAGATAAAACTTAAATGTCATCATTTCCCACTGCTTAACAGTCTTTAAAAATAAATGTGAAACCCGTAAGGACGTAATCTTGCCTAGCTTTAAGGAATGAAGGAAACACTAGAAACAACAGAGAGAAAAGGAATAACTGATCCTCCAACATGTTCTGTTGACTCTACCTGTAAAGTATATTCAGGATCTGACTACTTCACACCATTTCACCAATTTCCATCTCCATTCAAACCACCTTCATGTGTTACTTTGAAAAGTGCAGTTTCCCTGTCATGGGTTTCCCTGTTTCTAGCTTTGCTCCCCCTTCTTACCTCACCGTGGGTTTTTACCCAAACAAAAATTCAAGTGATCATTTAAAAATTAAGTCAGGTCATGCCTCTCCTCTGCTTAAAACCATTAATGGGTCTCTGTTTCACTCAGAATATAAGCCAAAGCCCTTTTCATGACCCACCAGTCCTCAAGTGAATTGGCTGCTATTTGTGTTTCTGATTCCATTTCTTGCCACTATTCTCCCTCATTCTATTCTAATTTCCTTGGTTTTCTTGCTGTCCTGGCAACAAGAAGAGCATCCTTTTTCCTCCAGGCCTTTGCACTTGCTGTTCCCTCTTCCTGGAGCACCCTTCCTTCAGAGAGCCACAGGTATTGTTTCTATCTTTCCTTCTAATCTCTCCTTGAGTGTTACTTTTTCAGAGATAAATTCCCTAACCATTCTATCTAACAGAACTCTGACTATTGACCTTGCTTTATTTTCTCTCTTTTTTTTTAAAATTTTATTTTTTTATTCCCATAGGTTATTGGGGAACAGGTGGTATTTGGTTACATGGGTAAGTTCTTTAGTGGTGATTTGTGAGATCTTGGTGCACCTATCACCCGAGCAGTATACACTTCACCCTATTCGTAGTCTTTTATTCCTCACCCCCTTCCCACCCTTTTCCCCTGAGTCCCTAGAGTCCATTGTGTCATTCTTATGCCTTTGCATCCTCATAGCGTAGCTCCCACTTATGAGTGAGAACATATGATGTTTGGTTTTCCATCCCTGAGTTACTTCACTTAGAATAATAGTCTCCAGTCTTATCCAGGTCACTGCAAATGCCATTAATTCATTCCTTTTTATGGCTGAGTAGTATTCCATCTTATAAATATACCACAGTTTCTTTAACTACTCACCGATTGACGAGCATTTGGGTTGGTTCCACATTTTTGCAATTGCAAATTGTGCTGCTATAAATGTGTGTGCAAGTATCTTTTTCATATAATGACTTTTTTCCTCTGGGTAGATACCCAGTAGTGGGATTGCTGGATCAAATGGTAGTTGTACTTTTAGTTATTTAAGGAATCTCCACACTGTTTTCCATAGTGGCTGTACTAGTTTACATTCCCACCAGCAGTGTAGAAGTGTTCTCTGTTCACCATATCCATGCCAACGTCTACTATTTTTTGATTTTTTATTGCCGTTCTTGCAGGAGTAAAGTATTGCATTGTGGTTTTGATTTGCATTTCCCTGATCATTAGTGATATTGAACATTTTCTCATATGTTTGTTGGTCATTTGTATATCTTCTTTTTAAAATTGTCTATTCATGTCCTTAGCCCACTTTTTGATAGGATTGTTTGTTTTTTTCCTTGCTAATTTGTTGGAGTTCCTTGTAGATTCTAGATATTAGTCCTTTGCCGGATGCATAGATTGTGAAGATTTTCTCCCACTCTGTGGGTTGTCTGTTTACGCTGCTGACTGTTCCTATTGCTGTGCAGAGGCTCTTTTGTTTAATTAAGTCTCACCTATTTATCTTTGTTTTTGTTGCATTTGCTTTTGGGTTCTTGGTCATGAAGTCTTTACCTAAGCCAATGTCTAGAAGGGTTTTTCTGATGTTATCTTCTAGAATTTTTATAGTTTCAGCACGTAGATTTAAGTTTTTGATCCATCTTGAGTTGATTTTTATATAAGGTGAGAGATGAGGATCTAGTTTCATTCTTCTATATGTGGCTTACCAGCTATCCCAGCACCATTTGTTGAATAGGGTGTCCTTTACCTACTAATTTATGTTTTTGTTTGCTTTGTCAAAGGTCAGTTGGCTGTAAGTATGTGGGTTTCTTTCTTGGTTCTCTATCCCCCCATTGGTCTCTGTACCTATTTTTATACCAGTACCATGCTGTTTTGGTGTCTATGGCCTTCTAGTATAAAGTCAGGTAATGTGATTCTGCCCAATTTGTTCTTTGTGCTTAGTTTTGCTTTGGCTCTGTGGGTTCTTTTTTGTTTTCATATGAATTTTAAAATTGTTTTTCCTAATTCTGTGAAGAATGATGGTGGTATTTTGATGGGAATTGCATAGTTTATCAACCCTTGGCAAAGTGTTTCTGCTTTTCTTAAACAATTTTTATTGTCTGCTTTCTCCAGTAGATGTGAGTTCTATGAGATGAGGAACATTGTTTGGGTCACTGACATGTATTGTCAGCATACCAAACAGTGGCTAGCACATGGTGAGCACTCAATAAATATTTGGTGAAAGTTGCAGTGAATGAAAATGGTTTCTAAAATGGCAATGACTATAGTCCCAGCTACTCTGAAGGCTGAGGCAGGAAGATTGCCTGAGTCTCAAAAGTTTGGGGTTGTAGTGCACTATGATTGTGCCTGTGAATAGCTGCTGCATTGTAGCCTGGTCAACACAGTGAGAACCCATCTCTTTAAAAAAATGGCAATGAAATAATCTTATTTTTACTGCTTTTCTCTTTAAGGCTGCCAGTGTTGTCTTTTCTCTGCTGATTTATCCTCATTGGAAATTGAAGATAGATAAAATATCCATTGATTATTTATAGGTGAAATTAGGCTTTTGGATCCATGAGGAATAGCTGAGACAATCTTCCAGGAGCTTCTGGAGCCGAGGAAACATTGGTCACTAAAATACCATTTATATTGGCAACTGTACTCTTTTCCGATGCTAGTGTTTCAATTACATTGTGCATTTAAAAGGCTGTTGCGGCTACCTCAAAATATAAACATGATGTGCGACACTACTTGTTAGTTTTGAACAACTGATTTATAAATAGACTTAGGGTGCTCAAGCCTCCTGCAAGATGAGCACTGCCTGTGTTCTTCCTTCTGCTTCCTTTATTTCAGCTGTGTGTCTACCAACTTCCTCCTCCTTCTACACTAGGAGAAATTGCACTGTTTCCAATATCTTTAACATCTGCTATCATGATGAGAAAATATCTTTTCTGGATTTGAAATACCTTCTTCATTCTTTTTTTTTAAATGGCGGAAATAAATTCATAGTGTTTTGAGTGCAGTTTTCTTCCTGCTGTTATTGCTGGCTCAAAATCCAGGAGCATTTCAGTGTTATTTCTGAGCTCCATGATGGGAGTTCCATTTCTGTTTTATTCAAAGTGTTATCTCCAGTGTCTAGCACAGTGCCTGGCACATTATAAGCCTATAATGTTTATCTAGTGGATGTAGACCAATACTATTAAAGAATTATCATTGCAAAGATTTAGTGGCATGAAAAAATGATAATGATTAATGCTCTACTCCATGCTAAGGAAATGAAGTGCAAATCGTTCTTTATTTTTCT